>NC_000012.12:18334650-18959650 GCF_000001405.40 Homo sapiens | reverse complement strand
CAGAATATCCAAAGCTATCTTAAGCAAAAAGAACAAAACTAGAGGAATTGCATTACCTGACTTCAAATTATTCTATAGAGCTATAGTAAACATCATGATACGGCATAAAAACAGACATACAGAACAATAGAACAGAATGCAGAACCCAGAAAGAAATCTGTGCATCTACAGTGCACTTATTTTTGACGAAGGTGCCAAGAACATACATTGGGAAATGGACAGTCTCTTCAATAAATGGTGCTGGGAAAACTGTATATCCATATGCAGAAGAAGGAACCTAGATCCTTATCCCTCACCGAACACAAAAATCAAATCAAAATGGATTAAGGACTTTAAGACCTCAAACTATGAAACTACTAAAAGAAAACATTGGGGAAACTCTCCAGGACATTGGAGTGGGGAAAGATTCCCGAGTAACAACCCACAAGCACAGACAACTAAAGCAAAAATGGACAAATGGGGTCACATCAAGTTAAAGAACTTCTGCACAGCAAAGGAAGCAACCAACAATGTGAAGAGACAACCCACAGAATGGGAGAAAATATTTGCAAACTACCCATCTGACAAGGGATTAATAACCAGAATATAAGAGGAGCTCAAACTCTATAGGGAAAAATATCAAATCATCTGATCAAAAGATGGGCAAAAAAATCTGAATAGACATTTCTGAAAAGAAGACATACAAATGGCAAACAGATATATAAAAATGTGCTCAACATCAGTGATCATCAGAAAAATGCAAATCAAAACTACAGTGAGATATCATCTCACTCCAGTTAAAATAAATGGCTCTTATCCAAAAGACAGGCAATAACAAATGCTGGCAAGAATGTGGAAAAAAGGGAACCCTTGCACACTGTGGTTTTTTGTTTTTGTTTTTTTTTTTTTTAAATGGAGTCTTTGTTGCCCAGGCTGGAGTGCAGTGGCACGATCTTGAATCTTGACTCACGGCAACCTCCGTCTCCTGGGTTCAGGTGATTCTCCTGCCTCAGCCTCCCGAGTAGCTGGGATTACAGGCATGCACCACCACACCTGGCTAATTTTGTATTTTTAGTACAGATGGGATTTCACCATGTTGGCCAGACTGGTCTTGAACTCCTGACCTCTGGTGACCTTCCTGCCTTGGCTTCCCAAAATGCTGGGATTACAGGTGTGAGCCACCTCACCCAGGCCCCTTGTACACTGTTGATGAGAATGTAAATTAGTCAAACCACTATGAAGAACAGTTTGGAGGTTCTTCAAAAAACTATAAATACAGCTACCATATGATCTAGCAATCTCACTGCCAGTTATATACCCAAAAGAAAGGAAATCACTGTATCAAAGAGATATCTGTACTGCCATGTATATTGCAGTATAATTCACAATAGCCAAGATTTGTAAGCAACCTAAGTGTCCGTTAACTGATGAAGGAATGAAGAAAATGTACACATACACAATGGAGTGCTATTCAGCCATAAAAAAGGATGAGATCCTGTCATTTGCAACAACATGGATGGAACTGACGGTCATTTTGTTAACTGAAATAAGCCAGGCACAGAAAGAGAAACTTCACGTTTTCTTTTTTACTTTTCTTTTCTTTTTTTTTTTTTGGTGGGAACTAAAAATTAAAACAATTGAACTCATGGAGATAGAAAGTAGAATGATAATTTGCAGAGGCTGGGAAGGGTAGTGGGGGGGTTGAGTGAGAAAAATTGTTAGAAAGAATTCATAAGAGCTAGTATTTGATAGCACAACGGAGTGACTATAGTCAATAATAATTTAATTGTACATTTAAAAATAACTAAAAGAATATAATTTGATTGTAACACAAAGGATAATGCTTGAAGATATGGATACCTCATTTATCCTGATGAGATTATTACACATTGTATGCCAGTAACAAAATATCTCATATACCCCATAAATATATATACCTACTGTGTACCTGCAGAAATTAAAAATAAAAAATAGGTTAGAAGAATTGACAATTACTTCAAAAATAGTCCATTGATTAAAAAAAATGGAAGTAAAAACCTGAAATCTAATTAGGGTTAATATGTATTGAAAAGTGGTTAGTTTTAGTTAATACCTTTTCCAAATTTCTTCTTATTTTGGCATAATACTTCCCTTTTTTCACGGAATTTTTGTGTGTGTTTATAGTAATGTATTAGTGAGGGTAGAGGCCAGGCTGCTCTAGCAAAAATACTCAAAGTGGCTTAAAAAATTATAATGCCTTAAACAAAATAGTGATTTCTGTTGGTTTTTCCTTCTCACATATAAACTTAAATGTCTTGGACCAGGAGGTCACTTTACTTTTCTTAACCTATAGCCTCCATATGTGAGTCCAAGCTGGCTGCCTGTCTTAGCCAGTGGGCTGTGCAAAGGTGTCAAGGGACTCCTGCTCAAATGTTTTGAGGGCAAGGCTCATTATTTTTGCTTATATCCCACTGAATAGAACTTAATCAAATGGTCACAACTAGACACATGGAACACTGGGATTTATCTGGGGCCATTTCAAAGTACTCTTCCCCTAGTTTCGGGGGGACTGTAACTAACAAAAAAGTTAGGTTCTGCTTAAACAGTCTCTGTCTCACTCTGTTGCCCAGACTGGAGAGCAGTGGCATGATCTCAGCTCACTGCAACCTCCACCCCCTGGGCTCAAGTGATTCTCCCATCCTAAGCCTCTTGAGTGCACCACCACACCTGGCTACTTTTTGTATTTTTTTGTAGAGACAGGGTTTCACCATGTTTCCCAGGCTGTTCTCAAACTCCTGGCCTCAAGTGATCCACCGGGCTTGGACTCCCAAAGTGCTGGGATTATAGGCATGAGCCATCATGCCCAGCCAAAACTAACTTTTAATAACCTTTGCTTTCTGATAAAATTTTATTTTGATTAACTTTCCTTTAAGATAAAAATAAAATTAATTCACCTTATATAACATTATAAATAGTATTTGTTCATCAGGAAATTTTTGAAATAATCATGAACTCCAAGTAGGATATGGTTAGAAAAGTAAAATTGTCACCCTACATGGAAAATAAGTTAATATCAAGGTTTAATCTTAGATGGGGGTTTTACATGCTTATGTTTCTATTGGATTTACAATTTGATGCAGATTTTTTTTCTTTTTTCAGAGGAGTGGTATACTGAAAGTGGTTTTCAAATACTATGTCAACTAAAGCATTTGGTTTGACGTTTTACTCCAAAAACACTGACGTAATGGAAACAACTCTTATGAACCACTATTTCTTTATACTCCTAAATTATATAATTTGGCTTGTATCATAGACATTTGGTGACATGCAAGTTGCACTGTTGAATGTGATGGCTAAGATGAAGGGTTTTTGGTACCTCTGCAAGCTGGATGACAAGGTACTGCTCATGCCACCAAATTGATTAGAGCCCAGGAGATTCAATGGAGAATAACAAACAGAGCTTTGACATCTTCCGTGATGTTTCCCTAGCCTCCTTGCAGATAGGAATTACCAGGGGCACTTATTAAATATTTAACTTTCCAGACCCCTCACTTGGAGATTCTGATGCAGTGGTTTTAGGTGGAGCTTGAGAATTTGTGTGTATAACAAGGACCCCAGGGAAGTTTAAAACACTGTGCAGTGATAGACTTTATCCACTGTGCTGAAGGGATAAAGGGACTCCTCTGCTCCAAGTGATGGGGTGGCAAGCTGAGTGTCACTACCCCGTGCCTTCTGAGGCTGTTCCTCTGGCATAGGAGAGCCACTGTATGCACTACAAGAGGCACACCTTTGGTCTTAGAACTGAGTCATAAGATGGCATATAAATGTTTTTTCTCTGGTCCAAGATCCACTATCTGAGAGGAAATAGTTTCGTGACTATGGATGCAGTCCTAGCTGCCTTACTTCCACTACAATCCTGAAATAGAGTGACAGTCATTAGCAGTAATGGGAGGTTCACAGATGATTCACTCTATCGGTGATGACTACTGTATTTTTCAAAAAGAATTCTTTACTCTCTAGATTTCTTGGTAACTGGAATATTTTCCTTTTCTTTTTTACTAATAGAAGCAGGAAAAATAATGGTTTACCCATTGAAACTTTCTAGCTTTCCTCTGGGCTTTGAATAGTTCAAGATAAAGCTAGAGCCCATACTAGGATAAAAATAGCTGGGACCTTGGATAAGCAGATGTGTGAAGATCTTTTTTTGTTGTTGTTGTTGTAATCTGAACTGAAAAACTCTTGCTGTTCTAAGATTCTGTATCCTTGATCACCAAGATGAGGCACTATTTAGAATCTGATTCTAAGCAGGGGTTATTACATAAATATTTACAGTTTTGCTCTCCCAGTTCCAGCATATATATGTTTCATATAGTTTTGGGTATAGTTCCACAGAGTAGGTTAGCCATAAGCTTTCTAGTTAATTCTAAATGGAACTGTGCAACTGTGCCATGTAAAATAAAGAGCCTAGACTCAATAGTGAGAATTTTTTCTAAAAACAGCAGAATTTAGCAATAGTCTGTAGTTACATGGAATAATAAGTGGCTCTAAAAACACACCAATATTCTTGGAATATATGCTTGAGGCCACTCAATGGACACATTTTCTGTTCAGTGTGGCCAGAGTACCAATTTTGCATGATATAATAGCAAACTAAGTATCAGGAGGGACAGAAAGGGTTGTTTTGAAACCTGTTATAAAGTAGTCACTTATATATAGTAAATTACTGGAAATAACAAGTACAATTTTACAGACTGCAAAATGAATAACCATGAGTTCCATGGATGCAGGAGTTGTACCCATTGTGTTAATTGTTGTATCCCTAGCTCCTGGTGCATAATTGGTGCCTAATAACTTTTTCTTGCATAAATCAGGAAATGAATGAATATGCATTCTTGTTATATTAGAGGCTTATATGCAAATATTGTCCTTAGAAAGGAACCAAGGATCTTGTGTTCAAATTCCCTTATAATCTGTCTTGGCCCACTTTCTGGAGGACTGAAAACTATTGTCATCTATAGTAATGATGGCCACATCTTTTCTAGAGAAACAGTGGCCATTCAATAAGTATAGAGCAATAGTCTGCTTTAATTCTCCTTTCCGCCATTCCTAAAGCTTAATTTTCTTTTCATTTCGACTGCAAATTGCCGAGAAAGAAATAATAGAATCATAGGAGCTCATAGGTTTGAAAGAATCCTAATAGCTGTCTCGTAGTCCAAACATCTTTGGACTACTGGAGTCCAAATGCTGGAGAAATTTTACATCCCACCAAGTTGCCTGGCTGATATTTATCTTGCCCTAGGGATTGGCAGAAGCTTCCCATCTCTTGAGACAAATCATTCTCATCTTATGTAGCCTAGATTGTTCAACTGATTTTCTACAGACTATGCTGAAATCTTTCTTCTAAGTTCTACCCATAAAGACCATATGGAACAAATCTTTCTTCCATAAGACCGTTCTTTATACATTTGCATACAACATTCATGACCCCACATGGGTCTTTTCATAACAATTATGATAGTTGCCATTTATAATACATCAGCTCCTTTGCTAAGTACTTTACAGGCATCATTTCATTTAACCTGCACAATAAACCCACACGCTAGGTACCACCATGATCTTCATTTTGTAGTCTTAGAGAAATTAAGTAATTGCCCAAAAGTCATAGAGTTAGGAAGCTGCAAAACTGAGATTTGAACATATTTAGATTGGAATTTAGTTTCAGGTCTACTTGACAATGAATTTCCCACTATCTGTTTGAGAAGCCCGGGCTGCTTTCTGTTATCGATGGCTAAATAGGTCCTAACAAATACACTTGCCAGTTTGCATTTTGCAGCATCCAGCTTCCTCTTGCATTTGGAAAAAATGTTTTTTTGTTTCCTGTCTCCAGTTTCAAAGCCCTTTTCCTTTTCCCCTAGATTCTTCAAGATCACTGAATGTGGTTTCAACTACTTCTGACAGGAACGAACTGTGTCTACAAAGCAGAACAAGTAAATTCCCACTCTGCCAGGCTGCTAGGCAGCATTTCAGGGTGGCATGCAGCCATTACTATACCAGCTCCTTCTTTCACTAAATATAAAATGTATATGCTGCTCCACAGGGAGAGGGGGAATAGTTGGCAGGGTGAGAAAGGGAATGCATTTCCTTTTAATTGTATCATCTTATATGAATTCATTCTCTTGTTTAGAAAACAGACTTATTAGAGTCTATTTTCTGAGCAATTTTTGGTGTTTCTGAGACTATTGTTTGGGTATTTTACAACTTTGTGCTGATTTGATATGGACAGATCATCCCAGTGTTTTATCAGACAAAGTATAACACTCCAGCCGACTTCTGTTACATAGACCAAGACAAATTATCTGAGAACATGGGAAAAATGAGAGATCCTAGAAGTGGGGAAAGAGGAAGCATATTGAGCCACAAGAATTAAAAAAAAAAAAATCAAGCACACACATACACAATAACTACATCTTTAAAATAAAAATATGGAATCCCAAACATATCTCTAGTTCTTCTTTCTCCAGGATTTTCAAGCCTAGTCAGAAAGTAGCCCGTAGGCTACATTAAGCATGATTATGTTTTCCTGGTTTTTATCCACTCTGATTCACCTCTGATCTCATGCAGACACAGACTCAGGTTCTTTCAGCTTTCTTGTGATGTTCAATTCCTTTCCTTTTTTTCTACACTGGCTGCTCTCATTGATATCTGATATAATATTGTAAATAGTACGCCGAGGTATTGGCTGCCCACCAAGCTGAACAAGGTGGACTGGCTGTGACATCTAGGGAAGTAACACTGCTTCGCAGTACCAAAGTCACCTTGCTACCCTCTTCCTGGGCCCCAATCAGGCCAACATGTGCCTTACAAAAAGCACAATTTAGGGTCAAATTGGATTTCCCTCCTCCTCCAGAGACTGTAAAGAAATAAGAAAAAGGGCATATTGAGATTGAGCCAACTCTTATTACTGCATTGGAGAGCAGGTTTGTATATCAATTATAATTCTCCCGTTATCGTCATCTAATCATTTATTGCTTATTATTCTTATCAATTTTGCCAATGGGTTAGCATGGTCTGGAGGAGAAATTGGAAATCCAACTGATTTTCCTAGCAGATTTTGTGAAATGGTGGGGAAAAATCTTGAAAATAAAGTACTGGTTACAGAGAGATTTTACCATTATCCATGGGCTTTGCTTATCTGTGCCCTCCCGATCACGCACTACCCCAGATAATTGAAAATGTACAGTGTATGCATAACCATGTCAGCATGCAGCAAGATGACACAGAGTGAAACAGCAGGTTTGGGTGATGTGGTAGATTGGTCTAAAACAACGCAATAAAGTCAGATAGCTGAAAACAAATTCAAAAACAAAAAGATAAAGTTACTGAACAAAACAGAATGCAAAATTAGTTTGGAAATATAATGTAAATAAATCCTTGTGTTTAATATTCAGTGTACAGACCCATAAAAAGTCAATTAAAGGTTTAAAATTTCAGCACTGATTCATGTCACTGCATGTGTTCTTAAGCCCTGGTGCAGAAATGAGTTTTTTTTTTTTTTTTAAATAATAATCCTTTATTCATGAGGTCCCTTAGGCCTGCCATGCTCATGAGTCCATCAGTCAATTGAAAAGAACTGTTGGAAATATCGTAATAGTCCTCCAGATCTGAGAGATGCAACACAAAACTGTGATACGGCCAATACAATTGGTATAATTATTTTTAGCTCCAAAAATTATGGACTTCTTTCTACCATGGTTTATTTGCAGTCTCCTGAGAGAGATAGCAACCTGTAATTTTATTCATTAGTTTTCCACCCCTCCCAAGGGAAAAAAAAATTAAATGCTAGGAAGCTGACATGATAAAGATAGCACAGAGGTTAGAGGGTTCACTCCAGCAGGAAATAACACTTAACTGAGAGGCTACAAGCAAAATTATTTCAACTCTAAATTCCGATTTTGTTTAAAGTAGAACGTATTATTTCCTTCCTTCGCTGGGGGTCGGGATAAAGGGGAGGTTGGACAGTTGATGACTGTTTAACACATTATGGGCAACAAAAGCAGAGCTCGAAGGCTCTGGCCACTCCCTAGGGGATGTGGCTGGGGCAGTCTTTGAAAACCCACCTCTGTTGTCCCCTTCTCTGCCTCTCTTAGCTGTACCAGGGCGGAAAAAGGGGGCAAGAGAGCAGCCGTGCTGATACTTTCCTTCCCCAGACTCAGACCCCTGTCTTTACCCTGGTTCTTTGCTTTCTCAGCATGCTAGGAGAAAGGAGAGGGATAATGATGCAACTTGGGGTCATTCCATGGAGACTGAAATTCCAAAAGGAGTGGGAGGGGCTCTGAAGAGCAGTCACTCACGGGGTCATCTCTCAGTTCATTATTATTTTAAAGAGCACAAGAGCGTGGTAGGACTCGGAGATCATGCGAGATTGTAAGGGGTGAGAAGTGCCAGGTGAGGTCAGCTCACAGGATTATAAAATGATAAGCTTGGAAAGATGTAAGGGAGACATCTTCTGTGAACTGTTTTGCTGATGAAAAATTTGTTTGTGCCTAAAGGATTTTCTTGGAGGCTATGACTTTCTTGATGTTTCAGGAAAGTAAGATTGAATATTTATGGATAGGTTTTCAGGTTACGAGAACAGGTGCCAGCCCTTTCATATTTTGTTTGGACTTAGAAAGGAATGCTAACAGGTGAGGAGAGTGTTGGGTGTGTCTGCTGTCTCCATCACCATGAGGCATTGTGGGAGTTTTGATAGATCCTTCTTGGGCATCCAACCAGGTTAATATCTTGACTTCTAGATCTTACCCAAACAATAACCTTTCTACTACTTAGAGCTTTAATTTTGGGACAGGCTAAAAGAAAGCTCCCTGAGCTTCAATTCCTGTTTGCATTAGTGCATTACTATAAATACATGTGGCAGGCTTACTGTGGAAAGCAAAAATGCCACCTCACACTGCCCAAACAGTAGGATAACTTTGCCTTTCTCCATTCTCCTCCCCTAGTTCCCCAGGAGAGATTTAGAGGGAGGTGGTGGTAAAGGCATTAAGCATCCATCTTCTCAAACTGCCAGTTTTCCTTTAGTCCGATGGTTCTGTATATAATTGGAAGAATTCCTAGAGCAAACTAGGGCCAGGGTAGTAACTCAATCATCCCTGAATTTTATTGGTCAGACCATTACAGTTCTGTCTATCATGCTGAGATTACAAAAGCTCCAGGGCATGGACTAGGTCTTCTCTTCTGTCTTATATAATATTAAACTCAAAATGGGCCCTTGAGAAATCACAAATACAAATAAAATGAATATAATTTAATATAAATGTCATTCGGCTACTATACATAGATAACAATAATGGAAAATTTAAGGAAAGTCTTAGTTAAATCTGTAAGTGAATTTATGATTGGAACAGAAAAATAAAATATCTCCCATGGATTTCTCATTTTAAATTAGTGTGACATTTCAGTAAAATACTGACCAGGATCCAACTGGATCTTTTAATTAACTCTTGTGTGGGATTTACTAGGGGCCATGCTTGGGAGTGAATCCCAGGCACAGCTTAGCTCAGTATAAAATGTGGCAATAGCTTCTAGAATTTGACCAAAACCTATCATTTGACACCTGTGTCCAGTTAGTTCTCAAAATCTGTAGCTTCTTGCATTGTATTCCTGGTATTTATTCCTTTCTGTTTAAAAAGAAATCAATCATCATCACCTAGGTCTAGAATTCTAGGGCCTGGCAGGTGCAGGAAGCCATAAGTATTATTTAAAATTTTACAATAATTAAAAATGTTTTTATATTATATTCATTATATTGAATAGAGCTCCCAACTTTTTATACCATTTATTCATGTCTGCATGAAATTCGTATGGTGTCTACATCATACTATAGTATCAGGTCTTTCAAAAGACATATTTTTAACAACAGTTGAAGGAAATTTTATTCATTAGTTTTTATTTTATTCATAAAATAAATGGCAGTTTTTTTTCCTTGATGCTTGTTTTTTAGGTTGTGTATGAAACTCTTTAGAGTTTCATGTGGTTTTAAGGCTATTAATTGGTCTCCAAAGCAATCCAGATAGCCCTACTTGTCCTTAATTACCCTTTACTCCTCAAATTTAATTGTCTCAGTGTTCTTAGTCTTTCATAAAGACAATTAACTACTCCTTCTCCATTCTCCTTGGTTTACTTTTAAAAATTCCTTTTAGGTGACCCTTTCCCCCCCCATGCCCAACTGGATCCTTTAATTAACTCTGTGTGGGCTTAACTAGGGGCCATGCTTGGGAGTGAATCCCAGTCATAGCCATTTCTGACCACAGTGCTAAATTTTCTCTGCCCTTGGCCAGGATGTAAGACTTTTATTTTTTTATTTCAATAGCTTTTGGGGCACAAGTGGGTTTTGGTTATCTGGATGAATGCTATAGTAGTGAATTCTGAGATTTTGGTGCACCTGTCACCCAAGTAGTGTACATTGTACCTAATTTGCAGTTTTTTATCCCTTAGCCCTCTCTCAACGTCTCCCTTCTGAGTCTCCAATGTCCATTATACCACTCTATATATCTTTGTGTTCTCATAGCTTAGCTCCCACTTATGAGTGAGAACATATGGTATTTGGTTTTCCATTCCTGAGTTACTTCACTTAGAATAATGGCCTCCAGCTCCATCCAAGTTGCTGGAAAAGACACTATTTCATTCTTTTTTATGGCCGAGTAGTATTCCATGTTGTGTATACACCACAATTTCTTTATTCACTCATTGATTGATGGGCATTTAGGTTGGTTCCATTTCTTTGCAATTGGAAATTGTGCTGCTCTAAACATAAGTGTGCATGTGTCTTTTTCACATAATGTTTTTTTTCCTTTGGTTAGACCCAGTAGTGGGATTGCTGGATCAAATGGTAGTTCTACTTTTAGTTCATTAAGGACTCTCATAGAAGTTGTACTAATTTGCATTCCTACCAGCACAGTATAAGTGTTGGGATGTAAGTCTTCATCCACTTTTTTTTCTTTTTTCTTTTTTTTTTTAATATAAAGACAAGGTTTTACTCTGTTCCCCAGGCTGGCCTCAGGTGATCCTCCCATCTCGGCCTCCCAGAGCATTGAATTACAGACATGAGCTACTGTGCCTGGCTGACCCATTTCTTGTTAAACTTGAGACACCATCCACCTTTAATGACCTTGAGTAGTTAGTTCCATTGCATGCATCTGGTTCAGGCAAAGCCATGTACATTGGAGTGAACATTTGTATAGTGCTTAGACCAGCATCTGGTATCTTTTTAAGTGCTATGCAATTGCTAAATGCATAAGTCACTTGTGCCCCATATGTACTTGGTGTTCCAGACCAGATTGTGGTTTGCTTATATTCGTCTCACCCTAATTAAGGCCCTCGTTGAGGGCCATAGCTAGAGGGTGCTGAAGCTGGCTTGCACTGGCTTACCAGTCACTTGTTCACTTTTCAGGAGTTTTGTGAACTGGTTGTAAAACATTGACATAATTAAACATTAAATTATATGAACTTGTAATTAAACAACTTATTTTAAAAAAACAGGTAATAAATACTCAAGGCTTATCACTTCTTAATGGTTTTACTACATTCTAGTGTTATCTATATGCTTGAGGTTATGTCTATTGTATCTGTGCCATGGATAGCACACAGCCACAGGGCAGCTCACTGCCATGGTTGTTTCTTTCAATGGCTGTTCTTCAATAGATAGAAGGTGGAAACCTCAAGATGTTTTATATATTATTCTATACCAAAAATACTTTTCTAACCAATACCATTGATTTTTTCTTTTTAAAAATTGTTTAATGTATTGTACATACAAAAATGCATAAACATATGGGTATAATTTAATAACTATTATGTAGTAAATATCCAGGAAACCACTACCTAGGTCAAAAAATAGAACATGATTAGAAACCACTTGATACCTCTCCCCACATAGAGGCAACCACTCTCTGGACTTTGTAATAATCTCTTACTTGTATTTCTTTATAGTTTTGCCACTCATTTCCATATAATTTCTCACCATAATTTATTTCTGTTTTAGAATTTTATGTTACTGAAATATAGTATGTGTATATCTGGCCTTTTTCTTTTCAAATTTTTGTTATGTGCTTCAGACATGCTGTCATTTGTACTGAAAAAAAAAAATCCTTCAAACCTTGTGACTAGTGGGCATTTGATCAATTTCAATGAACTCATACCACTAACTGGAGGTGAAATTCAATGGAGATGGTGGACAGAGGGGCCCACATACATCTCAGCTATTTTTTTTAAAACCCCAGATTGCCCTCAGGCCCCTTCCATTTTTTCTTCTGGAAGCCAGGCCACCAGAGCTCAAGCACCCAGCCACTTTGTACAGCAGCTACATTACCCGTATATTTGCTCTTCCCTCATTTCCTCTGAGCTCTCAGAGTGAAAGTCCTACAGAGATATGGGTCCCACTGCAATCTTCCAAGGGTGATACCTGGCTGGTGGGAGTTGGTCATATCTTTGGGAGGGCCAAGTAAGCACTTGGCATTTCCTTGAAGGCTACCAGGATTGCTACTTGGGATGCCTCCCTTCCCCACATAGTGGGGACAGGCCTGCTCTGGCTGGGCATATGTAGGATGGAAGCAGCATGTAAAAGCCATGATGGGTGTGGGTGGCAGGTCAGCATGCTGGTCAGTGTGAGCGTGGCCTCCTGGTGGGGCCAATCCCAAACTCCTTGAGCCAGACTTCTATGGTTCTTGAAGGGAATCTATGTGCAGGAGGTGGAAATTTGGGAAGTTGATGTGCATAGGTACTCAATCGTCAAAAAGGAGTCCTCCTTTAGCATGAGAACAGAGCCCTGGAGTCCCTCTGATGTTCCAGGAATAACCGTTTAGCTTCTAAATTGAGGAAACGTTATGATGTTCTCAGGGAAGATGCTGGGGCAGCTTCGGGGAAGCCGGCATGTTGTGTAGCCCTCAGCGGAGTTATGACAATGGCCTTTTCCAATGATTAAGGAAGTAACTTGATATTTTATCATTGTTTCGACTGTACTCCTGTGCAATGGCCAAATACTAGCCCTGGGTATACGTGTGTGTGGTGAGGGACAGAATCCACGTACTCTAAGGACTCTTAATTCCTTCTACTGGCTTTCAAAAATGCACAAATCTTTCCTGTTATGGGTGAAAAAATCAAAACAAAACACATTAACTTGGTTACAAATTCTAGCTACCATTTTATTTTTCTACCATTGTTCACAGAAAAACTGCAAAAATAAAAGATCCAAATTGATAGCCTCAATCTTCTTTCTATCGGCATCCTTCTCAATCCACTTTAATCTGCTTACTTTCCCAAAAAAGTGAAGAAGGCACCGAAACTAAGAATAGGACACCATGGAAAGGGAGCTATCGGAGAACAAGCAGAAGTTCCTGGTAAGTACAGATAAGATTGATGAAATAAAGATGAATTAAGACAAATGGAGACTCCACCCACGAGCTTCTGCACACATCTTAAAAGGAGTACCGAAAAGGGCAAATTGAGAAAAAAGGAGACTAAAAGATAAAATAATATTTTTTCTCAGAATGGACAAAATATATAAATGATAAGATTGAAAGGGACTATGAAGTGCCATGTTGAATAACATTTTTTAACATCTTACACCAACTATATCACTGATGAATTTCAGAAGATGATGAATACAAAGAAGAAAAAGTTATTCAAAGGAAAAACTTCTTACCTATAAAGGAAAATAAATAATATTGGTTTTAGACTTCCAATCAACATCACTTGATACAAAAAATAATAGTTTAATTACTTTAAGTTATAAAGGGAAATATTTGATCCTAAAATTCTATTCCAGTCCAAGAAAACATTTCTAGAAACAAAAAATTGTCTCCCATTTATCCTTTATGAAAAATTTATTTGAGAATATATCTAAAGAAATAAAAATAAATCTATGAGAAAAGAAGGGTATGGAATCCAAGAAATATTAAAACTTGTCTAGTAATATGATAAAGTCCTAGGATGATCCAAATTATAGCATGAAGCCCAACATTCCAGAAAGAATGTCTTTAAAAAAAAAAGTAAATTGTATTACAGAATTTCATTGTCAGGGCCAGGCGAAGTGGCTCGTGCCTGTAATCCCAGCACTTTGGGAGGCCGAGGTGGGTGGATCATTTGAGGTTAGGAGTTTGAGACCAGCCTGGCCAAAATGGTGAAGCCCAGTCTCTACTGAAAATACAGAAAAAAAAAAAATTAGCCAGGTGTGGTGGCAGGATCCTGTAATCCCCGCTACTCAGGAGGCTGAGGCATGAGAATAGTTTGAGCTCAGAAGGTGGAGGCCACAGTGACCCCAGATCACACTACGGTACTCCAACCTGGGTGACACAGTGAGGCTCCATCTCAAAAAAAAAAAAAAATTGTTGTGAAGAAATTGTGTGATCTTCAATGAGATACCATCTCACGCCAGTTAGAATGGCGATCATTAAAAAGTCAGGAAACAACAGATGCTGGAGAGGATGTGGAGAAACAGGAATGCTTTTACACTGTTGGTTAGAGTGTAAATTAGTTCAACCATTGTGGAAGACAGTGTAGTGATTCCTCAAGGAGCTAGAACCAGAAATACCATTTGACCCAGCAATCCCATTACTGGGTATATACCCAAAGGATTATAAATCATTCTACTATAAAGACACATGCACACGTATGTTTACTGCAGCACTATTTACAATAATAAAGACTTGGAACCAAGCCAAGTGCCTACCAGTGATAGATTGGATAAAGAAAATGTGGCACATATACACCATGGAATACTATGTAGCCATAAAAAAGAATGAGTTCATGTCCTTTGCAGGGACATGGATAAAGCTGGAAACCATCATTTTCAGCAAACTAACACAGGAACAGAAAACCAAACACCACATGTTCTCACTCATAAGTGGGAGCTGAACAATGAGAACACATGGACACAGGGAGGGGAATATCACACACTGGGGCCTATTAGGGCATGGGGGACAAGGGGAGGGAGAGAATTAGGATAAATATCTAATGCATGTGGGGCTTAAAACCTAGATGACGGGTTGATGGGTGCGGCAAATCACCATGGCACATGTATACCTATGTAACAAACCTTCATGTTCAGCTCATGTATCCCAGAATTTAAAGTAAAATAACATAAAAAAGTAAAAAAAAAAAAATTGTGTGATCTTATTGATAAGATAATGATTTGTTTTACTAATCACTGGAAAGAGGACAATAAGAAGCTCTGGGAAAAGTGACTCTTAAAAAAAATCATAATCCCAATGTTGAGCAAAGTAAAATGTGACATGAATTTGGTAATTGATGGATTGTCAGACAAGTAATCTTATTTGATGTTGATGTTTGGGACATTTTCTTTCCACACAGCTGAGAGTTAGGGCTTACTGGGAAGTTCCAATGTGATAACATTTGAAGGCACCCAACATGACACCTTGTATATAGTAACTGCTCAAAGGTTAGTTCCTTCTCTATTATCCCTGCCTTAACTCCTAGCACTTCCAACTGCTTTTTGCCAAAACCTGTATTTTAAATAAGTAAGACTTCCAAACTTTGTAAATGATGTTTCAATCATTAAAAAAATCGTTTAATTTCCCTTTAGGAAGAAGTGACAGCAGCTTGGCCAGTTATAAGGAAATCAGATGATTGCTTTGGATTGCACACGAAGTTCTAAAGATTAAATAATACTCAGAAATTTTTTGGGGGGGAATTCTTGATACTCTCAATACCTTAAAAGAATAATGTAGTGACTGAAAATATAATATTAGAACACAAATACCTGTTCTCTCTGAAGGAAAAGCAGTATACTATAACAGATCAAAGTGATACATTTATGATTGCTTTACTCTTTCTCCTTTCTTTACAGCAAAGCATATATTCCCACTGCTCTGTAGCTATAGACATTTCAAGGAGATTGGTGTGTTTCAATAGGTTTCCTGTCCTTCCTTCAAAAGAAGCTGAGTGTATGAAAAATTCTAGGCAGATCATTAAAATTGTAATAATATTCCAATGTGGAAGATGAAAGGGAAGAACTCTGCCTCATGCTGGATTTACTTTTAGTGCCCAATGGGTGTTTTTTTGTCTGGTACTTGGATCAGGTCACCCCAGAAGGAAACGATCACATTAACATTGGTGTTTGCTGTGAGATATATTATTTAGTGGGACTGTAACCTTTGAAACATAGATGAAAATGAATGGAGATGATCCTGCATCAAATTCCACTTATTGAAACCAGCTATTTTGGCTAGTGAGGTGCCTGACAATTCAAAGTAAACTCATCTCTTTTGAAACAATTTATTGCCCAATTTCAGATAGCAATCTATTGCCTGATGCATGCCGGACCACATGCAAGGTATCTGTCACTGGCCCGAGAGTCTTAGAGTCATATTTTATTTGCTTCCACATCAATAGAGCCCTAATCTCACGTCAGAATTTTCTACAAAGGCAAAGTCAATAAGGATTGATATCCTATCTGCTAATGAGAGGCAGTTCGGTTATTGATGACTGTTATTTTGAGAGAATCCCAGAGCTGCCCTTCCTCCTGGCTTCTGCCTCACTTTTCCATTCTTTCATTTCATTACAGCCTCATCAGAGTGAGATTTGAGGAACACGTAGGTGGCAAAATGCAGGGAAGCTAATTTGAATACTTCAGGAGCTTCAGGAAAAGCTTTATGGGGAGGAAGTTATCTAGAAACTAGAAATCTTCATCTGATTTCACCAAGTGACTTCATCTAATGATTGGCTTTGAATGTTCACGTAAGAACAGTATTTTCACAATAACCATTAAAAAAAAAATCACACAACCTAAAATGTTAACAAATGTTCTTTTTGCTAACTTTGCAATTTCGGGAAAGATACTTAACCTCATTCAGCTTTAGCCTCATTTTTAAAAATAACTGGGAAGTAATAGCATCTACATCACTGGGTGGTGGGGAAGATTAATTGAGATGAGTTATGAAACATGATACCTGTGCATATTAAATATAAATCTAATATATGATCTGTACATTCACAGGATTAGTGAAGAGTAACAAAAATGTGGGCTGTTTTAAATCTACAAAAATATGCAGAATTTTTCTGTTGTTAGATTTTAATTTAAAGATTTGTTAAATGCTCCAAGGCCATTTAAAATTTTAGTAGAAGACAAAGTTTCACCAGATTTCTTTCTGGAACTGCTGCATAAAATGCTAAAGCGGCTTTGATGGCATTTACACTTCCCTTTGTCTTTTCTATCTATAACCACCCTTCCTTCTTCTCCACCTATTGATAGGTGCCCATTGAAGGTTTTGACTATGAGACCTTTAAATCCATCACCTATCTGTACAGTAAATTTTGGAGGAAAACCCAAAACAACTCTTGGGATTGCCAATCCTATTTAATCTAAAAATATTAGAATTCTATTAAGTAATTTTCTTTCTTTCTTTCTTTCTTTTTTAAGACGGAGTCTCCCTCTGTCCCCTAGGCTGGAGTGCAGTGGCGCAATCCCGGCTCACTGCAACCTCCGTTTACCAGGTTCAAGCGTTTCCTACCTCAACCTCCCAGCTAGCTGGGATTACAGGCATATGCTACCACGCCTGGCTAATTTTTGTATTTTTAGTAGACATTGAGTTTCACCATGTGATCCGCCCGCCTTGGCCTCCCAAAGTGCTGGGATTACAGGCGTGAGCCACTGTGCCCGGCCTCCATTAGGTAATTTTTAGGACTTTGCAAGTCACAGAGAATGATCTCTGAAAAAATGTAAAATGCTCCTCAGCTGAAGTATTGCATGTTTAAAGCTTTAAAGCATGTGACTATGTATCTTAATTGACAAAATTTCAAAGGCTTTTATTTTTTTAATTTAATTTTTAAGTTATTTTATTTTATTTTATTTTATTTTGAGATGGAAGGAACCTCGCTCTGTCGCCCAGGCTGGAGTGCAGTGGCATGATCTAAGCTCACTGCAACCTCTGCCTCCTGGATTCATGCGATTCTCCTGCCTTAGCCTCTCAAGTAGCTGAGATTACAGCCGTGCGCCACCATGTCTGGCTAATTTTTGTGTTTTTAGTAGAGACGGGGTATCACCATTTTGGCCAGACGGTCTCAAACTCCTGACCTCAGGTGATCCATCTGCCTTGGCCTCCCAAGTGCTGGGATTATAGGCGTGAGCCACCGTGCCCGGCCTCAAAGGATTTTATTCCTATAATTAATTTCACTAGATTATTTTCTAGATCAGGCACAGTATTGTTATTTGTTTTCTATCTCTTTCTCCCGGAATTTTAATTAGAATCATCTTGGCCCTCATTATTCGAGTTCCCATACGTCTTAACAGCTCCATATTTTGCATCTCTCTGTCCTCTCTGCTCTATTCTGGGTCACTTGTGTGTGCGCCTGTGTGTACTGTTTCATCAATCTTCTCTTCAACTGTGCTTTATTTTCAGTTTAGCCCATTGATTGAGATTTTAATTTCAACATTTGATGTTTCCTTTGTATGAGTTTTATTTCAAATATAACTTTCATTTTAAATAATTTCTTTTTGATGGGTGATCTGATTTTATCATTTATTTTCATTGTTTTGTAGGTAGTCATTCTGTATTCTATAGCTGCAATTACATTATCTACAGCCCCTGGATCTGTTGTTTCCTCTCCTTTCCTCAGTCAACAGTGGCTTGTTTTCAAGTATGTTTGGCCAACATATATTGTGAGTTTCCTGCTTACTCTTCATCGATAGCTGTTCTTTGTGCCTAAACCGAACACTTGAGCAGTCGTTATGTAGATTTCCTTTTTTTTTTTTTTTCCTGTGGTTAGCACCATCAACGTGGGACTACCTAAACTCTATATGTCAGAACCAGGCTGTTGTTCTGCGACTCATATTGGTCCAAGGCTGGCTAATGGCTCAGTTTCCAGACAGCACTGCTTCCCTCCATGAATTCTGCTCGTCCTGAATGTCTGCTGTCTCTTCTGGCCCAAGTGACTTTCTTTAAAGAGAGTACGTTTTTGGAAAATGCTCCTACTTCTATGTGACTAGCAATATTTCAAATAGTGTGTTGCTTCCAAACTTTAGTTGTTCTGTGGAGGGATGTCCCCTTGAACCTCCTAACCAGGCATATTGTTGGAAGCAGAAATCTGTTATATGACACACACACACACACACACACACACACACACACACTTTACAAGCAAGCTGAGCATGCTATACCTTACTGTGAGTAGTTTTTTGAGTGAGTACATTTTAGATAAATGACATCTCTCTCTCTTGAACTCACCATTTTACTAACTGTTAATTATAATACTACCTGCTAAATCTGGAACAAAATCAGATTTTTCCAAATAAAAAGATACTTAATATTTGCTTATTATTTTACTTCATAACATGTATATATATTCTTTTGTATATACTAAGTTTTTCATTTATCTGAAAAGAGATAGGTACACAGGATCAAAAAGAAGACATAGAAAGAATTGGTTGCCAGGTACCTCACAAACTACCTAACACGAGGATGAGTACATATTAGATAAAATGATGTAGATAACAGTAAGAAGAAAAAAAGAACATGTGGAAATAGGAAGATTACTGGATGAAACAGGATCATAAGAAGGCTTGGGCTATTTCTGTAAAATGGAGAAATAAAAACAGGTATCTTTCCAAGGCATCAGGCTACCCAACTAACTGGGAAAGTTCAACAATGTGGATCAGCTATGAGGCCCACCTGGGGTAGGGGCAGCATCCTCAGAGGGATCCAGGGTTTATGGGGCTGCATAAACAGGTAGTGAACTTTTTCCCAGGAATCAAATCAGTTCATATTAAATGGCAGATTGAAAACTTCAGTAAAACTACTAAAATATTTTACATTTGAAAGTTTACAATATCACCATTCCCTATAGAATACTCATCTCCACAAGCTGTAAATACAAAAAATCATACTTTGGACTGGGCGTGGTGCCTCATAGCACTTTCGGAGGCTGAGGTGGGAGGGTCGCTTGAGGCCAGAAGTTCGAGACCAGTCTGGGTAACACAGTGAGACCCCATCTCTATTTAAAAAATCTTCTTTTGGCTGAAATAACTTTTCTGTTATACTCGTTAATTCTGTGCTATGCTTCAGGGTGGCACAAGATCATGTTCTGAGAGGCCTGTCTTTTATTTTTAAGTACATAAAAATCCCAACAAAATGGTGCTTTGGTATAAAAAGGGAGAGCTCATAATCTAGGGGTCCAAAGTTTGCACTTTTTCTTTCTCCCAAAACACAGTTCTCAAAATGTATCAAGGTCTTAATTCATGGGAAGGATTATGGTACAATTTGCAAGAAGTTGTCTTTCCAAAATGCTAATCATCATTCTGTAAGTGTTCTTTAAAAATTTTTTTAATGGATCTAATTTTCACTAGACAATGTCAGTTGTGTAAGTACCATGTGCTATGTCCCAAGGGACTCCCAGGCAAATAGGACACGCATCCTCTGCCTGTAGTTTTCTTATAGTCTGCAAATCATAGAGAAGCAATTAAGCTGCAGGTTTTATGACACATGAGGGGCAAAGAAAGGGCTATGTGACTTGTATTTGTGCTTTGGACAAGATAAGACCCAGTTAATAAGCATACATGTAGATATGCTTATAAAGCCTGTGTATTAATAAAGTTTGAAAGGATATGCAAAAATATTAACCATGAGTGGTAATTTGTGGGTGGTAGGATGATGTATGAGCTTTACTTTCTTCATTTTTGGCTGTTGGAAACATTTTCTGTAATAATCACAAATTACCTGTTAATCCTTAAAATGCTTAGTGTTCAAGCATTCGACAAGAAAATCACAATGACCCTTATAGGTAGGAATTAAAGTGTTGTCTTTTAAATTGTGGCTCTTAGACAGACTGCATGCTTTTTGCTGTAGGTAAGATGGTGAGTAAATTGCCACCAGTCAACAACCTTAGTGTAGCTTAAGGCAATGTAATGAACAATTACAAGTGTGATAAGTACTGCACTATAACAGGAAAAGTACAGATTTTATGAGAATAATAATAAGAATAACACCTTCATGTGAAGTATTTTTAAAAAATGTAACCTTCACAGTAAGTCTATTAAGAATGCATTTTTTTACATATGAGAAAACGAAGACTTAGAGAGGCTGAATTAACTTACTCAAGATGATATGGTTATGTTAAGTGTCATGAACTCTAAAGCCTATTTTCAGATGGTTTGCCTAAAGGGCAGTGTGTGTGTGCATATCTGTATCTATGTCTCTACATAATATCAGTGGCAAGCTACTGGGCTAATTGTGTATTTATTTCAGATTTACTGGGAAGTTAAATATTTCAAAATTAAAAGAAAGATTACCCAACTAGGAAGAGTTGGGATTCAAATACAAATCTAACACGGAAACTCACATACTTAAAAACTTTGCTGCAGTCATTTTGTTACAAGTAATCTCTCAGTTCTTCAGGCATACGTATCATTTTATATGAGGGAATAGGAACAACATGTTAATATACGGTGAAATATTAAGTATGTAAACCTACTTTAAAAGGCTCAATTTTCTTGTAGCCTCAATTGAGTATTTTGAAAGATAGTATACCTAATTTGGACCTTGGAGCATTTGACTTCTAAAACCTATTTTGTATCTCTTTTCTGAAGTACCTATTTTGTATCTCTTTTCTGAAGTGTGTGCAATTTGACTGATTGATTTGTCATTTGAGAAGTATTTATTAATCACCTACCATATACTCAGTCCTGGGGTAGATGTAGCTAATATAGAAGAGTTCAAGTTCAAAATATTTTACCTTTTAAAGCCTGGCTAAGTAGACATAATACATGTAAAACAAGAATGAGCAACACCAACACAATTATATAAGCCAGATTTTTGATATAGACTAAGTTCTCAAAAAAGTAATAAGACAAGTCAACGTGGTCTTTAGTAACCAAGGAAGGCTTCATGAAGAAGGCAATCTTAGAATTGCTTTGAAAGCTGGTTAAGATTGGAAAGCTTAGAAAAGGGCATTCCAATTAGAAAAAATATAATCAATGGCACACGAGTATGTTGTGTTCATGGAGCCATGATACAGCCTTACAAAGAGGGTCTCTGATAGTGGGATGAATTGGTTGAAACACATTCATTCTAAGCTGAGGGGTCTATTCTTGTTATTACAGGAAGAACAAACAAGCCAAGTGAACGTTATACTTATCAGAGTGTGGCATGATGAAGCTTTCTGTTTGGAAATGCCCATTTTCTACTTTTATTGTTGAGGCTCTGTCAGAATCACTTTCATCGGGTTGCGTTGTTGTGTTACAATCACAGCTTATAAGAAATCTGCACGAATCAGTCTTTGACAACTTGTTACTGCATTCACTATGGGGATGCTGTCAAATGCCTCTTCTGCTACATCTCTCGGGGCCTCTATGTTGGGGACAAGGAGCTTCTCTCCCATGTTTTTGATTGGATATGGAGAAAGTCTTGCAGTACATCATTCCTCATATCTCTTTGCTTCTCAGTGAGTGAGTTAATCAGACTGGTGATTCTGGAAGAAGGACTGGG
The DNA here is from genome assembly GCF_000001405.40 of Homo sapiens. NCBI lineage: Eukaryota > Metazoa > Chordata > Mammalia > Primates > Hominidae > Homo > Homo sapiens. Next base: position 18,937,202 of record NC_000012.12, on the reverse strand, counting down.
CAAGGATAGCTCATTTCCTGCCTCTCCTCTTCTTTTTGGAAGTGATTCTCCCCACAAACAGAGTATGCACCCAACTGCCCTCTGCCATTCTGGGAGCTTAGTGATAAAGGATCAGGCCCTGCTTCCATTGGAAGCCCCTGGGCAGGGAAGACTGAGAAAGTTTGTCTAATTCTGCGTTCAGTGTTTACGCCCACCTGTGTGCATACATAAGTCACATTCTAACATCACCTTTTTCAGGGATTATCTTGTTTTAGTTTCATTGGCTTATTCCTTTACTCCTTTCTTCTTATTTTTCAGTTACAATAAACCCTGGGTGGGAAAGAGGATTACTACTTATTGAGCCTCCTCAACACCCCATCATCTTACAAAAGCAATGTTCATATTTTGAACATTAACAACAATGGAATCTATGTCTTACATTTTATTTGCTCTCTCTGATTGTTCAAAACCAAATTTTTACTAAAGTAGAACCACTGTATATGATTTTATAGTCTACATATCTGTGTTTTATTCCTTCCTGATATTGTGTTTGCATTCTAACGTATTTTCTGTAGTTCTGATTTTTAAGTCTACAGTGAACTTTTTTATTATATGTGCTTTCTATATGCCACTCAAATATTTTTGTGGAATGAGGCCAAATTTAAATAATACGGTACTTCCATGATGTATTGACAGGCCTGAGAGATTGGCAGCTGGATATAGAAAATGAAGGAGAGAAGTTTATTAGAAGTGATTGAAAGTCTCATGTAAGTGACTATAAGAAGAAGGTATTACAATGAGATGGTGAGACACATGGCAGGTGGTGGGGCTCAAGAGAGGAGCTCAGGAAAGTGAAAAAATGAAAGTGCTAAAGAATGAAGAGAGAGAGAGAAAGACAGAGAGAGAGAGAGAATAACCATATGTAACCATATGTAGCTTCAGAGGAATTTCCATAGTTGATGTAAAGAAACAAGTGAAACCAGAAAATAAAATGAAAAAGAATCAGAGAAGAGGGGGAGAGAAAGAAGAGAAAGTAATGTCCCTGAAACTGTGGGAAGATTCAGGTAGTAAAATGCAAATGCCACGTTTTGAAAACTGCAAGACAAAGTTTCAGGAGAATGATGACTATAAGTCTTTTACTAGGCAACAGGTTCTTTGAAGCATTTATCTTTCAATAATTTTCTGATTCCAGAAATATTTATATGGCACTCATTATAATACCATGTAACTTGTGCTTTACATATGATAAGCAATATAAAGGACTTGATTGAGGAATCTTGGTAGCTGCTATGTTGTGTAGGGTTGTATCCCCAAAGATTTTCCCCTAAATTGTAAGGCAGACTGTGAGTGCACAGAATGTGGGTGCACATACACAGCTGGGAATGTGTGAGCATGGAGGATATGGTCAAGCTGGCCCCTCTCCCTCCTTACTAAAGAAGAAGCACTTAATTCTGTGGTGTGCACATTCATGCTAGGAACTCTGACATTCCTGGGCGTATTGTTCAGTTTGTTTAGAGAGCATTTCTCTGATTTTAGGCTGGGGGAAAATGCTCCTGCTGCCAGTCACTTTGCCCATGTGGGCATGTAGGTGGGTGGGTGGGGGTGGGTTGACTGTGCATCTGCTCTGCAGACAGTCCTCTGATTGATCACCTGATTTCTGCCTGTTTCCCACTCTGATTCTGAGTTTGGAGTTTTGCTTGAGCTGTGCTGGAAAGAATGGCTTCTTCCTCCCCTGCAGCCTTCTCCTCTGCTTGTTCTTGACTGCAGCCTGCCCCACTCCCCACTTTCCATCTGCACAATTCCACCTGCTTTCTATTTTCTAGAAATCATTCAAACTCTCAGTCTGCTAAATGATCACTCCTTCCTCTTGGGGCTGCTATGAATTTATTTTCTTCTTTGTTTTACACTATTGTCATTTCAATGAGATCTTTGGAGGGAGGGGCTGTAAATGTTTACGTGTTCAATCTACCATCTTAAACTGCAAGTCAATTCTCAACTTCAGTTGCCAGGATCCCCACTTGTCACTGTTCCTAGTAGACTTTTGAAATATATTTATTTCTCAAATTGCGTTTATGATAAATTATGATGATAAACATATATTTTCCCTTTAAAAGCTCATTACGAAAGGCCAAGCAAAGCTTCTGATCAGCATGAGGTAAACTATGACATCAAGCTGAATTGACACAATTCCAGCAAAAGACAAGAAATTTGATGTTTTCATTTTCTAACGTGGGTATTGTGCCTGAAAATATATTACTGATGTCAAGAGCTGATTGAGATTCCCTACGTATTTATCAAACCGTAGTTATGTTTTATGCATGCTGCTAGACTCTGGCTATATTCATGGACAAAATAGATGTCTGCCCTCATGGTGTTTATAGATTAGTGGAGAGAAAGGCACTAAAGACATCCAAGTATAAATTAAATTGTGATAAGCCCTTTAAAGGACAAGTGTAGGTTACTACAAGGAAGGATAATAGGGGGAGCCCAATTGAGTCTGGAGGATCGGGAAAAATCGTTATTTATGGAAGTGACTTTTTTTTTTTTTTTTTTTTTTTGTCTCCCAGGCTGGAGTACAGTGGCCTGATCTCGGCTCACTGCAAGCTCCGCCTCCCGGGTTCACGCCATTCTCCTGCCTCAGCCTCCCGAGCAGCTGGGAGTACAGGCGCCCGCCACCATGCCCGGCTAATTTTTTGTATTTTTAGTAAAGATAGGGTTTCACTGTGTTAGCCAGGATGGTCTCGATTTCCTGATCTCGTGATCCGCCCGCCTTGGCCTCCCAAAGTGCTGGGATTAGAGACGCGAGCCACCGCGCCCGGACTGGAAGTGACTTTTAAGCGGAAACCTAGGGGTTTAGCTAGGCAGAATCGCAGCGGAGGTACTGGAGGTAATGCAATAGCAGCTCAGATGCCCAGTGTGGTAGAATTGGACCAAGAACAGCAGAGGAGTGGCTGGAGAGGTAGGTGGAGACCAGATTCAAATCATGCAGGGTCTTAGATTATATCCTGAGAGCTTTCAAAAGGTTTTACTTTTGGCATTTACCTTACCTGGTTTGTACTTTGAGATATTTTCTGTTTTCAGCTTTGTGAAGAACAGATTTGTAGGTGTTACTATTGCAGTAGTACAGGTGAGAGATGATGGCTAGAAATGGCAGTGGATACTGAAAGAGGTGAATGAATTTGAGATGTGTATTGTATGCTGAAATGCCAAGAAAGTAATGGTTGTGGTAGGTTTAGGAAGGGGAATTGTCGCAGATGACTTTTAAATTTCTGATTTTGGCAGCTGGTGAGATTGAGGTGCCATTTACTGAGATGAAGAATATAGAATAAGAATGAGTTTTGGGGAGAAAAATTAGGAGTTCAGCTTCTAATTTTTACTTGTGAGGAAGACAGATCCAAGTGGAAATGTCAAGTAGTCAGTTGGATGTGTGGATTTGGATCTGAGAAAAGAGATGTTGGCTAGAGATGTAAATTTGTAAATTGTCACCACATAGATGTTATGTATGGTGGCATTACATACCTGGAGAAAGATGAGAAAGAGAGGCAGGCCCAAGACCAAGCTCTGAGGAATCCCCAAACTAAGAGGCTGAACAGATAAAGAGAAGCTCGTCTGAGAATTTGAAGAGATCCAGAGAGGTAGGAGTCAAGTTTTTCAAGAGAAGAGAGTATTAAAAAAAAGGAGAAATAAATGATAACCTCCTTAAAATACTCCTAAGGGGTCTTCTGAGTTTAAGGATCCACATTACAGTTTTCCTTTAAAAGGGTAAGGCGGAGGGGGAAATTGCATTCTGATACCAGAAGGAGAAATTCTGGGAGTAGCTGGGCAGATGGTAGTTGGTCTTGGGATTGTTTGTCACCGGTTGATAGGGCAAGCAAAAGGTATGTGTTCCAATACCTTATCCAGTACCTTTTCTCTCTTAAATATCTTTGCATCATCATTTCAACAACGATTATGTTAACTTATTACTTGAAAAATTGTTTTGAAGGCAACACCATTGGAAAATTTCCTAAAGAGAATAATTTCTCCTCCTATTCCTGTCCAGGTATGATGCTCTGGACCAAGGACATCAGCTTGAGAACAATAGGAATAGTTAATGCAAGTAGTTTTTGGGGAAAATAAAGCATTTTAAACTCAATTTTTCTGAGTAATTATCTATATTATGTGAATTACTCAGATAAGGACTTAGGTCTTTGACCATGTGGAACTGAACTTTAATTGAAAATGGAGTGTTAACTTCTGCTGAGTCCTTCTTCCCCTGCCAGCTTAACATGCTTAGGGAGATGAGATCATAAAGTATTGTGACCATTTCTCCGCACAGTTTTTCAGATCAACATTATGACCAAAGATTACATTTCTAAGTGTTTTGAAGTTGTGCAACTATGAGAGAAAATGTTAGGTTGAACCACAAAAATTTGTTTTGTAAAAAATGATCAAACATAGGCAATTTCATATGAGTTAACCTAATACGTGATATGTGATGATTGGTTTATTCCAGAAATGGCTTATTGTTGTTGTTGCTCAAATAGTCTTTCTTAGGGACTGTGAGCTGTGACAAATTAACTTGTGCTAAATTTAATTTTGTAGTACTGAACATATTATTGTGAATTTTCGTCTCCCTACGTACTTTGTTAAATGGCTCCAGACAGCTCTAAGAAAAGAACTTAATCCAGAATATAGTGAAAAGTTTTCAAATTTTACTTGCCCTCTTCTAGTTCTTTTCTTATACCTAGGGTTTAAGTGGATGGGATTTAACAGAAGCTCATCTTGTGCCTCAGAGTTATTTTCCACTGTGCTTTTAAGGAGTGGAAGAAGCAGCTTGGAAAGATTCCCTTGGCTGTCTGGAAGCATAGTAGCTATCCTTTTATTACCCGTCTCAGACCAGATGATCTTTAGCTATTTTATAAGAAATTTCATAAAAGAACAAATTTGCAGGGCTTAATGGTGGCCTACTATAGGGTCTTTCATTCTTGGACAGAATCAGCTGTCATACAGTTTATTTTTAAACTTAACTGATGCTGGAGTTGTTTTTATAGCTGCCAGGTTAGTAAAGTTTTTTTTATTATGAATAGATTCAATATTCATTAAATTAGACAGATCTTTCTGTTTGTAGGTATATACACATGAAAGAAATGATTCGGAGTTTTATTATTGGTGTAAATAAGTAAGTGGTATTCTAATTCACAGAGTTTGACTCATTTTTACTTGTGTGACGTATTTTAAATCTGAAAGACTATCATTGGAAAATAAATGAAAAATCAAGTGAGTAAGGCCTATTAGTTCTTTGCTCTTTTATATAGGCAAAACATTAGAAAAAACAGATTTAGAGTCCTAGGACTGCTTTATAATCTATGGATTCTAAAATGAGGTACACAGTTGTATTTTCTTAAGTTTGTATGTGTGGTGTCTTTTAGAAGTTTGGGAAAACATAGAATATAGAATAAAGACAATCAACACCCCCATAATTTTACCAAGAAGAAATAAAACCTATTAATGTTTTTGTGTGTTTTGTTTTCACATATGAAACAAAATGTGACCATTTAGAGTGGCTCTATCTTTTTTTCTTTGTATTTTCTTTTTCTTTTTTTTTTTTTTTGAGATGGAGTCTTGCTCTTTCACCAGGCTGGAGTGCAGTGGCGTGATCTTGGCTCACTGCAACCTCCACCTCCCGGGTTCATGCCATTCTCCTGCCTCAGCCGCCATAGTAGCTGGGACTACAGGCACGCACCACCACGCCCAGCTAATTTTTTGTATTTAGTAGAGATGGGGGTTTCACCATGTTGGCCAGGCTGTTCTCGATCTCCTGACCTCGTGATCCGCCCGCCTCAGCCTCCCAAATTGCTGGGATTACAGGTGTGAGCCACTGCGCCTGGCCTAGAGTGTCTCTATTTTTCCTTTGCTTTGCTACTAGTGAAAGATAGTACACAAATATTTCTTCTTATCTTCTGGAAAGGGTTGAGGATGAAACTTTCCTTGCACTCAAGAAAAGGAAAGTTATTTAATGAAATTGCCAAAGTTATGGATTATGGACTTATGGGACTTCACAGTTTATTATAAAAGAGTAAGAGTAAAAGAGTAAGAGAAGGGTAATTTTTAGGAAGGCATGGAGTGCCACGGGAGGAAGCCAGGCAAAAGTAGGATGGGTTGGGGAGTGTGTGGTGTGGAGTAATGGGGGAGAAGTGAGGAAGAGTCACAGAAGAGTATCTGGTAAGATGAGAGGTGACAGAAAGGTTTGTCCAAGAAAGGAGAGGGCTTGATTCCTGGGAAGTACCAGATGAGTGGACTGGACAAAGAGATTACTGGGGGAAACAAAGATTCATGGCAGAGGTCTGACCTACCTCTTCATATAACTTGATTATGACTTCCGGATTAGCATCACCCAATCTGGAGTGTACCATTTCCTTTGTATGATAGGTTGCTAATATGCCCAGCAGAACTTGTGATTTGGAGAGTTAGACAATACATAGCTCATGATAGGCATCTTTTAGCTATTTGATACCAATGGTTAGGTACTCAGTCTCTACAAAAGCCCAGAAACATGCTAGACACTACTTTTTGAAGAGCGAATAGTTCTGTGCTGTGAAGTTCTTCTGCCTAGCTCCGGAATCCAAGATGTTAGCATTGTGAATCTTTCGAGAGCTTTCCAGAGAACCTACCATAAAATACAGCTCTATGGGATCTGCCAGGTAATATGTTCCACGTGGCAAGGCTGCTAGTACCAGTCTGAACCTTTTGCAGAGTTGTCTTTTGTCCTGGGCTTCAGTTGAGAATGGCAGTTTTCCAAGTCATCTGATAAACATATTGGGGTCATATTCCCAAGTATGGTTTGTATTGTCTCCAAAATCCAAAGGAACTTACCAAATGTTGTGGCTCTTCCCTAATAATGGTAGTGAAAGCACAGCAATTATCTTTCATCTTGGGTGTGTATGTAGAGAAATGTCTCAGCATGCCTGATATGGTTTGGTTGTGTCCCCACCCAAATCTCATCTTGAATTATACTCCCATAATTCCCCTGTGTTGTGGGAGGGGCCTGGTGGGAGATAATTTGAATCATGCTGGCAGTGGCCCCCATACTGTTCTCACGGTAGTGAAGAAGTCTCACGAGATCTAATGGGTTTATCAGGGGTTTCCGCTTTTGCATCTTCCTCGTTTTTCTCTTGCCGCCACCATGTAAGAAGTGCCTTTCACCTCCTGCCATGATTCTGAGGCCTCCTCAGTCATGTGGAACTATAAGTCCAATTAAACGTCTTTTTCTTCCCAGTCTCAGGTATGTCTTTATCAGCAGCATGAAAACAAACTCATACAATGCCCCAGACTTCTAAACCCCTGAAATATTTGCCAGTGTGCCAGGCCACTGAATCTGCCTTCTAATGCCCCTGTCCTATCAGGGTATCCAGAGGACTCACCACTTCCTTCTCCCCAGGTTCATTTAACATAATATCAGCAATACAGTGGATTAACATGATGTTCTATACAATGCTCAGATGTATCAATATCCTTTTGGTCTTTATTAGTACAGGAAGCAGGGGCATTAACAAAGTCCTGGGGCAAGGCCGTGAATGTGTGCTGCTGTCTAACCCAAGTGAACATAAGCTGCTTCTGGTGGGAGATTGAGAAGAACTTTTGCAAATGAATAGCTACATACTATATTCCAGAGACTGTTAATTTCTTAATAGGGTATCTTAATTAAAGATACCACATCCTGCACAGCTGCAATGACTAAGGCTACCATTTAGTTAAGTTTACTGAAATCCACTATCATTTCCTATGACCCATATGGGTTTTGTAGGGACTAGACTGGTAGAGTAAAGAGGAATTTATTGGGGACCAACCAACCATCTTGCATTCCTTAAGACATTGAGGGTGACACCAAACTCCCATTCCTCCCAGGAAGTAGTATTACTTTGACTTACAGTGTTGTATGGGGAAGGGGTAGATTAGAAGGATACAAGTTGCCTTTCTTACCATTATGGCTCTTATTTCATGGGTTAGAGAACAAAGGTGAGGATAAATGCTAAGTGCATTGATGCTAACTATGCACTCAAAGATTCAGAAAATGACCACAAGAGGGTTCATGGCCCGTAGTAAGGTCTTGGTCTCGACCTCCATTTGCTACCTTGCCTCTGTAGACTTTCCTCCTAATAGTTGGGCTATGATGGTGCTTTGAATCTCCTAATAGTATCAGCAAAGACCATGCAGCCAACAGTACTTACATAGTCTGGGCATTGTCTTTATTCTATCAAATATCCATGGGTCTCCTTGGAGATGAACTGGGAAAATTGTTAGTCTTTACACTTGCGATAGTGTCACAGTGTCCTTCCTCAGGGGGGTTGAGAATCTTCTTCCATCAGTGGACTTTGGGTCTGAGAATCAGCTCAGGTCTAGAAACTATGTCACTCAAAGGAACACAATGATCTTTTAGCCATTGCCACAGACCTTTGTGAGTTGGGGTTCTCTGATGCCATTTTAGCCTTGTTGTTGTTGCAGTTATTACATCTACCTTGCCTCTGATGATTAAATATTGCCATCTGGCTGTTGCAATTCCAGATCCTATCATGCCCATTAATACCAGGGAGCCCAGGTGCGTAGCATCATTATTACCATCAATTCTAGCATACAGAGAACAGCCAGCACTGAACTTTTCAATAATGCCCATGTACCTGTCACTGGCTCACTCATTATTTGTTTAGTGAAGGGAGTGTCCTCTGACCTCCTGAGGGACATAAAGGTGAACCACAGCTGGTTGGTTCTCTGATGTTATATAATGCATACATTCTAGCATGTTCAGCTTCTGAGCCTTGACTCTTTCCTCAATCTTCTGCCAAGGTAGTTCTGGTATCACATCTCTTTTACTGTAGGACTATCTTTTTTTCCTAGCTTCAAGGAATTATTCTAGCAAGAGTTAGGACCAATTCCAGGTGTCTTTTCCAGGATGCTCAATTCTGAGTCAAATTGAGTCAGGTACAACATTATATTGTACCTCCTTTTGTTCAGTACCCTCAAGATTTGTTCCCAGGCATGTTCTCCTAGTTTTTCCCATTATTTAGTAGGCAGGTCCTACATAGCAGGCTATGCTAAGACTTAGCCCTAGTTATTGGCCTGGAAGCAATCAGGAGAAGTGGGGGCAATTCTTGAGGCAAGAATTATCTGCTCTGGATGAAACATCTGTTACAGGTGAGGATTTTGCATGATCTATAGACAAGAGAAGGCAGGGGAGTTGGATGACTTCTGCTGGCCTAGAGGGTTTAGGGGATCCTGGGGACTCATGTTTCAAGTGCATCTAACCATGTGTCCACTTCCCAGTTTTCTGAATCCCATTCCTTTTCTATCAGAGGACTTTCCTTGACTTACAGGGATTCCGAATTCAGAATTTTATTATAATTGCTAATCTTGCTTTCAGGATCTGGGCTTAATATTCAGCAGTTGACCTTTTAGCTGCAGGATTTGAGTCTCTAAATGTTATTATAGAGGCTTTCCTTTCAGTTTTCACATTGTCTTCTGATTGGATGACCTGAGCCTCAGTGTTTTTCCTTTAGTGCATCAATGGCATTTAATGACACCAACTAATCAAAGATTTCACAGTTCTTATAATATCTCCCAAACTCTACTGGTACTGCATAAACTAGTGTGTCCCTTTTCACCTTAGTCTGACCCTAATATATAATAGTTGAGGGTCTTTGTAATTATGATGCCACAGCTAACCACAAGCTGTCAGTCTCCACAATTTCTAATTCCAGAATCCATTACAAGATCTACTTCCTAGAACCATTTCAGCTGCCAACTGTCTCAGTAGGGGTTTCCACAGAAGCGCCCCAAAACAAAGACTTGGTGTGACTAGTTGATGGGATTTTAGGCAACTCCAATAAAGGTTGAGTTATCAAGACAACTTTGTGGGTAACTGAAATTTAATTCTTGGGGGGATACAAGGAGTAGGTACAGAATAAGTATCTCAGAGTTATCTTACTGAAGGAGCAAGAAAGTTGGAATATTTATACAACAATGCTGGTAAGTCATTGTTTGAAGACTGGTAGGCATGGCAGGTTTTACCTGCTGTGCAGTCCTAGCCTGCTGTAGGTGCAGGCAGAGAAGACTCTGGATGCCAGAGAAAGTCCTAAGGTACTTGGTAGTCAAGCAATGTAGCCTGCAGTTGTAAGACTTGATGAGACACGGTAGGGCATTGACAATGTCTGCTCCAGGATGTAGAAACTCAGCAGAGGACCCTGGGTGTTTCCTGGGCTTGTGGGTCACATGCACTCTGGAGATACCTGAATTCAACATGTTTGAGAACCCCTAGCTGGGGTATGGCTAGATTGTATTACATATACATGTCCCATGTACGGTTTTGTACCTTTTCTTCTCACTTAACAGTATATAGTAAGTACAACTGTATATTAAATATTATTAACTTTTTTAGATCATTAGAAGTTTTATCTTCAGGCTGTGCCCAGTGGGACACACCTGTAATCTCAGCACTTTGGGAGGCTGAGGTGGAAGACTCACTTGAGGTCAGGAGTTTGAGAACAGCCTGGGCAACATAGGGACATCCCGTCTTTACAAAAACAAACAAAAAAAGAAGCTTCATAAGTTTTATCTTCAAATTAGAAGGCAAGTTATACTCCTATAGTGACAATTTTTAGAAATTAAAAAGCATTAAAAATGTTGAACCTATAAACTTATAGTGTGTAAAAAATATAAAATAAAAACTGAAGTCTCCATGAAATACATATGTAACTTCGTGTCGAGGTGCATTTACTTTGCCATCCCGCTACGTTCTCAGGTTGCCCTCCTGCTGCTAACAGAGACGCCATCTGTGTGAGTGCTTCTGATGGACAAATTGCTTCCCATTGCAGTCCCCGATTGCCTGTATGAGTAGTACTTAGGAGGTAATTGCTTGGGGGATCTCAAAGCACTCAGCCCTAATGAATTCTTCTGGCATCTTCTGAAGTAGTCACAGGACTTGCAACTGTGAGGCACCAAAAAACTGGTTTAAAATGTAGGAAGTAAAAAGGTATGACTAGGGCAGGATCAAGAAATGCACGAGTTTTGTGATCCTGAACACAATATACCGGATGACATATTCATTGGGTGTGCATAACTGAGAGTTTCTCATTCCTGGCCTGTGGAGGTAGGGTGGGGTGGGATTGCCAGGTAGCTATGGGCAAGGTTAGGGGAGGGGATTGTAGGAAAAGTAGTTCACAGCATACATGACACTGTGGAACTCTTAACTATGCTATCTACTAAATGAACTTGCCTCAGAAAGGGCAAGCATAAAGTAACTATTTATTTTAGAAATACGTGTTATACAGGCTCAGGGACTATTCCCTGTTCCTGGTTCCTGCATGATGTTTCCAGCAGGTTTCAGAGTTTTTAGCTACTTTTAAATAAATCAATAATCTCCTTGTTTTAGCATTAAAATTCCATTTAAGGGTCGTGGGAGAGGTAGATGTGGGGATGGTTCACAGGTACAAAAATGTGGTTAGATAGAATGAATAAGATCTAGTATTTGATAGGGTGACAGGGTGACAACAGTCAACAATAACTTACTGTACATTTAAAAATAACTAAAAGAGTATAATTGGAATGTTTGTAACACAGGAAATGGATAAATGCATGAAGTGATGGGTACCTCATTTACCCTGATGTGATCATTACACATTATATGTCTGTATCAAAATATCTTACATACCCCATAAATATGTACACCTACTATGTACCCATAGAAAAAAATCTCAGTTTGGTCTAATCACATAATTGCTGTCCAGTGCTGGGTGAAATCTGCCAGTGTATTTCAACTTGATCCTTCAGAGCTCAATTCTGCTTTAGGCTTGGAGGCCTGCAGTGGGAGGAGTGGCGGTGGCCAGCTTCTTGCTCCTGGTGATGAACGTCCTTCCCATGGAAAGCGATTGTCCTTGACCTCTCCAGGGCTGGCCCAGCCAGAGAACAGATCAGGAGGAAAGGGTCAATTCTGTGTGGCTCGTGCAGCTGCAACCTGGGTTTGTTTCCCTTTGGATTTTGTTCCTGTGCTATTGCTGGCTCTTTCTCTCTTCCTGTTGTGGCTCTCTTCCTGCAGCTCCCAGGATGTGAGTATGCCTGGAAATAGTGGGCTCCCTCCACCACTGGATTCTGGTATGCTGCAATGCACAGACCCTTTCTACTGTTGAAACCTTTGTCCTTCCAGGCATCCAGAGGCAAATCCTTTAAAAATGACCACAGGTCTGCTCCCTGCAACAGCAGAGTCCACATAGAGTATCCTGAAAAAACGACCCACTTTCTACATCAATAGTGGAGCTGTTCACTCCCGATGCAGTGCCTTCTCTCCAAACTGCTATTTTTTTCTTTTAGTTTTTCCTGATAGGAATAAATTGCCAGTTTTTATTTTTCAAAGTTGAACTATTAGGTATCTACCCAAAGGAAAAGAAAAAAATTATATCAAAAAGATACCTGCACTCACGTGTTTACAGCAGCACAATTCACAATAGCAAAGATATGGAATCAACATAAGTGTCCATCAACAGATGATTGGGTTAGGTAAAGGAAATGTGGTATAAGTGTAATATACATATATATATATATATATATATATGTATATATAAAACTCAGCCATTAGAAGGAATGGAAACATGTTTTTTTTGCAGCAACATAGATGGAAGTGGAGGCCATTATCTTAAGTGAAATAACAGAAAGACAAATACCGCATGTTCTCACTTATAAGTGGGTGCTAAATAATGTGTACACAAGGACACACCTTGTGGAATAATAGACAACAGAGACCCCAAAAGGGGAGAGCATAGGAGGAGGGTAAGGGAAGAGAAATTACAGACTGGGCACAATATTCATTATTTGGGTGATAGTTCCACTAAAAGCCCAGACTTCACTACTATGCAATATATCTATGCAACAGAACTGCACTTGTGCCCCTTAAATTTATACAAATAAAAAAAAGATTAAGGCAAATGTAAGCATGCTTTCTTAAAAAAAAGGAGGGGATACATGCCACACTTTTCTAGTGTCCCCATGACATTTAAGGTAGCAGGGATTCACCCTGCTCCTCACTCCTAAGGAAGGGAGAGGAACAACGCCATGATAGCCTAACAGCTCTCTCTAAAGAAAGCATTTGCTCTAAACTCTTGAGGTATGAGAGGCTAACTCGGACAGAACTGGTTTGTTGCTATCTTGATATGCTCTGCCTTGATGCTGAGGAACCCCACTTTAGGTTTTGGGTGGTACTTGGCCCTTACGTGGTTCTTGATCTTTGGGGAACTTGGCCACAGCTGAGAAGTGTCTAATTTTACCACCCCATTTCCTGTGCTCTGGTGTCAGAAGGGTGCAGGCTCTCCTGCTTGTGACTGAGCAACCTCAGGCAAGTAACTTCAACTCTTGCAGCCTCAGTTCTTCTGTCAAAGTGGAAAAAACACCTCTCAGGTATGGTTTTGTTGTGAGGCTGCTTAGTGCATAGAATAGTGGAAATGCTCCATGTGTGATGTGCAGCATATGAACGTGATGAAAATGTTAATGATCGTGGTGGTGGTGATGTTCTTTTAGTTCCTGAGCATCTTATCACCTCCACCTATTGACAACAATTGATTAAATTTTCTGCCTGAAATAATTCCCCAGCCCCCAACTTCTAGCAGCAGAGCAGTGGGATGCCAGATATTGGCAAGGTGGCACTCCTAGGCATTCTCATCACTCAGAAGAATCCTGGGGAAAGGTGAAGAGTAATAAGAGTTGGCCATAGTCTATTATTCATTCCTCTAGTTATTCCTCCCATATGTCCATTGGAACTGAAGTGTTGGAAGAGTTAGCTCTACTTCTCTCCTCTCCCAGGTCATCCATTTTCTTTCCAGCCTTATTTACCAACCAGGAAGGGGGAAACAAGGAAAGGTTTCCAACAAGGAAAACTTGGCTGATGGTGAGGTGCCAGGCGGTCCCTGCTTGCAGGGAAATTGGATGTGACAGCTATAACTTATTGTCCTTGCAGTTACCCTGCATATTGCCAGAGAAAAGAGCTTTGTAAATAAGTGTGAGGGAGCGGATAGCAAAAATCTGAGGCTGCACCGCAGTGCTTCTAACACCATTATGGGGCACTGATTTAGTATTGGCTTGCAGCAACCAAGGCTACCTCGAGTACTGAATTACCACATCCCCAGGGCATTCTTTGGCATTCAACCCAGGCGGCTAACCAAGTCCTCCATGCTTCATTTATAGGATCTGACACTATCACACACTCCAGCAGTATAGTTGCAGGCTCTAGTAAATTCCTAAATTAAAAGTCAACCCAGTCAAGGGTATTTTGATGTCCAGGGATTTGTATGCAGCTCCCATTAGGATTAGTGCCCAAGTAACTTCTGACTTCCTGAAATAAATGCAGATCCTTCTATCTTAGCTTCACATTTTTGTACAGAAATTTTTAAAGCTGAGATGAGATTTCCGTGTAGGTCAATCACTGTAAGAATGCTTCATTTTCTGTGCGGGAGGCATACTGCATATGTAAGGCACTAGTCTGCAGAAAGCATAAAAATACTACACTGAAAATAAACTATTCTTTTCGGTTTTGTGCTTTATACTCCATTTTCTCACAGAGTCCAGCTAACACATAACCATTGAGGAAAATGGAGAAGGAAAATGTGTCAACGAAGCAGTGATGAACAGAATGGAGGTTGCCAGAGGAGCCTTTTTTTTCCAGCTTTTTAGTTCATAGATATTTAGATGGCTGATCAGAAGCCACCAAACATTTAATCACAGTGTGTTTTGGTGGTACAAATTGTATTATGCCAACCTGTTGGCAAGATGTTTTTAATAATATGCTTTCCTGAGCAATGAAACCAACTAAATTGTTATTGGTTCATTTATTTCATCCTCGTCCACGACATGCAATTTAGAGTGGAGTATTGTCCCAGTTACTCAGCGGTGATGTGTAATCAATGTGCCCAGCAGCCTCTCAGTCATGTGTGAGAAAACTGCATCCAGAGGCTTTGATCTCACAAAATTTGGTCAGCCAACAATTTACAGACATGGGAAAAAGGAAAAAAAACAACAACAAAAAAAATAGAAGTAGACCTTTTCAAAAAACAACAAACCCAAATTTTCATTTTTTGTTGGCATTTTCCATATGCCAGATTCTTTGCTTATACTATGTTGCACTTAGACAGGTAAATGGTTTGAAAATGTGGCTTAGCAAAAGTTCTGTTGTTTCAAATTTGATCTGTAGGAGAAGCAAGTGATTTTACTCTTCTCTGTTACTGCAAATTATGGTATATGATGAAAAAAAATTCCAGTTGTTTGTAACATAATCACAAAGGAAGTATTTTTAGGAGAAATGGACACAGTGCTAAAGAAAACCCCAAATATGAGGTTTAACACTGAACCAGGAAACCTTAGAACTGGAAAGAATCTTAGAGAACATCTATGTAAAACTTCTTATCTTCGTTCCCATTCTGTCACAACCGAGACCCAGAGGTGTAGTGGCTGTCTCAGTTCATAGCACAAAGTGGTAGCACTATCTGATGCCTATGGCTTTCTGATTCATTTTATCTGATGATAGAATTTTAGGACTGTGATAAGCCAAGCCAGCATGATAATATTTTGTGGGACAGGGGACAGGGTGGGTTGAAGAGGGGCACATTGGCTTTGAAGTACTTGTGCAGAACTAAATAAAATAGCTAAGAAAATCTTGAAAAAGAAGGGCAATGGTAGTGTTAAAGAAAGACAAAGAAGAATTAATCCCTGGAGATGTGAAAATGTATTATAAACCTTTAATAAGTAAAATATGTGGTACTGGTTCACAGACATATAAAGCAATGGAACACACTAGAGCGAGACATATAGAAATTTAGTATATGATAAAGGAATCTCAAATAAGTAGGGAAAAGTAGCCTTATTATAAACGATGTTGGAACAATTGGTCAGCCATCTGAAAAGTAATGAAGGATGATGAATGCCTTTAGAACCTCGGTGTGGAGAAGGGCATTGTAACTATGATGCAAAATCTGGAGGTGTAAAAGAAAAGATTGATAAATCTAAATACATAAAAATAAAGACATTTTCTAGGGGGATGTCTACTGGGAGAGTTAAAAGACAAATAAAAAATTGGGGAAAATATTAGTATTCCATTTCACAGATAAAAGACTGATTTCTCGAATATGTAAGAACTCCTGTATGATATAAAAAGACCAATTCAATAGAAAAATAGTCAAAAGATGTGAATGGGGATTATAAAATGAAATAAAAATGACATAAATATTTTAAAAAGATGGTCTATGCCATTCATATTCAGTGAGATGCAAATTATACATCCACTGAAAGTTTTGTAATTTACTGAATTGATACATATTCCAAAGTTCATTAGCACATTTGCATTGAGGCAAGCATTCTCCAAACAAATACTTTATTCAGTTGATACTGGGAAGTTTAGGAAGATCTCTCACAATCACAAATGCATATGCCTTGTGCCCCTTTGAGTCATTCTACCTGTATTTTCTTCTATGCATATTCTTGCTCAAAGTACATAATGATTTTTATACATGACTCATCATATATAACATGTTTTCTATCTATCTATCTATCTATCTATCTATCTATCTATCTATCTATCTATTTAAATGATTTTAAAGGATTTCACTTGTGGGTAATAGCAAAAGTGTTGAAATAAGCCAAATGTCTGCCAGCAGGTGACTGGTTAAATAAATCACGGTATGGATAGGAAATAGAGCTGAGAAAAAAGCAAGAAGAAGCTCTTTGTATAATGAAATGAAAAACTCTTAAGAAAGAGTCAGGAAAAAGCTGAGTGCAGATCATTGTACATAGTAGGCTACCTTTTCTTCTGTTTTGTAAATTGGGAGAAAGAATATATATCTGTGTTGAGTTGCTTATGCACAAAGGAACTTTGGAATTACAAGGAAGTAATTCTAGCGGTTACCTATGACAGGTGGTGGTGGATTAGGAGCTGGGAGAATGGGGAAGAGAGTAGAAATAAATCTTTTCATTGTATTCCTACATAAATATAAAGAACATGGGAATATATCACCTTTTCAAATAAATACAATAAAGAGAAAATATTAGAATGAGAAATGAATACCATTGACTCTGTGTATCACTCAGAGTTCTAACAGAGAAATAGAACTGTAAGATGTATATGAAGAGTTTTATTGCCACAACATTGGTTAATGTGACTTGGGGGCCTGTCTAGGCAAGTCCAAAGTCCTTAGGGCAGACTGTCAGGATGGGCTGGCTGGAAAATCTGTGGCAAGAGCTTATGCTGCAGAATTTTTTCTTCCTCAGGGAAACCTCAATTCTGCTCTTAAAGCCTTTCAACTGATTAGATCAGGCCCATCCAGATGGTAGAGGATAATCTCTTTTACTTAAAATCAACTGATTACAGATTGAACCATATCTACAAAATAACTTCACAGTGATATCTAGATTAGTGTTCGATTGAATAAGTGGGGACTGAAGCCTAGCCAATTTGACACATAAAACCGACCATCTCACCTTTCCTCTGAAATCCAGTTTGTTATTAGAGAAATGGCAAGGTTTGGCAATAAAGGCAACATATACTGAATGTGACAGAAAAACAAATCACTTTTCCTGGATTTTCTGAGATATTTCTGGGGTCAAAAATATTTTATTGAATCTAAGATGACATCGATTGTAAGATACACCATTATTTTTTGTGCTACTAATAAAGAAAAAAATACCACCAGTTTAACAGACATGCTATTGATCATAAGACATATACTTATTTCTGTTATATTACAATGATTATGTGTATTGGCCAAGGCTCTCCAGAGAAGCACAACCAATATGCTGAACACTGGCATACTGGCTCTTCCCACTTCTTCCTATTAGATACATAGGGAGAGTTTTTTTTTTTAAAAAATATTGTGCAATTACAATTTTATTTAATTAAGTTAATTAATTTTTAAATTTCCAACTTTTATGTTCAGGGGTACATGTGCGTGATGTGCAGGTTTGTTACATAGGTAAATGTGTGCCATGGTGGCTTTCGGCACAGATCATCCCATCACCCAGGTATTAAGCCTAGCATCCATCAGCCATTCTTCCTGATCCTCTCCCTCTTCCCACCCCTCCACCCTCTGACAGACCCCAGTGTGTGTTGTTCCCCTCCATGTGTCCATGCGTTCCATCATTTAGCTCCCACCTATAAGTGAGAACATGTGGTATTTGGTTTTCTGTTCCTGTGTTAGTTTGCTAAAGATAATGGCTTCCAGCACCAGCCATGCCCTGCAAAGAACGTGATCTCATTCTTTTTTATGGCTGCATAGTATTCTATGGTGTATATGTCCCACATTTTCTTTATCTAGTCTATCATTGATGGGCATTTAGGTTGATTCCATGTCTTTGCTATTGTGAATAGTTCTGCAGTTAACACACATGTGCATGTGTCTTTATAATAGAACAGTTTATATTCTTATGGGTATATACCCAGTAATGAGATTGCTGGGTTGAATGGTGTTTCTGCCTCTAGGTCACTGAGGAATCACCACACTGTCTTCCATAATGGTTGTACTAATTTATACTTCCACCAACAGTGTAGAAACATTCCTTTTCTGCACAACCTCTCCAGCACCTGTTGTTTTTTGGCTTTTTAATAACAGCCATGCTGACTGGCATGAGATGGTATCTCATTGTAGTTTTGATGTGCATTTCTCTAACGATAAGTGATGTTGAGCTTTTTTTCATATGTTTCTTGGCCACATGCATGTCTTCTTCTGATAAGTGTCTGTTCATATCCTTTGCCTACTTTTTAATGCGGTTGTTTATTCTTGTAAATTTGTTTAAGTTCCTTAGAGATGCTGGGCATTAGACCTTTGTCAGATGCATAGTTTGCAAAAATTTCCTCCTATTCTGCAGGTTGTCTGTTTACTCTGTTGATAGTTTCTTTTGCTGTGCAGAAGCTCTTCAAGTTTAATTAGATCCCATTTGTCAATTTTTGCCTTTGTTGCAATTGTTTCTGCCATCTTCATCATGAAATCTTTGCCCATGCCTATGTCCTGAACGGTATTGTCAAGGTTTTCTTCTAGGGTTTTTATAGCTTTGGGTTTTACATTTATGTCTTTAATCCATTGTGAGTTGATTTTTGTATATGGTGTAAGGAAGGGTTCCAGTTTCCATTTCTGTATATGGCTAACCAGTGGGAGAGATTTTTTTTTTTTTTAAGGAATTGGCTCACATGATTGTGGAGGCTGAGAAATCCCACAATCTGCCTTTTGCAAGCTGGAGGCTCAGGAAAGCTGGTGATATAGTTCCAGTTCATACTTGAAGGCCTGAGAAACAGAACAGCCAAAGATGTAAGTTGTGGTCTGAATCTGAAGGCCCAAGAACCAGGAGCACTGATGTCTGAGGGCAGGAAAAGATGGATGTCCCAGCTTAAACAGCAAGAGCAAATTCACCTTTCTTCCACCTTTTGGTTCTATTTGCTTTCTCAGTGGACTGGATGACACCCACCCACACTGGTGAAGGCAGTGTTCTTGAATAATGCAAATGCTAATGTCTTCTGGAAACACCTCACAGACACACCTAGAAATGATGTTTTTCTAGCTAGCTGGGCATTTCTTTGCCCCATCAGATTGACACATAAAATTAATCATCACAGTATGTGTATCTTAGAATTGACTAAAATACTCTATTTTGTGCTCTTACTAGACCATGTACAGCTAGACCAATGTGTCATACTTGTATGTTCAAATTTTGATTCAGAAAATATGAACATATTACATGTGACACATGTTTTTGAATTGTCTGCCCCACAGTCTGGCTCAAGAGCTGAACATTAGCCATGTCTGGAGTCCATAGAAGTGTCACCAGAGAATCCCAATAAAAGACACATTTCTAATCTTCCAGGCAAACGCTGGATGTGGTGGGCTTTTTGAATGGAGAGTAGAGGTTGAGAGGAGAGTCAGTTTTCATGACTTCTTCCTGTCCTCCCTCCATCTCCCAACCCCAAGCAGGCAGGATTACAACAGGAGTCTGTGACATTGTTTGTGTGTCATGCAGGGGATAATTCTAGCTGATCACTGGCATACTGGCTTTTCCTGCTTCTTCCTCTTTGATACTGAGAGAGTGCAGGGAGAGGCCAACCTGATATATTTCACATGCTGAGCCTAAATATTAAAAGATTACTTTCATATCATGATAACCACAGGAATATATAAATTTTATTCAATGGTTTTTGAAGTGTACTAGCTCCTAATTTAGTTTAACTTTAGGACATAAGGGTGACAAAGCCTCCCTGCTGTCTAATTTAGAGTTACAGAAAAAGAAAAGTTGGGTGCTGTGATTCTAGACAGTGAGAGAAGAAAATGACATCTGGAACCCAACTGAGTCATCATAGTGGGTACAGTGACCTACAAGCTGCAAAGGAGTGGGTGGCTGGCCCTTCCATTTTCTAGGGCCAAATTTTCAATTGCTTTTTATGAATTGGAGCTCTTACATATAGCCAATGTTTGAACATCATCTCATTGAGTGTAGCCAACTGTTGGTAGGAAAGTGGTTCTGATTCCTAACTTCAAAGAGGCCAAAAGGGTGTATCAGAACCATGCTTTGTTCAGCATAACTCACTAATCTTGCTGTACCTACTTTACTATATTTTATGGAGTCCACAAAAAAAAAAATCTCATTTTTGACACAATGGGCTCAACAAAGTAAAAAACAGTGCAGTCTGCCTTTTTAAATGCCTGAGTCATAGAAATCTAAGCTTAAAAACTATCATCTGCTTTTATTCAAACTGATAGTAAAAATATTAGACTTAGAAGGTACTTACATTGTTTAATAGATGACATTATTAACTCTGTGCTTTGAAATTTGCCTCTTTATTGATTTTTTCCTGAAAAACAAACCATAAACAATTTTAGTTCTGAATTCCTTTCTAATTTATCAACCATTGGAGGTATTATTGTAGTTACAATGTCAAAAGAAGAAAACAAAATCCTATAAAAATCAGGAAACAGTGCACCCCGAACAGTGAGTGGTTTTGAGGACTGCTGTTAACCCCTATTGTGCTGAAAATCTACTTGAAATGTGCATGTATATACAATAGACCGACAGCGGCCCAAGGAACCCTTTTGTGTCTAACATGCAAGTCATCTGAATGCATAAAGAACAGTATTGTGCCCCCAAAATACATTTTATTTTAAAAGTATTTGGAAAAAAAGAAAATAATAGCTACAGGTTCAGTTTCTTCTTTATAAAAGAGGTCAAAGTCATTTAGATGAAAGCCTAGGAATTGTTGAACTTTGACACTTATTTTCATTATTATTTTCCAAAATCCTACCATTATGCCTCCGATTCTATTGTAAAATCTTATTTTCACCCTATCTTCAAAAATATACTTCTGAAATACGCACAACACAGTATATAAATTTAGGAGTAGGCTCTTTAAATTCAGTCAGTCACTTGAAAAGGCAGGGTGCTTATTTAGTTAAAACATTTATTGAGCATCTTCTATGTATAAGGCATTGACTCTGAGCTGTGGAAAACGCAAAGATGCATAAGGCATAGTTCCCATCATTGCAAAGCTTACAGAAGACAAAAGAGAGAAAACTGTAGAACAATTACAAAATATACTGAAAGTCAGTCATACAAATGATTGCAGTGAGATGTAATCCTTCCTTATGAATTCAGCTCCTTCCTCTTAAAGGCTTGAAAGCCGGCCACAAACCTTGTCTCCCCACTGTAGCCTCCCACACTGTGAATGCAATGCTCATCGTTCTGGGGCCCTGCATTTGCAGAATCTGGATTCTGTCATATACTAGCTTATTTCTACCAGTTTCCAGCAGTGCTTTGAGAACAAATGAATAGACTTCTAGTTACATGAATGTGTTAGAAGAGCTCTGTTTATCTTCCCTCTTGAGCAATTATTTTCAACAAAAGTTAGTGGTACTGTTTTCTTCTCTAATAAGAATGGATGCCAATATATTGCATCCATTACAATTTCACTGTTCCCACGGCTGCAGAAACCACATTAGGTTTTGACTCTAGGAGGCGTTTAAAAAACATAAAAGCTGAAGAAGTCATGGGTAATTAATTTATCTAAATTAGTTTATTAGAGATTATTCAACTAGTATTGTTACCAGTTAATGGCATCAAACATAAGTTGGCTAAGTTTTGGTCTAAACACCAGGGGAGGCCCAGAGCAGTGGCTCACGCCTGTAATTCCAGCACTTTGGGAGGCCGAGGCAGGAGGATCACCTGAGATCAGGAGTTTAAGACCAGACCTGCCAACATGGCAAAACCCTGTCTCTACCAAAAATATAAAAATTAGCCAGGTGTGGTGGTGTGTGCCTGTAGTTCCAGCTACTCGGGAGGCTGAGGCAGGAGAATTGCTTGAACCCGGCAGGTTGAGGTTGCAGTGAGCTGAGATCATGTCACTGCACTCCAGCCTGGGTGAAAGAACAAGACTCTGTTTCAAAAAGCAAGCAAACAAACAAAAAAAACCGAACCAAACAACCAACAAACAAAACAAAAACATCCAGGAGAGGGAGAAGAGGGGTCAGCACAGGGCCACAGGATGCGGGATGTGTCAGGGCTCCGTGGGGAGACCATAGACTCTACAGTCAGACTTATTGGACTTGAAGCTCATGCTCTTGCATAATTAGTTGTGCTGCCTTGGAAATTTAAGTTCTTTAAGCCTCAGTTTCCTAATATGTAAAATCGGTTTAATAACTCACGGTTGTTGGGAGTGTTAAGTGAGAGTGTTGGGAGTGTTAAGCGAGATATCATTTAGCACAGGTTATTTATGTGTTTCATGGTGTTTGCTGCATAATGAGTATTCAGTAAATGTTAATTCCTCTCTCAGGGCAGAGAGAGAGAGAGAGCACTGGAAAGAAAAAGGGAGGACAAGGAAAGGAAAAGGAAGGAAAGAAAAGAATGGAGGATGAAGTCTATAGTATGGCTGAAGGTAACTCTGATTTTGAGTATCTATTGACCACAGAAAACTGGTATTGTCTAGGAAAATAATAAGCCTTTTTCCAGGCACATAAGTAGAAAGACTATTGGATTAGGATTTAGGAGGCTTGTGTTTTAGGGTTAGCTCTCCTACCAAGTAACATTTAGATTTAATTTAGATGATCTCTTCATGTCCTAAAATTCTTGATGAAGTATTTAAGATGAAAATAACTGAGAATCACCTCATGTATTTCATATAAATTTAAGTTGTTAACTTGTAATGAATGGAAATGGGTTTGAAGAAATTTTTACAAAGGCACTATTTACAAGGGTGCAGTGTTAACACAGTAAAAACAGTGAAGTAGTTACTACCACTAGGCCTGAAGGTGGGGAGGAAAAAGAAAGAGGCTTGTGGAGGCCTCTGAGAGGAGCCATGACCATGGGTTATGGACATACCAGTCATAGGATAGTTTACAAGGAAGGAGCCAGGGAAATGAATCACCTCATCTTATACCTTTTCTTTTTGAATTTCTGCTGGGTCTTTCCACTGTTGTTCTACATCCAACTGGAAGCCTCAAGACCAAAGGGCCTAATTATGTAGCCTCTACCTGTTAGGTCCTGAAACAGGAAGAAGGGTAGTAGAATGGAGAGCAGATATGGCCGGGAATAGAAGACATATATCAGGGGCCTAGATTTCTTTATTTTTATTTTAAATTAAAAATTTATAAGTGTATAAACTTATAGGGTACAAAGTATATTAATAATTTATAAATACTATGTGGAAAAATTAAATCAAGCTAGTTAACATGTCCATCACCCAAAAAACTTACCATTTTTTTGTGATGAGAATGTCTGAAATTTACTCTTAGCAATTTTGAAATATACAATATTATTAATTATATTCACCAGAGTGTGCAAAAGAAACTCAAAAAAATAAAGAAAACATACTCCTTCTGTCTGATATTTTGTACCCTTCAACCATCTGGCCATTCCCCGTACCACATACGAGTGAGAACATGTGGTATTTGTCTTTCTGTATCTGACTTATTTCATTAGCATAGTGTTCTCCAATCCTACCCATGTTGCAAATGACAGATTTTCTTTCTTTTTAAAGGCTGAATATTTCATTGTGTATATATGCCACATTTTCTTTATCCATTCATCCATTGAGGGACACTTAGGTTGATTCCATAACTTGGCTATTGTGAATAGGCTGTAATGAATACAGGACATTTCTTAGAGAAACTGACTATCTTTTGGGTAAGTACCCAGAAATGGGATTGCTGGATCGTATGATAATTCTATTTTTAGTTTTATGAGGAACTTCCATACTGTTTTCCATAGTGTCTGCACTAATTTACATTTAACCAACAGTGTATGAGGGTTTCCTTTTCTCCACATCCTTGCCAACATTTGTTATCTTTCATGCTTTTGATAAAAGCCATTCTGACAGGTGTGAGATGATAGCTCATTGTGGTTTTACTTCACATTTCCTAATAATTAGTGGTACTGAGCATTTTTCACACATCTGTTGGCCAGTTGTATGTTTTCTTTTGAGAAATGCCTATTTAGGTCTCTTGCACATTTTTCAAATTGAGATTTTTGTTTTTTTGGTATTGAATTGTTTGAGCTCCTTGTATGTTTTGAATATTAGTCCCTTAACAGATGTATGGCTTGCAAATGTTTTTTCCTAATCCAAAGGTTGACTCTGTACAGTGCGAATTGTTTCCTTTGCTGTGCAGAAGCTTTTAGGTTTGATGTAATCTCATTTGACTATTTTTGCTTTCATTGCTTGAACTTTTGGAGTCAAATAAAAAAAAATCATTGACCAGACTAATGTCATGTAGTGTTTTCCCCCATGTTTGTTTCTAGTAGTTTTAGAGTTTCTTGTTTTAAGTCTTTAATCCATTTGGGTTAGGTTTTGCATATGATGTGAGATAACAGTCCAGTTTCATTCTTCTGTATGTGGAAATTCAAACTGCCATTTTCCCATTGCATATTCTTGGCACCTTTGTCAAAAATTAGTTGACTTGCATATATTCATTTCTGGGTGCTCTATTCTGTTTCGTTGGTCAACATGTTCATTTTTTTTTTTTTTTGCCAATACCATGCTGTTTTAATTACTATTGTTTTATAGTATAGTTTGAAATCAGGTAGCTTGTTACCTCCAGCTTTATTCTTTTTGCTTATGCTTGCTGTGACTATCCAGGATTTTTTGTGGTTCTATATGAATTTTAAGATTGTTTTTTCTATGTCTATGAAAAATGATGTTGGACTTTTTATAGGTGTTGCATTGAATCTGTACATTACTTTGGATGGTATAGACATTTTAACAATATTAACTCTTTCCACTTATGAACATGAATTTCTTTCCATTTATTTGTGTCTTCTTCAATTTTTTTCATTAACATTTTATAGATTTTAGTGTTTAGATCTTTTACCTCTAGGTTAAATTTTTTCCTAAGTATTTTATTGTTTCTGTTACTGTTTTGAATGGGATTGTTCTCTTGATTTCATTTTCAGATAGTTCATCGGTAGTATATAGAACCACCATTGACTTTTATGTGTTGATTTTGTATTGTGCAACTTTATTCATTTATTAGTCCTGACAGTCTTTTGGTGGAATTTGTAGGTTTTTCTATATGTAGGATCATGTTGTCAGCAAACAGTGAAAAGTTTACTTCTTCCTTTTCTATTTGAATGCTTTTCATTTCTTTCTCTTGCCTAATTGCTCTGGCAAGAGCTTCCAATTCTATGTTGAATAGAAGTGGTAAGGTGGGCATTGTACCTTGTTCCGGATTTTAGAGGAAAGGCTTTCAATTTTTTTTTATCTTTGAGTATATTGTTAGCTGTGGGCTTCTCATACATGGTCTTTGTTGTGTTGAGACTGGCTTGACCCAGGAAATCAAACAATGGTTCCACTCAGCCAAAAGCACTCCCAACAACCCCATTCAGGCAGGGAGACTCCTGCTTCTATAGATTTTAGAGAAGCAGAGGAGCTAGACCAGCTTTGCCCAGGGAGTCAAACAGTGGCTCCACTCAGCCTAAAAGGTCTAGATTTAGATTGGAGTCTTGAGTGAGATCCTGCTTTGTAACTGCAGAAGAGTCCCAAGATGCTGCCTCTACAACTGTCCCATGGTTTCATGGAACCTGTAGATCTGAAGATATGCTCGTCACAAGGCAAAAGCCCTTAGTGAGTGTCCATATCTCACTTTTCTCCACTTTGAACATGAATTGTCCTGTATTCTTTGCAACACTAGTCACAATAGCCAAGTTACAGAATCAACCTAACTGCAATAACAGATGAATGGATAAAGAAAATGTGGTATATATACATAATGGAATACTGTTTATCTACTCTAGGTTAGCACTAGTCAGGAGCCCTGAAATGTTCAGATGGTTAGAGAGCTCTGATACACATAATTGTTCGTGCGATCCATGAGCCAAAGATGTATAAAATTTACCTAGGTCTTATATGAGGGATACAGAGCCTGCCAGACTGCATTGAGAGTTCCACTCAAATTGTGCTAGAAACTAAATAAGGCAGACATTTTGCCTCCAGCAAATTAAATTTTATCCTGATGCTTGGTATCCTCAGGGTACTTTTGATTACCTTCTGGAATAATAAATACAGCCATGTGCTGCATAATGGTATTTCAGTCAACTATGTACTGCATATAGGATGGTGGTCCCATAAGATAATAATGGAGGTGAAAAATTTCTATCACCTAGTGACATCATAGCCATCATAATATTATAGCTCAATTACTTAATTTTAAAATAAATTTAGTATAGCCTAAGTGTATAGTCTTTTAAAAGTCTGCAATAATGTACAGTAACGTCCTAGGCTTTGACAGTCACTCATCACTCACTCATTGACTTACCCAGAGCTACTTCCAGTCCTTTGAGCACCATTCATGGTAAGTGACCTATATAGGAGTGCCATTTTCATCTTTTACACTGTATTTTTGCTGTACCTTTTTATGTTTAGATACACAAACACTTACCATTGTGTTACAATCGCCTACAGTTTCCAGTGTGGTAATATGCTGTATAGGCTTGTAGCCTGGGAGCAGTAGGCTATACCATCTAGCTTTGTGTAAGTACACCCTATGATGTTCTCACAGCCATGAAATCACCTAGCAATGCATCTCTTAGAACATATCCCTGTTGTTAAGCGACTCATGACTGTAATTACCAATAATTGAGGGCTTTCTATGTGCCAGACTTTGTATATACTTCACATACAAAATAAGATAAAATTATTCCAGTTCCCTCTAGATTCTGGGAGTAGGGCTAGAAAGACTCCATGAGTATATTTTTCTTATTAATTAAGACATTTGAAAATATATGAATATCTGTTTTCTCTCGCTCTGAAGGAGACGGTAAAAGGAAAATTTGCATACAGAGCTCAGTAGATTTTCTTGAGGAAAGGTGTGTGAAAACTCTTCTTTCAGAGATCTGAAATTATGAAAATGGGTCGTTAAGTCTTGTTATCAAGGAAAGGCCCCCAAATTCATGTTTATTTGAAACTTCAGAAAGTAACCTTGTTAGAAAATAAGGTGGGCAGGTGTAATTAGTTAAGACAAAGTTATAGTCATTTAATGGATGGGCCTTAAATCCAATGACTGGTATCCTTATAAGAAGGGAGGACTCCTAGCGTTACACAGAATGAAGAAAACAGGTGAAAAAGAAGATACAGATTGGAGTGATGCGGCTACAAGCCAAAGATTGCTGGGAACCATCAGACGCTGGGAGGCATGAGCGTTTTTCCCTTGCAGCCTCCAAAAGAAACCGGCTCTGCTGACACCTCGATTTTAGACTTCTGCTTTCTTGGACTGTGAGAGAAGATATTTCTGTGTTTTAAGCCAATCAGTCTGTGGTAATTTGTTATGACAACTCTAGGAAACTAACGTAAGCCTCAAGGCCTTGAAAGGGAGCTCTGGGCAGAACCTCATTGGGAGTTAGCGCACAGGACTCCAATGTAAGAGTCTGAGGAGGGGCCGGCTGCAGCAGAGCAATGGCTGTTACCTGGGAACCCAAGAGTGAGGCACCCTGTGTCTCTCAGACACCCTGGGCACACATTGGAGCCAGCAAAGGCATTACTGGTATAGTGAGCAAGCATTCGTCAGAGAGCAGAGGAAGAGCCTTCATGACGCTGTGTGCAGAAACTGGGTCCGTGGACTGACCAGCAGTTCCAGCTCTCTCTTTGACTTACCTAGATTTGACCTTTTCAGATGGAATGAATCTTCAGAATTCTTGGACTAATTGGCATTAGGCTTCAAGAGGGAGATATGGAACATCCTGTTAATAAAGATACCTGGATGCTTGAGTTGTTAACCAAAAATCAGAAGAGGCTGTGTCATCTGTTCATGCTCACTTGGTGTAGCTGGCTATGCTGCTTGTATCTTTATAACTTAGGTTAGGTGCATTTATCATCTTTACGTAGTTTTAGAAACTGAGGCTGGTAGAGGTTAGGTAACTTGCTTACTGTAACACAGTCCAGATTGAAATTCAAGTCTGGGTTCAAAGCCTGTGCTTTCAATAATTGTAGTTTCCTGCCCACTAGTACTGGGAAGCTGCTAGATCTTAATAATCTCACAGAAACTTTGTCCAGCAGACCAATGTTAGAATTGGTAGTTTACATTCTGAGCTAGAGGCAGAGTCTGAATGTGGGCACGAGCAGGGAGGAAGCTTGGAAAGGTTGAATGGGGCTGGAAGGTAGGTGTGAGGTGGGCTAGACTCAAACTCATCTCAGGAGTCATGACAAATTGAAACCATAGGGTGGGGTACCCGGGTGAATCTAAATGCAGCAGCCAGACAGCAAGCATGGCTCCAATAGAATGAGGTTGTCATGGAAACACACACAGATCCAAAGGCCAGAACCTGGAATCTAAACCAGGTCAGAGTGAGACAGTGTCTGAAGCCACAGCTGGAGCTAAAGGGGTGCACACACAGGGCCTGGGCAGGCAGATTTCCTTTGAGTGCCTGGCTGTTGCTCTGGCTGGCTTTGCAGTGGCCCGCTCACTGTGCATGGGGAGCTCTGCCTCTGGAGTGCCTTCAAGGCTCTCTCATTCTTCTGACAAGTAAAGAGCCCTTCTACGACCTCCCTTTACCGAGTTTGCTGGCCCCTTCTCGAATATATTCAGCAAGAACGTTCTGAGGGAATGGTTTATCTTTAAACAGTTTAATTATAAATATGTTTTTTCTTATATGGGACTAAAACCTGATCCTGAATCAACAGAGTGTTTCCTCTTTCTCCTGGGTATCAGCCCTTAAACGTTTCGTCACAGAGACTGGCTGGAGAAGACCTTCAGAATCACAAGGCTTGAACACAAACATTATGATTCACTAAGTCTCAGACAGGGCCAGAAAAATCCACATTTAAAAAAGCTCCCAAGGTGCCTCTGATGTGCAGCTGGAGTTGGAAACCATTCATTTAGCTTCCTCAAGATTCTCATTAAAATCCTGTGGATTCTACCCGCTAAATATTTCCACAAACAGCTGGGAAGGATCGCCCCACTTCCCGTGCTTGCCATGTTAGCGTAGCTTTCATCGTTGTTTACCTTCATTATTAGAAAGACTTCTCACTGGTCTTCCCATGTCCAGTCTTTGGCCTTTTCATCCACCCTCCTTATGGTTGCCAAAGTGATCTTTTGAAACTGCACATAAATGTCTGGGCATGCCACTTTTTACTTCCAATTCTCGGCTCACTCTCTATTGCAGTGATAAATGAGATAATAATAAAGTGAGTAGACAACCAATGGTGTATACTAGGCCTTTGAGGGTTAGGTCTGTGCCTGCCACCCCTTCTTCTGTGCCCTGGTCATGCCACACCGCTTCAGGGTCTCTGATGCCTCCTACTTTCTCGGTATCGTGGCTTTACATTTGCTTTTCCTTCAGCCAAGAATGTTCCTTTACTTGCCTGATTAATTTTCCATTTGTCCTTCTACACTCAGCTCTGGCGTGGCCTTCACAAGCGTGCTATCCAAGACTCTTCTGGATCACATAATTTGTTATATGATATTTTGATTTGGCTATTTTGGTAACTTTTACCCTGAGGACATTTTGATTCCAGAAACATTTTTATGCATCATCATTTGAGTTCACTTTGATGGATAAAATAATGAACCATTACATTTTCAACCCAGGAAAAAATCCTAAGGAATTATTAAAACATTTATTCTTATTCTGTTGCTGACCTTTACAGCATTGCTGACTTACTCCTCTGTGGGTGGGGAGAGAGAGGGGATGTGGTTCAGGAATGAGGTGAGGGGAGAATGAGTTCTGCAGTGGAGTCAGAGATGAAAGAAGGATCCACGGTGAGGTGAGTATTAGGCTCAGGGTGGAGGGTCAGAGGCTCCTGCTGGCATGGGAGTAGAAATTTTGTTGCAGTTGCTGCTTAGATAGTAACAAAAAGAAAAAAAAAAAGACATCTGGACATGATTATTTCAAATAAGCCATATATTGTGGATTGAATTTTGTCCCCCCAAAAGATGTTAAAATCCTAACCCCCTGTACCTGTGAATGTGACTTTATTTGGAAATGGGGTCTTTGCAGATGATCCGGTTAAGGTGAGGCCATTAGGGTGGGCCCTAATCCAATGTGACTTTGTTCTTACATATAATACAAAAGGAAATTTGGCCACAGAGACAGACATACACAGAGGAAAGACTATGTGAAGAGATGCAGGGAGAAAACCATGTGCAGATGAAGACAGAGATCATGGTGATGCATCACCAAGCCAAGGAAAGCAAAAGATTGCCAGCAAACAACCAGAAGCCAGGAGAGCAGCATGGAACAGATTCTCCCTTACAGGCCTTAGGAGGAACCAGGCCTGCTGACTCTTTGATCTCAGACTTCTAGCCTCCAGAACTGTAAGACAGTAAATGTCTGTTGTTTAAGCCATCTAGTTTGTGGTACTTTGTTACAGCAGCCCTAGCAAATTAATACACCATATAAAAGGATTGTATCAAAAAGGCTGGTCAAAATGCCCTGTTTCAAGGTGAGTTGCCCATCCTCTGAGCTCCCAGAACATCATTCCCAGGACATCATTACTCTGTATGTTAATAGTCTGAAACTCGTCTGTATTAGGCACAAGCCTATAAGCTCTTCAAGGTCCACAGCTTTTCTCTTTATTTCTGTGTTCTCAGTACCCAGCTTATTGAGTCTAGATAACTTAGGGATAAACAAATCACGTAGGCTTAAGGTTCTGAGAGTTTGGCTGGTTAAGTGGTTGCCCTAGTTTTCAGAGTACTACGGTTGAGACTGGTCTCCAGGCTCAGCACACTTTCCATTACATCACGAAGAGCTCTATCAAATTCACCTGTAGTGCCTTCCTCTTCAGGCTAAATTTCCTCTGTTCCTCTATCCATTCGTTACATGCACAGGTTCCCGAAGCTCTCATTATTCTGATCACTCTCCTTCTCTGGATAGACTTGTTCTTAAATAGTGGCATCTAAACTGAACATAATCTTCCATCACCATCACCTTTCTTGATAAAGACCCTAGCCTGGTAGTAATGTTGATTAAGACTGTTGGAAAATTCTGGCTTCTTATGGATTGCAATCTACATCCTGTGCAATGCCTTTTGATGCAGAAAGTTCATCCAACTCCCTCTCACTCTGCACTCAATTTCTACGAATTTTGAACTAAAATCCATGACTTTATTAAATTTTACTTGGGTTTCCTCTAATGTTCTGGTTTATTGAGATAATTTCATATCTCTACTTATTGCCTTAATAATATTAGCTCTCTCATTCCATTTTGGGCCATTTGAAAATATGGTAAGAGAATTATTTATGTTTTCAAATCACTGCTAAGCATGTTGAAAAGTTTACCTAGCACAGCATAGCTGAGTAATCATCAACCTTCTGTTTTATTTTCTTTCTTTGTGGCCTTGGAACAAATCAGCACAAAGCTGGTAAGCAGAACAAAGCCTTTTCAATATGATGACAGGCAAGTAGATATTTGTTCACATAACCACGTGGGTACTGGGTAGTTGACAGTAAGGTTTCTGTGAGTTACAGATTCCTCCTCACACAACCATTCATCCAGTCTCAGCTAGGCGTGTCTGGTTACAGCAATCTGGTAGAAGCCTCCTCCCCACCTAGCTGCTTCAGTGGGGCCTGGCAGAGTAACATGTATCTATTCTCAAATTTTCCATTAGAAGGAAAACTACAACTGCCTGCTTACTTTCTTATCTCTTTTTAAAATCCTATTGATGAGAATTTTATATAGTAAATTGATCAACTTTTTTCAAACTGCTGCCATCACAGGTGCCACCTAATTAGTGGGACACACTGTGAACTTGGGCCACAACATGATACAGTAATTAAGAGTGAGGACCGTGGAATTTGTCTTTGGTCTGACTTTGTCTTTGCTGCAAGACTGTGTGGCCCTAGCCAAGTTATTTAATCTCTTTTTGGTTTAGTTTTCTCATCTGTTAAAAGAAAATATCAATTCTGTTATTACTAATGAGTATTAAGCTGAATCATTCTGTGGTAAGTGCTTATCATGGGGACTGGCACATAGTAGGTATTTCATAAACACTACCATCTTCATTATTATTTAAGCACAAAACATTTACATATTTTAAAATCACAAAGACTGAGGTGACTATGTATGAAATATGTGAACTGCACTTATGTCTGCTAACAGAAGAGCTTAATGTCCATATCAATCTTGGCATGAAAATGAGTTTTATTGAAATTATTTCACACATCTAAGGATTGTCTCTAAATAAATTGAATGGTTCACCTAATTACCCAAGTCCTTTCACTTTAAGTAGAATTGATTCACTCTTCTAATATGCCCTGGAGAGGGATGAAATCCAAAAGACAAGCAATTTCAAGAGAAAGTAGTCCAAACTTTCCTAAAACTGAAGCTTTTTAGCCTACAAAAACCCTACAGAATCCTCCAAAGAATGGAGACTAACTCTGATGAGGTCTATCATGCACTATTAACTAAATAGGAATGTTTCTTTAACATTGTACATTTGACCAACACACCTATTTAAGGTAGTAAAGAAATGGTTCTTCCATGGAATTGACTTCAATAGTACAGTTTTTATTTTTTCATCCTGCCCACTTGCTTTTCCTCCTTTTATTTTCTTTTCTCAACAAGGTGGTTTCTCTTGTCAGATTAAGAAGGGGTAGCAGTACAGGTTGGTAAGTCCTTATGCAACCTGTGATGTGAGAATTGCTATAATAATGACTGAAGTCAACAATAAAAATTCGATTCACTTCAGCAAGCATTTGTTGTATAGCTTTTTATGTGCAGGCGCTATGCTAGGGCCTGTAGGGGATACAAGGATGACTAAATCTTGGTTTTGGTCCACAAAACAATTAGAAGGGGCACAATTGCGGGAGGAATTTTATAAGTAAAGACATGGGGGAGGAAGTGAGGATTTGGGAGATGCTCAGAGACTAGTGGCTAGAGGAAATGACTTGCTGTGGAAAGAAAGAAGTTGGAAAGGAAGATAGCAACCTGACAGTGAGGGCTTGACTGTAATTATTTCGCACACGATTTTCTATCTCATAATTGGTCTAATATACCAAGTGTCAGTTTTCGTTGAACAAAACACTGAAATAATGGCACTTAAATGAGATGAAGTCAGTGTTAATAGCTTTTGAAAAGCGTATCTGTTAGTTTTCTCAGTATTAAATTTGCTTGTCTGACACATCATTATTTATTAATTAGTGATGAAAGTACTCTAAAACTTCTAAGGAAAACCTTCACAGATTGACAAATCAGAAGTCAGGCATTCCTTCCTTTCTAAATTTTAAGAGTCCCCTACCACTCCCCCCGTATTATTTGATTCACATCGGCAAATTTTCAGCAAACTCAAAGTAGTTGCACTATGTCGCATTCTTTCAGTTGGAGGGGACCTAGAAGGAGTGGTGTGATCACAGAAAGTACATAAAGGCAACACTGAACCCTGATGTTTTTGGAATAATATTCAGTATTTTGTAGTTACTAAGAATTTGAGAGATAGATAACCCACTAGGCAAAATAAATTCGTTATTAGAAAGGCAGCATAAATATTCCAAGGTCCAACCTTTATGATTCAACATTTATTTGCTTTTCCAAAATTCCTTCTCCTAGAGATGGCAATCACTGGTTCTGTAGGTTGTCTGGTACTTTGAATATAGCCCCTGGCAGCTTTTAGGGTAGGTCGCTTTCATGCATCAGGTATTGCATTAGGCACTGCTGTGGTTTGAATGTGTTATCTCTAAAACGGGGAGTTGCCAATGTGATAGTATTAAGATGTAGGGGCCTTTAAGAGGAAATTAGCCCATGAGGGGTCCTTCCTCCTGAGTGGGGTTAGGTAAACAGCTTGATGGAGAGAGTTTACCTTTCTTTGCCCTTCCATCTTATGCCATGTGAAGACATAGCATTCCTCTCCTCTGAAAGATGCAGTGTTCAAGGCGCCATCTTGGAAGCAGAGACCTGACTCTCACCAGATGATGAACCTACTGGTGCTTTGATCTTGGACTTCCCTGCCTCCAGAACTGTAAGAAACATTTCTATTGTTTATAAAGTATCCAGCCTCAGGCATTTTGTTATAGCAGCAATAACTGGACTAAGACAGGCACTTACCCTAAGATCAGGTCTAGCACCATCATATCTGCAGGATCTCCCCAATGGCATACTTATTTTCCTTTTCTCTCAAGGCAGACAAAAATAGATGATGACAAGTAAAATAGGCCCTCCTCTTCTAATGTCTTCATAAGTCTGGTCCTAGTCCATATTCTTTCCTTTTTCTAATGAGTCTAGCTTTTTAACTGTAAACTCTGGTATATAAGGATTGAGACTTTTTTTTCCCCATAAATCAACTTAAATCTGCCTTTGAGTTCCCATCCTGTAGGGCTGGTAGCAAATTTAATTAGAGATGAGGTCTTGTTTTGTCACTGAGGCTAAAGTGTAGTGGTGCAATCATAGCTCACCACTGTCTTGAACTCCTGGGTTTCAGCCATCCTCCCCAGCCTCTTCAGTAGCTGTGAAGACAGGCACGAGCCACCATGCTCAGCAGCAATTTTAATCTTTAATGTCATCTTCCCTCTACTCCACCAGATTGTCAAAATTCTGAGACATTTTAGGCTGCACCAAAATAAGAAGGAGACTCCTCTTACCTTACTGATAAACTCTGCGATGCCTATTGTCAATGTTCCTTCCAAGTCTGGCAACTGTGCGGCTTTTGTTTTAGGCTTGGGACATAGAAATTATTACTTTTGATTAGGGTCCAGTGTTCCTGAGTGACCACATAGCAATGCCCCGAGTTTAGCTAACTTCTCAGGTTAGTGCTACAGAGCAGGGCCATTCTTTGCACAGGTGTGCCTCTGTTATTTGTATACTTCCCTTTACTTTGTTCTTAAGTTATGGGTCTTTTTCTTTTTCTCCCTACCCTCTAAACACTGGCATGGTGTCCTCTATGAAGCTGGTCTTTTGCTGTTTGCATAGCACAATACTTGAATCAGGAAATTCAAAGGATCTGGCTACCTGTTTGGCAAGGTGGAAAGAAAATGGAAGAGAGGATTGATATGAATTAAATCTCAGTAAATGATCCTGCCTCATTCCCGAAGTAGGATTCTTAGTGACACCCACTTTCTCTTCTAAACTTTTTTCCTACTAGATTCCCTTATCTTCAATTTTTTTTACACATTCCAGCTGTTTTTAACCTTTTTTTTTTTTTTTTTTTTTTTTTTTTGAGACAGGGTCACTCTCTGTCACTCAGGCTGGAGTGCAGTGCTGTGATCTTGGTTCACTGCAGCCTTGATCTTGCAGGCTCAATGAATCTTCCCACCTCAACCTCTTGAATAGCTGGGACTACAGGTGTGTACCCCCATTCTCAGCTAATTCTTTTAATTTTTTTTTGTAGGGCTGTGGTCTCACTATGTTGCCCAGGCTGGTCTTAAACTCCTGGGCTTAAGTGATCCTCCTGCCTTGGCCTCCCAAAGTGATGGGATTATAAGCATAAGCCACCTTGCCCCAACTGTTTTTAACATTTTAAAGCTACTTCAGACCTCTGCTAAAAATACTGCTGTCCTTTCTCCCCCTAAATATCTTTAATCTTTTAAAATAATCACAATTGCACTATAATAGTATAACCCCTTGGTTATGTGTGTGTATGTGCAATGTATTACTAGAAAGAAAACAGTTTTACATTTAGTTGGTCATAAACACACACGGAGTCCAGAGAATGAAGGTGAGCAAACATTTCCTTAAGTTCTTTCCTTTTCCTGTTGAGCTGCCACTTTGTACTCCTGGGGTTAGGCTTTTTTGGGTTTCTGCAAGTTCTTTTCCTCCCTGGTGTCTCTATTTTATACCAATCGCAGCTCTGCTAGTGCACAGAGAGGTCAAGGTCATGATAACCTTTGTTCTGGGCTCTATCAATTCACATGGTTCTTGCGGTAGCCATTAGTACTGTTTTGTCTTGATACTGGCACATAGTAGGATTACACTTTGTCAACAACTTTGTAGTTAGACGTGACC
Organism: Homo sapiens; assembly: GCF_000001405.40. NCBI lineage: Eukaryota > Metazoa > Chordata > Mammalia > Primates > Hominidae > Homo > Homo sapiens. The sequence continues at coordinate 18,900,830 of NC_000012.12, read as the reverse complement.
ATGAGACTTGCTTTGATCAATGAAACATGAGCTGAAGTGATGTGTTTCACTTCTAAGGGTAACATCCTGAGCTAATGGGTACTTTTTTGCTGTTTCATTCCATGTTGTGGTTCATCAAGGAAGCCTGTATTAAGAAGAAACCCCTGTCTTCTGAACCCCCCGTTTAGCCTCAGTCCTTGAATGACCACAGTGAACAGAATCCAATGTCAACTTGCCTTGGGCATGTAGAGGAAGTGAGAAATGGATGTGCTGTGTTTAGCCACTGGGATTTTGGGATTGATTTTTACTGTAGGATAACTAATCCCATACTGAATATACAGTCTTTTTTTGGAGCAGACTAGCTATTCTAGATATTCTTAAGTCAAGTAGCTAAGAGACACAAAATAAGTATCTTTGTCTTAGTAATATTTACTACCACATTGACATTTTTTAAAAAGTTATGATGTCTCTGCCTCTTTTCTGTTCTTCTAACGATCCCTTTATATCTGAGTGAGTGCAATGGATTCGAAAGAAGAGATTGATTGGTGTAGACTACTCCCTTGTGCCACAATAGATCTGGGTACTGGTAGTTTTCATTTTTTCCAAAGCTTCGTATTTCTCAAATGATCTGTACATAATAAACACCTATACTCTACTTCTATCTGTTTTTTGCTAAGTCATTTGATTGTTCCAAGATAGAACCCCCGGGAATTCCAATGACGCAAAAGCAAAAAGCAAGATAGCATTTTTCCATGCTGATGTGAGAGCCCTACTTGTGTTAAACACAGAAACTGCAGATCTTGCACAGACACATGCTCAGTATGCTTTTCGTTCAGTCTTTAAATCTTTCTAAAATTTATTTATTTTTATTTTTATTTTTTGAGACAAGATCTCAGCTCTGTTGCCCAGGCTGGGGTGCATAATCAGTGTCACAATCATGGCTCACTGCAGCCTCAACTTCCCACTGGGTATAAGTGACCTCAGCTTCCTCAGTAGCTGGGACTACAGGCATGTGCCACCACGCCCAGCTAATTTTAATATTTTTTGTAGAGACAAGGTCTCACCATGTTGCCCAGGCGGGTCTCAAACTCCGGGACTGAAGCAATCCCCCCACCTTGGCCTCCCAAAGTGCTGGATTACAGGCATTAGCCACAGCGCTTAGCCTTATTCAGACTTATAAAATGATTATTGATGGCCCACTAGGTACTAAGGACATTCATAATTATTATTAGCAATACTTGCTCTGAATACAAATTGCAAGAAAATATAAACGCATGTATTAGGTAGAACTGAAATACTTGAAGGTATCAGGAAGCTGTTCTTGAGGAAGCAACATCTGAGTTGAGAGTTGAAAGATGAGTTGCAGTTGTCCAGCAAAATGATGAGAAGGGAGTAAGATTGGGAATGGGGTGGGGAGGGAAGAGTAAACAGCAAAGTAAACAGCATTTGCAAGGAATCTGAGGCTGAAGAATCATGACACAATGGAGAAGGCGAACAAACAAACAAACAAAAGCTTGTATAGGCTGGAGTACAAATGTTCATAAGTGGCATGTGATGAGGCTGAGCAAGTAGCCACAGTCAGAGCCAGATTTTAACCGGTTCTTGTAGGCCATATTGATTTGGTTGTTTTGAAAGTTACGGGAATCTATTGAAAGATGGATATTTTAGGCTGGCTATTGACACTATAAGATTTGGATTCAAGACCAGATTTAAGTCCATTCATTCATTCAGCTTCACATGGGGGTTACATAATAGGGTGTTGCATTAGCTGAGGTCACCTTTATGGAAGTCAGAGAAAAGATTAGGGAAATTGCCTAAAACAAGCTTAATTGTCTGTAGCTTGCTTTGATGTGGCAGCCAGAGTGTAGGGCATGTGATGAATTTTGTACAACGGCTAGGATGGATAAGAGTGGGCCTAGTCCTCTTAATATATTGTTCCAGGGACAGGCTGCATCCTAAAAGACAGATTCAATAAGCCATAACAAAGCAAGTTTTTACCTTGTCTTATTACCAAGATTTTACTTTCATAAGACCAATCACAAGTAGAAAATATGTTTGGATGTGGAAGGTAGTACAGTTTACCGAAGGAGGTCACCAGTTCATATCGAAGCATATTGTCCAGGACTCCTACAAGCTCTCCTTGATGTTTGGTAGCAGCTGAGTCATATTTTAAGATAGTCTGAAGTCAGCTTCTGAGGTTTTATGGTAGGGAGCAATTCTGCATTGGCAGGAAGCTGAACTGAATGCCCTATAGATCATTTCCACACATGAGTTTCCATTGTACAAAACAAAACCATATTCATCCCAATGATTTCCCCTTTATTCTTTTCAAACTCCCAAATAGAAAAGATTAGATTCAAGACTCCTCTCATAAATTACACAGTTTTAATTCAGTAAATTTGCATAAGCTCCAAACACCAAACTTCCTACAAATAGTTGAAATAAATATAGCACTTAAGGATCACACCTAGTCATAGATTTTCAAATGATAAATTATCTAGCTTTTCTAGAATATGACTATGAGAAAGGTCACATTCAGTCCCCATAGCAAAGATGCAACCAAAGGGATGTGCTGCTTAATGAGCCCAAGGTCCATAAACTGGAGTCCAAAAAAAGATTAGGAGAGTTGAAGAACAAAGTAGAATCCCAGAACACCTAAATTTAAGATGAAACGAACATTTGGAGCAGTATCTTGACATAAAAACTTGTGTTAAGCACAAGATTCCAAGCCATCAGTATTACCCCGTACTAAGATGGATATTTGATATTCTGAATTGCTGATAAATTCCTCCAAAAGACTCCAAGACGGCTTCCCTGGAGATTGGATGACTCAGTGGCATTTGGTTGTGCCTGACAGAGTGAAGACATGTTTATAGTTCCCATTTTCTGACCTTCACGTTATTGCACTTCATTGTTTCTGCTCATCAAATCGTCTCATTCTTCTCCTCCTTGTGCTTATCATTTCTCCCTTAAATTAATGGCCTTATTGTCTTTATTCAGTCAATTTTCATTTAAATTAATGGCCTTATTGTCTTTATTCAGTCACTTTTCATCTTCTGAAATAACGTGTCTCCATACCTCCTGACTAGACCACACTCATCCTTCTTGGACCTTCTTGAATTCTTCCTCCTTCAGGAAGCCTTTAATGTGTGTTATTTAGTCTTTTTTCCCCCCTTTTTCCTTTTATCTGGATATCTATTATTCTTATAATCAACACAATGCAATTTCATGCCTGTTTTCAAAACTTTTAGTGAGGTTTGTTGCATCTCCTCAATGCTTCTTTATGACAGGGGCCGTGTCTGGCACTTTTTAAACCACTTGAACAGGCTTCATTTGGGCACAGAGCAGGTACTAAAATTCTGTTGACTCATTATATTGCTTTCCATCCTCTTCTGTCAAGATTGTGCTGTATTATTTGAGGTTTAGCTGGTTTTGGAATAATTTCACTGTAATGGCATGGCTCTTGCCAAGAACATTAAAATATAATACTGTGCAAATATAAGTTCTTAGAAATATGGCAGGTGAATTCTAAATTTTATAGATCATCAGTTTCTTAAGTATTCAATGCACTTATGTGAAATCACACCAGTTACTATTTTTGTCTATAATATGTATATATTATAGATATATGTATATATTATAGATAAAACATATATGTATATATTTACATAAAATATATATACACACGTGTGTGTGTATATAGGGTATATATAAATTTCATATTTATTTTAACAGTGCAGGTTGAGAATACTTCTATAATGTACTATAACTGAAGAATTATCCTACATTTACAAAAAAAGTTGCTTTAAAAGCAAATCTAAACAAGATAAATTCTTAGTTATATAAGATGTTTAGGTTTTGATGTATTATGATACATCTGTAATAACTACTAAATTAATAAATTATTATTGTCTGTTTCAACATTTACTTTATTTCCAGATTATATTGACAAATTCCATAAAATTACTGACTTATATTAAGTAAAATATTAGTCTATTGACCATGATCAGAACAAACTGGAGTTTCATAAAATTCTTCATGGTTTGGGTTTGAGGATGTAAAAAATATGAAATTAATTTAGTCCTTTTTAAATAGGATGATAGTTGTTTGATTACTTAGAATGCTCTAAAATACATTTTCCAAACAATATGTGTTCATTGTAGAAAATAAAAAATATCAGGGCGGGGCCAAGATGGCCAACTAGAAGCAGCAGCGATCAGAGCCTCCCATTGAAGAGCCATAATAGCCTGTGAATCCTGCACTGGCAACCAAGGTATAGGTTCTTTCATCAGAACTGACTAGGTGCCTAGTGTGATCCATGGAGAGGAAAGAAGAGCAATGTGGTGTCGTGGCCCACCTGAGAGCCACACAGGGCAGGGGAGCCCCCCATCCCCCAGCCAAGGGAGCTGGTGAGTGAGAGTGTTACCCAGCCGTGGGAAACCGTGCTTTTTCCACAGAACTGTGCAACCCACGGACGGAAGATCCCACTCGCAAACCCACGCCACTGGGGCCTAGGATTCTGACCCTGGAGCCGTGCAGATCCTCAATGGTCTCTCAGCTAGAATCTGCTTAAGGCTGCCGAGTTCCCAGGGGGAGGGGCGATGAGCACCACAGCTGTGGCTGCCTGCTGTCTAAGCCCTTGGAGCTCCTTGGGGGAGGGGCAGCAGCCAACACTGGGACTGATAACTGCCTAACACGCTGAGTTCCCTGGGCGGGGGAAGGGCGGCAGCCATCTCTATAGCTCCAGGCCATGCTTTTTTCCGGCTGGAGCCAGGGAGGCTGGACAACTTGGTCCCAAGAGGCATCCCCCACAGCCCAACACACTGGCTGTGGCAGATTCAGGCCACAGCATCTCTTCAGGCCTGATCCTGACCCATCCTTCCTCACTGGGTGGAGCCTACCTTCAGGAACTCCAACAACTCCAGCCAGGGGCTCAGGGACAGAACCCTGATCTCCATGGGCCTGAGCCCCTAAGGGGAGGGTTGGCTGCATTCTCTGTAGATCAGCAGACGTAGCCTTTCCTCTGGGTAGTTCTGAGGAATCCGGGCAGCCCAGACGAGTGGGATGACCCCAGTGAAGGACACCCGCTCCACCAAGGGACAGTCAAAGTGCTTCATTAAACGGGTCCCGGTCCCCGTGCCACCCAACTGGGTGAGACCCTCCCACAGGGGTTTTCGGACACCCTATACAGGAGTGACCCTACTGGCATCAGGTTGGTGCCTCTCGAGGTCAGAGATCCCAGAGAATGAGCAGGCACCTATCTTTGCTGTTCTCTATCCTCCTTGACTGACATCTCCAGGCACAAGAGCAAACCAGATGAATACAGCCTGAAGTGAACACCCAGCAAGCTGCAGCAGCCCTGTGGAAGAGGGACCTGACCATTGAAAGAAAAACAAACAGAAAGCAACAACAACAGCATCAGCAACAACAAAAAGTCACCACAAAAACCCCATCCAAGGGTCAGCAGCCTCAAAGATCGAAACTAGACAAACTCATGAAGATGAGAAAGAATCAGCAAAAAAATGTTGAAAACCTAAAAGGCCAGAGTGCCTCTTCTCCTCCAAATGATCGAAATGCCTGTCCAGCAAGGGCGCAGAACTAGATAGAGGGTGAGACGGACAAATTGACAGTATTAGGATTCAGAAGATGGGTAATAAAAAACTCCACTGAGCTGAAGAAGCATGTTCTAACCCAATGCAACGAAGGTAAGAACCTTGATAAAAGGTTAGAGAAGCTGCTAACTAGAATAACCAGTTTAGAGAGGAATATAAATGACCTGATGGAGCTGAAAAATACAACACGTAAACTTTGTGAAGCATACACAAGTATCAATAGCCGAATTGACCAAGTGGGAGAAAGGATATCAGAGTTTGAAGACCACCTTGCTGAAATAAGGCATTCAGATAAGATCAGAGAAAAAAGTATGAAAAGGAACGAACAAAGCCTCCAAGAAATATGGGACTATGTAAAAAGACCGAACCTATGATTGATTGGAGTACCTGAAGGAGACTGGGAGAATAGTAACAAGCCAGAAAACACACTTCAGGATATTATCCAGAACTTCCCCAACCTAGAAAGATAGACCAACATGCAAATTCAGGAAATACAGAGAACACCACCAAGATACTCCTTGAGAGGATCAACCCCAAGACACATAATCATCAGATTCTCCAAGGTTGAAGTGAAGGAAAAAATGTTAAGGGCAGCCAGAGAAAGGCCAGGTCACCTACAAAGGGGAGCCCATAAGAGTAATGGCAGACCTCTCAGCAGAAAGCTTACAAGCCAGAAGAGAGTGGGGGCCAATTCAACATTCTTAAAGAAAAGGATTTTAAGCACAGAATTTCATATCCAGCCAAACTAAGCTTCATAAGTGAAGGAGAAATAAAATCCTTTCCAGACAAGCAAATGCTGAGGGATTTTGTCATCACCAGGCCTACCTTGCAAGAGCTCCTGAAGAAAGCACTAAATATGGAAAGGAAAACTGGTAGCAGCCACTGCAAAAACACACCAAAATATGAAGACCAATGACTCTATGAAGAAACTGCAACTAGTGTGCGTGCAAAATAACCAAATGGCATCATAATGACAGGATCAAATTCACACATAACAATACTAACCTTAAATGTAAATGGGCTAAATGCTCCAATTAAAAAACACAGACTGGCAAATTGGATAAAGAGTCAAGGACCATCAGTGTGCTGTATTCAAAAGACCCATCTCATATGCAAAGATACACTTAGGCTCAAAATAAAGGGACGGAAGAAAATTCACCAAGTAAATGGAAAGAAAAAAAAAAAAGTGCAGGGGTTGCAATTCCAGTCTCTGACAAAACAGACTTTAAACCAACAAGGACAAAAAAAGACAAAGAAGGGCATTACATAATAATAAAGGGATCAATTCAACAAGAAGAGCTAACTCTCCTAAATATATATGCACCCAATACAGGAGCACCCAGATTCATAAAACAAGTTCTTAGAGACTTACAAAGAGACTTAGACTCCCACAAAATAATAGTGGGAGACTTTAACACCCCGCTGTCAATATTAGACAGATCAATGAGACAGAAAATTAACAAGGTTATTCAGGGCTTGAACTCTGCTCTGGATCAAGTGGACCTAATAGATATCTACAGCATTCTCCATCCCAAATCAACAGACTAGACATTCTTCTTGGTGCCACATGGCACTTATTCTAAACTCGACCACGTAATTGGAAGTACAACACTCCTCAGCAAATGAAAAATAACTGAAATCATAACATCCTCTCAGACCACAGTGCAATTGAATTAGAACTCAGGATTAAGAAACTCACTCAAAACCGCACAATTACATAGAAATTGAACAACCTGCTCCTGAATGACTCCTGGGTAAATAATGAAATTGAGGCAGAGATCAAGAAATTCTTTGAAACCAAGGAGAACAAAGAGACAACGTACCAGAATCTCTGGGACACAGCTAAAACAGTGTTAAGAGGGAAATTTATTGCACTAAATGGCCACAACAGAAAGCTAGAAAGATCTGAAAGTGACACGCTAAACTCACAATTAAAAGCGCTAGAGAAGCAAGAGCAAACTAATCCAAAAGCTAGCAGAGGACAAGAAATAACTAAGATCAGAGCAGAAATGAAGGAGACAGAGACATAAAAACCCTCCAAAAAAATCCATGAATCTAGCAGCTGGTGTTTTGAAGAAATTAACATAATAGATAGACTGCTAGCTGGACTGATGAGAGAGAAGAATCAAATAGACACAATAAAATATGATAAAGGTGATAACACCACTGACCCCACAGAAATACAAACTATCATCAGAGAATAGTGTAAATACATCTATGCAAATAAACTAGAAAATCTAGAAGAGATGAATAAATTCCTGGACACTTGCACCCTCCCAAGACTAAACCAGGAAGAAGGTGAATCCCTGAATAGACCAATAACAAGTTTTGAAATTGAGGCAGTAATTAATAGCCTACCACCACCACCACCACCACCAAAAAAGCCCAGGACCAGATGGATTCACAGCCGAATTCTGCCAGAGGTACAAAGAGGAACTGATAGCATCCCTTCTGACACTATTCCAAACAATTGAAAAGGAGGGAACCCCTCCCTAACTCATTTTATGAAGCCAGCATTATCCTGATAACAAAACCTGGCAGAGACACAACAAAAAAGGAAAACTTCAGGCCAATATCCCCAATGAACATCAATGTGAAAATCCTCAGTAAAATACTGGCAAACCGAATCCAGCAGCACATCAAAAAACTTATCCACCGTGATCAAGTCGACTTTATCCTGGGGATGCAAGGCTGGGTTGAACATATGCAAATCAATAAACATAATCCATCACATAAACAGAACCAATGACAAAAACCACATGATTATTTCAATAGATGCAGAAAAGGCCTTTAATAAAATTCAACATCCCTTCATGTTAAAAACTCTCAATAAACCAGGTATTGATGGAACATATCTCACAATAATAAGAGCTATTTGTGACAAAACCACAACCAATATCATATTGAATGGGCAAAAGCTGGAAGCATTTCCTTTAAAAGGAACAAGACAAGGATGCCCTCCCTCACCACTCCTATTCAACATAGTATTGGAAGTTCTGGCCAGGGCAATCAGGCAAGAAAAAGAGATAAAGAGTATTCATACAAGAAAAGAGGAAGTCAAATTGTCTCTGTTTGCAGACAACAGTATTGTATGTTTAAAGAACCCCATCTCTCAGCCCCAAAACTCCTTAAGCTGATAAGCAACTTCAGCAGTCTCAGGATACAAAATAAATGTGCAGAAATTCACAAGCATTCCTATACACCAACAACAGACGAGTAGAAACCCAAATCAAGAATGAACTTCCACTCACAAATGTCACAGAGAGAATCAAATACTTAGGAATACAGCTAACAAGAGAAGTGAAGGACCTCTTCAAGGAGAACCACAAACCACTGCTCAAGGAAATAAGAGAGGACAAAAACAAATGGAAAAACCATTCCATCCTCATGGATAGGAAGAATCATGAAAATTGCCATACTGCCCAAAGTAATTTATAGATTCAATGCTATTCTTATCAAACTACCATTGACATTCTTCACAGAATTAGAAAAAACTACTTTAAATTTCAGGGAATCAAAGAAGACCCCGTATAGTCAAGACAATCCTAAGCAAAAAGAACAAAGCTGGAGGCATCACACTGCCTGACTTCAAACTATATTACAAGGCTACAATATTCAAAACAGTATGGTACTGGTACCCAAACAGACACATAGACCAATGGGACACCACAGAGACTTCAGAAATAACACCACACTTCTACAACCATCTGATCTTCGACAAACCTGACAAAAACAAGCAATGGAGAAGGGATCTCCTGTTTAATAAATTGTGCTGGGAAAACTGGCTAGCCATAGGCAGAAAACTGAAACTGGACCCCTCCCTTACACCTTATACAAAAATTAAGATGTATTAAAGACTTAATGTATTAAAGCGGTATTAAAGACAAAACCATAAAAACCCTAGAAGAAAACCTAGGCAATACCACAATTCAAGACATAATCATGGGCAAAGACTTCATGATAAAAATGCCAAAAAGCAATTGCAGCAAAAGCCACACTTGACAAATGGTATCTAATTGAACTAAAGAGCTTCTGCACAGCAAAAGAAACTATCATCAGGGTGATCAGGCAACCTACAGAATGGGAGAAAATTTTTGCAATCTACCCAGCCTACAAAGGTCCAGAATTTACAAGGAACTTAAACAGACTTACAAGAAAAAAACAACCCCATCAAAAAGTGTGCAAAGAATATGAACACTTCTCAAAAAAGACATTTATGTGGTCAACAAACATATGAAAAGAAGTTAAACATCACTGATCATTAGAGAAATGCAAATCAAAACCACAATGAGATACCATCTCATACCAGTCAGAATGGTGATTAATAAAAAGTCAGGAAACAATAGATGCTGGCGAGGCTGTGGAGAAATAGGAACGCTTTTACACAGCTAGTGGGAATGTAAATTAGTTCAACCATTGTGGAAAAGACAGTGTGGCGATTCCTCAAGGATCTAGAACCAGAAATACCATTTGACCCAGCAATTCCATTGCTGGGCATATAACCAAAAGAATATAAATCATTCTACTGTAAAGACACATACACACATATGTTTATTACACTATTTACAATAGCAAAGACATGGAACCAACCCAAATGCCCATCAATGATAGACTGGATAAAGAAAATATGGTACATATACACCATGGAAATACTAAGCAGCCAAAAAAAGGAATGAGATCATGTCCTTTGTACGGACTTGGATGAAGCTGGAAGCCATCATTCTCAGCAAACTAACAGGGGAACAGAAAAGCAAACACCGCTCGTTCTCATTAGGTGGGAGTTGAACAATGAGAACACATGGACACAGGGAGGGGAACAACACACACCAGGGCTTGTTGGGGTTTGGGAGGTGAGGGGAGGGAACTTTAGAGGACGAGTCAATAGGTGCAGCAAACCACCATGGCCCATGTATACCTATGTAACAAACCTACACGTTCTGCACATGTATCCCAGAACTTAAAAAAAAAATACAAAAAAAGTAAAAGTGGAAAATAAAAATCACCAATGACCTAATGTCTGAGACAACAACTATTAACATTTTGCTAGTTTTAAAAAACTCAGCATTTGATTATAAACATAAAACATGTTTGATATTTTTGTTCTTAGCTACCCAGAAACAAATATAAGTTGATATTTATAAAATTAAAAAAACTTATAAAAATATAAAAGATACTTATAAAATTTTTTAAAGTTGTGAAAATATCAGTTCATTTTATTACCTTAAAATATACATTTTTGCTCTCCTGAGTTATAGTAAGAAGTCTAGCTTCTAGCTTGATTTGTAGAGGTTTTACTTTTTATTATTTGCCATTATATCTAGAAGCAAAGTTGCCAATTATGATCCTTGAGGGTTATTTATATCATTTGAAATATTTTAAAGCCTTCTGAATCAGTTGTTTAGCTCAGGCTAGAACATATGCTCTAGTTAGAATTAGGGGCATAGTAATCATTCCCTCAAATTTTTAGTGAAGTTTAAGTGTTAGAGAAACATTCCAGATTGACTGATGATGTTATCTTAGAAGACATCATAAACACTGATAAGTACACAGAAAACCTGTCTACTTCGACCACACTCAGAAATAATAGGCAACAACTATAAAACTCTAAACCCATAGAAGGAAAGCATATCAGGAAAATATACTCAGCAAACAACAGAGATTGAAAATAGTACATTATATAAAAATTGTGCTATAGTGTAGCATAATTGCATATACATTGGTAATAGTGTAGACTGTAGATTACAGCAGCATCATGCAAATGAAGGGAAATGCTGTGTACAGCTAGAAATAAAGCCTTGGTTATGAAGAGTACACAGACTGTATAATACATTGGCAATGGGCAACAGAGATTCTTCTCGATTTCATAATTTTATGAAATGATGAATGACTACATGTGTGATATTGAATATTGAACATTTATGTTTGGAGACATATACACTGAAGGTGGTTTAGAAAAAAATAACAAATACTAATACTGCCAGGAAAGTTAGGCATCAAGATGTAAGTACAAATTCACTTCGGTTCATATATACATGTTTACAGCATTTTGCCATTTAAGTGAATGTCATGGAGTTCAACCTCAGAGTATAAGACAAGGTGACTCAAAATCCAGACCATGCTGATACTATAAAATGTGTCTACACAATCGTATTTGTTGAATACCCCTGTCTTTGTTTGTGCTGCTATAACACAGTACCTGAGACTGGGTAATTTACAAAGAACAGAAAATTATTTCTGACAGTCCTGGAGGCTGGAAGCTCTAGAACAAGGCACAGGCATTTGGTGTCTGGTCAGGGTTGCATCCTCCAGCAGGGAAGAATGCTGTATTTTCACATGGAAAAAGCTGGGAGGGTGAGAAAGGAAGAACTCCTTTTGCCAAGTCCTCTTACAAGGGCGTTCAATCTCGCCCACAAGCGATGAGCCCACATAGCCCAGTCGCCTGTCAAAAATCCTGCCTCCCAACATTACCGCATTGGCAACACCTGAAATTTAAAGGGGGATACATTCAAATCACCTCATTCTGCCTGACCCCTCCCCCGCAAATTCATGTTTTCTCAGAAATTCACTCACTCTCTCATTCAACACACATTTATGAATTAGTTTAGTCAACAAACATGAATGAATGAATGAAGACAGTGGACTATAGATTGCAGCAGAGCCATGCAGATGAAGGCAAATGCTGTGTATAGCTAGAAATAAAGCTTTGGTTATGAAGAATACAGATCTTTTCAAAAATTATTCAAAAATTGTACATGGGAATTTTTTAAAGCATCTGGATAAATTAATATAAAACATAATACAGAGGGCAATTGTGTATAGGGAAATGGGAAGGATGTTTTGACAAGCTTTAATTATATCCCAGCCCAAAGACAAAGGTCTTATCTAGAAGCAGGTTACAAGAAGAGCAGAGGCAGAGAGCAGGGGATTATTATTCAACCCTACTGTGATTCACCCTTCATTTGGATTCAGATTGGCTTGGCCTCTACTCTTAGCCCAGCTGTGTCTCCACCCACCGGGGAAAGAGTGGAGTCAAGGCAATTATCCTGCTAATTTATCTAAAAATGGCAAAATTGAAGAAATAGTTTTCTCAGCTCTCTCTGAATTATCCAGGCAGGGGGTCCAGCATGATTACGCTTCTGAGGGAATCTTTTCCTCCCTTTCATTTTGCAACTGTGTACACAGGCTCTTTCTCCCATCTCTGCAGAGGAAGTTTGCCTTCTGTTAAATATTTTGAATCCTGTGTCTTTATAATTTGGCCATGAGGTGACTATATGTATCTGAGAAGTTCCACGTCTAAGACACACACACACACACACACACACACACTCACAAAATGGAGATCCATTCCTATAATAATTCTCTATATTTCCCAAGTGCCAGTTCAAGAGCAAAGGCTTGTAACTGCGTGGACCAAGATTTGCTGGAGGTTTACTTTAAAGGCTTACTCTAAGCTTGTTTTTCTAAGCAGATTCTATGCTCTTTGATGGGAAGGACCATGCCATTTATTTCTAATAGCAGCCTCCGTAATACTTAAAATGGTGCTAGTCACATAGCTGTTTTTCAAGAAAGTACTTTTGAAATTAAAATCTCAGTGTAGTGTTTATTTAATGTGGTGTTAAATCTTCTAAGCAGAGTGTTGCCGAGTTCCTGGCATGTGTGACACTGACGTAGGGATGGAGACATGCTTTTTTTTTTCTTTTTTCTTTTTCTATAGCCTCATACTAGAGGTGAGGTGACATGGTTTATAGGGGCTACCTGGCATATCTTAATCTGTTCATGCTGTGGTGAGGACAGCGGAGGCAGAGCCCAGCTAAGACATGGGAGCTCTGTGGATGGCTATAAGAATTCAGTAATTCTTCAAACTGCCATTCTTTGAATATTCCTTCAATATTTATTTTAAGAAACTACTGAATAAAGTATGAAAGAAGGATAAAGAAAGAGAACCAGTTGTGGTAGTTCTCAGGTTTTCTATAATAATCACCAGAAAGTCGCTTTTGGCCTGAAACTTGAAGTTTCCTGTTAACAAAACACACACACACACACACACACACACACGCACCCTGTGGTCAGTCAGATGTAGCTTCCTTAGAAGGAAGGCAGTGTCAGCAAGGTCCTGAGGGTGCCTGTATCAGTCTGTTCTCACACTGCTATGAAGAAATATCCAAGACTGGGTAATTTATAAAGAAAAGAGGTTTAATTGACTCACAGTTCCGCACAGCTTGGGAGGCCTCAGGAACCTTACAATCATGATGGAAGGGGAAGCAACACATCTTTCTTCACGTAGTGGCAGGAGAGAAAATAAAGAGGATGAGCGAAGGGACAAGCCCTTTATAAAACCATCAAATCTTGTGAGAACTCACCCACTATCACTGAGAACAGCATGGAAGTAATCATCCCCATGATTCAATTACCTCCCACCGGCCCCCTCCCACTACACTTGAGGATTATGGGAACTCCAATTCAAGATGAGATTTGGGTGGGGACACAGCCTAACCATGTCAGTGTCCAATCTCCCCTAACCTGTGCCCCCATCTTTAGAGGAGTTTATTCCTTCCATCTATAAGCAGTTTTCTCTGAGAAGAGTTCAAGTAAAGATAACTTTCTTTGTCTCATTCTTGTCCAGTGAAACACAGTGACGTTTTAAAAATAATCACTAAGTACAGTTGCCCAGCCACCACGCAGTCTGGCTCAGGGAAGAGTTTGTGATGTAAAAAGTTGGGATAAATCATTTAGCTTTGGGACATGTCTGACCCATGGGCTGCAGTACAAGTGAAATATCCTGGACTCAGTCTAAAGTCTCCCCTAACCTTTGGAGATGACTTTTCAAAGAGGTTCAACATAGACATGAAAAATAGGAACTGCTTGGATTGTAGTTATTATTTTTCCTGTTTCCTGGGCTCTGTCTGGTAAGACTGACTTACTAAAGAGTTTGTGTTCTTGCCCATGCTCCACAATGAATGTGGCTGGGGAGGCTGCTGCAGGTGTACAATGTTCTAGAGCTTCTGGAGGTTAAGCTCTCAGCAACATCTAATTGGAAGCCACCAACAAGAGGGACACAGAGATAGCTACACTTAACTTTCTTTATAAAAATTTACATTGTTAATCCTTGATCATAGTTTTCAGTATTAAAATGTATTGATCTGAATCTACATTAGCATCCTCTGGGATTTAAAAGCAATTACATTTAAAAGTGAAATTGCGGTCAACACATAAACAGGAATGATCTTTAAAGCAAATTAAGCAAAAGGCTCTAATTACAAATCCATTTAATTTACAGACAGAGAATTAACCTTTAGTTCACTGGTAAATATGCAGAGAAACAATAATCCACAATTTAACAACATGAACATAGTATTTCTCATACGCTTTGGGGTTGATGTTTGATCAGTTTCTATATCACTTCACCTTTTGAATTTTGAAACGTTTAAGAAGAAATTAGTGTGTGGAGAGGAGAATCTGTTCTAAGATGGATTCTGCTCACTCTCTCTCATTTATTATGTCTGGAGATTATTATCTCACAGGGAGATTAATGCTATAAAAACTGAATTTTACAAAAAGGTGTTTTTTTTTTCCACATTGCTTTTATTTTTGCTAAGTGCCCTCATCATGTAGAGTAGTCTGGAATTTACAATGGTTTAACCTGGAGCCTCCACCAATCTCACCCACTCCAGTTGAAAAACTGCCTTGAGTTTGCAAATCTCCAAAGTAAATTCACACCAATCATTTTGCTACACTCAACATGATAGTTAAATAAAAATTCCCTCTTTTAGGAGCAATTTACAGAAAACAGGCTCATCAAATGATAGTGTTGAGACTTGGCTATGAGAATTCAAGGTACTATAAAATTTGGCTTACCTATTTTACTAATGTCATTCCCTTTATTCCTAAACTAAATATTATACTGTAGTTAGAATAAACTGAATAAACAGAAATTAACTATAACTCATGACCCCTTTCATTAGCTAATAACTCATTTTTTGATCAAGGTTCCATCTCAACACTATCACAATGGCAATTAAATTTCAAC
Organism: Homo sapiens; assembly: GCF_000001405.40. Lineage (NCBI taxonomy): Eukaryota > Metazoa > Chordata > Mammalia > Primates > Hominidae > Homo > Homo sapiens. The sequence goes on along the minus strand of NC_000012.12, from coordinate 18,885,212 downwards.
AGGAGTTTTGGAGGGGACAGTCAAGCTATAGCAATAATAGAGTTTTGGATTCCTAGGAATTCATGTTGGTTCAGAGCTATTGAACAGAATTTGCTTAAAAAAATTGGCTAATTTCTTTCTCTAATGCACAATTAATCTGGTTAATAGGTAAATGGTTGCCAGTCTCTTTAGAAAAGTATTAGAGGAAGATTTACACTGTATGTTTTAAAAGAGTAGAAGGATTGTCTTAAAGAAGACCTGGTCTTTTCTCCATGTAAGGGGCTCAGGGACTGGTAACAAGCTAACATCTGGAAACTGGTTGAAGAGCCCCAACTCTGTATGAAAGTGATTCAAGACAGACTTCTCCTTACCAGAGCAAGACAAATCAAATTAAACTTTAGGAGTCTGCCCATCTATTTCAGTCCTCGTGACAGAACAATCAATTAGCCAACACCAAATAACTTTGTAGTTGAAAATGCCCTGATTACTTAGCTTTTCTGCCCACTACAGTAACTATAAGCCCCTGGCTGGAGATCAAGTGCTGCTACTTGTTTCCCATCATCTGGGGTCCCATCATCTCCACTCAATTCAGGAGCCCAGTTAAATGAAGCATCTGCTCCTGTCATTTCCATCCTTTAGAGGACAGCCACCACACAGTATTTCTGGGATGCTTTGCACCTTCAGCAATTTTATAAAACCTTGGAGAAGGAGACTGTCCTCTGAAATCTTCCAGGAGACACACGTAGGCAATAGGCGGGCACCTAAATACACTCCAGCCTTCCAATCTCCATAAGCATTTGGATACAATAGAGAATTGGCATCTCAACTTTATTCAGCTTAGGTCACCTTTGGGTCCAGGTTTAAGCAAACTGTTAGAACCATGCCAATGTGCTCAAGATAATACACCGAATTCAGAATATCTGATTAGTGCACCTCATAAATAAATGTAGCCCAATCCAACATGAATTTCTTCCCAGCCTGATCCAATATCCCTAAAATCCATTCACATATATATTCCCCAGGTTTTCATCAGTATAAACTGGTAAAATCTGGTAATTATTTTGGGCTACATGGGACCTCTTCCTGGGCCACCGTTTGTACCCAGCTCCCGGGTCCTACTGGGACCTGAGGCTGGTTATAGGTCTAGAAACAATGAGAAGTGGTAGGGATGAGTCTTGAGGAGGATCATTATTTCCTGCAAAGCCACTATCTTAGGAAAGGTCATTGCAAGTTCTTCAGAGAAGAAATGAGGAGCTGCTTTTTTATTTTTATTTATTTATTTATTTTTTAGAAGGGAAGGATTCAGCAGAATTGGGGTATTCAAGATCCTCAGCTATGAATTCAATTTGCACTGTAATTTAGTGACCTATAAGTTCTGACTTTGGGTTTAGTTTTCAGAAATATGGATCCCATGTGTACAGGAGGTAGGAATTTTTTTTTTTCAGGGAAATTACGAATGTTTTTCTAGATCCTTACTGTGTCATGATTGGAAAATTTAAACCTCTGAAATGACAATTTTCTTCCTGCAAGCTCCACGAGTAGACAAAGAACTCCTCAGTTTTTATTTTCTTAATTTCTAATATAATATCAGATGGATGCAGCAACTTGGTCACCCAAAAACCCTTCGCTTTTGTTGGCACTCACTTGCAGGTGTTTTCAAGTCATAATTTCAGTTTTTTGCCACTGGATATTATGGACTACTATTAGACCATTAACTAATAGCAGCAGAGTTATTAATGCTTCTATGTAATATATATATTGATATAATAAATATAAATTATTGTATTTAATCAGAACAGAGAATAAATTTCAGATTCCTTCCCCTGAGAGTCTTTTCATTTGAAAACACATTCAGTACCAAGCTTAAACCATCAGGATTCACTCAAGAAAACAATCACTAAAATATTATGGGATTTACTGTAGAAATTAGGACATATGCATATGTGGGAGGAGCTAGGAAAGTGAAGATCAAGAAGAGAGGAATCAGAAGATCAGAAAAAGTCACTAACACCACAGCCTGAAGCATTGGTGCTGATGTGCAGGGCAAAACTTGTGGGAAAATTCTCAACACAGAAACCCCCAAAATGTTGGTTTTAAGCAGAATTTGCCAAAAAGTATTCCACTGAAGTGCAATGTAAAGGGAGAGCTCATAGTGAGGTCTGTGGAAGCTGCTACCTCTAAGGGAAATACGGCCAAGTATTTGGTGATCGGTGTGAGTTACTTTTGGTTGGCACAGCCAGAAGCTGAGAAAACAAGCTGAAAGCCAGAGCCCTTTAGGCACATTTACACTGTCTTCACCTTGTCTGATTGCCATCATCTTCCCAGAGTAATGGCTTCTGTCGCTCTTCTGCTTTCCAAATGTCACATAGGGACCTCTCGTGGCCAGATTTAACCCAGGACATTATGGGAAGGGTATTTGGAAGATGTTTCCAGCCTCAGACTGGAGTGGCAATGCCATGTTGATAAAACACAATCTAGCGTGCAGATGGCAGGATGATGCAGTGTGTGAAATAATTTCATGAATTAACAAGGAATTTAATAGAACAGATCCAGCGTAATATTTCTTTATTTGGTTATCAAGAAGGGTGATATGGATAACACTGTACGCTCTCCTCACTCCCTTATGTGGTACAAGAACCTGAAGACTTATTCAGTTCCAGAAAAGAAGACATCCATTGTGGTCAGTTCTGTGGAAGCTCTCAGTCCAGGGTCCAGTGTTTTGCAGAGACAGGCATCTCTCAGTGCAAAGCTTGACTATAGATGGGGACCGTCAGACTTCATAGTGGCCATCTTAAGGCACCTACACACCCTTTCCTACATGAGTTGCTACTTAATTTTGGAGTAGTGCTTTGCAAGGTCTCTGCTCTATTTCAGAAAACATATAACATTTCTCTTCCTCCCAAAACTCATTCACGTCAAGAAGCTCTCTTTAATTCTAGAATCCAGCAGCCTCCAAAATGTCATCTTTTGGGGAAATTCAGCCTCATTGTTTTGAAGGACTTGGCCATACAAAACAAAGTCTGTGTGGAATTGTCTTTTGAGTCATCCCACCCCTACTTGCTACAGCTCCTTTATTTACCCCAAATTAATAGGTTATTTTTCTTACCTTTCATTTTTTTTGAAACAAGACTTAAGTGTATTTCTCATTTACTCTGGCCTTTAGCAAATGTTAATAAATATCTTTTGACTAAACCAAGTAGGTTACTGTTTCAACTGTTTCCTAGATAGTTGAAATGTTAGCCATATTGAAAAATAATATTTTTCATATTGAGTTAGTATGTTCTATACTAACCTCAGAAAAATGTCATGGGTTTTGATAACATGTGGTATACTCTTAAAGATTACAGGACAAACCTCTAGATTTGATGTATTGTTTGGTTATAGATGATGAATTTTTCAAATGGGGTTATGTTTTGTAATTTAAAATTACATATTTCAAAGATATTTGATATGCAGGTAGATGCTACAGAATTAAGTGATTGTATTGTGGAGACTTTAATAGAAAGAACTACTAGTTTGTGCCCTGAAGTGTTATAGGCTCTATTTTGATATAGGAGATACTACATATGTAAGCCTGTGTGTGTGTGTGTGTGTGTGTGTGTGTGTGTGTGTGTATTTACCTTCATGTTTACTCGTGCCAGTATCAGAGACATTACCTGTTAAGGACTAGCACCACTTCTCCTCACACTCTTGTTAATCACAGAGCAATCTCATATTTCATCATTATTACCACAAAAGAGTTTAATATGATTTTACTGTTGGTACTTTTGTATGCTCAGGCTCTGTACAAAAAAGAATGACAGATGTAGGACAAACAGCAGTTTAGAAGATTGAGCTTTAGGTCTGTTATCAAAATGACCTTACTCATACTGAACCCCAGAATTTGGCAGGCTTATCAAACAGACACATCCAATATTGGACCAAGACATATATATCATCTCCACCCCTGCTGTTGGGCAGAGCTGGTCCTAAGGGTAACCTACACTGTTTCTGGGCAAGCTGCTTCCTAAACAGGAAGAAGGGCAGGGCTGAGTTAAGCATGCCCAGTAGAATGGACTAAATATTTGTATCCCCCCAAAATTTATATGTTGAAATCCTAACCCTAATGTGATGGTATCAGGAGGTGCAGCCTTTGGGAGATGATTAGGTCTTGCGGGTGGAGCCCACATGGATGGGATTGGTGCCTTATGAAAGGGATCTCAGAGAAAGTTCTCTTGCCTTCTTTCTGCAATCTGAGGACACAGTAAGAAAATAATACTCTATGAACCACGAAGGGAGTCCTCATCATAATGTGTGAATCTTCCTATACATTAATCTTAGACTTCCCAGCCTTCAGAACTGTGAGAAATAAATTTTTTTTTTGTTTAAGCCACCTAAATTAAGACATCCAGTTTATTATTCCCAAATTCACCCATAAGATAAATTTTTCCAAATCCCTTGAGGTAGAGCAATTATAGGAGTGGGTAGGCCAGAAGTGACACTAAAAGTTCTTCTCTTAGAGAGGAGACGTGAGGAAAGAGGAGTAAGTTTTATCTCCTAACACTACCAGATGAAGAGATTATTCAGGTAGCTATGACTAAACAAATTGCTTCAGTTTATACCTTTTCTGATTCCCTTTGTTCTTGAGACACCATTGGCCGCTAAGTCTATTCCTGTCATACAAATTCAGTAGAGGTTAGCAGGGAGTAGGCATCTGTATTTTGAAAAGGGTTCCTAAATAAATCGGAAATATCCCCTCATCTACTTATTACTCTCTGTTAGGAACCACTGGCTTAGATTCTGGATGTGCCAACTGATGTTCCCTCATAGCATTCACAAATCCTTGATTTCTGTTGCTCCTCTGGCTCTGACTCAATGCTTGATAGGCCCTGCAGGTTTGCATATGTCCTAGTTTTCTGGTCCTGGAGTTTCATCCAGGCCTCAAGCATGCTGCCGTCCATGTGACAACCAAAGTTAAAGGAGAAGGGTAATGAGGCAAGAACGTGCTTGCAAGAGAGTGACTGCCTTCATGGCCAGCACTGATTGGGAACAGGGTAGTTGGCTCCTGTGATGCTCCAACTGTAGGTCAGCAGCTTGAAGCCCTGGGCTGCCACCAAATCAAAGAACTTTTCTGAACAGTGTTAGAGAAAAACGAGGAGAGAAAAGAAGAACCGTCATGGGACATATGGGAAAGACATCTTTTGAGCGTATAGCAAAGATGTTCTTCAGCATCTACTTCAGGGCTCACAAACTGGCTAATGTGTTTGAAAAAAATGGAGTTTGATTGCCTTTAGGACATAGCCTCTCCAGTTTGCTACTGTCATTCTCTTCCATTTGCCTTTTTTTTTTGAACAGTAGGCTGAAGCCCACATTGATGTTATCTGCTTGGACCAGAAAGTATTGAGTTTTTCGCACCAGGTTTAGTTTGAACGTGACATCCTGTTTGTTTTGTTTTAAAAACAAAATAATCCAAAGTCTTGGTCCTCAGTCTGCAGCCTCATCTGTTTTCCTTGGAAAACAATCTCTAATTTTCTTGTTATTATGCTTAGTTCCTTCCTTCACCTCAATATCATTCAAAAGTACCTCTGCAGTGACAAGTCAAGCCATTTACTGATTAGGTTGGCACTGGGACTTTTACATTCAAAGAATATGGTATGCAACCATGTTATGGGCTAATTGTATCCCCCCACCCTGTTCCCATTTGTGTGTTGAAGCCCTACCCCCAGTACTCCAGAGTGTGACTGTATTTGGAGATAGGAACTTTAAACTGATAAGAACAGATACTACACTAGGCCTTAGCCCAAAGGCCTAAAAGCCTATTGGAGATAGGACCTTTCAAGAGGCAATTAAGTTAAAATGACAATGTTTGGTTGGGCCCTAATCCAGTCTGACTGATTCCTTGTAAAAAGAGAATAAATTTGGACATACAGAGAGATCCAGAGGTGCCTGCACACAGGGGAAAGACCATGTGAGTATACCTCGAAAAGGTGACCATCTGCAAGCCAAGGAGAAAGGCCTCAGGGGAAACCCACCCTGCCCCTACCTTGATCTTGGATTTCCAGTGTTCAGAACTGTGAGAAGATAAATTTGTGTTGTTTAAGCCACCCAGTCTGGTATTTTGTTGTGGCAGCCCTAGCAAACTAAAATAAACCATTTACATGGGAACTTGCTTCTGAGTATGTATACTGGGATGGGAGTGGGGGAGAAGGAGATTCTACCATCTTTGATATTTTTGTCCAAAAAAAGCCTTATGTAACAATATGTCCATTTATGCTAAACATTCTGTCTTCCTTTTTTAGCACACATCACTAAGCAGACCATATTCCAAGCTCTACTTCCCCAGAGCCTCCTTTCTCTTTAAAAGACTGATTGATTATGATATGCAGCTACAAATTAAAGACAATCTAGTATCATTCACTGGTCTGCTTGTCACTCAAACCAAATGGCCTACATATAGCGTGGGCTCAAGGGACCCCAAAAGAGAATCTAGGTCACTCTGCCTTATGGTTTCATTTTTTCCCCTATAGGCTCGTGGGCCCATATTGTGTCCAAAATGAAGTGTAGGGATAAATATAGCTACATGGAAACTGTGGAATCTGAGCCTATATGGGGGAAACATAAGGGAAAGCTGAGCACACATATAATAACTTTGATAGACAGGAAAGCCGTGGGGACATCTTGGGTAAAACACTCCTGTCTGCTGTTTACTGCTCCTTAGCAGATTTCTTGGTGTAAATAACGTAGTTGTTGATTTTTTTTTAATCTCTATTTCCTATTTCAACATAGTATTTCAGTTCCTTTATCTTCAAACATTTGTCTTGTGATTATTCATTCACTTAGTAAACACTTTTAAAGCCTGGTATTGTGCTTGGCATTGAAGATAGAAACGTGTCTATATACAACCTGCCCTCAAGAAATTAATTAGTTTAGAAGGAGGGGACAGACATATAAACAAATAATTACAAGGTGTTTAAGCACTCCCCAGCTTACACAGATGAATTATGTCACATAGCCAAAGGGAAGCCACTGGACATTCTTTGTTTTTTTTTTTTTTTTTGAGATGGAGTCTCGCTCTGTTGCCCAGGCTGGAGCACAATGGCGTGATCTCAGCTCACTGCAACCTCCACCTCCTGGGTTCAAGCGATTCTGCTGCCTCAGCCTCCCAAGTAGCTGGGATTATGCCTGTCACCATGCCCAGCTAATTTTTTTGTATTTTTAGTAAAGACGGGGTTTCACTGTGTTGGTCAGGCTGGCCTCGAACTCCTGACCTCATGATCTGCCTGCCTCGGCCTCCCAAAGCTTTGGGATTACAGGCTTGAGCTACCATGTCCAGCCAGCCACTGGCCATTCTTTGTAGGGGATGTTGCTGATGTCCTACACATCAGGAGTTTGTACTGGTCCATGGCTTGTTAGGAACCTGGCTGCACAGCAGGAGGTGAGTGACAGGCCAGCATGCATCACTGCCTGAGCTCCACCTCCTGTCAGATCAGTGGCAGCATTAGATTCTTATAGGAGCTCAAACCCTATTGTGAACTGCGCATGCAAGGGATCTAGGTTGTATGCTCCTTATGAGAATCTAATGCCTGATGATCTGAGGTGGAACAATTTCATCCCCAAAACATCCACCACCCCTTACCCCATCTGTGGAAAAATTGTCTTCCACAAAACCATTCCCTGGTGCCAAAAAGGTTGGGGACTGCCACTCCATATGAAGACCTAGGAGAACATTTCTCTGAGGAACCATGATTATTCCGCATCCCATTTTTGATAGGATCGATAGAATTCTTACAAGAAAATTTGTAACATAACACGATTTTAGTAAATGGGTAATGTGTGTTGGTATCTGAGAATCCCTCCCTTTGCAACATCCCCTAAACACACACAGAGAATAGGAAGCAGTACTTTGGGTTAGGCTTTCTTCATTGTCAGAATTCCGTAAGAAGGCAAGGTGTGTGTGGGGAGGGTGGGAGAGTATAAGCAGGGAGGCCTGGGCATGGGGAGGGTTGATAATGGATGAGGTAAAGTCTGCACCTTGGAGGGCCTAGTTCCTCATGTGTAATGAGAGATTCAGGTGGTTGGGCCAAAGGCATAATTTCTTACTCAGCTCCTTCCTCCATCCCTATGCCCTGCCCCAAAGACATTTTGTCAAGCTTTGGAAACTTCACTGGAGTCCCTTCAGTAAAAAACTTTAAATCATGAAGGCCAGACTGTATTTCCTTCAGGGACAGACAAACGTGGTGGCATTCATTAAGGGTGGAGAAGGGATATTGTCCCCAGTCAGCAATGAATGGATCCCCTTCCTCTGCTGGAGTACTAGGCAATAAAGAGCATCATCCCACAACCTGCATTCAGTTCAGGAAGCAGGGCTCTATCTATCCAGAGAAATAGTTCATGGTAAGTATTTCTTGGAACAGGAAAACTAAAGAGCCTCATTCATGGGTCAGCACCCCAGGACTTCAGCAGGAACATGTGAGTCTCCTCATGGTGTCAGCTTCCTCATTAAGTAGTCCCTAAATCTATCACATGTGGATAAACCAACTTTACATTTTTGCCATTTACATTTAACACCTGTAGTGCTCTTTACTTAACTATTTCTGGGAATACACTCGTTCAGAAATTCTAAATAACTCTAACCTTGCTTAGGACAGATATCTAGTGTGTGAAAGCGTAAGTTCTATGTGCAAGTTGTATTTTTAAAAATGTGGATAAAAATATAGGTAAAACATCGAAAGCAGGTAATTTGCATATTACTTAAAATCTTCTCATGTACTAGTTTAGGTAACACTATCATATTTATTTAAAAATTTGATTTGTTTATACATTTAATAAATGGTTTTTCTAAACTGCCTTAATTCCTTTGCAGAGCATGGTGGATGCTATAGTTTGGATGTTTGTCCCCTCCAAATCTCATGTTGAAATTTGTCCCCAGTGTTGTAGGTGGGACCTAATGCAGGTGTTTGGGATATGGTGGTGGATTCCCCATGAAAAGATTATAGTGGGGTGGAGGGTGAGTGAGTTCGCTATTAATTCCTGTGAGAGCTGGCTGGTAAAAAGAGCCTGGTACCTGCTGTCTCTGTCTCTCCATGTGACACAGCCAGCTCCCCCTCCCCTTCTACCATGAGTGGAAGCAGCCTGAGGCTCTCACAAGAATCACATGCTTGTGTCATGCTTCCTGTATAGCCTACAGAGCTGTGAACCAAATAAACCTCTTTTGTAAATTATTCAGTCTCAGGTATTCCTTACAGCAACACTAAACAGGCTGAGATAGTGCAGCACGTATGAACAGGAAACATGGGTACCAGTGTGATGATGTTGGGGCAAATTGGTTGTCTTGGGAGGCAAGTCCTTGTTGGCTTTCCACCAGTAGAAGCCCTTCCTGGAGGTTACAGTCCTTGTTCATGGAATGCTGATTCCTGTACTCCTGCTTCTCATAGCCACCCCTGGTTTATTCCTGTAATTGAGGGGTTCTGCCACAGCAGAACTTGCCCAAGGAAATCATCCTTAATTTGTCATTTTCTGACTCTAAGTGAAAAACCTAAATTTGTCATGTTACCTGGGAGAAAAAACAAATTGATGTTTCCAGGTAACAAGGCTGCCAAGCAACCAATTTTATATTTTCTATATTTTTATGAAGTTTTGACATACTTTTGACTGTATTACTTTAGGTCTGCTTTGCAGAGCTCATGCATAAATGGTCATGTTTGTTTTTGCCTGAATCGCTACAGCAATCGCAAAACCCTTCCTCAGCTTTGGCTGGAGAGACCTAGAGGATGAGGGGTGTCTTGGAGACATACGTCAGTGAATCTGTCTGAAACCTCCTTTCCATCCCTCATACTACCTCTGATATGAGCCTCATCTTCAGTTGTCTTTACTGGTGCCAGCCAGCTTGCCTACAAAGCTACAAAGCAGCTTCAAGGAGTGATTTTTTTTTTCCTTCTTTTTAAAAGCTTTTAGAAGCAAAAATAGCCTGTTTCTTTCCTGTGTGGATATGGATTAATAGCTGGTCTGTCTCTTTTTCCCACTGGCAAAGCTCAGTGGCACCTTTTTCAACAAATATGGTCTGAACGAGCCCAGCTTGTGGTGCCCTAGAACGGTTACATTATGGAAAATAAACTGGAAAGGAAGTTTGCTTAAGAAATGGATGGGAAGCAGTGGGCAGTTCATTTTTTAGGATGGTAATTGGCCAATGCTCCCTTCGAATATGTGGCAGCAGGTTTTACTGTTGTGCGGGAAAACCCACTGATACATTTTCCAGGTGATTTTATAGAAATAGTCCATCACTGCCTTGCCAGCTACAATACACATTGAAAGTTAGCTGTTTAAGAAAGCCCTTAAGACTTTATATAATAAGATTAAGTAAAGAATGGTGACATTTTCTGTGAGCCAAACAACCCTAGACTTTGCTTTTAGAGGAAGCACGTTTTAACGGCAGAAGAGAAATAATAAGAATAATCTTGCAGGTTTTTTTTTTAAGAGTAATCCTGAAAAGATTTAAATCAGCTGAAAAGTGTTTGCCTTTAGGTTTGTCTGTGCTGCTCTGTGAATGGACTAGATACTCTGCATCAGTTTCTGAATGTGATTTTATAGTCTGATGTTCTGGGATAACACATGCTTTCAGAGAAATATAGCAGTTGAGTTTTTAATTTTGTGTTCAACACTAACCTTGCTCACAAGGGAATAGAAGCTCTCCCGCCATCCCTTGGCCTGCTGGTCACCACCAAAGTGAAGTTGATTGTCTCCACAGTTCCTGTGTCAGAATTCCAGCCTCTGTCTTACAATGTGGCAGCACACTGCCAGTTCTGTGTGTTCTGAATCATTACATCATTTGATACAGTCCTTAGAACAATCTGAAACAGGATTACTATCTTTGTGTTAACAAGGAAACTGAAGCTCACGGATGTTAAGCAACTTGCTCCAAGTATCAGAGCTTGGAAATAACCTGCTTCTGAAGCTTGTACTCCTTCCACACTGCTACAACTGTTGGAGGAAGTAGCTGGCAATCTCATACACGGAGTTAGAAGTACCAGTGGTCCCCCAACTTATCTCTCTTGATGTGCTAATTTTCATTTAATTGGAGGAAATACTTTGTCTTTAGGAGGTTTCTGAATGCTTGAGGATATTCTTGTCTATGCCAGAGGTTAGATTCCTGTCAGAGGTTCCATTTTCAAGGGTCTCAAAATTATACTGAATGCAAACGTCCAAAAGTCACAGTGCTTTTTTGTGTAATACAATGAAGCATGAACATACTAACCTTCCAGTAATTATGTGATTTCATAATTATGTGATTTCAAGCCACATCAGATGCCATGTCATGCTACTATAATTTTATGTAGATGGGCTGAGGGGGAGATCACAGGTTTTAAGGAAAATGTGTGGTAAATATTAGATTGGTGCAAAAGTAATTGTGGTTTCTGAATTGAAAATATTCTAGACAATATTATTACTTTTATTTTGTTATTGCAAATTGAGGAAAATGTGTGGCAAATAACTTTAAATTGAAAACACTCTAGTCAGTATTATTACTTTTATTACTATTATTGCAAATTGAGGAAAATAACTGCTAACTTAGCAAAGGATCATCTGAATTTTACAGTTTCATCCTAGCATAATTTGAGAGCTACTGGGTTAGCTAGATGACTCCTTGAAAGGAATGGGTAAAAGGTAGAGATAAGTTTCAGTGATGGGAGGAAGAAGATGAGCAAGAGGTTTGGTAGCTGATGGCTTGAATAAAAGGTTAGGGTGAAGTCTTAGGAGACTGAATGACACTAAAGGCAAATTTTTCCTACTTTGCCACTCTTTTCAAGCTGGTTCTGAACATTCTCTCCTTTTCTCCATTTCTTAGCCTTGGGCCCCACCCTGCTACTTTAGCAGTCCATACCACAAATATTTGGGTCTGTCATGAGAGAGCACATGAAATGTGGTACTCATGAAGTCTACATGTCCTTTAAGTGAGTATGAACTGGAATCAAGGACATGGATTTCACAGAAAAACTGTAGCATCACTCTAGAGAGTATATTAAAGGAAGTTCTCAAGAATTGTAAACAACTTTTATTCCTCTACTCACCCATCTCCAAAGTTTGTTCATAACTTTATGAGACACTCTTACTACCATACTCAAAATACTGATTCTTGATGTTTTTAATTTCAAATCATTTGCCACTTGAAGGGTTAATTGAAAGCCCTTTCCATCATGCCTCTCACCCTACATTCAACATCATAATCATCAGAAGTACAAATCTCATTAAAAATCATAACTTCTCATATGCAATTTTTCCCTCTCATCTCAAAACCTTAAACTACGTCTTTTGAAACTTCCGGTTTATCATCTTTGTTCTCTGTTTTGCAGGTTTACTTTCACTTCTTACTTAACTTGATTCCTGAAATCAAAGTTTCCTTTCTTGTCCTTGGCATTCTGTAGCCTTGTAAAATATGCCCACTTAAAAATGATTATCCCAATACATTGCTTCTTCCTCTAGATCCTGTGCACCTCAGGACCTTACTGTGGCTGCCATGGAAGCCACAATGAGGCTGTGGAAGATGCTCAGTTTTTCAGCTTCCACCGTAGCCATCATTTCTGGTAAATGATCTGTCTTTTGTATCTCCCGCAAAGTTTCTTTTCTTGTCCTTGGCATTCTGTAGCCTTGTAAAATATGCCCAGATGAACCCAAATGAACCTCACTTGTTTATCCCACTTAATGTGTATGCCCCAAGTGAACCTCACTTGTTTATCCTGCTTGATATATATGGAACTTCCTATATATATAAAATATAAAATATAATATATAATATGTAATATAAAATATAATATATTATATAATATATTATATAATATGTAATATAAAATATAATATATAATATGTAATATATTACATATTATATAATATGTAATATATTATATAATATGTAATATGTAATATATTATATAATATGTAATGTAATGTATAATATGTAATATATAATATATAATTGTGTATATTATATATTACATGTATTATATAATATACAATACACTATATAATATAATATGCAATATACTATATATAAAATATACATATGTCTTTTAATATATATATGTCTTTTATCAATTCTGAAACATTTTCAGGATTTTCTTCTTGAACTGATCCCTTCTGTATTTTAAAATGTTCTTTCCTTCTGAGATTCAATGATAGGCATGCCAGAATGTCTCATTTTCTCTGTTCTTTCATATAGTCTTAGTTGTTTTCTCTCTGTGCTGCAGTCTAGGTAATATCTTCAGATCTAGCTTCTAGTTCATTCTCTCTGTTCTCATGTGCCACTCATTTGTTGAAACTCCATCTTCAATCATTTCTTTCTTTTTCTTTTCTTTTCTTTTTTTTTCTTTTGAGACGGTGTCTTTCCCTGTCGCCCAGGCTGGAGTACAATGGAGCCATCTTGGCTCACTGTAACCTCCGCCTCCTGGGTTCAAGCAATTCTCTGCCTCAGCCTCCTGAGTAGCTGGTCTTACAGGCACCTGCCACCATGCCTGGCTAATTTTTGTATTTTTAGTACAGACAGGGTTTCACCATCTTGGCCAGGCTGGTCTTGAACTCCTGACCTCGTGATCCACCTGCCTCGGCCTCTGAAAGTGCTGGGATTACAGGCATGAGCCACCGTGCCTGGCCAATCATTTATTTCTTCTTCTCAAATGTTGAGTCTCTCTTAATTCTTTATGGCTATTTCTAAGTGTCACTTCTTCCTTGATCAGTTTTTGATCATTTATTTTAGTAAAATGGAAACATTTTATTCATGTTCTTTTATATGTTGTATTTAATAATTCTAAGAGCAGTCTTTGGTGTCCTTTTCTGCTCATGCTTGTGTTCGTCTGTATCTCTTGTTTTTGTCCTTTTCTGATTTCGAGTTCTTATTAGTTTAAACTTAAATTTTTGGAATCCCAGAGCTTTCATTCCAGGATATATTTCTGAAATTTATTTATTTGCTTATATTTTTATTGCCTATATTTCCTGACAAGAATATAAGCTACTTGAAGTCAGGAACTCTTGTCTTGTTAAGACTGTATTTCCAGTGCCTTGGACAGGGCCTGTCATATAGAAATGACTCAATATATATATGCTCTGTCATCCTCTTTCTCCCTCTAACCAACATATGTATGCTCATATTTTGTCATACAATTTCAGAGCTTCCACTGATCCTAATTTAATAAGCATTGCTCTAAATATATATATGTATATATATAATGCAATATATATAATGCTATATATATATATATATATATATATATATATATATATATATATATCTCAGCTTCCAGAGAAGGGAAAAATATATACCAAATATTGTCAGATCACACTCCCTTACATTTTTATAATTTATGTCTTTGAGATAGTACTTTTAAACACAAGCTATTGATTTTGGATCAATAAGAGTTTAAAACTGTAAGCTAAACACATGTTTGCCATCCTGGTTAAAAGAGTAAGTATAGTTAGAGATTCTTTACTTAGTTAGAGTAAGATTCTCTACTTAGAGTAAGATTCTTTACTTAATCCTGAAACTAATTTGATGTGTCTTTTGGAGAGTTCTTTCTAACTAACTCACAATATGTCGTTACAATCCTTAGTAAAAATGGGCTAAATGCGCAAACTTAACTTTATTGAACATGGTATTATTTAAAATATGAAAATAACTTTTACATTCTTGAAAAAATAAAACATATACTTTATGATTAAGTGTAATACCTCTGAAACATAGAGAAAATATAACCAAATTCATAATATGTTTACAAAACTGAAATTTACCTAAGAATTTTTGTATTTTACTTCTAGAATAAAAGAGTTTGTATTTCAAAACAACAGTCTTATTAGGCTCATGTCTAACTTAGAACAAACTATTGCAAATTATTTCTATTTCTCTAAGTCTGAGCTTTGCAGGCTCATTTTTTTTTTTTTTTTGGACAGAGTCTCACTGTGTCATCCAGGCTGGAGTGCAGTGGTATGATCTTGACTCATTGCAACCTCCACCCCACAGGTCCAAGTGATCCTAGTGCCTCAGCCTCCTGAGTAGCTGGGATTACAGGCGCCCGCCACCATGCCTGGCTAATTTTTGTATTTTTAGTAGAGATGGAGTTTCACTATGTTGGCCATGCTAGTCTTGAACTCCTGACTTGAAGTGATCCGCCTGCCTTGGCCTCCCAAAGTGCTGGGATTACAGAGGTGAGCCACCATCCCCAGCCAGGTTCAATATTCTTTAGATTTTTATCAGATAATTATAGCAGAGTAGCAACTAGAGCCTCAAAAATAAAACACTGCTCTCTATTAGTTGCTAGGACATAGGGCATTTTCTAATAATGTCCACACTCTATGTAGGCATTGATGTTCATCAAGGTTATATTTGAAGATAATAAGAATGAGGACTGTGGAACAACTTAAGAAAGATTTTTATGTCACCAGGGAAATGGCTTTAGAAACTGAGTGCCACTGTGTACATTATTAATGAATGATATGGCTTACCATCAAAGTATCACTCATAGACTTCTAATCTTTTATCAAAACCAACAACATTTACTTGTAACTGAAGTAGTTTTATAAAAAAATGTTTATGACCCAAGGATGATCACAAAAGACTTAGTGTTTCTACTCCTTTCTTCTCTAAGTATAAAGCCATAAGAAATTCCACTTCTTCAGCAGCAACTGACTGTTCCCTGCAGTTCATCAAGTGTGAATGACTTTATTGGACCACTTTAAAAACGAGAGTTTTCAAGACTCTGTAGGACTTCCAAATCCCATGGGTATTTAACAGGAAAGGGAGTCAGTGACTGAATTATCTACGGCAGTACTTCAGTTCTCTCATCCTCATTTTGGAGCCCCGGCTTCTAAAACTGTCTCTGTCATTTCTTCCCTTGTGCTTTATTCACTCTGACAGTCTGGGTCAGAGTGATGAAGAATGATTGAAAGTGTCTCCAACTCGCGCCAGGTGAACAATGTTCAAAGTAGTTGGCAAGAAGACATTATGCATTTCTGAAAATATCAAGACTCGCAGGAAAAGCTTCAGCCTTGGGATAGTAGGGCAAAGGTCATATTAGGCTTGGTTTCATGCATAGTGACAGTCATAGACACTCGTAGACATCCAGGAAGAACACATTAAGTGAAAGACTTATTGAATGAAGTTAATACACATTGAAAACAGGATGCTAGTATATCTTGCTGCTTTGATGACAGATAAAAGTAAAGCATTTTTGGCTGTCAAAGCATCTGAACAGTCTTTAAGAATTTTACTCAGAGACTAAATCTTCAAACCAGAAGTCGAAAACTTACTAAAAAAAATTTGCAAACTGAAATAAGGAACTAGTGTAGGTTGGCTTAAAAAAATAGTTGTACACTGAGTGAGTATCAAAGTCGTAGTTACAGAAATGACTAATGAAATTACTACCACAATAACACAGAATTGAGCCTGGAAAATATCCAGGAAGACTTGATTACAGTACATATCCTTTATATACTTCTGTACAGCCTAGCTTGGCCTCTTTTATATTCAGATATTTACTTCTGGATGAGATTCACTTGTGCTTTTTTTTTTTGACTTGTCCTCACATTGCCTGTTAGATTCCCTTAAAGGGCCAAGGTGCCCTTCTTCAACACACTCAGACAAAGAAATCTTTTATAAGATCTTAGGCTGCAAATAAAATCTCCTTTACCCCACTTTCCTTTGGGTTGGCTGTACTGACATCCTTCAACTCCTCCCTGTAAATCCCTTCCCTCCCCTTCCTTAGAAATATTATACAGGCCTATTACCTTCCAACCAAATGTACTGGAAGGAATTGTTCAAAGCAAAAGGTGCATGAAGAGAAGGATCATTATGTATACTGATACCTATAGACTGTGCTTGGGGTGAACAAAGAAACTGAATGCATAAGCAAAAAAAAAAAAATGTTTTTGATGTGGCATTTTAGTGGAAGCTTCACTTGCAATTACGGGACATTAAAGGGCTAAATAATTATTGCCATTATTAATAATAACACCACCCAAACAACCAGTCACTCTGACCCAGTCATCTGGAAGAATCAGGGCACCCTCTTATCTAATTAGTACTTTGAACTTTTATCCACAATACAAACGAATGTGAACTTATCAACTTTTTAAATTTTAGGGAATGCTAGGTGGCAATTGTAACATCAGAAATTCCATTAAGGATTAAGATTGCTAAACTTTTTTTCTTCATAAGTAAAATAAGATTATTTTGTAACCAATGTTATGTCTCCCTCTTAATGAAAACTTTCTCAGAATTTGGGGTAATGACGATGTCAATGATAATAATAATAACAGTAGCTCCTACTTAGTAAATACTTCATATGTATGAAACACTAGGGCGCCATTGCACTCCAGCCTGGGTGACAGAGCAAGACGGTCTCAAAAAACAAACAAACAAACAAACAAACTATAGGTTATTTACATACATTGTTTCATTTATTTTTATAATTACCAGTCCTCAAAGTAGATATTATTCCCATTTTACAAGGGAAAGTTGAGGCTTAATGAGTTTAACTTTCCCAAGGACACTTAATTAATGAATAGAAGAATGGGGAATCCCAATATAGGACTGATGGTAAACCTATCCTTTTGGTTATGTTGCTGTTCTCTCTCTCTGTGTCTCTGTCTCTCTGTGTGTGTATTGTCCATATAAAGAACCCAGTTGATTATGAAATGCAATTAGAAGCTGTTATTTTTGGGACTCTTGCCATGGCTGGAGTAGGCTTGAATTTAAGAGACACAACTCTTGCCACTGATTAGTTTCTGGCAGCACTCTCATGCCTGGGAAGGGTGTCATCAACCAGTTGATCATGTCAGCTGGAGTAACTAGTAGTCGCTAATAAGGACCTTTCCCCAAGCATCTATATCTGAGAATTTCAGAGATTCACAAATGCAATTAAGAAATGTCATTATGTAGTTACATAAATGTTTAATTTTTCCACCCATATGTTTACATTTTGAATATTTTTGAATATTTGAATATTTTCTATAAGCCATGCATTGTTTTAATTTCTAAGAATGGTTACATTTTCTGTATGATGAAAAAGCTAATGCACAGAGAGTTTAAGCAGGTTGCTCTCCAGTGTACAGATGACAAATGGCGGTGCTAGGATTATAATCAGATACCCTGAGTGCAGAGTCCATGGCCTTCTTCGTGACGGAGACATTGCTAGATGCTGGGGGGCACTATGGTGAAAAGGATTCTCTAACCCTTATGAACATAGAAGAGAGAGATATAAGTAAACAATTCTCTGCTTTAGTTCACAAATACTGATGAATTTTCTAGATCAGAGTTTCCATGAACAATAGAAACCAGGAGAAACCAGGTTGTGAGGAAACTTTTTTCCTTGTTAAGAATTTCATTATTAATAACAGAGTCCTTGAGGACTGGTCATAACTAATAGAGGCTAGGCTGACAATTAATGCTTGCTTTATTCATGCCTTTAATCTTGGTTTGAAATACTACACCTGGATAGTTTATGTCAAAACAAGAATTTTAAAGCCAGAATACTTAGCTTAGAATAGTGTCTTATAGATATCCACTTTGTGTTGATGTTTTTCTAAATCTATTCTTCACATATAGAATTTAAATTAAGACTGCTTGTATAACCCTGGTAAAATGAAGCTTGTACATCTTCTATTAATATTCTTAAATGAGATACTCTTATGAGGTCAAATGAAGTGCTAACATGAAAAAAATCTGAGCTAAAAGTCAGATTACACATCAAGACATATGGTATAGATGATTGGATAAAGGCAGAAGTTATTGCTTCATTTATTTGTTTTTCTTTTTTAAAACTCATGCTGTTCCATAAAAGATTTGAAATGACTTACAACAAAAACGCATATACAAATATGTTAAGAAAAATAGGATTTCAATAAAAATATTGAGTAAATACAATTTAGAAGAGTAACGTAAAAATCATAGGAAGAATTAAGTAGAGTTTGAGATAATTATATGTGAGTCAGTTCTTAAATTGCTATGTATGAAAAAGTAAGAACTTCCACTCCTGCATTAACTACTTTGGGTATCTCCACTAGACAATTTGTCTGGGTAGATGCAGGCTTCCCTGGGCATCCCTGTATAATTTTTAGCGTATCTGTTTTTCACAGATATGAAAAGCAGAAGCCTGTTTATTCATAGAACAAAAGCTGGGTAGATATAAAATCAGGAGATGATGTCACAGTCTTAATCTCTATAGACTGAATTTGATGATTTTCCATTGGAAACTTTATTGTGATTGGCTTGGAGTGCATTAGCAACATAAATGTAAGGAGCTACAATGCATTTGACTGTACTGGACATTTTATCACTCACACCCTCCTACCTACCTGCCTCACTATGACCCAAAAATTCAGCCGCCAGGCTGGCGGGACTTGGGAAGCCACCTGTGATCACGAATGGAAGCAGTCTATGTTCCTGCAGTACAATCAGCAGGCAACTACTTATTATGGTTGTTGTTATTATTATTATTTTTGAACAGAACAAGAAAGAAGGAGGAGATGAGGAGGAGAATGGGAATAGGGTGGAGATGGCAGATGTCACAGGGGAGAACGAAGAGAAGGAAAATACCAGATGGAGGGGAGAAACATTTAAAAAAGAGAACTGAGAGAAAGAAAGAATGAGAGAGAAATTTACAGGAAAGAAGCAGGTTTGAGTAGAACCAGAGACAGAATCAATATAACATTTTTCCTTGTCCTGGTATGACCCAGCTAATTCCCGATGGATGCCAACTTGTTCATTTATGGGATGCTGCAGGAGGGCAAGCAACAAGATATCCGAGGTCACTCTCAGTCACTCTTCAGTAACCCTCTAACCTCTAAGAACCCGAAGGCAGCTGTGTCCACTGTGGAGCAAACCCTGGGGGAGGAGGAAAACTGTCTCAGTGTGTTGGTGACTCATTCTGGTGCTGATTTGGCCTTATGAAAGTAATTTAGCTCCACTGGGCTGAACCTAGTCATAATTAATAACAGGATACCTGGTTATACAGTGGGTCCAGTATTACCAACAAAGTGTTGCCTGAGGCAGAGGCAGAGAAGAAACAGAGAAGAAAACAAAAGGAAAGCAAGAGCAGACGATGGCTTCCAGTATTCTTCAGGCTGTAGAGACCCTGTGAAGGTTTCTGGATACATATGTATACAATTGAGGTTTAAAGGAACTAACATTTCAGGGTCTATTACGTATCAAACAGAGTGCTGGATGCCTTTTCCATGTAACTCATGTAATCCACCCAGCAGTCTTGTGTAGTAGCTGTTATTATCCCCCTTTTACTGAGGTTAGGAAAATAGCTTGCTTGGTATAAGCAGGTTTAAACTCAGGTCTATATAACTTGAATCCTAGCACATGTTTTTAACTTCAAAATAATCATACAGTCTAGGTGACACTTAAAGAGATGTAGTTTGCTTATGTATTTAAAAGCAAGTAGCCATTACCTTCTACCAGAGCCTCCTTCTCTCTTTTCTGGTTCTCACTTTGTCTTAAAATCCTAATGTATTAATTTGTGCTTCAGCCTTACAATATACTAAATGATTTTGTAGTGGGAAGAAAATGGAAGGAAATGGATTTTGAAGGCAGAGAAATCTGGCCTCAAATTTGATTTTCACAGTTCATTAGCCATATGATCTTAGGAACCTGTACAATGGGATTAATAATATTAGTTTAGTTTTTTTTTTTTTTTTTTTTTTTGAGGATGAAATGAGTTACGGGAACATACCTAAACTAACATAATGTTTTTCACTTAGGGGTCACTGAATTGTTGGTTTCCCTCCTGTCTTTCAAAATTTAGATAGAATTCACTGGTTTCAGAATTTCCTAAACTATGCTCTGCAGAAAATTAGGTGTTCTGAGAGAGGTAATTAACATTCTTCATAAAAACGTTTTTCACGGTCAGTATGTTGGTGTGGAGTGAATGCTTCTAAAGAAATGCTTCTCTTAAGAAATGCTTCTAACTCTTGCTTTTACCCACTCTCCCTTCCCCCAGAGGATCCCAACCATACAGAGCTCATAGGTCAATTCCAAATGCATTAAGGAACTAAATGTGAACATAAAAATGGAAACCATTTAGAAGAAATATGGAAAAATGTTATATGTAATTTTTTCATAGTGAGTATCTCTTTAAAAAAGACAAAAACTCAAAACATAAAGGAAGAAATTTTGACTATGTTAAAACGTAAAACTTTCCTAAGACAAAGACACAATGTAAGAAGGTATTTCAATGTATTTAACTAACAAAGGATTAGTATCTGAATATATAAGCATTCTCACAAACCAGCAGAAAAAGGCAAACAATGCAATAGAAAAAAAGCAAAGGGTGTGAATTGACAATTCACAAAAGGGAAAGTTGTGTGGCCAAGAACATCTAGAAAAAAAAGCTCAATTTCACTAGTAATTGAGGAAATGCAAACTAATATAAAAATGAGATATGTTACACTGATTAAATTCACAAAAATTCACATTTTAATTGCTAGTTATAATTTCTTCAACATTATACTGTAATTTTTAATCAGCACGGTAACACACCTAAACACACAAAGGAATGAAGTGAAGAGCATAAGGATTGGGCAGCAAGACACAAAACTGTCATCATTTGTACACAGTGGTGGCATATTTACCATACAATTTCAAGAGAAAATAAGTCAGACTCTTCCAAATGGATTAAGGAACTAAATACTAAATGTTACGAGATATTAAATGATTTTGTAGTGGGAAGAAAATGGATTTTGAAGGCAGAGAAATCTGGCCTCAAATTTGATTTTCACAGTTCATTAGCCATATGATCTTAGGAACCTGTACAATAGGGTTAACTATGTTAGTTTAGTTTCTTTAAATGAACAAAATAAAACTATGAAACAAAATAAGACCGTTAGAACTAACACAATAATTTAGCAAGTCAATTAAATTTAAAATTAAGATAAAAAATTTAATTTTAATAAACCATACCAACAGCTATGACAGAAGAAACTGTTCACTAAATATTTTTGATTTTGTATTAGTACAGGGTAGGATTTCACTTTCTTGTCTCCTTGAAGTTAGGTTTGATCATGTGACTTGCTGTGAACAATGAAGTGTAAACAGAAGTGATGCCTGTCTCTTCCAGGTAGAAGCTGTAAGAGACAGCACAAGATTTGCTGCTCTTTTCCTTTGTTTCTTGGAACAAGGAATGGCAGTCATCTTCCACGTGGCAAATTGATAGAGCACCATTATCCGGAAGACTGCCATATCTTCCAGATATTGGTTGCTCTATAGACAATTTGGGTCCTGGGGTGAGGACAAAAGAGAATAGTGCCCTACCTAATACATGATAGACATACAGCATAAACAAGAAGTAAACTTCATTTTCAGTCATTGAAATTTTAGGGTTATTTGTTAATGTAGCATCCCCTAGCCTATCCTAACTGATATGACCAATGAACATCTATTAGTCATTTACCATGTGCCAAGCTGTTCTGAGTCCTCTCTCTCTTTCTCTGTCTCTCTTTCTCTTTCTCCTTCTTTAATGTAATCACCACCAGAATTTTCTGAAGTAGGTATTTTTATGACCCTCGATTTGACAGATGAGTGAATTATCCCCTAGAGATACTGAGAGATTAAAATAACTTGCTTTAGGTGACACACCTTGTAAATGGCAAAGGCAAGATTTGAACTCGAGTCTTTTGGTTTCAATACCTGAACTTGTTCTGTTAATCACTTGGTATGCTGTCTTCCTCAGAAAATGTACTATAAAATTTTTACATATCATTTGTAATAGGAGACAAAACTATATGATATGTAGAAAAACACTTATAAAACATTACTGAGACTTTTACATAGAAAATTTTAAAACTTCATTAAAAGAAGGCTTAACTGATTGAAAAGATGTAATATGACTGTGATATCGTAATTTGTGGTTGGGAAAACTCAAATTCATAATGATGGAAACATATCCAAATTAATTTATAAATTTAGTGTACTTTCAATAAAGATATCATCAATTTCTTTTGAATAGAATTTGACAGACAAATTCTCACATATATATGGAAATATAAATGACCGAGAAAAGTCAACACAATCTTGAAGAATAAAAATAATGGTAGATTTGTCTGACTAGGTATTATAACTTTTGTAAATCCTATGAGTAAAAACTGAGGGTTGACACAGAAATAGACAAACCAATGGAAAAGAAAAAGGAATTTAGAGCCCAATCTATTTATATAGTGAGGGTGGCAATAAAATTTTGGTGGGAGCAGGATGGATTATTAAGTAAATGACATTGTGACAATTTGTTATTGATATTGAAAAATTCTATATCTGTACATTTATACATATTGAATTCTGGATAAACTAAGGGCTTAAAAAGTAAAATAATACAAATTTAGAAGAAAACAGGGAAAATAATAGGTGAATTACATCAGGTAAGGGTTTTTTATGTATGATGCAAAGGCACAAACTATTAAGGAGAATATTAACAAATTTGACTACATACTAGCTTCTATAAGATACCATGAAAAATATGAAAAAAGAAGATAAAAACTACAAGAAACTTGTAATACTATAGCCATCAAAGGATTAGTATCCAGAATATATAAAGAGCTTCTACAAATTGATGATAAAAAGAAAAACAATGCAATGGAAAAATAGGTAAAGGTAATGATAGGTAATTAGTAGAAGAAGAAAACTGAATGCCAATAAAAATTTGAAAAGATTCTCAATATTGCTAGTATTCTGGGAAATATAAATTAAAACATTCAGACATACCATATGATACTTATCTAATATGTAAAACTTAATAATTCTGATGACACCTACTGGAGAGATTGTGAATTTTCAGTGGGGCTGTAAATGTGAAGATGGTCATCTGCCATAAACGCAGCAATTA
This sequence comes from Homo sapiens, assembly GCF_000001405.40. Classification (NCBI taxonomy): domain Eukaryota; kingdom Metazoa; phylum Chordata; class Mammalia; order Primates; family Hominidae; genus Homo; species Homo sapiens. Next base: position 18,861,399 of record NC_000012.12, on the reverse strand, counting down.
CACTTTTAGGGAGAAACCTGTACGTTTATAAGAAAACGCATACATAGTAGTTCTTCAACATCATGTTGCAGAGCTGTGTAAAGAAAGTAGACCTTCAGATATCAACACAGGTAAAGCACAAAAACACATTTTTAACAGGAAGAAAGGAGGTTAAAAAGATACAAATATTTATATGCATATTATGTATGTAAAATTTAAAAATATATGAAACAGTAGTACATTTTCTTTGTGGAGGTAAATGTCTCAAAACTTATATGGAAAGATATAGAAAAACTTCAGGAAAGTGGTTGTTTAGAGAGGAAGACAAAAGGAAAGAAGGGAGGAAGGGCTTTAATTTTAACTGTAACATTTTGTATCCTCAAAAGAGAGAAAGCTAAAACACATTATGGAAAATGTTAACATCTGTTTAATGTTAGTGGTATGTAGTAGGTAACTGTTATAGCATTTTCTGTACTTTTAATGTTTGAAGTATTTTATGATTAAAATTTAAGTCTAAAAAATCCCTAGATGGTACCTTTTCATGTATATACTGCAGTATGGTTAGTCTCAGATCTTATACCTAGGCCTTAAAGTTTGTTTTTTAATTTTTCATAAATGAGATTGACATTTTCTTTTAATTTATGCTTTTAAGCAGGTAGCCTTATTTTAGGATCTTCAGCAATAGTCATGTATGTTTTTAAAACATTTTATTTATTTGTATTTATTTATTTATTTATTTATTTATTTATTTATTTATTTATTTAGAGAGAGATAGGAGGTCTTACTATCTTACTATGTTGCCCAGGGTAGTGTCAAACTCCTGGGTTCAAGTGATCCTCCTCAGTAGCTGGGACTGCAAGTGTACACCACCGAGGCGAACTTGTTCTGAAAACTTTTTAAAGTCTACAGGCTTATTTCAGAGATGTCAGCTTTACTGTCACACAGTATCCTAGAAGTAGACATTACAATGTTCTAGGAAGAAAATAAGACTCCAGATTGCCCAAAGTCATCGGCCAAAAAGTAACAAGGCTATTAAATTTGTATGTAAGATTTCAGTCTCTAAATCAACGGCTTGCTTCATGCTTTTCTGCCTCCAATTGTTTTTGTTTTGTTTTGTTTTGGTGCACAATGGGGTTCATATTAGGGAAAAAGTGATCTAGAAAGACAGCTATTTAGCCACGGCCTTAATTATCTCCTTCCTTTCTAGAGTGCAAATTTGCCTCTAATGGATGGAAATGCTAATGATTTTAAACCTTACTACAAAAAAAACAGTCTAAAAATTTTTAAAGAAATACTTTAGCAAGCTTTATATATTCTATTGGGAATAAGACGTCCTTTAGGCAACAATTATCTACAAAAGAAAGGAAGTCATGAGAAAGGTGGGGGTGAAATGAACAAGGGAATGGGATGGTGGTAGGGTTTTTTGTAGGTGACTACATATTTGGTAGAAAAAGGTCAAGAGCAGAACTCATTCACTTCACTTCAGGGAGGAAGAGGAAAGCAGGATATTAGAGTGGAAAAAAGAGAAAAAAGAGCTGAATATGATTCTGGGATGATAAAGTACTCCTGAAAACTGCCTCACGGGCTACTCAGGGGCACTAAGGCTCACCTGCATTCGCCATAATCCATCCTTTCTGGTCATGCAGGGTTTTCAAGGAGGGAGCCTGACTTTTAGGAATGAGGTTAGTAATCCAATCTGTTGCAGTCTAGGCAATGACTGTATGTAAAACTGGCAACTGGCACTATTAAAAGTGGAACCAGACAGCATATTAGAAGAGGAAAGAGGAAAACGTGGACATGTGGGAGCTGCAGGAGGAGAGAGTTACTGAAGTGTGTGACATGTAGGTCTTCTGTCTGCCAAGTGGAGTTCATTAAGTGGCAAGAGTCTATCACTTTCAGCTCACAAATAGCTCACAAACAGAAAGATGGCAATGACAGTGCAGTTGTCACTGTTAGAAATGACAAGTCTTTGCAACACTATTCCTCCAATTTTAAAAAAGTATCAAATCAGACATTGAGATAAATATAATTAAAATATGTGATATGAAAACTTTCTATATAAATTCCATTTTAAAATATCAGACATAGAGACATTTTAAGTAGGTTCTAGATGGAATTTATGTATGAAAACTAGGAAATGAGCTTAGTGGAGATATTTTTCATAAATGTTTATATATGAGTAAGTTTTAAATACAAATAGATTTTTAAATACTATGCTCTAAGAGATGTAAACTTTAAGAAGAGTAAGGGAATAATAAAAATAAATATTCATGGAGAAATCTCTGATCCCATTTATTTAGCAAAGTAGCCGTCCTTCTCTATGAGAGATGTATTGAGTAATTCAATTAGCTTTTCATTTACAAATTCGTATCCTAAACTCATATTTATTGAGCGCCAAATTGTGTTTCTGTTTAGGAGAGGTAAGACTTTACCTACTTACGGTCTCCAGCTGGGCTTGAGAATTAAATTGATATCAGACAGATTAACAGGAGAAACGCACACAAATTTCTACATGTGCATGGGAGCCCCCATAGGAAAATGAAGGTCCAAAGAATTGGCAAGACCTAAGTGCTTATAGAGTAGGTTGAACAAAGTGTGACAATTGTGCAAAAGTAACTAAAATGTATGGGAAGGCTAAAGGAAGATGAGTGATTTTAACAAGGTTTCCTTGTCCAGATTTTTCTGTTTCCACTCTCCATTTCTGGTGACAAGAATATTTATTCTCTCCTGGCACAGGGAGGTCAGAGTGTCCCTTTTGTATCTGTTGTTTTCCAAGTGCCTTTAGCTAGAAAAAAATCCTTCTGCCACTCTTCAGCAGGCATTGTTCTAGTGTTTGGGACTTATTTGTATATCAAAGACACAAAAATCCCTGCTTGTGTGTCTTACATTCTAGGAAGAGAAGAAATAAACATAATAAGTTAATTCTATAATACTTTAGAAAGTAATAAGTGCTGTAAAAATCAAGAAGAAGACACCTGTGTGCATGTGTGTGTATGTTGGGCGTGAGGGGTGGGCTAAGAGGGTAGCATTTTGTCGTACAGATCGCCTTCTGAGGAGAGGATATTTGAGCAAAGACTTGAAGGAGGGGAAAGACCGTTTCAGGCAGTGAGAATAGCCAGTGCAAAGCCCTCGGGTGGGAGCATGCCTGGTGTATGTAAGGAAGCTTGGAGACCAACATAAGAGTATAGTGAGCAAGATTGAGAGTGTACGAGATGAAATCAGGGAGGTCACAGGGGCAAGAGCACACAAAACCTACAGGGTATTGTCAGGGTTTGCCTTCAGGAGCCATGGGGGCATTTTGAGCAAAGTGAAGTGATCTGACTTAGATTTGAAAGGGATCACTCTGCCAAGAACATGCTGTGGAATGGTGAGTGTGGAAGTGGGGAGACTGGTAAGGATGCTACTGCAACAGTCAGGTGAAAGATGATGGTTGGAGCAGATGGTAGCAGTGGAAGTAGTGAGAAGTGACTGGACTCTGGATATATTTTATAGGACAGGCCAACAAGTTTCTCTAATAAAATGTATAGAAAGGGCATGGAATGAAAGAGGCAGAAATCAGTGATGACTCTGACATTTTGACAAGAACATCTGCAAAGGTGGAATTGTTGTCAACTCAGGCAGGAATTTTACAGGTTTGTAAGGAAATATTAAGAGTTTGATTTTTGGATCTGCTAAATTTGAAATGACTATTAGATACACAAAGAGAAATGTTGTGAAGGTAGTAAAAGAACCTGGAGTTCAGAAAAGTGTGAGTTGGAGATACAGAAATTATCTTACGTCTGACAGCCATGGAATTGGATAAGGTTATCTGGAAAATAAATGTTGAGTAAGCGAAGATGTCTAATGACTAAGCCCCAGGGTCCTTCAACCTTTAGAGGTTGGGAGAAGAGGAGATGCCAACAGTGGAGACTGAGAAGAAAACCTTAGTGAGGAAGCAGGAAAGCCAATGAAGTGTGCGATCCCAAGACAAGTGAAGAAAATGTATCAAAGAGGAGTGAATGATCTAATATGTCAAATGCTGATGATGAATTAATAGTGAGGTCACTGGTGACAACAAAGACTTAATGGTGAGAGCAAAGCCTTATTGGAGTAGATTTCTTTTTAAATTATTTTTTTCCAGCTTCATTGACTTATAATCAGCAAATAAAAATTGTGTATATTTGCATCATGTGTACTTAAGGTGTGCAACATGATGATTTGATATATGTATACGTTGTGAAATGACTCCCACAACCAAGTAATTAACACATCCATCCCTCACATTGTTACTTTGTGTGTATGTGTGTGTGTGTGTGTGTGTGTGTGTATGTGTAGTAAGAATACAAGATTTAGTCTCTTAGATTTCCAGTAAATTATATGGTATTATTAACTGTAGTCACCATACTGTACATTAGATTCCTAGAATGTACTCATCTTATAATGGGGAATTTGTACACTTTGACCAATGTCTCACCATCTCCCCCATCCTCTAGATTGCGAATAATACTGCAATGAACATGGGGGTATAGATATCCCTTTGAGGTCTTGATTTCAATTCCTTTGGAATATATACCCAGAAGTGGGATTGCTGGATCAAATGTAGTTCTTTTTTTCTTTAAATTTTGGAGGAATCTCCATATTGTTTTCTATAGTGGCTGCACCAACTTATGTTCCCATCAGCAGTACACAAGGGTTCCCTTTTGTTCACATCCTTTCCAACAGTTGTGATCTCTTTGCCATCCTGATAGGAATATGGTGATGTCTCATTGTGATTTTGATTTGCATTTCCCTGATAATTAGTGATGTTGAGCAGCTTTTCATATACATTTTGGCCATTTGTATGTCTTCTTAGGAAAAATGTCTATTCAGGTATTTTTTCATGTTTTTTTTAATTATTTCTTTTCTTTTCTTTATTTATTTTAGAGATGGGGTCTTACTATGTTGCCCAGACTGGTCTTGAACTCCTAAGCTTAAGCAATCCTCCTTCCTTGGCCTCCCAAAGTGCTGGGATTACAGACATGAGCCACCACACCGGGCCTTTTTTCCATGTTTTAACCAGATTTTCTTTTTTCTGTTGAGTTGTATGAATTTTGTATACATTTTGCATATTAGCCCCTTATTAGATATATAGTTTACAAATATTGTCTTGCATTCTGTAGGTTGCTTTTTCATTTGTGGATTGTTTTCTTTGGTGTGCAGAATGCTTTTAGTTTGATATAGCACCCCCCCCACCAACTTGTTTATTTTTGATTTTGTTGCCTGTGCTTTTGGTGTCATATTCAAAAAATCATTGCCAAGGCCAATGCCAAGGTGATTTCTCCCTGTTTTCTTCTAGGAGTTTCATGGTTTCAGGCTTATATTTAATTATTTAATCCATTTCTAGTTAATTTTTGTGTATGATATATGATAATGGTCCAATTTCGCTCTTTTGCATGTGAATATCCAGTTTTTCCAATACCATTTATTGAAGAGACTATCCTCCCCGTATTGTGTATTTTTGGCACCCTTGTTAATTATTAGTTGACCTTATGTGTGTGGGTTTATTTCTGGGTTCTCTATTCTGTTCCACCGGTTGATGTGTCTGTTTCAATGTCAGTGCCATACTGTTTTGATAGCTTTGTAATACATTTTGAAATCAGGAATTATAATGCCTCCATCTTTGTCCTTCTCTCTCAAGATTGCTTCAGCTATTAGGGGTCTTTTGTGATTCCATGTGAGTTTTAGCATGGCTTTTTCTATTCTGTGAAAAATGTCCTTTGAATTTTGATAGGGATTGCATTGAATCTATAGATTGCCTTGGGTGGTACAGACATTTTAACAATATTAGTTGTCTAATTCATGAACACATAATGTTTTTCCATTACTTGTGCTCCTTCAATTTCTTTCACCAATGCTTTATAGTTTTCAGCAAACAGATCTTTCACCTCTTTGGTTAAATTAATTCCTAAGTGTTTTATTCTTTTTGATGCTATTTGTTAATGAAAATATTTTCTTAATTTCTTTTTCAAATACTTCATTGTTAGTGTATAGAAACACAACCTGTTTTTGTAAGTTGACTTTATATCCTACAAGTTTACTGAATTACTTCTTAGTTCTAACAGCTTTTTGGTGTAGTCTTCAGAGTTTTCTATACGTAAGATCATATTGGAGCAGATTTTTAACATTGCTTATATTTTACAAAATTTTTTTCAAAATTCCACTAAAACATTATTAAAACCTTGTTATTTACAGTGGACTTTATAATATAAACTTACATTAATTTGTCCAACTTATATCTTCTTCTTACCACTTTTCTTGCTTTGCAATGCAACCAAGAATACACAATACCCAGACCATGTCAAAATGATATTGTTTGTAATTAAACTGCATTATTCAGCTAATTATTTTCTCATTTGCATTTATTTTTCTTCACAGCAGAAACTATGGCAATTTAGGGCTAATTGTTTAATACTTTCTCATAATTTACCAAAAATATGATGATATATTAATTTTTAAAAATACGTTGCATTAATCACACCAAGCACCTTGGCTGGAAGCTTACTCTCAATATGAGAACACATTATTTCTAAAGACACAAGTGACAAAATATTTCATCCCAAGATGTGGGTGGACTGTGACAAAACAGCCTGCATTCATCACTTTGTTTATTTACTAGGCAAAAGTTCAGTGACAGTGACCAATTTTTCACCTTTCCCTATATTCACAAATAGTGCCTTTCTATCATGGGTGGGGTGACCTATCCCACCCCTGACAGTGGTTTCAACCATGTGACTTGCTTTGGCAGATGGGATATTATCGGACATAAATGCAAGAAGAGACTTGAGATGGGCCTGTGTGCCGTGGTTTACTCTCTTGTGCGTCTGCCATCACCATGGGAACATGCCTGAGCTCTCTTGCTAAAAGGTGAGAGACACATGGAGCAGAACTGTGTCACCATGTCACCCCCACTGTTCTGGTCAAGACTAGCCTAGATCAGCCAACTGCCAGCTGACCCCCCAAACATGAGCAATAAGCAATGACTGTTGAATGCCACTGAAGTTTTGTAGCAAACGATTACTAATGCTGTATCCTTTTCTGGCTTTTATGTTCAAATGACTTAGTAGGGTCTGGGCTGATATCACCTGATTCTCAATGTGTCTCTTATATTCTTAGCCTTTGGCAATTCTGTCAGAGCACTTTGCCATCCTTTCCCAGACTTTCTGTGAGCAGTTCCACCCACAGCCTTTTCTGCTGCTCTCATCTCAAATTTACTTAGTCCCTCAAGGCAGCTGTCTGGTGAACACTGGAAGTTAGTGAGCACAATGAAGATAAGAGGGTAGACGTGAAAATAAAGATTTGGGAGTTACGAAAATACAGTCCATGGAAAAAGCAATGGGAATGAATGGAATTATCACAGAAGAAAGCTCAGAAAGAAAAAAAGGAGAAAACAAGGGCTGAACTTGGGAACAACTCAATACGTAAGTCCCAAAGGCGTGGAAGAAGCTACAGCAAGGAAAACAGAAAGAAGAGGTCAAATGAGTAGGAAGAGAACATGGATAGAATACTAGCTTGGAAGCCAATAATTAGAAAGTTCCAAGAAAAGGAAAGTGGCAGAAGTGTTCATTATTTTAGGATATTTCATTAGAAGTATGTCATTGGAGCTGAAAATTAAGACGTCACTGGTGATTTCTGCCAGAAAACAGAGTGAAGTAGTAGAAGCCAGACTGAAATGGAATAAGGAGTATGAGATGGGGAGGTGGAAGTGGGTATAAACCATACAAAACATTGTCTAAAGTGCATCAAAATCATTTGGGTGACGTGGTGAAAGTGTTAAAAAATAGAGATTTCTGGGTCTCACTCTCAGAAGTCCTAATTTAGTCTTACCAAGAGCCAGAAATTTGCATTTTATAAAACATCCTATTAATAAAGTCTGAACTTTTTTTTCAAAAAAGTTGGCAAAAAAAAAAAAAAAAGAAGGAAGATGCCAAAGGGAGGCCTAAGTGCTAGTGGGGGTGACAAACACTTTAAACACTTTGTAATTTTAAACTTGCTTCTAGAGAAAGCTTCTCCCCTGGGGCAATAATGTGTTGATCAGTGCATATAACGAGCAGCCTGCTTAGCAGTTGCGCTTTTCATTATAAATTGTTTAATTGGCTTTTGGTATAAATCAGTCCTGAGTTTGGGTACCATGACCTAACATCCTAGGGCCTCATGACCCTTGGAAAAACTGAATGTTGATATTTTAGCCCTTAGTAAATATCCCTCATCTTTATGTCTCCTGTTTTTTTTTTTTTTTTTTTTTTTTTTTTTTTTTTTTTTAAACTAAGAAAAAAGATTCCTAGTTGATAACCTCTAGGCAACCTTTGAAAAAAAGGAAAAGCATTTTACTGTTTTCAATCTTTGCAAAAATCCTTTTGCTATTTTTAAGTCCTTGAGAGCCCTCTCTTCTTAAACCTCTTTAACCTATCTGAATTGTAACCCTCCTATTCTACTAAAATAGTGCTATTTAAGGTGTAGGGGTGAAAAGGCAGTATCTTTTTTGTCACCTATCACAAGGGTCGTGGCTGAATACCTTATAACAAAACACAGATTAACAAGAGAAAAGCGTAACAAATTTATTATAAAAACTTGAAGGAAGTTTTACATGACATGGGTGCCTTCAGAAATAAATACCTGAAGATCCAGGGAAAACTGTGTGGTTTTTTTTAACATTTATTTTTATTTTTTCTTATTTAGTCTTTTGAGAGTCTGGCTATGTTGCCCAGACTGGATTCAAACTCCTGGCCTCAAGTGATCCTCCCACTTCAGCCTCCTGGCCACCAGCAGATTACAGGCATGTGACACTGCACGTGGCTTAAAACTTTGTGGTTTTATGCTAAGTCTGATGGAAAGAAATAGGTCATTGTGGAGAAAAATAACTGGACAAAAAGGGTATAATCTCATGGTAATAAACTTGAGGGAACTTAGCAAGACCTGTTCACTCAAGTTCTTCTTGGCTTCTCTGTGTAGCATTTTTTCTCTATGAGCTTAGGGCAGAACACCTGACATGTGAGTGTCTTATGAGCTACTTTTAGGGGAGGTAGGTCAGAGAGTGACCTTTCTAAGTTTTATTGTTTTGGGGAAGAGAGAGCAAAGAGGGAGACAAGAGGGCAGAAAGTCAGAGACACCTTCTTGCTTCTGAGACCCTCCTGTTCTCTTCAGCTCAAAAATACTCACATGTCAAGGTACTATACTTTGAGGTATTGTGTTCTGAGCCTGAGAAAAGTCACCCAATGGCTCCAAAATCCACACTGAATATCTGTTTGGTTTAAAATTTTTGACTACTCTGAAACATTAAAGATTGTCAGTGCCCCTTTTCTAAAGTTTTCTATTCTTTGGATGTTTCCTGTTTTCCATCCTGCAGTCTAATTGTGGATGGCCACAATGCATCTTTTATTCAACATTTACATAGCAGTGTCACCTAGTCAGATAGGTAGAAATGTAAACTATACAGACTATTTAGAAATCTCTGATTTCTAACTCAGCCTTTTTTTTAAAGCTGCTATCTTATGTTTCTCACTGCCTGTTAGACTTTTCAACTTGGAGTCTTTATTTCTTTTAGTGATTCTACCATGCTTTCAGAATAAAGTTTCTCCCTTAATTTTGCATGTGAGTAATTGCTGACATCTATCATTTTTTCCTTTTTGATGTACTTTGGAATCATTCTCTCAATTTCCATTGACACTGGTATCAGATGTAATTTGGATCTTTTTTAATGATCTGCAAGAATTAATGCAAAAGCATTTTTTAAAAGTTAGGTTCACCTGGGTGTAATTTACATACAATAAAATTCACTCTTTTAAGTGTGGAATTTAATGAGTTTTGACAAATGCATATACAGTCATGTTACTACCACCATGATCAAGATACAAAATATTTCTATCGCCCCAAAATGTTTCCTTGTGGCAATTTGCAGTTACTTCCTGTCCTAAACCTTTAGCCGCTGGCAACTGCCAATCTGTTTCCTGTCCCTATGATTTTGTCTTTTACAGAATGTCACATAAGTGGAATTGTTCTGTATACACACTTTTGTACGAAGCTACTTTCACTTAGTGGAATGCTTTTGAGGTTCATTTGTATTGTTGCATGTAGTTCATTCCTTTTTATGGCTGAATAGCATTCTATCATAAGAGTTGTATCACAATTTGTCTATCTATTGACCAATTGATGGATATTTGGTTGTTTCCATTCTTTGTCTACAATGAAAAAGCCTGCTGAAAACATCTGCATACAACTCTTTCTTTCCATATATATTTTCCTTGCAATAGCACTTGAAGTCATTTCTCTACTCTTGTTTCTCAAGTTCATGTTGCCCACAGAAAAATCTTAATAGTTGTTATAGTGTTTTTCACTTACTCTAAAGCTTTTAGTGGTTTTTTATTACAGGAGATTTATTAGACAAATGTCATTTCTTAGATGACTTTGTTCATTAGTTAATCTTATTGTTCATTACTTAATCTTGTTAGATAAACATCAAACCACTTGTCTTTCTATTAAAGACTTCCAAAGTTGATCTCAAAATACTTTTTCAAATTTACCGCCAATTACTCACTTTATGCTCAAACTATGCTCCTGGATTATTAACCACTCCTGGCATGACATCTTTAAGACTTTCTTCTTCTGTTTATACCATTAATTTAAATTGAATTTAGCTAAATAAGCATTCACTGACCACCTACTATGTGTAAGCTACAATGCTTTGTAGATTCAAGTATCCCCTGCTAATCAAATCTTATTTGTTCTTGAGTTTTTTCTTTGTTTTTTTTTTGTTTTGTGTGTGTTTTTTTTTTTGTTTTTTTTTTTTTTTTTTTTTTTTTTGAGACAGAGTCTCTTCCTGTCACCCAGGCTGGAGTGCAGTGGCACAATCTTGGCTCAGTGCAACCTCCATCTCCTAGGTTCAAGCGAGTCTCCTGCCTCAGCCTCCTGAGTAGCTGGGACTATAGCTGTGTGCCACCATGCACAGTTAATTTTTGTATTTTTAGTAGAGACTGGGTTTCACCATTTTGGCCAGGCTGGCCTGGAACTCCTAACCTCAAGTGATTCACCCCCCTCGGCCTCCCAAGGTGCTGGGATTACAGGAGTGAGCCACAGCACCTGGCCTGTTCGTGAATTCTTGACAGCAAATAGTGGGAGTTCAGCTAATATAGAATACTGACCCTATCTTAATTTATTTGAGTCTATTTGATCTCAGATAGTGAAAGAAGAGTCCCCAGCCCCAGAAAAGTTGCTTGTGTATAATGGGTGCCTAATAAATGTTTGTTTAAATGAGTTTAATTAATATCAATGGCATAAACGATGAAGTAGATTTCAGGTGAGTATGGTGAATTTATTTTTTCACATGCTGAGATAGAGACATCATGGGAATGTGAGATAGGAAGTAGGGATCACATTTGAAGACATAGCTTGAAGCAGGAATTGCTTAGAAGTGGTAGCTGATGCCAAGGGAGTGAATAAGTTTCCTTAGGGAGAAAGTAAAGAATGAGGAAAGACAGAGCTGGGAAACCTTTGGGGAATGCAGGCATTTCATATCTGCTGACTAGGGCAGGACTGAGATAATTAAAGAATAAGTGGAGCAAAAGCAGTAGGAGATATAAGAATATGCAGGGAATAGATGAGGTGGTAAGGAGAGTGTGGGAAGGTGAAATGCTTGGACATTTATTGAATGACTATTATGTGTCTGTTAGAGATTGATAGGCAATTTACTTAATTTGCCCCATTTAATCCTCATAACAAAGCCCATGAAATAGGTAATATTATTCTCCTTTATTAGATGAGAAAGCTTATGCACAGATAATTTAACAAATTTTCCCAAGGTAATATAGCTGGAAAGTGGCATAGCTGGGTAAAATATTAAGCGTAGTAAGGGCATGTTGTTCTGTGTCTAACATTGTTCCATGTCTGCTTTGTTTAACATTGATCCTCAGAACCTAGTTTGGTTCCTGGTACACACTGTGCATTCAATAAGCACCCATTGATTATATTAAATCAAACTTACGTCTGTTTGACTTCAAAGCCTATGGTCTTTGCGTAATACCTTATTGAATGATCACAGAAACCAAGGAAGGTGAAAGTTTGAATACGAAAGCATACACTAACTCATTCAGAGCTGTTGAGTCATCACAAGGATTTAGAAGAGTTTATTGACTTTCTCAGAAGGAGGTAGTCATTGACAAGCTTAAAAAGAACATTTTCCATAGAGTAGACTTCAAAGGCAGAATGTCATAGGCTGGAAAATGCCTTGCCTCAGCATACTTTGCTATTGCAAACTGTTTCTTATACGTGGCAGCAACACTCCAATGCTCTGAGATAATTGCAGCTCATTAGCCCATTTCTACTGCCTCCAGATTTCTTGGGTGGGAGTCAGATACTATTCCCCTGTGTTCCTCCTAGCTTCGAGGTTCACATGCTAAGCTTCAAAAGCAGACTCATTGGTGCTCCCTTATTAGGCTTGAGAGCTCCTGTATCTCCAAGGAGGATGGGACTCTTAAGTAGAGTCTTAGAAGAAAGAAACCTAATTAGAAATCCATCCTTTATCTCAATTTTCATTTTTTCTATAATTTCAAGGTGGATGAGGGATTCAGGTATTGTTTAACTATTCTAATTATCTATTTTTAAAATTCTGCAAATGGTCTAGCACCTCCTTTGGAATGTAATATCTATTGTGTTGATTCCTTCATTTAAATTTATAATTTAACATCTTGTTTTATCAGCAAATTTTTGCAGTTCAGTATACCGAGTGCTCTATAAGAAATATTAAAGATATGGAGCAAAGGAAAGTGTGATCAACTCTCACCTGGGGTGGAGATGTGGTCAGGCAGAACTTCACAGGAAATGTGATGTTTGACTTTAGTTTTGAAGGATGGAAGCGTGTGGGTAGCATGGGACTTTGACAGTGGGAGGAATATAATGTTCTCCCTGTAGCTATGTGTCCCTGCTGGCCTCTTTCCAAATTACTTTGGTATAGGTGATAACCTACAAGTGCATAGCATTGCATTTTTTATTAGGTGGAATAAATTTATTTCTTTCAGTTTATATAATAAGTAGTTCTGCTGCCACTGCTGCTGGCTTGCTTCATGGTTTGCTTATGTGCCGTTGGTGGAAAATAAGAAGAAGGAATGACTTAAATAAAAATACAAAAAAAGCAAAATTACATAAAGAGGCCCATGGAAGAAAACTTTTTAGGAACCAGTAATGGGAAGGGTTACTATTAAAGAAATGGGATGACTATCAAGAATGTTATTGTGTCTACTGAATTTATTTAGGCATGTTGAGTCATAGACATAACTTAATGTGTTAAAATACATTCTCACAGATTGACCAAACCAAATAACATTAATATAAATGTGGTAATAGAATAATATTTCAAGTTGAATTTTAGACCATACAGATAGAGTGAGGGAATGTGGAGGATACCTGTCATTTAAGAGACCACAAAGGACTCTTTCCTGAGGTGAATGGAAGGTGGAGGTGAGAATCTTGGTCTCAGAGTGCATACCTGGGTTCAAAGTCCAATTTTGCTATTTTCTGTCTTTTGACTTTGGGGAAACTATTCTTTCTAACCCTCAGTTTTCTCATGTCTAACATGGAGATTATATCTTTGTTACATTTTGCTATGAGAATTAAATGACTTCACATATATAGAGTGTCTCACAGTGTACCTGGACCAAAGTAGTTGCTCAATAAACATTGGTTAATTTCTTTCATCTCTGTTTTCTTTTCTACTTCCCCTTTACCTCCTCATGTCTTCCTTTCTATCTCTTCTCCCACTGAAAGATGGGAAAAGGAAGTTATATTCAAGGAAATGTTCAGTAATGAACTATTCAAGAATTAAGGCTCAGCGCTTACATAAAAAAGTAACATAGACTTCATGTTGAAGATTTTACTATTATCAATGTCATTTTATATATAAGGAAACTGAGGTGTGGAGCGATTAAGTAATTTACCAAGATTAATCTTGAATAAGTGTCAGATTCAGGACTTTAACTCCCCATCCTTTTGATGCTAAAGAACAAGCTCTTAATGACAATTCACAATACTGTGAAGATTTCTGTGAACTCAACTAAATTCCTCAGTCATCATTTCACCTGCTGCCTTTAAGCCACAGCTCCCTCAGCCTGTACCTAAATAGCATGCTTCTTTTGTTTCTTTGTTTTTTGTTGTTGTAATGGCCTTATATTTATCCTGATTAAATTCCATCTTGTTAGATTTGGCCTATCTTTCTAGCCTGTCAAGATCTTTTTGATTCATGATACTGGCATATTGTCATCCAACATATTCCTTACCCTTCTAAGCTTTTTATCAGGTGCAAATATAATACACATATGTTTCCTGTCCTCATTCAAGTCATTGATAAAATTGTTGAACAAGATGAGGCAGAAGGCAAAGCCCACAGAGAGTGACATTATTTCATCATTAATCAGTATCCTCAAGAAATGGCTTTTCAATTCATTTCAAATCCATCCAGTTTTATTAACATTTACTCTTTCTTTTGCAAGGGTATTAAAAAAGACTTTGTCAAGCCTTTTAGCCTTGATGAAGTCTAGGTTTCTGATATCCACTGTATTTCACTGATGTGCAGGTTTAGTAACCCTGTCAAAAAGGACTCTAGTTTTCAACCTAACTTTATGCATTACATGTTGTTTGCTAAAATGTTTCCTTTTGAAGGAGTCCCATTTAATATTTTTATTTACAGCTGCCTACTTCAAGTGAAACGTAAATCCAGATCATAGAGCTCCCGACTATAGCTATCTTTGTACAGAGCTTCTCACTTATGCCTTTTCTAAATAGAGTTGGCCCTTCATATTTGTGTGTTCCATATTTGTGGATTCAACCAACAGATTGAATATATTCCAAAAAAATTGTGTCTGTATTGAACATGTACATACATTTTTCCTTGTCATTATTCTCTAAATGATATAGTATAACAACTATTTTTATAACATTTACATTGTCTTAGATATTATAAGTAATCTAGAGATGATCTAAAGTTATGGCAGGATGTGTATAGTTTACATGTAAATAGTACCCCTATTTTATATCAGGAATTTGAGCATTCATTGATTTTGCTGTTTCAGGGGGTCCTGGAACACATTCCCCAGTGGATATTGTGGGACAACTGTACTATAGTCTCATCCCTCATTCACTTACACATGAAATTAAAACAATAATCTTCTGTTAATTTTTATAATTCACATAGTCTCAAGAGAGTGTGCTTAAAGCTTCTAATGTTCCCCATATCAGGAATTTAAAGATTAATTCCAAGAAGCTGACAAAATAAAAAAAAATTATATTAAAAGTGACTGACTTTATTTTTCAAATAGAGGCAGGACTGGATTGCAACTCTGACTTGGATGGACAGAGCAGCGTGCAGAGGCTCGCATCATAAATATTAGCTTCAGAATGAGTGCAAGAGCAAAGCAGGAATCCCGAGAGGACCAACAGACCCTCTGAAGGAAGCAGATTGTTCCTGTAGGACCCAGGAAACACACCAAATACTGTGAGTGCCCAAACCGTGGAAGTGGGAAAGGGACATCCTCCACCCCCGAAAACACATCCCCACTGGGGAAACTGAAGATCTAGTTTGCAGGAGAAGTTTCCAACCTTACCTGGAGCCGAGTCAATTTAGAGAGCTGAGTGAAATACATGGGGTAGAGGAAGCAGCAGGAAAGGTCCTGGGAGCTGGCTGGGTCCCCAAGCAGGCCATTCCTGCCTGGTGTCACAGGGATCCTTTGGGAGGGCGGCCAGAGGCTCAGGGGAAAATGCCACAGGGAGAAGGTAGAGCTGAACTTTGTAAGAATTTGAACTGGGCGAGAAGCTTCCTGGCCAGAACTCGGGGGAGGATGTGAATCCAGCATGTAGACTCCACAGGCAGGGGAAAAACCAAAGCCCTTTTCTTTCACAGCTGGGAGATGGGGAGCCTGGGGTAAGTTCTCAAGCCCTGCTAGCCCACTGGCCTGGAAACAGACTTGGTGCTGTTAGAGGGGGCACTGCAGGAATGAGATTGACCCTTTGGATTGTGTGGGAGCTGGGTGAGGCCTGTGACTGCCGGCTTTCCCCCACTTCCCTGACAACCTGCCTGACTCAGCAGAAGCAGCCATAATCCTCCTAGGTACACAACTCCATTGACCTGGGACCTTACCCCCATTCTCCACAGCAGCTGCAGCAAGACCTGCCCAAGCAGAATCTGAGCTCAGACATGCATAGCCCTGCCCCACCTGATGGGCCTTCCCTACCCACCCTGGTAGCTGAAGGGAAAGGGCATATAATCTTGGGAGTTCTAAGGCCCTAACACCACTGGTTCCTCTCCATAATACCACAGCTGATGCTCTCTGGAAAGTGCCACCTCCCAACAGGGGCCAACCAGCAGGAAAATAGAACATTAAACCACCAAAGCTAAGAACCCTCACAGAGTCCGTTTCACCCCCTGCCACCTCCACCAGAAGAGATGCTGGTATCCATGGCTGAGAGACCCATAGACGGTCTACATCACAGGACTCTGTGCAGACAGCCCTCAGTACCAGCCTGGAGCCTGGTAGACTTGCTGGGTGGCTAGACCCAGAAGACAGATAACAGTCACTGCAGCTCAGCTCTCAGGAAGCCACATCCATAGAAAGAGGAGGAAAGAACTACATTAAGGGAACACTCCGTGGGACAAAAGAATCTGAACAACAGTCTTCAGCCCTAGACCTTCCCTCTGACAGAGGCTACCCAAATGAGAAGGAACCAGAAAACCAACTCTGGTGATATGACAAAACAAGGCTCTTTAATACCACCAAAAAAAATCACACAAGCTCACCAGCAATGGATCCAAACCAAGAAGAAATCCCTGATTTACCTGAAAAATAATTCAGGAGGTTAGTTGTTTTCTCTTTCTTTTCTCTCTCTTTTTTTTTTTTTGACATGGAGTCTCGCTCTTGTTGCCCAGGCTGGAGTGCAGTGGTGCAATCTCAGCTCACCGCAACCTCCGCTGCATGGGTTCAAGTGATTTTCCTGCCTCAGCCTCCTGAGTAGCTGGGATTACAGGCACCCACCACCATGCCTGGCTAATTTTTGTGTTTTTAGTAGAGACGGGGTTTCACCATGTTGGTCAGGCTGGTCTTGAACTCCTGACCTCAGGTGATTCACCTGCCTTGGCCTCCCAAAGTGCTGGTATTACTGGTGTGAGCCACCGTGCCTGGCCCAGGAGGCTAGTTATTAAGCTAATGAGGGAAGCACCAGAGAAAGGTTAAGCCCAGTGCAAGGAAATCCTGAAAATGATACAAGAAGTGAAGGGAGAAATATTCAAGGAAATAGCATGAAAAAGAATAATCAAAACTTCAGGAAACACTGGACACACTTATATAAATGCAAAATGCTCTGGAAAGTCTCAGCAATAGAATTAAGCAAGTAGAATAGAGAAATTCAGAGCTCAAAGACAAGGTCTTCAAATTAACTCAATCCATCAAAGACAAAGAAAAAGGAATAAGAAAATATGAACAAAGCCTACAAGAAGTCTGGCATTACGTTAAATGACCAAACCTAAGAATAATTGGTGTTCCTGAGGAAGAAGAGAAATCTAAAAGTTTGGAAAACATATTTGGGGGAATAATCAAGGAAAGCTTCCCTGGCCTTGCTAGAGACCTAGATATCCAAATATAAGAAGCATGAAGAACACCTGGGAAATTTATTGCAAAAAGATCATTGTCTAGGCATATTATTATCAAATTATCTAAAGTTAAGACAAAGGAAAGAATCTTAAGAGCTGTGAGGTGAAAGCCCCAGGTGACCTATAAAGGAAAACCTATCATATTAACAGCAGACTCCTCAGCAGAAACCCTACAAGCTAGAAGAGATTGGGGCCCTATCTTCAGCCTCCTCAAACAGAACAATTGTCAGCCAGGAATTTTGTATCCAGTGAAACTAAGCATCATACATATAGGAAAGATAACAGTCTTTTTCAGACAAATAAATGCTGAGAGAATTCACCACTATCAAGAAACCACTACAAGAACTGCTAAGAGGAGCTCTAAATTGTGAAACAAATCCTGAAAACACATCAAAACAGAACCTGTTTGAAGCATAAATCACACAGACCCTATAAACAAAAATACAATTTGAAAAGCAAAAACAAAACCCCAAAAAAACCAAGGTACACAGGCAACAAATAGCACGATGAATGGAATGGTGCCTCACATCTCAATACTAACATTGAATGTAAACAGCCTAAATGCTCCACTTAAAAGATCAGAACTACAGGATGGATAGAACTCACCAACCAACTATCTGTTGCATTCAGGAGACTCACCTAAAAATAAGGACTCACATAAATTTAAAGTAAAGGGGTAGAAAAAGGTATTTCATGCAAATGGACACCAAAAGTGAGCAGCGGTAGCTATTCTTGTATCAGACAAAACAAATTTTAAAGTGACAGCAGTTAAAAGAGACAAATAGGGACATTGTATAATGGTAAAAGGCCTTGTCCAACAGGAAAATGTCATCCTAAACATATATGCAAGTAACACTGGAGCTCCCAAATTTATAAAACAATTACTAATAGGCCTAAGAAATGAGATAGACAGCAATACAATAATAGTGGGGAACTTGAATACTCCACTGACAGCACTAGACAGGTCATCAAGACAGAAAGCCAACAAAGAAACAATGGATTTAAACTATGCCTTGGAACAAATGGACTTAACAGATATATACAGAACATTTCATCCAACAACCACAGTATATATATTCTATTCAACAGTGTATGGAACTTTCTCCAAGATAGACCATATGATAGGCTACAAAGTGAGCCTCAATAAATTTAATAAAATTGAAATTATACCAAGCACTCTCTCGGACCACAGTAGAATACAATTGGAAATCAACTCCAAAAGAGACCTTCAAAACCATGCAAATACATGGAAATTAAATAACCTGCTCCTGAATGATCATTGGGTCAAAAACGAAATCAAGATGGAAATTAAGAAATTCTTCTAATTGAATGACAATAATGACACAACCTATGAAAACCTCTGGAAAACAGCAAAGGCAGTGCTAAGAGGAAGGTTTATAGCCCCCAAAAATGACATCAAAAAGACTGAAGGAGCAGAAAATGACATTCTAAGGTCACACCTCAAGGAACTAGAGAAACAAGAACAAACCAAACCCAAACCCAGCAGAAGAAAGGAAATAACCAAGATCAGAGCAGAACTAAATGAAATTGAAACAAACAAAAATACAAAAGATAAATGAAACAAAAAGCTGGTTCTTTGAAAAGATAAATAAAGTTGTTAGACCATTAGCAAGATTAAACAAGAAAAGAAGAGAGAAAATTCAAATAACCTCATTAAGAAACGAATCGGGAGGTACTACAGCTGACACCACTGAAATACAAAAGATCATTCAAAGGTACTATGAACACTTTTACGCACATAAACTAGAAAACCTAGAAGAGATGGACACATTCCTGGAGAAATACAACCCTCCTAGCTTAAATCAGAAAGAGTTAGATACCCTGAACAGACCAATAACAAGCGGCAAGATTGAAATGGTAATTTAAAAATTATGAACAAAAAGAAGTCTGGGACCAGATGGATTCACAGCTGAATTCTACCAGACCTTCAAAGAAGAATTGGTACTAATCCTTTTGACACTATTCCACAGCATAGAGAAAGAGGGAACCCTCCCCAATTCATTCTATGAAGCCTGCATCACCCTAATACCAAAACCAGGAAAGGACATAGCACAAAAAGAAAACTACAGACCAATATCCCCGATGGACACAGACACTAAAATCCTTAACAAAATATTAGCTAACTGAATCCAACAACACATTAAAAAGAGAATCCACCATAATGAAGTGGGTTTCATACGAGGGATGCAGGGATGGTTTAATATATGCAAGTCAATAAATGTGATACACCACATAAAGAGAATTAAAAACAAAAATCACATGATCATCTCAATAGATGCAGAAAAAGCATTTGACAAAGTCCAGCCTTCCTTTATTATTAAAACTCTCAGCAAAATCAGCATACAAGGACACACCTCAATGTAATAAAAGCCATCTATGACAAACCCACAGCCAACATAATACCGAATGGGGAAAAGTTGAAAGCATTCCCTCTGAGAACTAGGAACAAGACAACGATGCCCACTCTCACCACTCCTCTTCAACACAGTACTGGAAGTCATAGCCAGAGCAATCAGACAAGAGACAGAAATCAGTAAAGAGGAAGTAAAACTGTCACTCTTTGCTGATGATGCAATCGTTTACCTTGAAAACCCTACAGATTCCTTCAGAAAGCTCCTAGAACTGATAAAAGAATTCAGCAAAGTTTCTGGATACAAGATTAATGTACACAAATCGGTAGCTCTTCTATACAAGAAGAGCAACCAAGTGGAGAATCAAATCAAGAACTCAATCTCTTTTACAATAGCTGCAATAAATAAATAAATAAATAACTTAGGAATATATCTAACCAAGGAGGCGAAAGACCTCTACAAGGAAAACTACAATACACTGCTGAAAAAAAATCATAGATGACACAAACAAACGGAAATACATCCCATACTCATGGATGAGTAGAATCAATATTGTGAAAATGACCATACTGCCAAAAGCAGTTTACAAATTCAACGCAATCCCCATCAAAATACCACGATCATTCTTCACAGAATTAGAAATAACAATTGTAAAATTCATATGGAACCAAAAAAGAGCCTGCACAGCCAAAGAAAGACTAAGCAAAAAGAACAAATCTGGAGGCATCCCGCTACCTGATTTCAAACTATACTGTAAGGCCATAGTCACCAAAACAGCATGGTATTGGTATAAATATAGGCACATAGACAAATGGAACAGAATAGAGAACTCAGAAATAAACCCAGATACAGCCAACTGGTCTTTGACAAAGCAAACAAAAATATAAAGTGGGGAAAGGGCACCCTTTCAACAAATGGTGCTGGGATAATTGGCTAGCCACCTGTAGGAGAATGAAACTGGATCCTCATCTCTCACTTTGTACAAAAATCAACTCAAGACGGATTAAGGACTTAAACCTAAGACCTGAAACTAAAAATTCTAGAAGATAACATTGGAAAAACCCTTCTAGACACTGGCTTAGGCAAGGATTCCATGACCAAGAACCCAAAAGCAAATGTAATAAAAACAAAGATAAATAGCTGGGACTTAATTAAACTAAATAGCTTTTGCACAGCAAAAGGAACAGTCAGCAGAGTAAACAGCCCACAGAGTGGGAGAAAAATCTTCACAATCTATACATTTGACAAAGAACTAATATGCAGAATCTACAATGAACTCAAACAAATCAGTAAGAAAAAAGCAAACAAGCCCATCAAAAAGTGGGCTGAGGACATGAATAGACAATTCTCAAAAGAAGATATGCCAATGGACAACAAACATATGAAAAAATGCTCAACATCACTAATGATCAGAGAAATGCAAATCAAAACCACAATGCAATGCCACCTTACTCCTGCAAGAATGGCCATAATAAAAAAATCAAAAAACAGTAGATGCTGGCATGGATGCAGTGATCAGGGAACACTTCTAAACTGCTGGTGGGAGTGTAAACTAGTACAACTATTATGGAAAACAGTGTGGAGGTTCCTTAAAGAACTAAAAGTAGAACTACCATTTGATCCAGCAATTCCATTACTGGGTATCTACCCAGAGAAAAATAAGTCATTATATGAAAAAGATACTTGCACAAGCATATTTATGGCAGCACAATTCACAATTGCAAATTTGTGGAACCAACCCAAATGCCCATCAATCAACGAGTGGATAAAGAAACTGTGCTCTCTCTCTCTCTCTCTCTCTCTCTCTCTCTCTCTCTCTCTCTCTATATATATATATATATATATATATATATATATATATATATATATATATATATACACAATGGAATACTACTCAGTCATGAAAAGGAGACTTATTCTAAGTGAAGTAACTCAGGGGTAGAAAACCAAACATCGTATGTTCTCACTGATATGTGGGAGCTAAGCTATGAGGACACAAAGGCATAAGAATTATACAGTGGACTTTGGGAACTTGGGGGGAAGGTGGAAGGGGGTGAGGTATAAAATACTACAAATAGGGTACCGTGTATACTGCTTGGGTTATGGGTGCACCAAAATCTCACAAATCACCGCTAAAGAACTTACTCATGTAATCAAATACCACCTGTACCCCAATAACCTATGGAAAAATTTTTTAGAAAAGTGACTGACTTAAAACAGAATTTATTTAAGGCAATCATATTTAAAATTGAAAGTATATTTGACTGTATGTTTTTGGAATATCAATAGTAAGCATATTTCTTGGCATAAAGATGGCGATTGCAAAATTTTTATTTAGGTCTTTGTAATTGCTATTTAAGGAGACTTACATATTTGTAAAACCCCTTCTGCTTTAGGAACTTTCAATGTATAGACGTGGTGGTATTGGGAAGGCGGGGGATATGCATGAAAAGAGGTTTATCAAATAGTTAACATAATGTTTATAGCCTTTGACTTGGTACTAAAAAAACAGTAATCTATACCTAAGTATGAGTTCAAATTCTAATAATCCAGCATAGGAAATGACCAGTGAAGGTTATCTGGATGTAGGTGATCATGGGTTTACTGAATTTTTTTAATTTGTGGTGATTACTATTTTAGAATAATATGCTAGCACAAAGATCCTGAGATCAAAAACTAGGCAAAGAGGATAGTGGAGATAAATAAATTCCACAAAGAAAAGTTGAATTTTGTTTTGTTTTGTCTTTGTTTTTGAGAGGGAGTCTCGATCTGTCGTGCCCAGGCTGGAGTGCAGTGGGGCGATCTTGGCTCACTGCAACCTCTGCCTCCCAGGTTCAAGCCATTATCCCACCTCAGTCTCCCAAGTAGCTGGGATTACAGGCACCTGCCATCATGCCTGGCTAATTTTTTGTATTTTTAGTAGAGATGGGGTTTCACCATGTTGGCAAGGCAGGTCTCGAACTCCTGACTTACAGATGATCCACCCGCCTCGGTCTCCCAAAGTTCTGGAATTACAGGCGTGAGCCACTGCACCCAGCCAAAAAAAGTTGAATTTAAGACAGTAATTCCAACTTCTATTCTACAATAAAGTTCTCCTTTTCATACTATTGTTAAGAAATATTATTTAAAACTTAAAAATAAGGCAAAGGGATGAGGGTCAATAGGTTTATTCATTGCCACACTGGGGCTTCATTTAATGAGCTTACCTAAGGATATTTTAATTATCTAGGGAAATGTATCTGTGTTTCATTTTGCTATTTTCTATTTGATTGGAGTCCAGACACATGTTAATTTGAATTTTTCTGTTCAGAAAGGGAAGATAAGAAAGAAAGAGAAGATAAGCCCAAATGTTATGATTTTATAACACTGTAAGACACTAATCAAATTTGTATCTTACGTAGCAAACTTATTTTTATTCTTACTTTGTTTTCCCAAAATGCCTATAAATGCCAGTTCCTCAAAATACCCTCAGAACCAGCTTTAAGATCTTAGTGGATCCCTCATTAATGAGCTAAAACATTTTGACATGTATTCATCTGTAATTGTAAGGAAAACATGTTTTTTTGTTTTTTGAAAATTGTATTTTGACTCTGTAGACAAAAGGCAAATAGAGTAATTTACAGTTTAGCTTTCTGTGATCTGAAATAGCTAGAAAGTAGGAGCCAGGTATGAGTCATTTCCTTAGAGTCTAATATATTGATGTGTCTTTTAAGATAGATAGTTTTAATTAGTAAGTAGAAGTATGAACCATCTCTGGTTCATTATATTAAGTAGGATGATATGAAATTGAAATTTTAATAAGTCAAATAATTGAATATCGAACATTTCATATGACTTAACCTATTATTTGCAATTGAGACAGAGACGTTATTAAAATTTCTCTGTAATTGGGTAATAGCAGGAAGAGTCTAGTTTGTGTATGATTTCTGATGCAACAGGGCCATTTTCATCCTGGAGTTTATTTTTCTAATTGGCACTGAATAAATTTCCCATATTATGAAGAGGAATGAATGTTCATGTAATGCCAGAGAAGAAAATATACAGCATTTGGATGCCCAAATAGAATCTTTATGGTGATGAAACAAACAATTCGCGCAATGCTTGCCAAAGTGAATAATTACTGCTCTGACAAAGTTAAGCTGGAGCAGTGTTTAGCTTTCGAGGACAATGAGCAGATGGCCTGTTCTCATAATAGGAATGACGCAGGGTCACTTATTTGAGTTAGTTACTGTGATTCATTGGTTTTACATCATATGTTGGAAAACAAGATTAGTTATGGATATGTTTGGATGACTTTGCTTGTCAGCTTCCTTTAAATAGTCTTAAAATATTTAAAACCCTGAAATAAAAGAAGTGAGATGGAAATATTGGATGACTTATTTATTGTTCATTTATAGAATCTGGTATTAATCTCAATAACACTTTTGGAGGCACTACAGAATGAGACAAGTGGCATGGTTGTAAACCTTAGCATAAATTTTTATTATAAAATTCGGTGCCTTTTCCAAAATAGCACTGTCCTTGGAATGTCTTCCTGAACTTCCTTTACTTGAACCTATTAAGTGGACTCTTTTTGTTAGTTAAATGTATCCTTAAATCTCATCTCTTTTTCAAAATGTTTCAGTGCTGATCATATTGTAGAGCCACGCACTCATGAGGCTTTACCTCATCTTTCTTCAGTTTTGAATTGCATTGGATATATACCTTGCTGTATGTATATGTGTGTCTTACTTAGAAGTTCTTATTCTGTTGATTTTTATAGGAATTTTATCAATTTATAGTGGTATCTCTATATGGATAACCATAGCAGCACACATACACCAAATGAGATACTGCATGTGATGTGTTTTTTGAATTATAAAATAGCAGACAAATATAAATAATGATTGTTAACCTATTTCTACTGAATTGTAAAATTCCATAGTGTAGTGGTTAGGCTATATTTATGAAATTCCTTGTTATCTCATTATATAAGATCAAGCACTTGTGATGATGGTAGTTAGAAAGGGAGAAGAATTAATATCAGTACAGCTTTTGTATGTTCTTGGTTCCATTTAAGATCTAAAGAAAAAGCTCGTCACTTATTTTACAATTCTAAAAATTGTTAAGTACCATTGTGATAGTTTAAGAGATTTGTGATTTTTGCTGGGATCTCCCAGGACTTAGTGCAGTAGGAGTTTAATAAAATTTGTTAATGAATGAGTGAAAATGTGGCTATATGATAGATAAAATTATTTTTAGGACTATGTATATTTTGTCTAACTTGGCTATTTAGAGCTTTAACATTTGCTAAGTTGTATTTCCTGATATAACCCATTTGAAAAAGTGGTCAATAAACATAGATGCATGAGAAGTTAACTGTTGACTAATTGAAGGAAGACACTGAGTGATTTAATATACCCTAAATTATAAATTCATCTCTGTGGCATTGTAAGCTTCTTTTTCTTTTTCTGTCTGTCTATACACAGAGAAGTATGTGTGTGTATATATACACACATACATCTACACATACATATACATATATGTACATAGAAGTGATAGAAATTTTTGTTGCTTTATGGTGTTCAGGTCTTTTCTATTCATCCTTTTATCTACAAAAACAACCCTTAAAAAATTGCATTACCTAATATTTATTCTTCAAAGGAATACTGTCTCAGTGTATTTTTTAAAGAAATTAGCTGTGAATATTTCTCAAGGTAGACTATATATGTATAGGGGTTTTTGCTATGATATTATACATATTTAAGGGATTGATTGATGATGTTAGAGTAAAATCATTTAGATGTCACATCAATGTAAAATAAAAGCCAATAATTTTAAAAGCAGTTTGAAATTGCTCATATTGATAATTTTTTACAATAGTACTATCATGTTTCTTGAAAGAAATCCATTGACTTTTATAGTGAAGTTTAACAATCACTTTCTCTTACATTTCATTTTAAAATGCTTTCCTACAATAAATGTCCACAAATTATAGAAATAAAATGCCAACTACAGTACAATCACATATCAAACCAAAATAGCCCATCATATTTTATTTATAACTAGGTACCAATCATAATGCAGAGAATAAAAACAGGAAAAACCCATATGTACCAAGCTGTACAGCTAAGGGTGCAAAACTCCTGGATCTATTCCTTGGGTGATCACGAGGTCTTTATTTTTAAATTTTATTTGTATTTAAAAAAAATTCCAACTTTTATTTTAAGTTCAGGGTTACATGTGCAGGGTGCGCAGGTTTGTTACATAGATAAACATGTGTCATGATGGTTTGCAGCACAGATCATCCTATCACCCAGGTATTAAGCCCAGCATCCATTACCTGTTCTTGCTGATGCTCTCCCTCCACCCATCCCTCACCCTCCAACAGGCCACAGTGTGCGTTGTTCTCCTCCATGTGTCTATTTGTTCTCATCATTCGGCTGCCACTTATAAGTGAGAACATGAGGTATTTGATTTTCTGTTTCTGCCTTAGTTTTCTGAAAATAATGGCTTCAAGCTCCATCCATGTTCTTGTGAAGGACATGATCTCATTTCCTTTTATGGCTGCATAGTATTCTAAGGTGTATATGTACCACATTTTCTTTATCCAGTCTATCATTGATGGGCATTTAGGTTGATTCCATGTCTTTGCTATTGTGAATAGTGCTGCAGTTAACACACACATGCATGTGTCTTTATAATAGAACAATTTATATTCTTATGGGTATATACCCAGTAATGGGATTGCTGGGTTGAATGGAATTTCTGCCTCTAGGTCACTGAGGAATCACCACACTGTCTTCCACAATGGTTGTACTAATTTACACTCCCACCAACAGTGTAAAAACATTCCTTTTCTCTACAACCTCACCAGCATCTGATTTTTGACTTTTTAATAATAGCCATTCTGACTGGCATGAGATGGTATCTCATTGTAGTTTTGATGTGCATTTCTCTAATGATCAGTGATGTTGAGCTTTTTTTCATGTTTGTTGGCCTCATATATGTCTTCTTCTGAGAAGTGTCTGTTCATGTCCTTTGCCCACTTTTTAATGTTTTTTTTTTTTTTTTTTTTTTGTAATTTTGTTTAAGTTCCTTAGAGATGCTGGGTATTAGACCTTTGTCAGATGCATAGTTTGCAAAAATTTCCTCCTATATTGAGGTTGTCTGTTTACTCTGTTGATAGTTCCTTTTGCTGTGTAGAAGCTCTTTAGTTTAATTTGATCCCATTTGTCGATTTTTGCTTTTGTTGCAATTGCTTTTGGTGCCTTCATCATGAAATCTTTGCCCATGCCTATGTCCTGAATGGTATTGCCTAGGTTTTCTTCTAGGGTTTCCCCATCAAACAACCATTGACATTCTTCACAGAATTAGAAGAAACTATTTTAAAATTCATATGGAACCAAAAAAGAGCCAGAATAGCCAAGACAATCCTAAGCGAAAAGAACAAAGTTGGAGGCATCAAGCTACTCAACTGCAAACTATTTGACAGGGCTACATTTGGGCTTTACATTTAAGTCTTTAATCCACCTTGGGTTGATTTTTGTATATGCTGTAAGGTAGAGGTCCAGTTTTAATTTTCTGCATATGGCTAGCCAGTTCTCCCATCACCATTTATTAAATAGGGAATCCTTTCCCCATTGCTTGTTTTTGTCAGATTTGTTGAAGATCAGATGGTTGTAGGTGTGCAGACTTATTTCTGGGTTCTCTAGTCTGTTCTGTTGGTCTATGTGTCTGTTCTTGTACCAGTACCATGCTGTTTTGGTTACTGTAGCCCTGTCAAATAGTTTGAAGTTGAGTAGCTTGATGCCTCCAACTT
Source organism: Homo sapiens (assembly GCF_000001405.40). Taxonomy (NCBI): domain Eukaryota; kingdom Metazoa; phylum Chordata; class Mammalia; order Primates; family Hominidae; genus Homo; species Homo sapiens. The sequence goes on along the minus strand of NC_000012.12, from coordinate 18,833,606 downwards.
TGTTCTTCTTGCTTAGGATTGTCTTGATTATTTGGGCTCTTTTTTGGTTCCATATGAATTTTAAAATAGTGTCTTCTAATTCTGTAAAGAATGTCAATGGTAGTTTGATGGGGAAAGCACTGAATCTATAAATTGCTTTGAGCAGTTTGGCCATTTTTACAATATTGATTCTTCCTATCCACGAGCATAAAATGTTTTTCCATTTGTTTGTGTCCTCTCTGATTTCTTTGAGCAGTGGTTTGTAGTTCTCCTTGAAGAAGTCCTTTACTTCCCTTGTTAGCTGTATTCCTAGGTATTTTATTCTTTTTGTGGCAATTGTCAATGGGAATTCATTAATGGTTTGGCTCTTGGCTTGCCCATTATTGGTGTATAGGAATGCTAGCGATTTTTGCACATTGATTTTGTATCCTGAGACTTTGCTGAATTTGCTTATCAGCTTAAGAAGCTTTTGGGCTGAGACAATGGGGTTCTCTAGATATAGGATTATGACATCTGCAAACAAAGATAGTTTGACTTCCTCTCTTCCTATTCGAATACACTTTCTTTCTTTCTCTTCCCTGATCACCCTGGCTGGAACTTCCAATACTATGTTGAAGAAAAGTGGTGAGAGAGGGCAACTTTGTCTTTTGCTGGTTTTCAAGGGGAATGTGGCCAGCTTTTGCCTATTCAGTATGACATTGGCTCTGGGTTTGTCATATGTGGCTGGCTCTTATTATTTTGAGATATGTTCCTTCAACACCTAGTTTATTGAGTTTTTAACATGAAGGAATTTTGAATTTTATTGAAGGCCTTTTCTGCATCTATTGAGATAATCATGTGGTTTTTGTCTTTAGCTCTGTTTATGTGATGAATCACAGTTATTGATTTGCGTATGTTGAACCAACTTTACATCCCAGGGATAAAATCTACCTTGATCATGTTGGATAAGCTTTTTGATGTGTTACTGGGTTTGGTTTGCCAGTATTTTGTTGAGGATTTTTGCGTCAATATTCATCAAGGATATTAGCCTGAAGTTTTCTTTTTTTGTTGAATCTCTACCTGGTTTTGGTATAAGGATGATGTTGGCCTCAAATTAGTGAGGAGTACCTCCTTTTCACATTTTTGAAATAGTTTCAGTAGGAATGGTACCAGCTCTTCTTTGTACCTCTGGTAGAATTCAGCTGTAAATCCATCTAGACCTGGGCTTTTTTTTTTTTTTTTTTGGTTGGTAGTCTATTTATTACTGCCTCAATTTCAGAACTTGTTATTGGTCTTTTCAGGGATAGAATTTCTTCCTGGTGCACTACTGGGAGGGTGTAAGTGTCTAGGAATTTATCTATTTTCTAGGTTTTCTAGTTTATCTGCATAGAGGTATTTATAATATTCTCTAATGGTGAGGTCTTTAATAGACTTAGAATATTTTTCTTTCTTGTTGCAAAGATTACTCTGAAATATAAGAATTTAATGACTAAACAAATGAATTCTCCTGGATCCAATTTTGAAAACATTTGACCTTGAATAGTTCAAACTAAGGGCATATTTGCCTTAGTCTCAGGAATAGAACTCATGTATCTAAATTCTTGCGTTCTAGTATCAGTCAGTTTGAAATTCTATACAGGACACTTGCATATGCTAATCTCTGTCTTGTCTCCTTTTTGTACCTGAGCAAATTTTAGTCATCCTTCAAATATCAACACAAATGTCCCTTCCTTGGGGAAGCCCTTTTTAATGACCTCAAATCTCTTTATTATAAGCTTTCATATTACCATAGCCTTCTCATTTTATAGAAATTATTAATTTCATACTTTTGTATGATTATTTGATTCTCCTCCCTGTTTTCCACTCAACTGCAGTCTTTGAGATTAAGAACTGTTTCTGCTTTTGCTATTCATTTTTTTTTTCACTGAGTATAGTGGTTGGCTTATTGTAGGCATTAAATACACCACAATTGAATGAATGAATGAGTATGTTAGTTTGTACTCAATACATTAATTGGAGATAATCTGAGGGAAGAAGAGAAAGAAAATGAAGGAAATAAAAATGCATTTGGAGATGGTGGGATGAGTAGTAAAATATTATCCTCAAATGTAAGGTTGGTGCACATAACTCATTGTGTCCTAGCATAGCTCACTGCATTGCTTAATTTGAAGTTACCTAAATAAGAAATGTAATGGATGTAACAACGACATTCTAGCCAAGGTTTTTATAGCCATTGAGGACCTAATCACAGTGCATAATGTACTTTGTTATGGTTTCACAGCCCCCCATTAAAGAAAGCTATTGGAATGACAATCATTACTAAGTTTTGCCCGCTGTTAAATTCCTTTAATCTATTATTTCTTCAGCCAAAAAGTATGTAGAAGATGAAGGAAGGAACTTGTGAAGGAAGTTGGTTATTATATAATTTCACAATCAGTTCTCAGATAATTTAGGAAGCAGTGGATTATCGCTCCAATGAGTTAACCAAATAATTTTAAAAATCCTACCTCTAATATTGGGATGAGATTGGAAAATAAAAAAAAATTAAATTTGATATTTTAACTCTACTGCATATGCTCAGTGTTTATTTTGGCTTTTTTTTTTTTTTAGAGGACTATGATATGGTCAAGATTAATAAAAATGCTGATGTATGTTACAGGAAGACATGTTCCTAATTCAACCTTGCTTTATGCTTTAATATATGTTTTAGGTACAAGAAATTCCTTTCTTTTTCCCCCAGAAGATATTAAGAAAACATTTGTAATGATGAATGACAATGCCACCAGTAATTCTAATATAAAAATCTGTGCTCTGAAATACAGAAGTATCCCTACAAAAATACTGTTGGTGGCTTGTGCTGTTTGTCTTACTGGCTCCCCGGTCTTCATCCTTTAAGTCTTTTCATCATGCATCAGGCTCAGATACCAACTCCCTGGTGTTTTTACAACTATGGATAATGTGGACAGAATTACCTCCCTCTAGAGAGTCATCAGAAACTGCTATGGTGCTGCTGATAGCCTGCTTATCTGCTGCAATGTAATAAGTCTTGTCCTTAAAAAAGCTTCTGCTTATGGCTAGTTAGCTCAGTTTGCTAGGTTTCTAATGAGGCCAAGTTCATGGTGCAGAACTTTAATACACTCTATCAGCTTTTTACCATTTTTTAGCCATGTACTATTCCTAATCCCTGTCCAATTGTCTTACAAAATGCATGCTGTTATTAGCAATAGGAACTGGGCAAGAAAGGAAATAGATCATGACAAATCTCTCACTTCTGATAAATAGCCAAAATAAATAGGAAAATTAAATAATATCAATTTTGTAAATGGAGGTCAACATATCATTATTATGGTAAATTATTTTCCCAAGAAGTTGTGGTTCTTCTCATTGATTATTTGGCTATTAAGCTCTCCCACTCTCTGATTTCTTCTTTTATATAGAAATGTTCAGATTTTATCCAGGAATGATTGTTACACTTACAAATGTAGAATAGTGCTTTATATGCAGCAGACTGCCAATAAATGTTTATTAAATGACTTTGGAATTTTGAGTGCAAGAAAGAATAACAAACCAGAGGGACTTTGCATTGTCTTCCAATTTTCTAAGCAAATAGTAATTATGCTATTTGGTGTCAATAGAATAAATAATTCCAAATATTTCATTAAAAATAGACTGTCGTATAACATATATTATGTTAAATTCAATTCATTTTTCCTGACTTGCCCTCTGAGCACTCTTGCCTTATTTGCAACTACCTATGGAATATTTACATTGGATAACCAAGCTATACATGCACAACAGAAAATGCCTGGAAGATGCTATACGTCTATTAATGGTTGGACTTTTGTATGAAACTCCAGTGTAGGTTCCTGATGGAGGTGGAGGATGCCTTGTACTTTTAAAATAGTAGAGACGGCCTAATCCTCCCATCTTGGCCCAAGCGGTGCTTTAATTGTAGCCAAAATTTATCTCCCAAATATTGCAGAAATTTGCAGCTAAGAATGTCATAAAAACTGTTCTGAAACCAGTGAGCATTAAAAAACTTTAGCAGAAGAAAATATAAATTTAATCCACAGTGGTAAACCTCTACAGTCCAGGACACATGTAACTTTTGTAAATGATAAATCCCACTGAATATGGGAAATATGACAAATCATGCAACAAGATAAACAGATGAAATAAATGAAAGTATTCATACCTAAGAAGAACCAGAATGATCTAAGAAAAGCTCTAAGATAAGTGTGCCTAAAATGTTCAAAAGTTATCTCTTGAGAAATAAGATAATCCACAAAACAAGAGCATAGCATCAGAAGGAAACAGCAGACAGATTGTAAATCACCAAATAAACATTATATAAATGCAAGGGGTAGTTATTGAAATAAAAATGTCAAGGATGAATTAACAGTAGAGTAGACAAGGTTGAAGAGAGAATTGTTTAATTGAATGACAGCTCTGAGGAAATAATTCTGAAAGTAGCATAGTAAGGAAAGGGGCAGAAAATACTTAAGAGATGTGAGGAGATGTGAAACAGGCCTAAAAATTCTGACATGTCTAATATGCAGTGTAGACTTGAATTAGGAGGCAGAATTGAACAAAGATTTGAACACTCATATTAAAAAAAAGCATACAGGGCCATGAGAAAGATAAATAATAGTAAATCTATAGTTGAGCATTGTTTATTTATTCAGTAATCAGAAAAAAAGTTTTGGAGACTTATTATGTGTCAGGTACTGTTCTGGACACTTGGGATTGTTCAAAGCCGACAAATGTCCAGTTCTCATAGAGCTTACATTGTAATATGTGGGTGGAGAAGAGAGATAATAAATAAATGGTACATCAGGTAGTTATGGGTGATAAGAATAAAGTAAAGCAGAGATAGGGAGTAGGAAATACTAGGGGTGGGGCAGGGTAGGTAAGGGTTCTTGTTTTATATAGATATGCCAGGAAAGAGCCCTTTGAAAAGGGCACATTTGAACAGAGAGACTTGAAGGGAATGAGTCATATAAGTATATGTATGCAAGTAGGCAGTAAAGAAGTAGGAAATGCCTGGTATGATGAGGAGCAGCAAGGAGTCCAGTGCACCTGGAGTAAAGCATTAATCCAAAAGGGAAAAACTGATAAATTGAACTATACTAACATCAAAACATTCTGTTCCCTAAAAGATGCCATTTAGTGAATGAAAAGGCAAGGTACAGAGTAGAGAAGGTATTTGCAGTCCTATTAAAGGACTGCTATCTACAATATATGAAAACAATAGAGTAGTAAGAAAAAGACAAAACACTTAGTAGAAAAATGGGCAAAATATTTTAATAAGACTTCAAAAAGTAGGTATCAAAAATGCCCACAAACAGATAAGATGCTCAACCTCATTAGTTATTAGGAATATGCACTTAAAACCACATTATGATGTCACATCACACCAAGAAATGGCTAAAAAAGATTTACAATACCAAGTCTCAGTGAGAATATGGAGCAACCAGATTTCTCAAATGTTGCTAGTGGGAATGTAGACTGGTACAACCACTTTGCAAAACTAGGAGTGTCTAAGTTGAACACAATTACATCTCATGACACAATAATTCCAGTTGTAGCTATTACTCAACTGAAATGTATACGTTTAATTACCATGTAATATGCAAGCACATGTTGCATATTGATGTTTTAGTCAGTGATGAATTGTTTATATGACAGTGGTCCCATAAGATTATAATGTAATGGAGCTGAAAAGTCGCTACTGCCTAGTGATGTTGTAGCCATCACAATGTCATAGTGCAATACACTATTCATGTGTTTGTGGTGATGCTGATGTAAAGACACCTACTGTGCTGTCAGTTGTATAAAAATAGAGCACATACAATTTTGTAGAGTACATAATGCTTGATAATGATAATAAATAACTGTTACTGATTTATATATTTACTATAGTATGCTTTTAATTGTTATTTTAGAGTGTAATCCTTTTACTTATTAGAAAAGTTATCTGTAAAACAGCCTCAGGCAGATCCTTCAGGAGGTGTTTCAGAAGAAGGCATTGTTGTCATAGGAGATGACAGCTCCACATGTGTTATTGCCCCTGAAGACCTGCCAGTGGGACAAGATATGGAGGTGGGAGACTGATATTGATGATCCTGACCCTGTGCAGGCCTAGGTTGATTTATGTTTATCTTTTAGTTTTTAGCAAAAAAGTTTAAAAATTAAAAAAAGCTTTTAGAAATAGAAGAAAGCTTATAGAATAAGGACATAAAGAAATACAATATTTTTGTACAACTATACAATATATTTGTGTTTTAAGCTAAGTATTATTAGAAAAGACTTAGGAAGTTAAAATAAATTTTGTAAATAACATACAAAAACCAACTCAAAGTGGATTCAAGACTTAATTGTAAAACTGGAAGCAATAAAAACTCTTAGAAGAAACAGGGAAAATGTTTCTAAACATTGAACTGGGGAATGATTTCTTGATTATTATACCAAAAACATAGACAACAAAATAAAAAACAGACAAGTGGAATTACATCAAACTGAAAACTTCTGTACCGAAAAGGCAACTAATGAAGTAAGAGAAAATATTTACAGACCATATACCTGATAAGGTGTTAATACCCCAAATTATAAAGAACTTCTACAACTCAACAACAAAACAAATAAATAATCCAGTTTCTAAAATGGGCTAAGGATATGAATAGACATTCTTTTAAAGAAGACATAGAAATGGCCAAGATTTATATGAAAAAGTGCTCAACATCACTAATCATCAGAGATGAGATATCATGTCACACCTGTTAGAATGGCTGATATCATGTCATACCTGTTAGAAAGGACAAGTGTTGGAGTGGATGTGGTGGAAAAGAAAAAAAACCCTTGTACACTGTTGGCGGGAATGTAAATTGGTACAGCCTCTATGGAAAACAAGAAGGCTGTTTCTCAAAAAATTAAAAAAAATTACCACTGGAGCTAGCCATCTCACTTCTGGATATATAGCCAAAGGAATTGACATCTGGATCTTGAAAAGAATTTTGAAACAACCCCATGCTTATTGCAGCACTATTTGCATTAGCCATGATATGGAAACAACATAAATATCCATAAACAGAAGAATGGATAAAGAAAATGTGGTATATACACTCAATGGAATATCATTCATTTTTTTAAAAGGAAAGAAATCCTGCCATTTGCAACAACAAAAATAGACCTGGAGGAAATGATGCAAAATGAGATAAACATGACACAGAAAGACAAACACTGTGTAATCTCACTTACATGTGGATTGTAAAATAGTCAAACACATAGAAGCAGAGAGTAGCAGGGGCAGGGGGAAGGGAAAATGGAGAGATGTTGGTCAAAGGGTAGAAAGTTTCAGTTATGCAAAATGAATAAGTTCTGAAAATCTACTGTGCAATGTAGGGCCTATTATTACCAGTATTGTATTGTATCCTTAATATTTCCTGAGAGGATAGATCTTATGTTAAGTGCTGTTACCACAAAAGGAAAAGAAACATTATAGGGGTGAGAAGATTCTTTTGGAGGTGATAGATAAATTTACTACGCTGATAGTTTTGAGAGTTTGATGGTTTCACAGGTGTGAACTTATTGCCATGTACATCCAATTGTATATGTTAAATATCTATGGCACATCATATGTTAATCATAAACTGGTTAAAAAATTTATCGTCACTATCATCTCAAGCTATAAGGTGTTCATTTTAGCCAGCAGTTAAGCTTTGTGAATATTATCTACAAGAGAACTGGGTCCCAGCAACATAAATATGGTCAGTACTATTACTATTGTTGGTATCATATAAGCATTATTATTTTCATTTTACTGAGACCCACATAAGTAACTTGTCCCTGGTTATATAGATAGAACATTATGAGAGCTTGGATTCAGAACCATTTCTTTATAATGCTAAAACCAATGTCTTTAAATACAAGTCATTTAATTCTCAAGTAAACATCTAAACTGATTAGTTGACTTATCTTTAATCATCTTATTTACCTGGTTGAATGTTAGGCCACATAAAATGATGACTCCAGCTGTAAGTTACTGTCAGAGGGCTCAGAACAGCATCAAACAGAGCATACACATGCCATTCCCCTTTAACAAGACCGGTTCTCAGCCAGGGTGATTTTGCCCTCCAAGGGATGTTTGGCAATGCCTGCACACATTTTTGGTTGACATAAATGAGAAGGTCATTTAGGGAGTAGAGGCCAGGGATGCTGCTGATTACCCTACATTGCATAGGGCAGCACCCCCACATCAAGGAATCATTTGGTCCAACTGTCAATGGTGACAAGGCTGTGAAACCCTGGCCTACAGGACGGCTTTATGTTACCTGGCTTCTTCACAATTAGTCACTCAGATGGTAAGATTACATTTGGAAGGTGCCAAAGTCTTTTTTACTTTTTCTGCTGACAAACACCATCCACTAGCCCCAGGATTGTCGGAGTGCTTATATTTTACAGTAAATAGTGAAGGTATTATTTTCTGAGAGTTTTATTTAGGACTTAAAATTTTTATCAACACCATTGCCATCTTAGCTCTAGTAAAAATGATAGCTATTACTAAATTAATATCCATTTTGGGCAAGGTACTTTTTTTTTTTAAAGGCAGAGTCTTGTTGTGTTGCCCATGACAGGCTTGACCTCGTGGGGCTCAAGCAATCCTTCCGCCTCAGCCTCCTGAGTAGCTGAATCTACAGGCTCACATTGCACTTTTTATTTAACATTGCAAATCTTCGGAAATTTAGGTATGGGTTGAGCATCCTTCATCCAAAAATTTGAAATCCAAAATGCTCTAAAATCCAGAAGTTTTTGAGCATCAGCATGATACCATAAATAGAAAATTTCATACCTGCCCTCATGTAATGGGTTGTAGTCAAAACTCAGGTGCACAACACACAGTTTATTTGTTGTCCCCAAGGGGAAAAGAGCCTCCCAATTTCCTTCAGCTGTAATACATCATTTCCACACACACCCAGATTTGCCTACGCAAGCATGCTCTTGAAGAATAATAAAATGGCTCGTGTGCAGGCCAAATGTGCCAATGGCAATTTCTTCACAATGCCCCACACAGAGTTAAGACCTATGCATATTACCCGCTGTGTTCTTTTGATTATTTTCTGCTCTGTGGTGTGAAGACATTGTTGAAAACGTCAAAAAAGCCTGCAGATACCCGTATGTGTAACGGCGATAAGAAAAAGAGGAAGCATTTATGTTTATCTATAGCACAGAAAGTTGAGCTGTTGGAGAAAATGAACAGTGGTATAAGTGGGAAATGCTTTTTTTTTTTTTTTTGAGATGGAGCCTCGCTCTGTCGCCCAGGCTGGAGTGCAATGGTGCGAGCTCGGCTCACTGCATCCTCTGCTCCTGGGATCAAACATTATCCTGCCTCAGCTTGCTGAGTAGCTGGGATTACAGGCATGCGGCACCATGCCTGGCTAAATTTTGTACTTTTTTTTAGTAGAGATGGGGTTTCACCATGTTGGCCAGGCTAGTCTCGAACTCCTGACCACAGGTGATCCACCTGCCTAGGCCTTCCAAAGTGCTGGGATTACAGGCGTGAGCCACTGCATCCAGCCAGGAAATGTGTTATAGAAGATTATGGTGTGGGAATGACCACTCTATATGATCTGAAGAAAAAGAAGGAAAACTGTTGAAATTCTATGCTGAAAGTGATAAACAGAATTTAATGAAAAATTTTAAAAAAACACTGCATAAAGCTAAAATGAAGATCTTGATTATGTATTGAAGGAGTGGATCCATCAGCATCACAGTGAGCACATGCCACATGTTTGCATGCTCATGAAACAAGCAAAGATCTATCACAATAAGCTGAAAATTGAAGGGAACTGTGACTATTCAATAGGCTGGTTGCAAAAATTTGAGAAGACATGGCATTAAATTTTTGAAGATTTATGATGACATTGCATCTGCTGATCATGAAGCAGTGGGGAAGTTCATTGACAAATTTACCAAGGTCATCACTGATGAAAATCTTACATCAGAATGAGTTTGTAATGCAGATGAAATGTCACTGTTTTGGTGTTATTGCCCCAGAAAGACACAGACTCCAACTGATGAGACAGTGCCTACAGCAATTAAGAATGCCAAGGACAGAATAACTGTGCTGCGATGTGCCAATGTAGAAGGCATGCATAAATGTAAACTTGTCATGATAGGCAAAAATGTGCATCCTCACTGATTTTCAGGATTGAATTGCTCACCAGTCCATGATTATGCTAACAAACAGGCATGGATAACCGGGGTATCTCTTCTGATTGTTTTTACAAACATTTTGTACCAGTAGCTCATGGTCACTGCAGGGAAGCTGGACTGGATGACAACTGTAAGATTTTGTTATTATTTGACAAGTGTTCTGCTTATTTCCAGCTGAAATTCTCATAAAAAATAATGTTTATGACAAAAAATGGCAAAGTATGGTGGCTTACTCCTGTAATTCCAGCAATTTGGGAGGCTGAGGCAGGAGGATCACTTGAGGCCAAGAGTTCGAGACCTGTTGGGCAATGTAGTGAGACCTCATCAACAGTAATAGTAATAATAAAATAATATTTATGCCATGTATTTTCCACCAAATGAGGCTTCATTAATTCATCCATGTGATCAGGCTATCCTTAGATCAATGAAGAGTAAATATAAAACACTTACTTGAACAGCATGTTAGCAGGAATGAACAGAGATGTGGGTTTGGAAGGTTTTCAAAAGCACTTTAGCACGAAGGATGTCATATATACTGCTACCAACGCTTGGAACACATGATAAAAGACCCAGCTGTGCATGCCCGGCACAACCTCTGTCCTGCAACTACGTTCAGTCATGACAATGAACAAGGTGGTGACTTTGGAGGATTTTGTATGTCAAGTGAGGAAAAACAGATGTCTGACTTCTTTACGTATGCAATAAATATACGTTCAGAGTTTTTGTCAGTAAGTGGCAGAAGTGTACATTGAAGAAGTTTCAACGTCAGTAGTGAGGCTCCAGTTGTTTATGTATTGACTGATGGTGAAATAGCTCAAATAGTTCTGAATCAAGGTGACCATGATATGAGGAGGACGTTGTTAATATTGCAGAAAAATTGTCTATAGGCAGCATGATGAAAATATGTGATGGGCTTATTGAAGGACTAGCACAGTGTGCATTTGTAACAGAACAGGAAATTGCGTCAGTTTATAAAATCCAAGGGAGGCTCCTGAGATGAAAAAATTTTGTTAATAAGGCAGATGACTCTGGGGGAAAGATTTTCTAAAAGCCATTCGGCAGAATGTCTCCTCAACCCTAGAAAACTCAGTTCCTGGTTGCTCATCTGCTTCTGATGTGTCTTCTCATCTAAAAAAATAAAATGTGGTGTACAGTTACCTTTTAATCAAAACATAGCATTGGAGGTGGAGACTGAAGGCCTGTTGTTTGCTGTTGCTGTTGTTTGACAACTGATATAGGTATTCTGGTGATGCTGCTGGAATGCTCACTTACCCTGAAGACATTGCTTTTTCATCATACCAATGGTGTATTTACCATTATGTGTGAATAAGTGTAAGAAAATGATTGCCTATTGGTAGTGTGTAAATTCAGAGTGAGGAATGATGGTGGTGCTAAACAACCACAGACTGTCCCCATGGGTGGCTGAGATGATGACGCCTTTGCTTTCTGATGGTTCAATGTCACAAACTTTGTTTTGTGCTCAAAATTATTAAAAATAGTGTGTAAAATTACCTTCATGTTTATGTGTATGTGGAGTGAATAAAATATAAATGAATTTTGTGTTTGGACTTACGTCCCATCCCCAAAATATCTCATTATGTATATGCAAATATTTCAAAATATGGAAAATTCTGAAATCTGAAGCACAAATATTTCCAAATCTGAAAAAAATCTGAAATCGGAAGCACTTTTGATCCCAAGCATTTCTGATAAGGGATATTTACTGTGTATCATTATCTGCATTTTACACGAGAGCAAACTAAAATTTAGAATTTAGGACTAGTCAAGGTCACACAGCTAGTAAGTAGTGGAAACCAGCTCTGTACAGTTTCAAATTGTGTGTTTTACCCACATTTCTTGTTGCTAAACCTTCCAGGAATGACCAAAGAGCTCGTTTTAATCTTTCTGTTTTATAATTACTTGTAAAAGAACCCAATCTTTGTTAAGTTACTTGGGTTATTTAGATTTTTTCTTAGCTTAGAAAAAAGATCTTACGTTAGTTGAAGGCATTAGTACATTTCTAAATATTTTTCTAATGTTTTAGTAATTATCATTAAAAAATCTGCATTTCTAGGTTCCTTGGATCTACTGGACCCATTGCAACACAGAGTCACCGATTATCCCTTTCTAGCAAGACAGCATAACCTTGGTGCCCTTAATCATCAGTTTCTCAGCTTAGCCACTGAATAGACTTAGAAGGATATTTAGTAGCTGCTGCTTCAGGGAACATAATTGTTGCCCCATGCTTTATTTCATAAGCTGAAATTTTTTTGGACCCACCTAGCTTCACAGTTTAGTCTCTATATTTAGAATAGAATTTAGAAATGAGTTGGCAAGTAGCTAGTGCAATAGATACTATATGGCATATATCCCTACATGTGGTTGAGCAAAAAATCCTATTGTTTAAAGCACTATAATAGAATCTATCAAAATGGAGATATAGTCCAACTCCTGGATCTCCTCTGTTTATAACCAGTAAAAAAGGGAAAGCTTTTTATTTCTCATACTCAGTCTGCTGCAGAGGATTCTCATCCAGATGAAGTGAGAAGGCAATTTACTTTTTTGTTAAATTTGAAATTTTAGATTCTCCAAATGCCAAAACGTTTTTTAAAATCAATTTTTTTTTAGTTTTCTCAATTTGAGGTCATCTGAAATAAGAGATCTTTCAGGAGAAATAATGATACTTTATATATATATATGTATATGTGTGTGTATATATGTGTGTGTGTGTGTGTGTGTGTGTGTGTGTGTGTGTTAGACTCATTTTGGGAAGAAAGGTTCACTTTCTTAGACAATTGAGATTCTTTATAGTAAGGGGAAATTAGTTTTCTCTCCATTTCCCTTCCTATGGTAGATACATAAGAGTGGCTTGTTGGCAAAACACACTGTTCAGGGGCGAGGGTAGGAGATGGAGAGTGAGATTTTTTAGTTTGGTAAGTGAAATTACTCTATCCTGAACAAGACAGGATGTTTTCCTTCACAGAAGGGGTACAGTATTTTTTTTTATGAGCAGGTAAATAATATAGAGCTGAAAATCAGGAAAATCTTGAGCCCAATCCCTGGATGCTTGTGGAGGAACAGTTCTGGAGGATCTAGATTTGAGTGGTGCTGGTTATTATGGAAATTGCCAGAGATTTTAGGACCCTTTCGATGAGACTTTTTGTCTTAATTTTAAAAGATAATAATTCTGTTTAATAAAAAATGTAATACCCACCACCATATATATTCATACTTAAAAGCCTTCTAGAAACCACGGGTGGTAATAACGTGCATTTCAATTTATATTTATTTTACTCTTTCCTCAAATGTTTCTGCCTATGTGGGAGGAGGGTCAGGTAGGAATGAGATGGGAGGGAATTATGTGTTTACCTTGTTTGGTGTCTCATTTTATTGTTTGCTTTTCTGCAACTTATGATGTATAGGCTGGAATTTTCAACCTTCATAAAAGAAAAGGTAAGTTCGTTCATAATATGATTGGAATATGAAATAGAGAAATGAGCTGAAATTCACCTTGGTTTATGATAACAGGCCATTTGCTGGCAAGACAGCCAGTTTTATTGGCAAGCCTTTAATGAATGGACTTACAAGAGGAACAAAGAGAGATTGCTCTTCCCCGAATCTTATCATCTTTAGTCCGTGTCTTCATGATGACATTCGACGTCTAGTTGTTTCAGCTCATCTGAGTAAGTGCTTATCAGTTCTGGATCATTAATTCAATTCCCATACGGGCCAGTCGGCTTTGTTTAGTTCTGTGACCACAGGTTAACTCTGAACTGTCATCTTGCTATGGATGCCATTGATCACGGAAGACAGAACCAGAGATTGTGAGTGAATAAGCACAAATTCATCATCATTGCCAGAGTGGAACTCAAAACACAGGCCCAGCATGGCAAATTAGTTTGAACTTTTGTGTCTACAAAAGAAAATAATGTCTTTATTTATGTTGGGATTTAAGGTCTATTTAGTACTTTTAAGTTAGCTCATTTAAACCTCACAATAACTCATCGAGGTAGATATTTTCTGCCACTTATGAGAAAAGGAGACTCAGGTTAAATATGGCAGAAGGGAAAAATGATGTACTTTGGGCACTTTAGTGTTCGAAATCTAGTTTTGATCATATGTAATAGTGTGAGGTGGGAAGAGATGCTTCGTTTTTTAAAACAGAGTGAAAAATATTTGCCTTACGTTATAAAGGTTAAAAGAAATGATATATGCACTCAGTATTTAGCCTAGCACAAAGTATTTTTATTAAATGATCTGTTTGAGATCACACAATTAGTTAGGTGGCAGTACTAGGGCTTGTATGTGGGTGCTCTGACACCAGGTAGAGGGCTCTCTCCCCTACATGACAGCTGATATTGTGAGAAGTGAAGGATAGAGGTGGAAAGGTCGTCATCATTTATCTCTATACAGTAGTTCCCAAGCCTGCCTATGTGTCAGATGCTCTTATGGTGGGGGTGTGCGAGTCTCCTCAAATCTGTTTTTCACTTCTTCCTGGGCACATTGCAGTCCAGATACAGACTATGTTTCCCAAACAAATGATTAAGTTGTTTTCATGAGAATCAGGGTGGAAGTGGTGTGGGCAACTTCTGCCCTACTTGCTGATATATAAAACTGCTGAGCTTGAACCTTTAATCTTTCTCTTCCGAGAGTTGTAAAGTGAATGTGACAGTGGCTGCACTTTGACCAAACAAGGGACATTACGTTTATAAGCGCTTTTTGATTGTAAGTGGGCCCCTTGGATGAATAAGATGGAAGGAAATTGGGATCTTTAATGATTAGGCAGAGCCCAGCTATCCTGCCAATCTGGATCCTGGTGTTAGGACAGTTAAGTGAGAAAAGAAATACATTTCTTATTGTGTGTGTGTGTGTGTGTGTGTGTGTGTGTGTGTGTGTGTGTACTTTTTTTTTTTTTTTTGAGAGGAGCTCTTTGTTGCAGGAGATTAATCTTTACCCTAAGCCAATTGAGGAGCTTTCAAAAGTACAGATTTTCAAGCCCTAACAGACTTATGAAATCACAATAATCTTTGTGAGTGAGGCTCAGGAATCTATGTTAGTAAAACATATTGATGTATAATAGACTTGAAAACCCCTGGTCTCTATAACAAAGACTTCTCTCTTTGGAAGTCTTCACTCTTTATAGAACAAGAAAGATTAGGAGAAGAGAGGAAAACCTAGACAGAAGAAAAGAGTAAATGAAAAGAGAGAAGCTAAGACAAGACTGAAGAAGTTTCCTAGTATTTCTGGTGTCATTCCTATTTTTGGATCCAGTTCATTTTTAAGGCTAACTTAGCATTCCTGCTCTTGAGATACTTGTATGTCCTTAAAACTATGAAAGAAAAAATATTTTTTGAGAAGTGGTCTTGCTCTATTGTCCAGGCTGGAGTGCAGTGGCACACTATTGGCTCACTGCAACCTCTGCCTCCCGGGCTCAAGTGATCCTCCTGCCTCAACCTCCAGGGTAGCTGGGACTACTGGCATGTGCCCTCACACCCAGTTAATTTTTGTAGAGATGGAGTTTTGCCATGTTGCCCAGGCTGGTCTCAAACTCCTGGACTTAAGCAATCCACCCGCCTCAAGCTCCCAAAGTGCTAGAATTACAGGGGGGAGCCACTTTGTCCAGCAATAAAATACTTGATCCTTCAGTTTTCTCTGCCTTCCAAGGAGGTGGCTACCTAGTCCCATCGGTGAAGCATACAGGCTGGGGAGCTACACATCTCAATTCCTTTCGTGTAAGAAAGGAAGCTCGGGTCTAAGTCCCAGAGCTTAACTGGAGGGACTGGAAGAGCTGGACTTGGAGAGAGAAAGAGAGACTGTATCGAGAGAGAATATTTTGAAAGACAATGGAAGTTTAGCTACACTGTAAGAAATATAAATCCTCTTTGCAGTCTTCTCACAAAAACTTCAATAACACATCTTTTTGTGTGTGGATCATACATTGAATAGCTGGATCTATGTGATCTATGTTTGGATGTCTGTGATATTTCAAAGTACTAAGTCCAACTTGCAGGTTGGTGTGAGGTGAGATGAGTGTTTGTCCAGAAGGATCCAACCAATATTTGTTGCAATGAGTTGTTTTCTGTAACTGACAACTAAAATTAAAAAAGCACTGATTAGGTTGGTTTGTATGGGCATAGGTACAAACTTAGCCTTTTGGTATAATATACATGCTAATTTATATATACCAGTTGTATTTTTGATATCCATCTCTTCATGATTTTTAATATTGGCCCCTGTATGTTTATTTGCTGTATACCTGATACTTACACTTGAGATATCGAATAGAGTTTAGGAAGAAGAAAACAACGCCAGCATTTTCAACTGGGTGTAATAGTCATCTTTATCTTCCTGTTTTAGACTGCTAACTCATACTATGATGAACAGTCTCATTTCTCTTCACAACAGCTGCATTTTATGGATGTAGCTTGTTATGTTTGTAAAAAGCCCATAGGTTACAAGTTGGCTTGTGTGCAAAGTGCTGTGATTAATGATCATTTTCAAAATGACAAGTGATAAAGCACTTGAGGATGCAGTGGATGAGAGACAACCTTGTAGCCTTATTGGAGGTTTCTGCATCTTCTAGTTACTATAAAAATAACTTTTCAAAGATGGGCTAGCCCTCACATCCTCCAAGACATTAGAATGTGGGATAGTCACATCTTCTCTTGTCAAAGAGCTGTTGCTTTAGTCAGATAAAGGTCGGAGGATGTACATGATACTTGAAAACTGTAGGAGACTCTGTACCATAATACATTATTGTTTCTATCTTTTGCATTTAGGCTATAAACCCATAAAATCCAGGATGCCATTTTATAACCACAAGACAGTATATTCAGAATTTCAGGAATATCCCAGAAGTTTTAATAAAGAAGACAGTGCTGAGACATTGATTTGTTTGTGGACTGTTTTGCTGTTGTTATTTTGTTTGGCTTTGTTTTTATAACTTTTCAGAGGAGGAGAATAACTGCTTGTACTGCTATAGCTTTTCCCCTGGACACCCATGTGGGACATATTTTACATGAACTACAGTCTCTTGTTGGCAGTAACTTCCTTTCATTTCACTGCGTTATTAAGGATCCTTTTCTTCAAACCATCTCTTAAAATTTACATCTGGAATAGGAAAATAGAGGATTCTAAATATGTCTTTGAAAATTAATTTTATAGTAAGTCTTTTTGCCATCCCGGGAATTGAAACTTAGCTGCAGAGTCTCTTTAAGTGGGCTCTCTGGATGCAGGGCAGGCTTCAGTCGGTGAATGAGAAGACTGTATTGAAAACAAGGGAATGTTAGTGATGGCAATCAGCAAGCATTAAACAGCTCATGTTTTAAAAAATGAGCTCTGAATCAGAAGTCATAATCACTCAGTCACCTGCTGGGTTCATTTGCCCTTCAGAGATAAGGACATCTCAAAGTGTAGAACATTTTAATAGAATAGCGGCAGACAAGCTTGTTACTTAGAATTTTATTTGACAGGCTGGAGCTTGTTTTCAATATTCTTTTTCTGAATTACATGAAAAACTTTATTATAGGGTACATTGTGGAGGCATAAATTGTAGATGATATAAAAATAAAAAAAAATTTTTGTTTCTCTGTTTCCTTACAGAGATTATCTTCCTGTGGCTGTGACTTACCAGATCCCATGATAATGCAATTAAGCAGTCAGTTCATTTAAAAAGGTTACTCTAATATCAGGCTGGAAAAATAAAATACCACAAATAGATGTGCCTTTTGAGCATGGAATTTGGTAAAATATACTTGGTAGAGGGATTATAGTGAAAATGGTAAGGGAATTGCAACTAATGATTATTTTTTCTTTGTAAAGTCTTTATAAAGACTTTCATACAAAGTGACTTTCCAATCTTGTCTTCTTAGAGAATAACAGGATTAACTTGGTTATTAATTTTTATCTTCGTTGAAAATTTTGAGCACATTTACTATTTCTGATAAGAGGAAGAGTTCACCATTCTTCTGACTTTCAATCTGTGTTCATGAATATATAAAGTTCTGCCAATTCATCCATACACAATTTGACCTACAGTTCACGAAAGCAAAGCAGACTGAATTGGATGGGAAATGATAACTAGTCTTCCATAATGTGTTCTTTCTCTGCTTAGGAAGAGACAATATCAAAATGGTGTCTGAATACTCCATTGTAGGGTACCCTGGACGTCAAAATACCATCTAGCCTTGTTTCTTTATACACATTCCAAATAGCATTTCCTCTATCCTTTTGAACAGTATCATAAATCATATGCTTTTATACCTAATTTATAATTGTGATTATATAACTGTTAATTGTAGAAAATTTAGAAAAGGTACACAAAAATCCTAAAATTCTACCTCCATACATAAATGGTATTAACGTTTCAGTCTCTTTCTTCCTTCCTCTTACTCTCCTCCCCATCCTTTCCCCCTCCTTCCTACATTTCCTTTCTGTCAGATTAAATTAAATTGTAAATAAAGAGGACAATCTTATATAATGCATCAGAGGACTCATCATTCTACCTGGCCACTATGGTCCATCCGTTTCTTAGGTGTGTGTTGGAAGTACACATATATAGACATTAGCCCAGTATTTAGGATGTAGCTAATGAGTTACTTAGATACTTCTTCTTCTTTTATTTTTATTTTTTAAATTTATTTTATTATTTTATTTTTTTGCTACTTCCTATATAGAGTTTTCACATAGGGCCTGATACATAACTCATAACTTTGGCATTAGAGACTGGATTAAGTTGCTGCTCTTATGAGACAGTATCTTATCTTGGCTTTAGCATGGGCCCAGCTCATGGAGAGCTTCTGGGAGGAAAGAGCAAAAATGTTTACTTTTATTTTTTCATCTCCAGGCCAGTAAAGAGCTATACAAAGGAAAATGGACTATTTATGAATAATGTAGTAGTAAACAGTACAAGTTCTTCTGTCAGACAGACCTGGTCATGATCAGTGACTTTAGAGAAATCTCTTAAGTTCTAAGCTTCCATGTCTCCATCTGTATCATCTGTAAACTATAGATAATTACAGTGTCTAGCTCACAGGATTCTTAGTGAGCATCTATCTCTCTCTGTACCCCCTCATGTTTTATAACATATTCCTCCAAAAGAAGCTGCTATATTCATTTTGACAGCGGTTAGGGTGCCTTAGGTTGAGTTCCTGGAAAAAGGCTCAGAACAGCACTGAAAGGACGAAGGGAGGCAGGAACAGGCAGAAGGAAAAGATGATCTGTGATGTAGTTGCCACAAGGCCACAGGCAATCAATTCCTCAGGGAGCTGTGGTCTGGGATGGCCATTCAAAGTTGTTCCAAAATGAGGCAAGGGTCTGGACTTTTATACCCCTGCATTGGGCAGCCATTGGATGTGGCCTGCTCCAGGGAAGGGGGAATGAACTTGCATTAGGTGTCTCCCCTTGACTGAGGATAGTTCCCAGAGAGAGATAAAGCTTTGAAGTGTCAGTAGTCAACATTCTTGGCAGCGGTGGAAATGAGTGCCTCAGTCCCAAAGGGGATATCTGAGCAGTGCGCCACTACATCCTCTACTCTCCACCCCTTATGCTGCTTGGATCCACTTGCCTCTCAAAGTATATTTCTCCTGTTTAGAAATAGATTCTCCAGGATTGTGTGTGTGTGTGTGTGTTTTAAAGTTATTTCCAGGGAAAACTTACAGGATAAACTTAGTTGGAAGAAACCACAACCCCCACTGCTGCTGCTGCTAGCCTCAGGGCTGCAATCAATACTCACCTTCTCCCTCCTCTGTTATCCATTCTAGATGTTTTAACTCTCAGCTAGTACTTCTGCTGGTCTGGTGGCTTACTTGTGGACAGCCTAGACTCTTCTTTCTTAGAGATTTGAGTTCCTGGTCATCACGCTTTTCTTAGGATGTGGCTGTTGCTTTTGTCCATTTACCATCAACATTTGGCAAGGGGAGTCCCAAGTCAAAGTCCAGAACCAAATGTCTTCCTCCTGCTGACATGAGCAGTTACTTCTTTGTGATGTTCAGGATCAATTACACCTGTCACTGTGACCCTTTCCTTGGTTCTGATTACTTGGCACATGGATCCTGAAGTGACCGGTAAGAGGCATAATTTACTGTATTCCCCTGTGAAAACATTCATCCTCTTGGAACCAGAACTTCTACACTGGCACAGTCCAAATCTGTAGGGATGAGACACACAAATTCTCTAAGTGGGTCATGGGAGTGACGTAAGTAGGGCCACTCCTACTGCCACACTTTACTTCTAGGGTTCATGTGTTTTAAGTAGCTGGGGACTCATGACCATGAAATAGTCATTGCTTTAGGGCACATGCTGTGTCCTCAATGATGGTGCCTCATCCTCACAGGCATCTTCAAGGTGATGTCTTACCTATGCCTTCAAAGACTGTCCCATTGCACTTTCAGCCTGAACATTTCTGGTGGTGTGCTTTGTAATGGGGGACAATTATTCCCATGGTCATATGCTCAATGCTATACCCACTCTGCTCTAAAATGAGTCTCTTCATCCAATGCAGTGTTAAGGTGGATTCTTATGTCAGTGGGTCAAATACTATTTAAGTTCTTGTAGACGGGTACCGGCCAAGACCTGGTGGGCAGGAAAGACAGTCCATATTTGGAATGTGTTTTGGTCTTAGTCAAGAAGGGCTACCACCTCTTTGAAAGTTGAAGGGGTCCAATGAAGTCAAATTGCTGCCAAGTAGTTGATTGAGTCTTTTCTAGAAATGCTGACATTCAGGGGCTTCCCCTAGGGAAGGGTCAAGGCAGCTCCATTCATCCAAGGGTAACTTTTGGAGGGCATGTAGTTTTGCTCCTGGCTACTAGAGGAATGAGTATCTCAGTCCTGAAAGTATTCTGAGTGGCACACTACAGCATCCACTACATATAGAAAACAAAACGAATTGGCTTAAGTTAAAAAAAAAAACTGTAAAGGGAAGCTTATTGGAAGAATTCTGGCATAAGGCATGGAATCTAAACATGTGTTGAACATCTAGAAAGGCAGGAAGCAGACTGACTCTAGAGATTTCAGATGAATAAGTGTTGCTGTTAATTTGATTCCTCTTCAATAACTGCTAATCTTGTTTTGAATTTCTCACTCTCCAATTTTGAATTCTTACGATAGAAAAGGTGATTGACTCAGTTTAGGCCAGGCATCTTCCCTCAATCAGTCAATATAGTCATTGAGGTAGAATCATGTTTCAGAGATATGGCCTCAAAGAACCCATTCTACCTAGGGAGGGTTTACCCAGATGAGGGGGATTCACTGTGAATCTAGCAGCCTGCCTAAAAGGTATTTAGTTATATTTTCCCTTTTATTTCTCATGAAGATATGAAGTTTTTACATTTTTGCAACCGTATTTTTTCAAAACCAAAATTTATTGCACTTTCTGATAATTTTGGCATATATTGCCTAAGTTACCATTATGTATCCTATATAAAGCCAAGGTGCTCATAGCTCAGTCCTGTGTGAATTGCAGTTCAAGAAATATTTTCTGTAGCTAGGGATTTATTTCTAATTGGATTAATTTGAAGCATTTCAAATCTTTACTATTGTTAATGGAAAATATATACACTGAGGGGAAAGTAAAGCATGTTATACTGCAGAACTCACCAAAGCTCCTTCAAAAAAAAGCTTTTCTATTACAATTCTTGAAAATTCCAAGGGAAATTTAGTGCCGATGCTCTGAAAGTCCCCTTACATTTCTCCTTCAATATCTCTCTTATGGTAGATTGATGACATTGATGATGTCATTACATTGATCCGCTCCCTGCATCCACACCTGTAGTAGCTTGTTACATTAATAGTCCCTAATAATCATATTTCTCTGTATGCACACCCTCCTAAACTGATCCTGGGCTTGGTTCTGTGATTTTTCTTTGACCACACAACTTGCTTTGGCTGATGGGACTTTAGCAATCATGACCACAAAGCACTTGTGCAATAGAATATGCCCTCTCTTGTCACTTTTGTAAACCAGCCATCATGAGAAATCCTGGGTTACTCTGTCGATGATACACGATCCAGCTGATAGCAAGCACCAACTCAGACACATGTGTCAGGACATCTTACATTATCTAATCTCAGCTACGTTGTTGGTTGAGCCTCCAGAAGAGTAACTCTGAATAGTAAGCAAATTAAATGGCAGTTGTGTTATGTTACTAAGTTTTGGGGTAAATTTTTAATGGAGCAGTAGATATTTAACAGAGTACCCTCTGCCTTTGACTTTATATTTTCTCTTGCTAACAAGAACGAGTCTATTTTTACCTCTCTTAATTCTGGTTTGTCCCTGGGACTTGCTTTGAACAACGAGATGTTAGCAGATATGACGCAATAGAGGCTTTAAAAAGTACATTTGTGTTTTTGCTATATCTCTTGCTTCTCTTTGTTATGAAAAAGCCTGACTTGCTGGAGAAGAGACCCAGTTCTGAATTGCTCCAGCTCCCACGGAGGCTATCCAAGATCAGCTGATTCGCAGCTGATGGCCAGACACGTGAGTGCGCCCAGCTAAGGCTGGAACTGTCATGCCAACCTCAGTCTAAATTGATAACCCACAGACGTGTAAGCTCAATAAATGCCTATTGTTTTGAGCCATGAGTTTTGGGGTAAATTGTTATGCAGCATTACTATGACAATGGATAACTAATGCATCTCTGTTGCCTAAATGTTATGCACTCACGGCAGCTGCAAAAACACTGTCTTATCTATCCAAATGTCCCCATATGGTCCTCTCACTGCTCTAATTTTCTCAGTTCATCATCTTTTCTCAAGCCCATCTTAGTGACTCAGGTCTGAACTTGATTATTTAGTCCTGTTCCCAAAAGGCCTCTAGCATCACCTGCTACCTGATGAGCTTCATAAGTCTGAGATTTATGCGGCCTCTCAGTTTGATGATGAAACTCAGAATTTTTGAATAATTGATGGATAAAAATCACATTCACTGGGACTGATCCAATCAATTCTAATGCTGCTTGATAGCTGGCCCACTGCAGCAGTCCCTCCAACAGAAACACAAAATGGAACATTTCTTCTCATTTTAATGTTAATCATGAATTCCATATGCAAATTCTTGCTACTTCATACCCTGCTATACTAGCTTTCTAGGGGAGGGAAACAGTCTACCAGGGACATAAAGAGTCTGGTGTTTTTGATTCCTGAAATAAATGTAAATGCTGGGTCCTATATGTTCCCACTCACTCCTCTAGTATTATCAGTTACTAATATTTGCCATCTTTCCAGCATTTTCAGTGTTGTGTGCCAGTCATGAGTCAAATGACTCCCCCTGAGGTGGGACCATCTGGAAATTTCTCTATTTATGGAATCAGTAGTCTGTATCCATGTAAAGGCTACGTGGACCAGTTGAAAGACCGAGAGCAGCCACCGCGTCTCCACAGAGCCAGTCAGTAAAGCAGAAATACAAATTTGAACCAGTCCAAGCGTGTCTGATCTTTCTCTCTTTCTTGTGCCAAAAATAATTCTAATTTCTTTTTTTTTTTTTTGAGACAGAGTTTCACTCTTGTTTCCCAGGCTGCAGAGCGATGGCACAATCTCAGCTCACTGCAACCTCTGCCTCCCAGGTTCAAGCAAGTCTCCTGCCTCAGCCACCCAAGTAGCTGGGATTACAGGCATGCACCACCACACCCGGCTAATTTTGTATTTTTAATAGAGATGGGGTTTCTCCATGTTGGTCAGGCTGGTCTCGAACTCCCAGCCTCAGGTGATCCGCCCGCCTCAGCTTCCCAAAGTGCTGGGATTACAGGCGTGAGCCTCCACACACGGCCAATAATTCTACTCTCTAAAATGTAGTAAGTATGGCCGGGCGCAGTGGCTCACGCCTGTAATCTCTGCACTTTGGGAGGCCGAGGCAGGTGGATCACGAGGTCAGGAGATTGAGACCATCCTGGCCAACACAGTGAAACCCCGTCGCTACTAAAAAAAAACCACAAAAAATTAGCCGGGCGTGGTGGCGGGCACCTGTAGTCCCAGCTACTCAGGAGGCTAGGCAGGAGAATGGTGTGAACCCAAGAGGCAGAGCTTGCAGTGAGCCGAGATGGCGCCACTGCACTCCATCCTGGGTGACAGAGCGAGACTCTGTCTCAAAAAAAAAAAAAAAAAAAGTAGTAAGTATGCATTGTGTCTGGGTTCAAAACTAATATTCAACTTTGTGAGTGAGCTGTTTATATGTTCTCATTTAGTAAATTCATGAAATGTTATGTGATATTGGTCTCTGCCTGGATCGTCCATTCTTGAACCATGCTTTCTCTCATAAACTGCAATTCCAAGCTCAGCATGATCTCCTCAATGCCCCTCTGAATCACCCATGCTAGTCTAAGCTGCTCACCCAGCTAAATGATTATTAACATGAAAGGGCAAATTCCTGTTTATAGGGATAGTTTTTCCTCAAATTCAGAATATAACATATTCATGTCATACATGTGTTATTTAACATACTTTTTATGATAAATATTGTCATCCTTGAGATTAAAAAATCCACTGCATATAAGAAGTCTTTGTTTCTGTAAGATATGAATAATACATTATTAAAAGCAGTCATAATCATTGCTCACTTAACAGAGTAATGTCTATTTCAGTTGCCTCAATAGGGCTTAAGATGGGTTGGATCATTAACAGTATGGAAAGGAACTATAAGTTTAATGTATAAGATATACTATAGTGTCCAATTGGTTTTTTAAAGGCTCTTTTTCTGATTCTTGGCAACAATTAAACTATACTTCATGTGGTACTGAATTAACCAGAAGTAGCAGGATCATTTTACACCTATAGTTAGTACTTTTCCTATTTAAGGTGAACTGGACTACGGTATCTCTAGAAATATTCTGCTTTGCCTAAATGATGCGTTGCATACTAACTGCAATGCAATGCCATTTTCCTGCTGATCACTCTGTATTGTCCTAGATGTCTTTTCTCTTATGATTGGCCGCCATTTGGCAGTGGCTACTTAAGCCACTTTCCTCATAAGAGAGTTCAGTAAATAAACACTTAAATGCACCAGGGGTGTAGCTTTTACAAAGTCCTTGGTAATTCACATAATCACCCCCTAATGTTTTATAAGAATCTTTGAGCAAAGCTTGCTGTTATACTGTCCCATGGGGTAAGAGCACTTCCCCCAAAGATAATGTGAACACATGTTTTAAAGTCTATTACATGGTTTGAAGTAAATGGTATGTAGAGGGAAAAAATAATAAAGTTCAAATAAGCAAGCACACAGTTTTCAATAACATTGGACGATTTCTACTGAGAATTGATATCTAAAAGATTCATGGCATGTCAATTTAACAGAAGGAAGCACAAGCCAATGGGAAAAGTTGAAAGAATGAAATTGACATAAGCAAGAAAAAAGGAGGAGGGGTTCTCCAAACAGGGTGAGTTCAATATTAAAAAAAAAATCAAATAAAATCAAGAGGGTAGGATTTTATAAAGTATTCTTAAGTCCCTCGTCTTAATAACTTCTCCTTTCCTCTCCCAGGAGGCCTGCATCTGTGACAGTAATATTAAATGTCAAGTGTTGCGACAAACGGTGATGCCCTTTCATTGCTCTCATCACCTATTTATGCTAAGCTTATAGAAGGCTTCTCTGATTAGAAGTCATTGACAGAGAAGCTCAGCATGGTTTCTTTTGAACAGTCATAAATAGTTGAAGACTTGCAGTATGCATAAAATTAGAATTCCTAATAATTTCCCAGCAGAGAAAATATCATTTTTTTATAATTTAAAAATATACTCAGCCATAGGTTTAAATACACCATACATTCAAATCTTAGCATCAGGCTAAAATCTCTTCTATTTAATATTCAATTTAATGTTTAAAGCCATTGGATCAGATTCTTATGTCAGATGTCTTCTTTGGTTCTTATCTTTGGAGATTATATTACTTTGATGTTACTGGGAAAGAACTATGGCATCCGAACACCTCACAACTGGCATGGCCTTAGATTTTTGCTTTGCCTAAGTTCCTGGAAGAACCACTTCTAACGCTAGGTCTCCAACTCCATTGCCCACACAATACCACTACTCTGTGTCCAAGGATACTTATTTTTAATACAAATATTTTTCAGTGGAATCATAGCCTGTCATTTATTTATTATTTTCTTTTAATGAACAGAAGAATTTGAATCCTTCCGGCTCTTTTTTTACCAGCTCTGTCAGTTTTAATCAAGTTACTAGTCTTCTTTGAGCTTCAGTTTTTTATTTGTTAAATGATATTAGATAATTTCTCAGGTCTCTCCAGACACTCAGATATTATATGCTACGCCTTTCACTACTGAACATGTTACATTTAGTATCAGAGAAAAATTTATTGGACATTTTTCTGTGAGTCCATCTTTCTATGAACTGAGTCTTCATAGCTCATAGAGCTGGTTAAAATATCAAAAACCAGAAAAGGTCATAGTGTTTGGCTATCCTGGATGAAAACTGAACTTCTATGGGTGTTCACCATTTTCTTGGACAATTATGGCAACCTCTTCTTGATATTTCCTAACTGGGAACTACCTTTTCTCTTCTGCCCAGTAGCATAGGGTTCTTTCCCCTATGTAAGTTTCACAGAGCCCCTTGCTGGTTAACATCAAGACAGCGGGAGTGGGGTGGTTTTAGACTGAGCTCACTGTAGAGAAAAGTTTGTAAATCTAGTGGATTTAGAAATTGGGCTGAGGTGGTCTCCAGCCTCTGGTGGATATGAACTTCCCTTCTTATTCTCTGCCATCTGTTTTTTATCTGGGATAGTCATATTTCAGATTCTGAGACTATAGTCTTTTCCCCCCAACAACATGTGCAGGTGCGAAACACCATGATTCTTGTCTTGAGGAACACACATCTAGATTGTGGTAATACATAGATAAATATGCTGTTGTGGTTTAGCTCTATTAGACATTGTAAATATCTAGACAAAAGGACTTGAGCAACATTTGGAACACGTGCATGTGGGGATCTAGCCATAAGCCACTGAGTTCTGATATTTAGTGAGGGCAGATGGAGGGAGGGGGAAGTGATTTTTTAGGAAAAGATAGTGTTGGAAAAGTGATTCCCGAGTTAGGCAAATACCATCAAAGCATTTGAGCGTGATTTGATTTCTTCACTTTTTAAAGATAAGAACAAGGTTAAGGACATTAGATAATTTGTCCAAAGTCATATAATTAGTACGTAGCAGTAGATTGCAATATTTAAATTCATTTCCATATAATTTCATAAGACATTATTTTCCTATTATCCAAATGCCTTGGTGCCACATATATTTTGGGTACCAGAATTTAGAAGACAATACAGTGCAAATATCACGTACTATATAAACAGTCCCAGCAAGGCCTGGGGCTCCCTGTAATCAAACAGATTCATATTTTGGCAGAAAAACAATAACGTTCACCTAACGTGAGATAAAAAATGTCTGTAAATAGCCTTACGCGAATGCAGGTCAGGTTTTGCAGCCAAATGACTCAGGTCATTTCAGCTTCGCTGCCAAAAGAGTTTGGAGCTTTAGAACTTTTTGAATTTCAGGATTTTAGATTTAAGAATCATGCCCTTGATCATTAGCCTGCCTGAGTCTATTGAGGGAGTTTTGAGTGGGCTCTGGACCAAAGCTAAGTTTTCTGACTGGGGAAACTGTCTCTATCCCAGGCCTCCCTGCAGCCCTATCTGGACTGGTGAGTGTCAGGACCTGCAGCTCTCACCCTGAGGGGCATAAGGCCCAGGGGCTTCTCCCTGAGCAGCGAGAGGTGAGGGTCTTTGGAAACACGCAGTGCTCCATGGCAAGGGAGCCTCTTGTGGCCATGTTCTCACTGCATCTTTAACATGCTTTGTGACCAGAGTTTACAGAAGGAACTTTTCAATGATATCACATTTTCTATTATATTTGGGAGGTCACTGAAAAATATCGGACTTAAATCTGTATAAATTCGCATTGCAGCTAAATTCAAAGAAGCATATCTAATTTGAAAAGTGATGGATATCTATTGTTAATGAGCTAAAGCTGTGTTATGCTAAGGTTATTTGAAAATAGAGTGAGATTAGAAGTGGAAGTGACAGTGTTTTTTCTTTTCCATAGGCTGGGCTTCTGGGACAGGAAAAAGCTATTATGTACCTGAAATATTTTAAAAACTGATGTATGGTATAATCACTTTCAAAAAAATACACTATTTGAAATATAACTAGTTGATAGCTTTTTTTTTGTTCTATATCTCCAATTGTTTCTATATCTTAACATGGTAGAAACATTAATACTTTCTAAATTGTGATTGAACATGAAGTTAATGTTATGAGGATATTAAGAATTCATGCCATGACAGCAGTCTGAAATATAGAGGTACATTATGTTGTACCCAAAATAAATTTGACCTTGGTGCTTCCCATGCATTAATCACTTTCTTCTGGGCACAATAATAGCAGAACACTAACTGGATATGAATAATGGATGCCAAATTTTTAGACCAATTTTTAGCTCTTTAGTCTTTGTATGAACACAAAATGAGGTTAAATTAAGATTCTCATTCTGTTTCAAGTGCCCAAATTTAAGATATTTATAATTTATTAGGCTTAGAGGTTTTTCATTAGTATAAACTAAATAGCTGCTACAATAAATGTATGGCCGTATGGATTAAAACAGTATTCTATAGGTGTGTTGCCTTACCTTAGGTCTATAATCAAATTCAGATTGATCAATTTAGGTGATATGAACTGATTTGTGAAACCTCAACAGAGCACAAAGGATAAAGTAGCACATAGGATAAATCTATACCATGATAGGTGAGAGCAAATTCATGTAAATGAGAATAATCAAAGACATATCTGATGATAGAGTTAATCTAATTATGAAGTTTTAAAATCAAATGAAGTCTTTTTCATGAACTTAATGACTGAAAAGTATATATGCTAAGAGTTAATTATATCTTTTGGCTGGATAAAGACCAGTATCTTATGTTCTCTAACTTAAGAACTAGAACCTGAGATACTGGTCTTTATCCATTGTATTCTCAGGCATAAGAGTATAACTTGAACTTAATTTAACTTTGATATGCTCAACATTGCTAGATTTATTTTGTTTAATAATCATAAACTTTATCAATGATAGTTCCTGAAGTACCTTAGTTTTTGTAATCATATCATATACAGCAGCTTCATCATGTGCCTCAACTTCTTTGTAGAACAAAATAATGGGAGGTGAATATAAATATATGAATAAAAATAGAAAAGCTAAGTCAGTTTCTATGATGGAGAAAGAATACTTCTATATTTATTTTGCATTTAGAGAAATAATGTTCAATAGTCAATTCAGTTATTATTGGACATTGCTTTTCCTACTAAAGTTTGATTATATAGAAATGTTCAAAAGATGTTTACCCATAAATTATATTTTCCTTCCTGCTACCAAGATATCTATTTTGAAATTCTCCTTTAAGGCTCTTTTTGGCTGCCTCTTCATTCTTTATGAGGATTATTTCTGTTAAAATAAAATCAGCAAAAGATAAATCTTCAATCATACATGAGTAAGTGACTAAAGTTTATAGTTTGCATTAAAATTAGAGCCTAGAGCTAGTTAAGAACTGTTTTATGATTAGGAGATGTTTCAGTTTTCTCAGATACATTTTCTCCTGAAGGAATGTGTGGGTCTGTTCTCTCAGGATGGTCTCAGTATCATGCTGGTACCTATTATTTACATACATCTAAGTAGAAAATATTTTTAAAAATCACTGTGGAATGAGGGTGGCATGTCTCAGTGTTGTTTTCAGTTTGGGGCTACTCATCATGATTATTATATTATATATTAAATTCTACAGTCAATAAAACATGGATATTTCCTAATTTAATTAGTCAAGAAAATAAAAAATAATACAGGGCATGATATGGTTTCTAGTGAACACACTATACTTTCTTGAAACAACATAGTAGTGGTGATTTACTATGCATTTTATTGATGTCATCAGCAGATGAAACAAAATCACAGTCCTTTCTTGTGAGATGATATACCATGCAGATTGGGAAAAGTAATCCAGCTGCAGAGGCTGACAATCAAGAGCAATTAGTAAATGGTTGTTTTAAATAAAACGTTTTAAATAAAGACTATGTCAAGTACTTTCAACACGTGCATGTGCACTGATTGCTAAGTCTTGCTTTAAAAAGGGCCTTCTTCTCTGAGACTTTAGCCACTCAGTAGCCAGTACCAAAATTGTGACCATGGATTCTTAAGTGGATCACCACTTTCCAGGGAAAAGAGCTTATAAATTGAACTTATTTATATGAACTACACATGACATGAAGTCACTTTTTTTTTTTTTTCTTTGAGACAGAGTCTCGCTCTGGCACCCAGGCTGGAGGACAGTGGTGAAATATTGGCTCACCGCAGCCTCCACCTCCCGGGTTCAAGCAATTCTCCTGCCTTAACTTCCTGAGTAGCTGGGATTACAGATGTGCATCACCATGCCCAGCTAATTTTTGTATTTTTTGTAGTGACGGAGTCTCACTATGTTGCCCAGGCTGATCTTGAACTCCTGGGCTCACGTGATCCACCTGCCTCAACCTCCCAAAGTGCTGAAATTACAGGAGTGAGCCGCTGCTCCTGACCCAAAGTCACATTTTTTATCAGCTCCTAAGACCTACTATAAAGCTGGCCGTATTGCAATAAAATAAGAGCTTTTCTATATCTTATATAAATCTTGTTCAGAATGTTCATTTGGGAATATAGGTTATCTTTGTCTAGACTTGACTCCCCTGATATGGCATGACAGTAAAATCCTGTAAATGTATAATAAAAATATGAAAGGAAGAGAGAAACAGTTGACAAGACCACTTTCATTCTCTGGGTAGTTTATTCTGTCCTGCACACCATTATAATCAGAAAGTTTTAATAACGTGCATTCAATATTTTGTTATATCAGTCTAAGATTGTTTCATGCATTAATTTCCACAATAAATGGGTTATACACAACTATGGAACAAAGCCGATCCAGTCACTAAGCTGGGGATTTCTTTTGTAGGGGTGTAATGTTAACTCTTGTAACCTTCCTTTTTCTCTGCTTCCATTGCTGACAGATCCCTTTTGCAACTATTCCTTCAGGAGTAACATTAGTTCATCTATTTTTAAGATTTTGAGAGTCTTCATAACATTCCCTACAGATCAGTAACAGAACTTAGAAGTCACCTCCAATGAACTGATGAACTAGGAGCATTATAATATTGGAAAACAGATCACCTTATAAAAAATAAGATAACAGATACTCCAGATGGGTCTAGTTGGGGCCTGAATTCAAGAATTCATAAGGGTAAACAATTGTCAAGTATTTGCCAGAGTGGGCCATACACAGTTCTGCGGAGCGAGAGTCTTTATTTAATATAAGTTTTACAATCAACAGTGCTTTAAGAAACCATTGTCGGCCAGGCAAGATGGCTTATGCCTATAATCTCAGCACTTTGAGAGGCCAAGGCAGGAGTATACCTTGAGGCCTAGTGTTCGAGACCAGCCTGGGCAACATAGTGAGACCCCATCTCTACAAAAAATTTAAAAAAAATAGCCAGGTGTCGTGTTGCGCACCTGTAGTCCCAGCCATTCAGGAGGCAGAGGCAGAAGGATCACTTGAGCCTAGAAATTCAAGGCTGCAGTGAGCTATGATCTCACCACTGCACTGCAGCCTGGGCAACAGAGGAAGACCTTGTGTCCAATTAAAATTAAAAAATCATAGTCAATGGTCAATTAGAAAGAGATGTGGGGTTGATGAAGTTCACAGCAGTATTTCTTGAATTATGGAGAAAAATGGGTCTCCAAGATGGCAATAGGGGCTTGGTGTGGTGGCTTATACCTGTAATTCCAGAACTTTGGAAGGCTGAGGCAGGAGGACTGCTTGAGCTCAGGAGTTCAAGACCAGCCTGGGCAACATAGTGAGACCCTGTCCCTACTGAAAGGAAATTTTAAAATGATGTTAAATGAGATGTCTTCCATGGACTCAGTTATGACAATCATGCCATTGGTAGTTATATCCCAGAATCTGGCCTCATTCCCTACTTTAATTGCCAAAACCCAATACTCATACTATAATACTAAGAAGATTATAGTATGATTTAAATTACTTAAGATTGTAGTATTTCTGGATTATGTGGATGATGACAGTAATGATTTTGCTTCCCATTATCCCTATCAGTATAGCAACTAGCAGGGAGAGTGTCATTTATACCCAAACATAAATTTTATATATATATATATATATATATATATTTTTTTTTTTTTCCATTCAATACTTCTAAAACACTAACTATATGCCCCATTTTCTCATAGAAAAATTCCCCACACTCAATGATCTTACATGATAGTGGGAAAGGACATGTAAATAAATATAGAAAGAAGTATATAATATGTCAGATGGCAATAAGTTCTTTGAAGAAAAATAAACAGTATAAGGGAGATAGAAATACTTAGGCAAGCTAGGGAAGGGGTTCCTATTTTATATAAAGTGGTCAAGAAAGCTAATATGGTGAAATTTCTGTATCTTAGAAACAGCGGAGAGGCTGGGCGTGGTGGCTCACGCCTATAATCCCAGCACTTTGGGAGGCCGAGGCAGGCGGCTCACGAGGTCAGGAGATCGAGACCATCCTGGCTAACATGGTGAAACCCCGTCTCTACTAAAAATACAAAAAAAAAAATTAGCCGGGCTTAGTGGCGGGCGCCTGTAGTCCCAGCAACTCCGGAGGCTGAGGCAGGAGAATGGCGTGAACCCGGGAGGCGGAGCTTGCAGTGAGCCAAGATTGCACTACTGCACTCCAGCCTGGACGACAGAGTGAGACTCCGCCTCAAAAAAAAAAAAAAAGAAAAAATAGCAGAGACAAGAAAGAGTGACCTCTGTGGCTGTCTAGGGTAAAAGAAGCACTTCAGGGAGCGGGAACAAGAAGGGCCAAAGTACTGAGATGGGGCCTGTGTGTAGTGCCCCATGCAAAACACCCAATGTGGTGACTGGCGATGGGGAGGAGGGGAGAATCTGAATTCAGAGAGATTATAGAAAACCAGATTATGTAGGTCACTTTAAGGATTTATGAAATTATTTTAAATGATTTGGGAAACCACTGGAGAACTGGGCAAAGGAGTGACCGGATCTCATTATTCTAAAAAGATCAGTGGGCTACTCGTAGAAATCCTACGCGCTAACATCCTATTGAATTGCAAAAGACTGAATGCTGTTCATCTAAGATGAAGAACAAGGAAAGGATCTCGGTGCTAACTACTTCTATTCCACATTGTACTGAAAGGCTTAACCAGGGCAATACAATACAAAAAGGAAATTAAGCATTCAAAGTTGGAAAGAATAAAAATTATTTATTCTTAGATGACTTTATTTTTAAAATGTAGAAATCCTAAGGAATCTGCAAAACAACTAATATAACTAGTTGAATTTAATTAACAAAGCTGTAATTTTCCAGGTCCATATAGGTAAATAAATTATATTTCTGTATACCAGCAAAACAATTGGGAAATGAGATAAAAAATACAATTCATAATAACAAAGAACCATAGAATACCCAAGGATAAATTTAATTATGGATTTCCAAAACCTATACACAGAAAACTACAAAACACTGTTGAGTAAAACTGAAGAGGACTCAAATAAGTTGGAGAGCTATATCACATTCGTGGATTAGAAGACATACTATTAACATGGCAAGTCACCATGAAATAACAGCCAGCCTAACAGTGAAATGAGACTTGAACTAGGAGAAACAATCTCCTACTTGGGAAGCCAGAGTGCTTGGGGAAATTCCTCTGAGATTTATAGATATATGAGTGACTAATACTTAGTGAAAGTTTTTTTTTTTCTGGAAAAAACAAAAGACTTACAATTGTTTATATGAGGTGAGGAGTTTTATAAAACCCTGTTTTTTAGCAAACATGTAATATTTACCTTCATTACAAAGGCCAGTGCCTTGGAAAAGCTTATTTTGTAATTAAATCAGCATAACTTGAAGTAAAAAAAAAAAACTCTTCCCCACTGAAGCCAGAGTTTAGAGTATCTCATATTTAAAAAGTCAATTTATTACCTTCTCTAGATTATGGCTTTATTAATTTGTGGTGTATTCCATCCAAATCTGCTACTTGCTTCGAAGTCTGAGAGTTTCAGGCCAATATTTTATGTGAGTAACAGTCAGGTTTTATATATGGCCACTCCACACCTAGTAAATCAGGAACAGTATTAGATAATTTGTGGCATATGTAGATATTCAGAATCATTATACTTCTGTGGGATTAGAGTGATTAATGAGTACTCCTGGACCAGGGAGTTAGAAATAGCCAACACGTGGTTATGTTTTGCCTGCTCCTCATTCTTTTCCTGCCCCTTTCTTGTTTTACATTTATATTTTCATGTTCTAGAGCCACTTTCAGATGGTCTAGATGCATACACTTGCCATGAAAGACAAAAGGGTATTTTAAAAACCGTGGTGACAGCACGACCTTGCTAGTTAATTATTGCTAAAAAAGGATATCTGATTCTCTTTCCTAGAACAAAAGTGTTTTGTTTTTTTTTTTTTTGTACTGATTCTTTAATTTTCAACTGGGCAATGAATAACAATCCCATATAAAAATGACTGGTTACTCTGTTACATATCTGGCTAATAGTTTATCTTGGAAGGAATACAGGAAAAAAAAAAGTGGTGTTCGGAGCTAAGGATCTGAGGTTACTTTATTGAGAGTTTATTCTGCCAAGGCTGAATTCTGGTTTTATCTGCCTTCAAATTTTACAGGCTAAAACTATTTTGACCATGTTCTTTAGAAGAGAACTTTTAAACTTTGCTCATTCATTTATCTTAGTCCTGGAGGAGACTGGGAATAATTTTCTGAGAAGAACCCTGGCTCTGCCAGAGGGTGTTCCCTCTGCTCAGAGCAAAGGCAGTTTAGGTGGGATGTTTTGATTCATATCATTTTTCTTCTTCAAGGAACAGACACCCACTTAAATGAGCTCACATGGAAATGCAGTTATAGGGGTCATATTCATTTTCCAGAGCTGCCATAACAAAGTACCACAAACTGAGTGGCTTAAACAACAGGAATTTTGTATCTCACGGTTCTGGAGGCTTCACGTCTGAGGTCCGGGTGTCAACAGGGTTGGTTCCTTCTGACGGCTGTGAAGAAGTAACTGTTCCATGCCTTTCCCCTAGCTTCTGATAGTTTCTGGCAATCTTTGGTGTTCCTTGGTTTGTAGATGTGGCATCTTGATCTCTGCCCTCATCTTCACTGAGTGCTCTTACTGCGTGTACCTATTCCTTAATTTTTAACTGGGAAATGACTAGAAATCCCATATGGAAATGGCTGGTTACTCTGTTACATATTTGGCAAATAGTTTATCTTGGAAGGATAACTATTCTCCAGACTTCCCCTTTTTATAAGGACAACAATATATTGGATTAGGGGCCCACCCTACTCCAGTAGGAACTCAGCTTAACTAATTACATCTGCAATGACTCTATTTCCAAGTAAGGTCCCATTCTAAGGTCCTGGAGGTTAAGGCTCCAACATATGAATGTTTGGGGAATACAGTTCAACCCATAGCAGGGGTTTTCCCAGAACTCTCTTCTCTGGTGCACAGCAGGACCTCACAGATACTGGAAATCTGTCTGGCAGCACTGGAATGTCTGTCACTTTGTCTCAAGGGTCACGTGGTGCCTCTCTTTTCTTTCTGCATGTGGGTTCTGCTTTTTTTGTCTCCAAATCTGCTGCTTCTGCAAGACTTTTGGTTTTTACTCCTCCATAACTTTGGTTTGGTATGGTGCTGACCCTGGTTTCTGGCGGCACACCTCCTTAAAACTGACTGGGGTCTCTGTGGCTTTTAATTAATATTCCTTAGAGAGACATCATGATTGCTTCAGCCCAGCCTGTGGATTGCCTGAATCAGGAATCCACCTGGGGTTCAATCAGCTGGGGCTTGAGGTGGGGGTGCAGCAGTATTGCAGATGGGGGATCTTCAACTCTGGTTGAAGTCAAACACCTTGAGAAGGTTCCAGGGGTGGGGCATGGAAAAAGAAATGATGTGTGACTTAAAATAGCCACAAATTCTTTGACTCTCCTTCCACTGAAAGGTGAAATTTTATATTAGTATGAGTATAATATACTAATTTATATTAGTATAGTATAATATGCTAGTCTATATTAGTAGAGTATAATATACTAATTTATATTAGTAGAGTATAATATTCTAATTTAAGAATTAGACAGCAAAATAGCATTAAATAAGCAAGGATTTTATTAGAGGCCATGCCTATGTGAATGGAAATAGAAAAGAAGTCAGGGAAGTCTGGGGAGTCAGCAGACAGCAGGGCGAGTCCAACTCAGTGCAGGAGAGACGGAAGGAAGCGTGGGGGCACCGCAGATTGTTGTGTATCTAAGGAAGGTTCAGCAAAGCTGTTGGGGAGTCCTTGGGCCAAAGGTGACTGGCAAAGGAGTCCTGTGTCTTCCAGAAATAGGTCTGCCTTATAATCTGCACAATTCTCAATCACTGGTTGGGAGATGTGGACTTTGAAGTGTAGTAGCTGGGCCCCTTATTTAAATACATATCCAGCAATAGGAGGTCTGCAAATCTTTTTTTCCCTCCACTTGAATCTGAGAGGGGTCTGTGACTGCTTTGATCAATAGAATATGGCAGAAATAACCAGGTCACAGTTTCTTAGCCAAGGCCTTAGGAAAATAGCAGCTTTCATTTCCCATCTCTGAGATCACTCTCTGAGATTTCTGAGTCATGGTGGAAGACTTACGAAGACCCTGAGACTTCCATGCTAGAGAAGCTATGTGGAGGTGTTTTGGCTGCCAGTCCTCACTAAGAAGGCCTCAGAATTGTAAGAATGACCCACTGGGCCCCGGTCAAAGTCCTCATGTAGAGGATCATGAAATATTGTAAGTTGATTATTTTTTTGAAGCATCTAAGATGTAAGAATAATTTGTTACTTTGCAGTAGCTAACCAGAACATTAAGTGTCTTACCTATGTTATATGGTATCAGATAAATTCCATCAAAGGTGACAGCTTCCACATAGTTGGACCCTCCTAGAGAAGCAAACAGAGGGTGAAAACTGGAAGCAGCTTGTTGAGGCAAGGAAGGAGAGGGGTAGTGGGGAAAGAGGCTGTGGCTTTTCCTGCTTGCAGTGCACTCTTTCTGTTTTTACTGTCTCACCTATTACTTTCATCAGCATTACAAAAACACCTCATGAGGGGAAAAAATAATTCATGAATAAGTGGAAAAGTATTTATATTAAAATAATAAAAGAAAAAAGTCAAGCATTGTTAGAAACCCATGATATTGAAAATGGTTGTGAGTACACGTTACAACCAAAAGTTGTAAAAAAAAAAAAAAAAAAAAAGCTTCACAATAATAAAATAATTATAAATAACTTGAATTTTTAGAAAAGTTAAAAATAAAAAGCAAGCTAATATTAGAAAGTTAAGATGTAAAAGCACTACAACAGAGGGATGAACAATTGTGAAGAAAAATTTGGATAAGAAAAAATTACCATATAAAAAATATTTTATTAAGAATTATGGAACAAATATAATTTTTAAAAGTCAAGAGATTTAAAGAAAGTAGAAATGAGTCCTGTAAGCATAGAAAATTTCATTATAAAATTAGGGCAAATCAGCACAAGTCAGGATAATACAGCACCTGAGAATACGCTACTTTTTATTTATTTATTTAATTTTATTACTATCTTTTGTTTTCTTTTTTTGTATCATTATTTTTTGTCTGCAGCTTTTTAGACCCATCAAATAAAGCCTAAAAAACAGAAGAAAATAAGAACAGTATAATTTTAATGAAACATACTGATTCAGGAGGGTGGTGAATATTTGGTAGAGTGCTCCAGCTTGGAAATGGATTATTGTGGCTTCCTACCAGTGCCATCCCAGCACATGATGAGGGTCCAGAGTCCTGATACAGAGAGCAACCAACACCTGGGAGTGGTTGTGCCCTCTCTCCCCATTTGTGCCCTCCACTGTGGTCACATCTATGAGGCCAGGGGATCTGCCAGTTACAAAACTTGGGCAATATGGACCTGAATTGAGCTCAGTGCCCAGAATAGTTTAGATACTTGGCAGAAACCCACAGTTTGATTATGTTTTAACAAATTGCATCTGTATTTTCATTTTTAATCCAACATACCATTTGTAGCCAGGCTCAAAAAATACAAATATGTATCACCTTAAGGCATTTATAAATCTGGTACAATGTGTTCACCATTGTTACCTTTTTAGAGAAAAAGATGTGCTACAACTTTTTGCCTAGTCTTTTTATTAAGCTCCACCTACCAATTTTTTGATTTTTATTAAGTAGCCAGGTCGTAGTCATTTAAGTCCAGCCTCTGTCACTTACTACTTACTGATCATACGCAAACAACTTAACCTCTTTTATCCTCAATTTCCTTGTCTGTAGAGTGAGGATTAGAATAGAATTTATCTCATAAGATTGGTGATTAAGCAGAAAAGGCAACTAGAGTGCTTTCCATAATAACTGCCTCATACTAAGTAATAAATGCTATCTGTTTTTTACCATTAATGTGTTATTTATAACAACCATAGATACTGACATCTACTGTTTAATATACCCAATCAGAAATATAATATATTGCTACAACTATTCATGTCTTGTCTGTTATGCTATTAAAAAAATTCAAACCCTAATGACCTAAATTAAATGAGTATTCTAGCATTTAAATATGTTGACCTATATTATCAGTGAAATTAATTCTTCTTCTCAATTAATCTAGTCAGGTATCATTTTATAAAGAGATGCAATTAAGTTTGGTGGATTCATCTTACAGTTTGGACCTCAGTGGATTATTGTCTTCAGTGATAATTTTATTATTATTATTTTTTTGCTTCTGGCTTTCCAGATACATATTCATGCCATCTGCAAATATGACTCATTTATATTTTCATTTTTATGTCTGTGTGCCTATTTTTCTTTTTGCTTGAATAATATTTCCAATGATATTAACATACAAATTGCCAGGATTATTAACATATTAAGTAGAAGTACTAAAAGGGAGAATTTGTTGTCTTTTTTTTTTTTTTAGAGAATTACTTCAATGAATCTGTATTAAATATATTAACATGCAACTTGAAATAGATATACTCTGTGAAGGTGAGTTAAGGAATTCTCAATGACTCTAGTTTTAGATTTAAAACTTGGAACAGATACTGGATTTTTGTCAAATGTGCTCTTGGTGTTTACTGAGAAGCTTAGAATATCTTAGCTTTTTCTCCCCTTGTTAATATGATGAGTCATGTTGATTACTTTCTTTGTGCTACATCAATTTGAAATCCCAGGGTAAATCATTGGCAGTTTTTATAATACTTGAATACATTTTAGAATACTTGAATATTCAAGTATTATAAAATATATATAACTTATAAATGATTATGATTATCATTTATAATTGAGGTTGGCCTAGTAAAACTGTTGGTATTTCTCTTTTAGGTTTTGCAATCAAAACAGTTTTTGCCTCATGGAGAAATGTGGGGTACTTTTTCATTTTAAATAATTTTAGATAGTTTTATATATGTATATATATGTATTATTTAAAAAAATTTTTACAAAGCTTTGCAATGAATTTATGACCATGGAATATATATAGTTATATATAAAACTATATATAACCACATATATAACTATATATGAAGTATATATATGAAGTATATATAGTTATATATATGAAATATACTATATAATAAAAGTATATATAGTTATATATATGAAATATACTATATAATAAAAATATAGTACATATAGTTATATATATTTATATATGTATAGTAACAAGTTATCTATCTATCTATCTATCTATATATATATAGTAACAAGTTATCAATGCTACTTGGTTCTTCAGTTTGAATCAATGGTATAGTGAGAATACCAATGCACAGGATTGGATTGGAAAGTCAGCCCCACATGAATCAGAGATCTTACCTTATATTACCCAAATGAAGTTAAGGAACAGGCACTCAGTCGGTTCAGATGCAGTGAGAAGTATTTTCCATGTTGGCTATGTTCC
Organism: Homo sapiens; assembly: GCF_000001405.40. NCBI lineage: Eukaryota > Metazoa > Chordata > Mammalia > Primates > Hominidae > Homo > Homo sapiens. Next base: position 18,793,434 of record NC_000012.12, on the reverse strand, counting down.
TCTGGCTCAGGATAGGCTGGTTTGCATTTGAGGTTATGGGAGTATCTCCCACAGTGGGAGATAGTCCAAGGGAATTGAATAGCCCACGAGGCATTCTCCAAGGGATCATGCCCCATAGATCCTGGATTCTATTTACTATAGGTAATCTGTAGCCAGAGACTTCCTGTTAAAGGCAATTCAGAAATAAGCTATCCTCTTCCTAATAAATTTCTGTAGTATATTTACCCAGTGGTACAGTTGACAAGGAGGAGGTCACCTGCCTTCTGCCAGGGAGTGGCTTATGAGAACATAGTACCCCCACCCCATGAAGAGAGTGAATGAATTGAAGGCCATCTGCTTTGACCTTTTCCTACCAGTTAATTAGTGTTTCTGGTGATCAATTTTTACTTATTTTTGTCTCCCCTTTCCCAAGCAAGCTTGTTTTTGCTCTTTGTTGTATCATTTCTTTTTTCCAACTTTATTTGGCCTAATTGTTTCTTTCCCAAATCTTAGGGTGGTGTCAGTTAGTACATATATTCAGAAAAGTACATTTGTTTTTAGATATTACTTTGGCAATACCTTATGAATTTTCATATGTTTTACTTATATTTTTACTGTTCAAATATTCTGATATCTTATTTCTTCCTTAAATAAGATTTTGAAGTGCTATTTTTAATTTTTAAATTATTAGATAACTTTTATTTTGTCTAATATTGCAATGAATGCTGTGAATGTAGCATATCAAGTTCTGCTTTTTGATATCTTCTAAGCAAATGCTTGAGTTTCAAAGTATCATGAATTTATGGTATCTGTAAACATTTATCAAGCACCTAAAATGAAGTATCACTGGAATGGAAGAAGTATCTCTGAATCCTCTTTCCTCTCATTTCTTAAAGATTTTGTGATCATATTTTCTTATGCTGGCATCATTATATTATCCTCTCTACTAAAGTATTCTAACTGGCATACCCCAGTATCTCTCATATATTAAATGGGATGGGAAAATTTGGGGACACTCAGTATGTTTCCTAATCCCCCAAACCTGTGGATCTGTTACCTTACATGGCAAAAGGGTCTTTAAAGATGTGACTTAGTTGAAGATCTTAAGATGAAGAGATTATCCTGGATTATTCTGGTGAGCCCAACACAATCACAAGGGTCCTTCTAAGAGGAAGGCAGGAGGTTCAGAGTCAGAGAAGAAACTGTGATTAAGGAAGCAGAAGCTTTGGAGTGAAGAGAGGCCATGAACCAAGGGATGCAGGTGGCTTCATATGTTGATTTTGCATCCTCCAACTTTACTGAATTTGATCAGTTCCAATAGTTTTTTTATGGAATGTTTAGCTTTTTCCAAGTATAAGATCATATCATCTGAAAACAGGGATAATTTGACTTCTCCTTTTTCAAACTGGATGCCCTTTATTTATTTCTCTTGTCTTATTGCTCTAGCTAGGAATTCCACTACTATGTTAAATAACAGTGGTGAAAGTGGGCATCCTTGTCATGTTCCCAATATTAGAGGAAAGGATTTCAGTTTTTCCCATTTAATATGATACTAGCTATGAGACTGTGTATATGCCTTTTATTATGTTGAGGTATGTTTCTTCTACACCCAGTGTTTTGAGGGTTTTCATCATAAAGGGATGTTGAATTTTATCAAATGCTTTTTCAGCATCAACTAAAATGATCATATGGATTTTGTCTTTTATTCTATTGATATGATGTATTGCATTAATTGATTTGCACATGTTGAACCATCCTTGAATCCCTGCAATAAATTCCACTTGATCATGATGAATGGTCTTTTAAGTGTTTTCTTGAATTCGGTTTGCTAGTATTTTGTCAAGGATTTTTGCATCAATACTTATCAGTGATATTGGCCTGTGGTTTTCTTTTTTTGATATGTCATTGTCTGGTTTTGATATCAGGGTAATACTGGCCTCACAGAATGAGTTTGAAAGTACTCACTCCTCCTCATTTTTTGGAACAGTGTGAGTAGCATTGGTATAAGTTCTTCTTAAAATGTTTGGTAGAATTCAGCAGTGAAGCCACTGGGTTTCTTGCTTTTCTTTTTTTTTATTATTTTATTTTATTATTATTATACTTTAAGTTTCAGGGTACATGTGCACAATGTGCAGGTTAGTTACATATGTATACATGTGCCATTCTGGTGTGCTGCACCCATTAACTCGTCATTTACCATTAAGTATATCTCCTAATGCTATCCCTCCCCGCTTCCCCGACCCCACAACAGTCCCCAGAGTGTGATGTTCCCCTTCCTGTGTCCATGTGTTCTCATTGTTCAATTCCCACCTATGAGTGAGAACATGCGGTGTTTGGTTTTTTGTTCTTGCGATAGTTTACTGAGAATGATGATTTCCAATTTCATCCATGTCCCTACAAAGGACATGTACTCATCATTTTTTATGGCTGCATAGTATTCCATGGTGTATATGTTCCACATTTTCTTAATCCAGTCTATCATTGTCGGACATTTGGGTTGGTTCCAATTCTTTGCTATTGTGAATAGTGCCGCAATAAACATACATGTGCATATGTCTTTATAGCAGCATGATTTATAGTCCTTTGGGTATATACCCAGTAATGGGATGGCTGGGTCAAATGGTATTTCTAGTTCTAGATCCCTGAGGAATCGCCACACTGACTTCCACAATGGTTGAACTAGTTTACAGTCCCACCAACAGTGTAAAAGTGTTCCTATTTCTCCACATCCTCTCCAGCACCTGTTGTTTCCTGACTTTTCAATGATCACCATTCTAACTGGTGTGAGATGGTATCTCATTGTGGTTTTGATTTGCATTTCTCTGATGGCCAGTGATGATGAGCATTTTTTCATGTGTTTTTTGGCTGCATAAATGTCTTCTTTTGAGAAGTGTCTACTCATGTCCTCCGCCCACCTTTTGATGGGGTTGTTTGTTTTTTTCTTGTAAATTTGTTTGAGTTCATTGTAGATTCTGGATATTAGCCCTTTATCAGATGAGTAGGTTACGAAAATTTTCTCCCATTTTGTGGGTTGCCTGTTCACTCTGATGATAGTTTCTTTTGCTGTGCAGAAGCTCTTTAGTTTAATTAGATCCCATTTGTCAATTTTGGCTTTTGTTGCCATTGCTTTTGGTGTTTTAGACATGAAGTCCTTGCCCATGCCTATGTCCTGAATGGTAATGCCTAGGTTTTCTTCTAGGGTTTTGATGGTTTTAGTTCTAACGTTTAAGTCTTTAATCCATCTTGAATTAATTTTTGTATAAGGTGTAAGGAAGGGATCCAGTTTCAGCTTTCTACATATGGCCAGCCAGTTTCCCCAGCACCATTTATTAAATAGGGAATCCTTTCCCCATTGCTTATTTTTCTCAGGTTTGTCAAAGATCAGATATTTGTAGATATGTGGCGTTATATCTGAGGTCTCTGTTCTGTTCCATTGGTCTATATCTCTGTTTTGGTACCAGTACCATGCTGTTTTGGTTACTGTAGCCTTGTAGTATAGTTTGAAGTCAGGTAGCGTGATGCCTCCAGCTTTGTTCTTTTGGCTTAGGATTGACTTGGCGATGTGGGCTCTTTTTTGGTTCCATATGAACTTTAAAGTAGTTTTTCCCAATTCTCTGAAGAAAGTCATTGTTAGCTTGATGGGGATGGCATTGAATCTCTAAATTACCTTGGGCAGTATGGCCATTTTCACTATATTGATTCTTCCTACCCATGAGCATGGAATGTTCTTCCATTTGTTTGTACGCTCTTTTATTTCATTGAGCAGTGGTTTGTAGTTCTCCTTGAAGAGGTCCTTCACGTCCCTTGTAAGTTGGATTCCTAGGTATTTTATTATCTTTGAAGCAATTGTGAATGGGAGTTCACTCATGATTTGGCTCTCTGTTTGTCTGTTATTGGTGTATAAGAATGCTTGTGATTTTTGTACATTGATTTTGTATCCTGAGACTTTGCTGAAGTTGCTTATCAGCTTAAGGAGATTTTGGGCTGAGACAATGGGGTTTTCTAGATATACAATCATGTCATCTGCAAACAGGGACAATTTAATTTCATCTTTTCCTAATTGAATACTCTTTATTTCCTTCTCCTGCCTAATTGCCCTGGCCAGAACTTCCAACACTATGTTGAATAGGAGTGGTGAGAGAAGGCATCCCTGTCTTGTGCCAGTTTTCAAAGGGAATGCTTCCAGTTTTTGCCCATTCAGTATGATATTGGCTGTGGGTTTGTCATAGATAGCTCTTATTATTTTGAGATACATCCCATCAATACCTAATTTATTGAGAGTTTTTAGCATGAAGGGTTGTTGAATTTTGTCAAAGGCCTTTTCTGCGTCTTTTGAGATAATCATGAGGTTTTTGTCTTTGGTTCTGTTTATATGCTGGATTACATTTATTGATTTGCGTATATTGAACCAGCCTTGCATCCCAGGGATGAAGCCCACTTGATCATGGTGGATAAGCTTTTTGATGTGCTGCTGGATTCAGTTTGCGAGTATTTTATTGAGGATTTTTGCATCAATGTTCATCAAGGATATTGGTCTAACATTCTCTTTTTTTGTTGTGTCTCTGCCAGCCTTTGGTATCAGGATGATGCTGGCCTCATAAAATGAGTTAGGGAGGATTCCCTCTTTTTCTATTGATTGGAATAGTTTCAGAAGGAATGGTACCAATTCCTCCTTGTACCTCTGGTAGAATTCGGCTGTGAATCCATCTGGTCCTGGACTCTTTTTGGTTGCTAAGCTATTGATTATTGCCTCAATTTCAGAGCCTGTTATTGGTCTGTTCAGAGATTCAACTTCTTCTTGGTTTAGTCTTGGGAGGGTGTATGTGTCGAGGAATTTATACATTTCTTCTAGATTTTCTAGTTTATTTGTGTAGAGGTGTTTGTAGTATTCTCTGATGGTAGTTTGTATTTCTGTGGGATCGGTGGTGACATCCCCTTTATCATTTTTTATTGTGTCTATTTGATTCTTCTCTCTTTTCTTCTTTATTAGTCTTGCTAGTGGTCTATCAATTTTATTGATCTTTTCAAAAAACCAGCTCCTGGATTCAACAATTTTTTGAAGGGTTTTTTATGTCTCTATTTCCTTCAGTTCTGCTCTGATTTTAGTTATTTCTTGCCTTCTGCTAGCTTTTGAATGTGTTTGCTCTTGCTTCTCTAGTTCTTTTAATTGTGACGTTAGGGTGTCAATTTTGGATCTTTCCTGCTTTCTCTTGTGGGCATTTAGTGCTATAAATTTCTCTCTACACACTGCTTTGAATGTGTCCCAGAGATTCTGGTATGTTGTGTCTTTGTTCTCGTTGGTTTCAAAGAACATCTTTATTTCTGCCTTCATTTCGTTATGTACCCAGTAGTCATTCAGGAGCAGTTTGTTCAGTTTCCATGTAGTTGAGAGGTTTTGAGTGAGTTTCTTAATCCTGAGTTCTATTTTGATTGCACTGTGGTCTGAGAGACAGTTTGTTATAATTTCTATTCTTTTACATTTGCTGAGGAGAGCTTTACTTCCAACTATGTGGTCAATTTTGGAATAGGTGTGGTGTGGTGCTGAAAAAAATGTATATTCTGTTGAATTGGGGTGGAGAGTTCTGTAGATGTCTATTAGGTCTGCTTGGTGCAGAGCTGAGTTCAATTCCTGGGTATCCTTGTTAACTTTCTGTCTCGTTGATCTGTCTAATGTTGACAGTGGGGTGATAAAGTCTCCCATTATTAATGTGTAGGAGTCTAAGTCTCTTTGTAGGTCACTCAGGACTTGCTTTATGAAACTGGGTGTTCCTGTATTGGGTGCATATATATTTAGGATAGTTAGCTCTTCTTGTTGAATTGATCCCTTTACCATTATGTAATGGCCTTCTTTGTCTCTTTTGATCTTTGTTGGTTTAAAGTCTGTTTTATCAGAGACTAGGATTGCAACCCCTGCCTTTTTTTGTTTTCCATTTGCTTGGTAGATCTTCCTCCATCCTTTTATTTTGAGCCTATGTGTGTCTCTGCACATGACATGGGTTTCCTGAATACAGCACACTGATGGGTCTTGACTCTTTATCCAATTTGCCAGTCTTGTGTCTTTTAATTGGAGCATTTAGTCCATTTACATTTAAAGTTAATATTGTTATGTGTGAATCTGATCCTGTCATTTTGATGTTAGCTGGTTATTTTGCTCGTTAGTTGATGTAGTTTCTTCCTAGCCTTGATGGTCTTTACAATTTGGCGTGATTTTTCAGTGGCTGGTACCAGTTGTTCCTTTGCATGTTTAGTGCTTCCTTCAGGAGCTCTTTTAGGGCTGGCCTGGTGGTGACAAAATCTCTCAGCATTTGCTTGTCTGTAAAGTATCTTATTTCTCCTTCAATTATGAAGCTTAGTTTGGCTGGATATGAAATTCTGGGTTGAAAATTCTTTTCTTTAAGAATGTTGAATATTGGCCCCCACTCTCTTCTGGCTTGTAGAGTTTCTGCCAAGAGATCTGCTGTTAGTCTGATGGGCTTCCCTTTGTGGGTAACCCGACCTTTCTCTCTGGCTGCCCTTAACATTTTTTCCTTCATTTCAACTTTGATGAATCTGACAGTTATGTGTCTTGGAGTTGCTCTTCTCGAGGAGTATCTTTATGGCGTTCTCTGTATTCCCTGAATCTGAATGTTGGCCTGCCTTGCTAGATTGGGGAAGTTCTCCTGGATAATATCCTGCAGAGTGTTTTCCAACTTGGTTCCATTCTCCCCGTCACTTTCAGGTACACCAATCAGACGTAGATTTGGTCTTTTCACATAGTCCCATATTTCTTGGAGGCTTTGTTCATTTCTTTTTATTCTTTTTTCTGTAAACTTCTCTTCTCACTTCATTTCATTCATTTCATCTTCCATCACTGATACCCTTTCTTCCAGTTGATCGCATCGGCTCCTGAGGCTTCTGCATTCTTCACGTAGTTCTGGAGCCTTGGCTTTCAGCTCCATCAGCTCCTTTAAGCACTTCTCTGTATTGGTTATTCTAGTTATACATTCTTCTAAATTTTTTTCAAAGTTTTCAACTTCTTTGCCTTTGCTTTGAATTTCCTTCTGTAGCTCGTAGTAGTTTGATCATCTGAAGCCTTCTTCTCTCAACTCATCAAAGTCATTCTCCATCCAGCTTTGTTCCGTTGCTGGTGAGGAACTGTGTTCCTTTGGAGGAGGAGAGGCGCTCTGCTTTTTAGAGTTTCCAGTTTTTCTGCTCTGTTTTTTCCCCATCTTTGTGGTTTTATCTACTTTTGGTCTTTGATGATAGTGACATACAGATGGGTTTTTGGTGTGGACGTCCTTTCTGTTTGTTAGTTTTCCTTCTAACAGACAGGACCCTCAGCTGCAGGTCTGTTGGAGCTTGCTAGAGGTCCACTCCAGACCCTGTTTGCCTGGGTAACAGCAGCCGTGGCTGCAGAACAGTGGATTTTCATGAACTGCGAATGCTGCTGTCTGATTGTTCCTCTGGAAGTTTTGTCTCAGAGGAGTACCCGGCCGTGTGAGGTGTCAGTCTGCCCCTACTGGGGGGTGCCTCCCAGTTAGGCTGCTCAGGAGTCAGGGGTCAGGGACCCACTTGAGGAGGCAGTCTGCCCGTTCTCAGATCTCCAGCTGCATGCTGGGAGAACCACTGCTCTCTTCAAAGCTGTCAGACAGGGACATTTAAGTCTGCAGAGGTTACTGCTGTCTTTTTGTTTGTCTCTGCCCTGCCCCCAGAGGTGGAGCCTACAGAGGCAGGCAGGCCTTCTTGAGCTGTGGTGGGCTCCACCCAGTTCACGCTTCCAGGCTGCTTTGTTTACCTAAGCAAGCTTGGGCAATGGCGGGCACCCCTCCCCCAGCCTCACTGCTGCCTTGCAGTTTGATCTCAGACTGCTGTGCTAGCAATCAGCGAGACTCCTTGGTCATAGGACCCTCCGAGCCAGGTGCGGGATATAATCTCCTGGTGTGCCGTTTTTTAAGCCTGTTGGAAAAGTGCAGTATTAGGGTGGGAGTGACCCGATTTTCCAGGTGCCGTCCATCACCCCTTTCTTTGACTAGGAAAGGGAACTCCCTGACCCCTTGCGCTTCCCAAGTGAGGCAATGCCTCACCCTGCTTCGGCTCACACAGGGTGTGCTGCACCCACTGTCCTGTGCCCACTGTCTGGCACTCCCTAGTGAGATGAACCCGGTACCTCAGACGGAAATGCAGAAATCACCCATCTTCTGCGTCGCTCATGTTGGGAGCTGTAGACCGGAGCTGTTCCTATTCGGCCATCTTGGCTGCTTCCTCTTGCTTTTCTTTACTGGAAGAAATTTTGTTACAGCTTTGATCTCATTACTTGTTATAGATCTGCTCAGGTTTTGGACTTTCTTCATGGATCAGTCTTGGTAGGTTGTCTGTTTCTAAGGATTTATCTGTTTCTTTTAGATTTTCCAGGTGATTGGCATATAGTTGCTCATAGTAGCACCTAATTAACCTTTGAATTTCTTCAGTATCAGTTGTGATGTCCTCCTTTTCAACTCTGATTTTATTTATTTGAGACTTCTCTCTTTTTTCTTGCAGAGTTTGGCTAAAAAGTTTTGTCAATTTTGTTTATCTTTTCAAAAAAACAACTTTTTGTTTCATTGATCTTTTGTATTGTTTTCTTCATTTCAATTTTATTTATTTTTGCTCTGATCTTTATTATTTCTTCTACTAATTTTGGGTTTGGTTTGCTCTTGCTTTTCTAGTTCTATATGATGCATTATTTTGCTGTTTATTTGAAGTTTTTCCTCCTTTTTTGATGTGGGTGCTTATAGCTATAAACTTCCTTCATAGAACTGCTTTTGCTTTGTCCCATAGGTTTTGTTATGTTGTGTTTCCACTATCATTTGTTTCAAGAAATTTTTAAATTTTCTTTTTAATTTCTTTATGGACACACTGGTCATTTAGGAGCATATTGATTAATTTCCATGAGTTTGTACAGTTTCCAAAATTTCTCTTCTTAATGATTTCTAGTTATATTCCATTGTGGTCAGTGAAGATACTCAATATTAGGCTGGGCATAGTGGCTCACACCTGTAATCCAAGCACTTTGGGAGGGTGAGGAGGATGGATCACTTGAACCCAGGAGTTTGAGACCGGCCTGGGCAACATGGAGAAACCTTGTCTCTACAAAACGCACTCATACACACACACACACACGCACACGCGCGCACACACACACACACACACACACACACACACACATCCCTTAAAAAAGATGCTTGATATTATTTCAATTTTTAAAAAATGTTTTGAGACTTATTTTGTGTTCTAATATAAGGTTTATCCTAGAAAGTAATCCATGTGCTGAGGAAAAAATGTGTAGTCAGCAGCCACTGAATGAAATGTTCTGTAAGGATCTATTAGGCCCACTTGGTCTATAGTGCAGATGAAGTCTGATGCTTCTTTTTTGATTTTCTCTCTGGAAGATCTGCTTAGTACTGAAAATGATGTGCTGAAGTCTCCAGCTATTATTGTATTGGGGCCTATTTTTCTCTTTAGCTCTAATAATATTTGCTTTATACAACTGAGTGCTCCAGTGTTGGGTGCATATATATTTACAATTGTTTTATCCTTTTGCTGAATTGACTCTTTTATCATTATATAGTGGCCTTTATCTCTTCTTATTGTTTTTGTCTTGAAATTTATTTGGTCTGATAGGAGTATAGCTATTCCTGTTCTTTGGTTTTCCTTGCATGGAATAGTTTTTTCCATCTCTTCATTTTCAGTTTATGTGTGTCTTTACAGGTAAAGTGTGTTTCTTGTAGGCAATAGATCATTGGGTCTTTTTTAAAAAAATTCAGCCACTCTGTGTCTTTTGATTGAAGAGTTTAGTCCTTTTACATTCAGTGTTATTATTGATAAGTAAGGACTGTGAACCCAAAAGTATCTGAGACAGGTCTCAATCAATTTATAAAGTTTGTTTTGTCAAGGTTAAAGACATGACCGTGACACAGCCTCAGGAGGTCCTGATGACATATGCCCAAGGTGGTTGTGGTACAGCTTGATTTTATATATTTTGGGAGATGTGATATGTGTAATAGGTACATTGATTAATTAATACGTGTAATCAATTAATATGTGTAATCAATTAATATGTGTAATATGTAATATTACATGTTAATTAATCAATTAATATGTGTAATATGTAATATTACCTGTTAATTAATCAATTAATATGTGTAATATGTACATTGGTTCAATCTGGTAGGCGGGACAACTTGAAATGGGGGCTGCCAGGTCATAGGTAGATAAAAGACAGATGGTTGCATTCTTTTGAGTCTTTGATCAACTTTTCACTGAATATACAATTTATATGTGAGGGGTTGGGGTAGGAGATAGTCACTTCTGCCTTAATCTGCCTCAGAGAATCTCTATTTTTACATAAACAATTGGACAGAGGAAGAAATCAGATATGCAGTTGTCTCAGGCGAGCAGAAGGATGACTATCAGTGCTGTCCTTTGTCCTGAACCTGTTAAGATAAGCTATCAATTTATATTGCCAAGATAAAATTCAGCAGAACTGTTTTAGAGTGAAGATCTTAAGGTCCACAAGGAATTTTCTTGTCAGCAAATCGTGAGAAGGTATGTATATCTTTTACATTTGTAGCTTTCTTATTTAGGAATAAAGTGGGAGGCATGTTTGCCTGACATAGTTCCCAGCTGAAGTTTTCCCTTTGGCTTAATGATTTTGGGGTCCCAAGATTTATTTTCCTTTTACAGGACTTACTCCTGCCATTTTTTATTTGTTTTCTGGTTGTTTTGTGGTCTTTTTTTCCTTCTTTTTTTTTTTCTTCCTGTCTTCCTTTTAGTGAAGGTGATTTTCTCTGGTGGCATGATTCGTTTTCTTGGTTTTTATTTTTCATGTATCCAGTGTATTTTTTTGATTTGAGGTTAACATGAGGCTTACAAATCTTATCTTACAACCCATTATTTTAAGCTGATAACCACTTAACATTGTTTGCATAAATAAACAAGCAAGCAAAAAGAAAATTAATAAAAACTCTACACCTTAACTTGGTCTCCCTGCTTTTTAACTTTTTGTTGTTTCTATTTATACCTTATTGTACTGGCTGTATCTTGAAAAGTTTTTGTAGTTATTATTTTTGATGGGTTCATCATTTTATGTTTCTACTTAATATAAGGCTAGTTTACACACCACAGTTACAGTTTTATAATATTCTGTGATTACATGTGTATATATTATTAACAGTGAGTTTTGTGCCTTGAGGTAATTTATTAGTGCTCATTAACATCCTTTTCTTTCTGATTGAAGTACTCTCTTGAACATTTCTTGTAGGACAGGTCCAGTGTTGATAAAATCCCTCAACTTTTGTTTGTCTGTGAAAGTCTTTATTTTCCCTTCATATGTGAAGGATATTTCCACCAAACATAGTATTCTAGGGTAAAATTTTTTTTCCTGCAGCACTTTAAATGCCACCCTCTCTTGGCCCGTAAGGTTTCCACTGAAAAGTCTGCTGCCAGATATATTGGGTTCCATTGTATGTTATTTGTTTCTTTTCTCTTGATGCCTTTCAGATCCTTTATTTATCTTTGACTTTTGGGAGTTTGATCATTAAATGCCTTGAGATAGTCTTCTTTGGGTTAAATCTGCTTGGTGTTCTATACCCTTCTTATGTTTGGATATTGATATCTTTCTCTAGTCTTGAGAAGTTCTCTGTTATTATCCCTTTGAATAAACTTTCTAACTCTTTCTCTCTCTCTACCTCCTCTTTAAAGCCAGTAACTCTTAGATTTGCCCTTTTGAGGCTATTTTCTAGGTCCTGTAGGCATGCTTCCTTGTTTTTTATTCTTTTTTTTTTGTCTCCTCTGACTGTGTAGTTTTGTTTATATGTATTTTTTCTTTATTTCTTCTAAAATAAAACCAGGATACATGTGCAGAATGTGCAGGTTTGTTACATAGGTGTACACGTGCCATGCTGGTTTGCTGCACCTATTGACCCATCCTCTAATTTCCCTCCCCTCACCCCCCACACCTCAAAAGGCCCTAGTGTGTGTTGCTCCCCTCTCTGTGTCCATGTGTTCTGAACGTTCAGCTCCCACATGAGAACATGTGGTGTTTGGTTTTCTGTTTCTGTGTTAGTTTGCTGAGGATGATGGGTTCCAGCTTCATCCATGTCCCTACAAAGTACACGATAGCATTCTTTTTTATGGCTGTGTAGTAGTCCATGGTGTATATGTACCACATTTTCTTTATCCAGTCTATCATTGATGGTCATTTGGGTTGGTTCCATGTCTTTGCTATTGTAAATAGTGCTGTAATAAACATATACGTGTGTGTGTCTTTATAGTAGAATGATTTATAATCCTCTGGGTATATACCCAGTAATGAGATTGCTTGTTCAAATGGTATTTCTGGTTCTAGATCCTTGAGGAATCACCATACTGTCTTCCACAATGATTGTACTAATTTACATTCCCAAAAACAGTGTAAAAGTGTTCCTATTTCTCCACAGCCTTGCCAATATCTATTGTTTCCTGACTTTTTGACAATTGCCATACTTACTGGTGTGAGATGGTATCTCTTTGTGATTTTGATTTGCATTTCTCTGGTGGTCAGTGACATCGGGCTTTTTGTTATATGTTTGTTGGCTGTGTTAATGTCTTCTTTTGAGAAGTGTCTGTTCATATCCTTTGGCCACTTTTTGATGGGGTTGTTTGTCTTTTTCTTGTAAATATGTTTAAGTTCCTTGTCAATTCTGGACATTAGACATTTGTAAGATGGGTAGATTTCAAAAATTTTCTCCCATTCTGTAGGTTGCCTGTTCACTCTGATGATGGTTTCTTTTGCTGTTCAGAAGCTCTTTAGTTTAATTAGATCTCACTTGTCAATTATGACTTTTGTTGCAATTGCTTTTGGCGTTTTCCTCATGAAGTCTTTGCCCATGCCTATGTCCTGAATTATGGTATTGCCTAGGTTTTCTTCTAGGGCTTTTATGGCTTTGGGTTTTACATTTAAGTCTTTAATCCATATTGAGTTAATTTTTGTATAAGGTATAAGGAAGGGGTCCAGTTTCAATTTTCTGCATATGGCTATCCAGTTTTCCCAGCACCGTTTACTGAATAGGAGATCCTTTCCCCATTGCTTGTTTTTCTCAGGTTTGTTGGAGAACAGATGGTTGTAGATGTTTGGTGTTATTTCCATGGTCTCTGTTTTGCTCCACTGGTCTATATGTCTGTTTTGGTACCAGTACCATGTTGTTTTATTTGCTGTAGCCTTGTAATATAGTTTGAAGTCAGGTAGCGTGATGTCTCCAGCTTTGTTGTTTTTACTTAGGATTGTCTTGACTATATGGGGTCTTCTCTGATTCCACATGAAATTTAAAATAGTTTTTTCTAATTCTGTGAAGAATGTCAATGGTAGTTTGAGGGACTAGCACTGAACCTATAAATTACTTTGGGCAGTGTGGCCATTTTTGCAATGTTGATTCTTCCTATCCATGAGTATAGAATGTTTTTCCATTTGTTTGTGTCCTCTCTTATTTCCTTGAGCAGTGGTTTGTAATTCTGCTTGAAGAGGTCCTTCACATCCCTTGTTAGCTGTATTCCTAGGTATTTTATTCTCTTTGTAGTGATTGTGAATGGGAGTTCATTCATGATTTGGCTCTCTGCTTACCTATTGGGGTAAAGGAATGCTTGTGATTTTTGCACATACTGATTTTGTATCCTGAGACTTTGCTGAAGTTGCTTATCAGTTCAAGAAGTGTTTGGGCTGAGATGATGGGCTTTTCTAAATATAAAACCATGTCATCTGCAAACAGAGACATCTTGACTTTCTCTCTTCTTATTGAATACACAGTCAGAGGAGACAAAAGAAAAAAAAAAAAAAACAAGGAAGCATGCCTACAGAACCTAGAAAATAGCCTCAAAAGGGCAAATCTAAGAGTTATTGGCTTTAAAGAGGAGGTAGAGAGAGAGAGTTAGAAAGTTTATTCAAAGGGATAATAACAGAGAACTTCTCAAGACTAGAGAAAGATATCAATATCCAAATATAAGAAGGGTATAGAACACCAAGCAGATTTAACCCAAAGAAGACTATCTCAAGACATTTAATGATCAAACTCCCAAAAGTCAAAGATAAATAAAGGATCTGAAAGGCATCAAGAGATTGCCCTGGTCAGAACTTCCAATACTATGTTGAATAGGAGTGGCGAGAGAGGGCATCCTTGTCTTGTACCAGTTTTCAGAGGGAATACTTCCAGCTTTTGCCCATTCCATATGATATTGGTGGTGGATTTTTCATAAATGGCTCTTACTATTATGAGATATGTTCCATCAATACCTAGTTTATTGAGAGTTTTTAACTTGAAGGGATGTTGAATTTTATTAAAGGGCTTTTCTGCATCTATTGAGATAATCATGTAGTTTTTGTCTTTGGCTCTGTTTATGTAATGGACTATGTTTATTGATTTATATATGTTGAACCAGCTTTTCATCCCAGGGATGAAGGTGACTTGATCATGGTGGATAAATTTTTTGATGTGCTGCGGGATTTGTTTTGCCAGTATTTTATTGAAGATTTTTGCATTAATGTTCATTAGGGATATTGGCCTGAAGTTTTCTCTTTTTGTTTTGTCTCCTCCTGGTTTTGGTATCAGGTTGATGCTGGCTTCATAAAATGAGTCAGGCAGGAGTCCTTCCTTTTCAATTGTTTGGAATAGTTTCAGAAGGAATGGTATCAGCCCCTCTTTGTATTTCTGGTAGAATTCAGCTGTGAATCCATCTGGTCCTGGACTTTTTTTTGTGAAGCTCTTAATTACTGCCTGATTTTCAGAGCTTGTTATTGGTCTATTCAGGGATTCACCTTATTCCTGGATTAGTCTTGGTAGGGTGTATGTGTCCAGAAATTTATTAATTTCTGCTTCAATTTCAGACCTTGTTATTGGTCTATTTAGGTATTTGACTTATTCTTGCTTTAGTCTTGGAAGGGTGTATGTGTCCAGGAATTTATCATTTTCTTCTAGATTTTCTAGTTTATTTGCATAGAGGTCTTTATAGTATTCTCTGATGGTAGTTTGTATTTCTGTGGGGTCAGGGGTGATATCACCTTTTTTATTGTGTCTATTAAATTTTTATCTCTTTTCTTCTTTATTAGTCTAGCTAGTGCTCTATTTTGTTAATTTTTTCAAAAAACCAGCTCCTGGATTCATTGATCTTTTTTTTTTTTTTTCCTTTGGAGGTTCTTTGTGTCTCTATTTTCTTCAATACTGCTCTGATCTTAGTTATTTCTTATCTTCTGCTGGGTTTTGGAATACATTGCTCTTGCTTCTCTAATGCTTTTAATTGTGTTGTTAAGGTGTCAGTTTGAGATCCTTCTAGCTTTCTGATATGGGCATTTAGTGCTATAAATTTCCCTCTTAACACTGCTTTAGCTGTGTCCCAGAGATTCTGGTACATTGTCTTTTTGTTCTCATTGGTTTCAAAGAACTTCCTTATTTCTGCCTTAATTTCATTATTTACCCAGGAGTCATTCAGCAGCAGGTTGTTCAGTTTCCATGTAATTGTGTGGTTTTGAGTGAGTTTCTTAATCCTGAGTTCTAATTTGATTGCACTGTGGTCTGAGAGACTGTTATGATTTCAGTTCTTTTTCATTTGCTGAGGAGTGTTTTACTTCCAATTATGTGGTTGATTTTAGAATAAGGGCCAAGTGGCACTGAGAAGAATGTACATTCTGTTGATTTGGGATAGAGACTTCGGTAGATGTCTACTAGGTCCACTTGATCTAGAGCTGAGTTCAAGTCCTGAATAACCTTGTTAATTTTCTGTCTCATTGATCTGTCTAATATTGACAGTGGGGTGTTAAAGTCTCCCACTATTATTTTGTCTGACTGTTGTCAGTGTTCCCTCGAGGCCCAAGGGCTCTTCATTCAGCTTGTGGTAAATGTTGCCTGGCCTGGGTCTAACCCTTCAGGGAAGTGGGCTCGTCTCTGGCCCAGGGCAGGTTCTGAAATGCCCTCCATGAGCCAAATCCTGGAATTAGAGACCCCAGGATCCCACTTGGTTCTCCATTCCTCTTTGGCCAAGCTGCTACCTAAGGTGCAAGACAAAGTCCACTTGGCCTTTTTGTCCACTTTTCTCAAGAAGCAGGGGTCTCTCCCCATAGACACCATAGCTGGGAATGTGCTGAGTCTTACCTGAAACCAGCAAGTTTCAGAGTCTCACCCAAGCTCCATGGTGTGCTACCTTGGTATTGCTGCTGGTTTTTCAGAACCAAAGGGCTCTTTAGTCAGCAGATGATGGGTCCTACAGGACTGGCTCCTTCCCTTCAAGGAAGTACGTTCTCTTTTGTCCCAGGGCAGGCATGGTGATGTCATCTGGGAGCAAGGGCCTAGAGAAGTGGCTTCACTACTCTGACTGGTGCCCTTATCCTACTGTGGCTGGGCTAGTATTCAAGACAGAGTCCTCTTTACTCTTCCCTTTCCTCCTCTCAAGCGAAAGAGGGTGTCTTTTCAATTCACGAGCTGTGCAGCCTGGGGTTGGAGAGAGGTGGCACAAGCACTCTCTTAGCTGCCCTGGCTGATGTCTCACTAGGTCATGTGCTCCCCAAGTCCACTGGTACCAAGCCCAGCACAGCATTAGGTCTTGCCTAGGAATTGCAGTCTTTGTGGCCTAGGCAGCCTTTGCCTTTCAAGTTTATTTAGAACCCCAGAACACTTTAGCCCATGGCAGCAAGGCTTGCTGAAAGTCAAGTTCTGACTGCTGGGATGGGCAATTCCCCTCTGGATAGGGCTGGCTTAAATACTTCCTCCATCAATGGGCATCAGCTGAGTTCAGCCCAGTTTTGCTCACTGCTATGACAGAGTAGCACTAAGTTCAATGCAGTGTCTCACAATTGCTACACTTTTCCTTTCCCAAAAGCACAGATTCTCTTTCTGTGTCAGGCAGCTGCTGCCAGGGATGGCGCAGGGGTGGTGTGGAAGATTCAAGACTGTCTTTTCTCCCCTCTTCAGTGCATCTTTCAATGACATGAAGTTAAAACCAGGTATTATGAGTGCTCACCTGATTTTTGGTTGTTATGAAGGTGTTTTCTTAAAAAATGTAGATATGTTGTTAAATTGGTGTTCCTTCCAGGGAAACAACTGGTGGAAACTTCTATTCAGCCCTCTTGCTCCACCTCTCCTATACATTGTTTTAAGCAGTGAGTTTATGGTACTTTGTTATAGCAGCAATAGGAAACTAATACGCTAAGGAAACTGCACTCCCAACTGGGAGAGAGTGCTGCCTTATTCCTACTTTGACAGCCTTCTCTGTGCAGTCAATATATTTGCCACTGTAGGCACTTGATATAAAGTTAACTGTGCCTTTTGAGGTCTTTCTGTCCTTTACTGTTCCATTGTAACACCCATCGTAGGTAAAGTGATAACAAACTCTGCTCTGTGATCTCAAAAGAATGAACAGAGAGTGGGCCTTAACTTTTAGGTTGCTAATATTTCTGGATATTAAGTGTAACTCTTACAAGCAACAGCGTGTTAAAATTATTTTAAAATTTAATTAAGGACAGTTTCTTTTTACAGGAAAATTTTGCCTCCTTACTTATAGTTTTTTTTATTTCCTTGCTCCAATTGCATTTTCATTATTGGTTCTGTTCATATGTTGAAATTTAATAATGCCATTCATTCTTTTCCCTTTTCATTTACATCGTATCTCCACAGATGCTAAACTTTCCAAACAATGCATTCAGTTTACATCATGATGAGGGATTTCAAAGTTAGATGTTTTTCTTAGAATATGCATCTCTCTTTCCAAATTTCCCATTGAAATAAATAATTAAGAGAAAAGCTCAGATTACATACAAGGAGATAAAAATTAAAGTGTCCTCAGAATTGTTTTCTTTTCCAGTGAATATTATAAGAATTCAGAAATGACAGAGTTCTAGGGGAAATTATTTGAAAAGAATAGGACTGTAACCATACAAATTTTCTGTGAGGACACAGAAAGTGCTTCTTAGATATAAAAGAAAACTGGAAAAATGAGTCAAAGATAAGAATGCAGTAATGATGAAATAGCAATTGGAGAAAACTAGTGGTGATTACTAAACTCAATTCATTTCTTCATTTACTCAAAAAATATTTATTTAATGACTCTTAGGCCTTGATCACTGTTCTAGGTGCTAGGGATATAGTTGTAAGCAGATCTTCTCCATAAAGTTTAAATTCTAGTGGAGGAGAAGATGAAAAAGCAAAATGAATAAATGTAATATATACTGTGCTGGATGATGATACATATGATTAAAATAACTAAATCCAAGAGGGGGATACAATGGGAGTTTATGGAGTATTGTATTTAAAATATGATAGTCAGGGCTGAGAAGACGATACCTGAGTAAATGTATGAAGTAGGTGCTAAACTAAGGAATGTTTTAATAATTTTTTAAATACACTAAATTATATACAGTGTTTTTCTTTTAAAGTTATATTTTAAATTTATAATAAAATAGAAATTATACATTGTTAAATTTCAGGGAAGACTTTAGTGTAGAAGTTAAATATATGAGCTCTGGCTCCAAAGTTTCTGGGTTTAAAGTTCAGCTCTACCATATACTAAGTTTTATGACCATGGTTGAGTTAAACTCTCAGCAACTCAATTTCCCTACTTGTAACTGGAAACAAGAATAACAGCTGTTTCGTAGAGTTGTAGTTAGGGTAAAATGAGTTAACATATAAAGTGCTTAAAACTGACTGGCACATAGTAAGTACTCAATAAATATTAGGTATTACTATGGCTATTCTTGTTATTATAATATTAAATCTACAAGGATCAGAAGGAGAAACATGGACCCAATAGGAACCCCTACTTTTCAAAAAGATAGGTAAAATAATACTGTTCAGTTATTGAATTAATTTAATATGGGTCATTGCCAAACTACCAGATTCACTAGTAGGAACAAATGTGTTTCTTTCTCTTTATAATTTTTGCAGAGAATAATAGCAGAATAATAAAGAAAATCAAGAATAGAATGCATAGAATAAAGTTGACTGAAACAAAAGCAAACTCAACAATTAATGATATTTAATGTAAACAGGCCAAATCTCCATATGAACAAATAAATCACCATCTAACCAGTTTTTTTTTAAACAAAGGAATATTCTTCACACAAAAGTACACCATTGTAAAATGAAACAGGAAAAAAGAGATGTATTAGGAAAGATTTCAAAAATTTAAAAAAGCAAGAATGACATTATTCATATCAAACAGGTATAAATTAAGACAAAACCTTCAGAATAGGACAGTTATTTCATAATGTTAATAACTACCATACACAACTAAGATGAAAAAAATCCTGAAATAATATTATAATTTATAAACCAAGACCTGTTAGAATTAAAAATTGAAATCCACAAATAATATAGTGGGATATTTTAATACTCCTTTATATATTCATGTTGGAGCAAGAAGACAAAACATATATAATATTTGAATAATATGATTAATAATTGAACTAATAGTTTGGTATCTGACATTGTAATCCATGCAGAGAAAATATTTTTTTATTTTTAAATGATAAAGGAACATTTATTCAAATAAAACTTTGACTAGGCCAAAAAATTTCAACATACTTCACAAGTAGAATTTCAATATACTTCACAAGTATACAGAGATTGTTACAATCAATGTGAAATGCACTTTGGCCATATCTTGCCGAGTTAAAGATATGGATAACCCATCACTGATGGTTGCAGTCCTAGGTACCCTATAGAAATTTTTCCTCATGTGCATAAGAAGATCATGCAAGAATGTTTGTTGCACCACCATTCATAATTGCAAAAAACTGGAGAGGCCTTAACTGTCTATCTAAAGAAGAATAGAAGCATGAATTTTGGAGTATATATGCAATTAAAAACTCTATAGCAGTTCAAATGAATAAACTATGAGTACATACAACAGTGGATGGATCTAAAAAATATAAAATTTAGCCAAAAAGAGCAAGTTTTAAAATTATACAGTGTGATTCTATTTATATAAATCTAAAAACATACAACAATACATTTTGCTAATGGATATATATGGGAACAATACCACATTAAGTAATGAAAATAATAACTACTAAGTGCAATATGGAACTTACCTTTTGTGAGTTAGAAACCCTATGGGTCAGATTCTTTGGTTACCTAAAACATAACAAGAATTAATTTTAAAATTTTAATAACATTTTTTCAATCATTTGTATACTTAAAACATCCCCACAGATTACCATAGGATCAAACAACAAAAAACAGTCAACAGCTTACCAAAGAAAAAAAAGAAATATGAATATCAAAACTTACATGATTTGGCCAAAGATAAACTTATTCACAAGTAAATATGTATTTTTTAAGTTTTTACTTTTATTTTAGATACAGGGGATACATGTGCACCTATGTTTTACATGGAAATATTGTCTGATGAGGTTTGGGGTATGGATCCCATCACCCAGTGATGCATAGTATCTGATAGGTAGTTTTTTGATCCTCTTCCTCTTTCCACCCTCTACCCTCAAGCAGGCCCTGGTGTTTGTTGGTCTCTTCTTTGTGTCCACGTGTACTCAATGCTTAGCTCCTACTTATAAGGGAGAAAATGTAAAATTTGGTTTTCTCTTCCTGCATTAGTTTGCTTAGGATTATAGCCTCCAGCTCCATCCATGTTGCTACAAAGGACATCATTTTGCTCTCTTTTTTATGGCTGTGTAAAATTCCATGTTGTTTATATGTACCACATTTTCTTTAGCCAATCTGCCATTGATGGGCACCTGAGTTGACTACATGTCTTTGCTACTGTGAATAGCGCAGGGATGAACATACAAATACATGTGAGAAAACTCCAGACTGCTTTCCACAGTGGGTGGACTAATTTACATTCCTACCAACAGTGTATAAACATTCACTTTTCTCTGCAGCTTTGCCAGCATCTGTTTTGTTTTTTTTTTTGACTTTTTGATAATAGCCATTCTGATTAGCGTGAAATGGTATCTCACTGTGGTTTCAATTTGCATTTCTTTGATGATTAGTGATGGTGAGTGTTTTTTCATGTTTGTTGGCTGCTTGTATGCTTTCTTTTGAGAAGTGTCTGTTCATGTCCTTTGCTCTTCTTTTAATGGGGTTGTTTTTCACTCATTGATTTAAGTTCCCTATAGATTCTGGATATTAGGACTTTGTCCGATACGTAGCTTGTGATGTCTTTTCTCATTCTGTAGGTTGTCTGTTTACTCTGTTGATAGTTTCTTTTGCTGTGCAGAAGCTCTTTAGTTTAATTGGGTCCTATTTGTCTAGTTTTGTTTTTGTTGCGATTGCTTTTGGGGACTTAGCTAAAAATTCTTTGCCAAGGTCAATATCAAGAAGAATATTTTCTAGGTTATCTTCAGTGTTGTTACTATTCCTGTCAAACTACCAACATCATTCTTCACGGTATTAGAAAAAGCTATTCTAAAATTCATATGGAATCCGAAAAGAATGCAAATAGCTAAAGCAATCTTATGCAAAAAACAGAACAAAGAAAACAAAAGAAAACAAAACCCCCCCCAAAAAAAAAGCTAGAGGCATAACACTACCCAACTTCAAAATATACTGTAAAAATATAGTAATCAAAACAGCATGGTACTGGTACAAAATCAGACACATAGACCAAAGGAACAGAAAAGAAAACTCAGAAATATCTCCACACACATAACAACCATCTGATCTTTGACAGGACCAACACAAACAAGCAATGGGGAGAAGACTTCTTATTTAATAAATAATGCTGGGATAACTGGCTAGCCATATGCAGATGATTGAAGCTGGACCTCTACCTTTCAACATATATAAAAATTAACTTAAAATGAATCAAAGATTTAAATATAAGTAAACATTTTTATATTCTTTATACATTAATAAAAGAGAAAATTAATTAATCAAGCATTCAATGTAAAAAGATAGAAATAAAACAAAAATGTTAAATTTAAGGAATCTGAGTGAAAAGAAATAACACATACACACCAACACATGCACACACATATATAAATTAGACTTAAAATGAGATAAAATTTAAAAAGTCACAGATTGATATAGACAAGAATTAGTTTTTTTTAAAAAAGCCAAACTAATGGAAAATCTAAAAAGGAATATACACACCATTTGAAATGAGAAAGAGGATTTAACAATGAACAAAGAATAAATTAAACTCATAAGAGATTTGATGCACATTAAAGCCTACAACTTGAACATTTCAATGACATGAATAACTTGTCTGATGAAAGAAGTATTAAAATTGACTCAAGAGGTAGAAAACCTTTCTAATGTAATCGTTGGGAAAAAAATTTAAAAACATGCCAATTATCTAAAAACACATGCTCCAGAGTCACAAAGTGCTTGAAAATTATGCATTTAAATATTTCAGGAATAGTTCATTTCAACAGTATATACTTTGCTCAGAACATTAAAAACATGTATGTGCTTGTGTCATTCATGTTCCCCTCTAGATCCACTCCACCTTTCCCCTCACTGCCCTCATACCCAGATGTACTACTTTGAAGGACTCCCTGCACTCTGTTTTGGACTGGTTTCAGCCAAATGGGAAACCCAGCAGCAGGTTTAAGGGAGGAAAGAAAGTAAACTTGCAGTATTTATATCTTTAGCTCGTTTTCTGAGGAGTTACCTTAGGCTGTTTGAGACCCCTACTAAAGATTATAGGTTTTTGCAAGTTGGCCATTTTAATATTATCCTCTCATTCTGAGTTTGGTAACTATTTCTCCCTTTACCCCTTCAGACCTAGGTGTGTTAACCACCCTAAGATACTATAGTGTAGCTGGTGGTTAATCTACACTCCCTGCATACCTCTTTGTACATGGTAAATTTATTAATCTTTCCTGAAATTATCTTAATTTGACTATAATATTTGTTTCTTTCTGGTACACTGATTTATACAATAAGCAAATCATTGAATGAAGTATCACATATGATACCAAAACCTGAAAAGATGGTGCATAAAAGAATTACAAATTTCATGTTTTATTAAAAATAAAATTCTAAATAAAATATTAACAAATAGATATACTCCACCATCGACAAGTAATTTGCATTAAAAAATGCAAGGATGGTTCGAAATGAATGCACTTACTTTATATCAATAGATTAAATAAAAAATACTTTTAATAGGTACTGAAACATATTTAATAAAATGTAATATATTTCTGGTTAAAAAATCAATTACTTAAAAAAATAAATAAAAATTGTTTGAAACTAAGAGGTGCCTTATCCTTAATGATTGAACAAAAGACCTTTCATTGTCATTAAATTATTATTTACACCATATTATACAGTGTATATATTATACTATGTTAACTACTGTTACAGTATTCTAGAAGGTCAATGTAATTAAACATGGAACAATAAAAGCTAGAGTGTTTTGAAAACAATGAGACAAACTATTATTATTGCAGATAATGTAATATTTCAAATGTAGGTAGCCTAGAATTAAGCAACCTCATTAAACTGGCTGAATTCAAGAAAATGATACAAAATTGACCATTATTATCAGTATAGTGCCCAATTAGATAAAACAACAGGGCAATCTCATTCACAGTTGCTACAGAAAAAAAATCATAAAATATTTAGGAATCAACTCATGAAATGTAAAGAAATATAAGAAAACCTGTCACATTTTACTTATCCATATGAAGGGGTTCTTGAATGGATGGAGAGGTGTATTGTAGTAATTGATGAGAAGGTAGTATATCATGATAATTAAGATCATGGGCTTGGAATCAAACTGACCCAGGCTAGGATTCTTGCCCCTCTACTCAGTAGCTGCTTAAAGTTCCTAAGACTCAATTTTACTATCCGTATGTTAGGGATACAATGGTATTTCCCACAGGTCTTGTGAATACATTGTCACTTGTTTTGGTAAAGTTCTTAGCACAATGTCTTGAAAATTATAAGGGTTCAAAAATGTTGGAATGAACAATTTTCCTCAAATTAATTGATAGGTTTAACACAATTCTGATCAAATTGAAAAATATTTTTTTAGGGGGAACTTGACAAAAATTCTCAAGTAAATCTAGTGGAAAATAACCACACAGAAATAGCAAAGAACTTTTTGACAAAAAAGCAGTTATTACAGTGTCCTAACAGCACACCTTTGAAAATATGTGATAAGGATTTAAGGAAAGAAAATTAAAAAATGGAATGAAACACAAGTGTATGTAATGAAACAGATACAAGTATATTTATCATATATACATCATAAGGAAAATCTGTACAACAATGATATAGGCAAGGATATTCACCCAGATGACATTGGCATTCTTAGTGGAGGAGAAAAAATCAGTTTGATTTCAGTTTTACACAAATTGGCAAAATAACATCAAGATAGTTAAAAGTTTAAGGATATGTCATCACACTATCAAATTGCAGGGGAAAATGTGTATAATTTGATTAAATTCCTTACCGAAATATATCTTGCTGTATGTTGTTAAGTGTTCTTTGATCTTATTAAAAGATTATTCGGGTTCTCTAAAGCTTTAAATAATCTTTTTCTATCTTTTCTGAGCAAATTTGCTTGCCTGGGCCCTTCTTGTTATTGCATTTCTTTCTTTTTTTTTTTTTTTTTTTTTTTAAAGATTTGGATGTATTTATCTTCAAATTTGCTACAACGGCTGCATGGTTATATGTAAAGTCATTATTATTTTATGTTTTAGAATAATTTTCTTCATTCTTCCTGGTAGTTAGTAATACCCTGGCCTTGACTTACATTAGAATATTGACATCAGGGCTTACAAAGTTTGTTCTCACCAAGAGGTGAGTTTCCGTATTCAGATGATTTCTCCACCACTTCCCTGTCACACAGATTTCATAATTTGACTTTATAACTGGTTGTGTTCCATTTTGATAGTTAAAGATAATATTTTTTTCCCACAAAGAAGTTATTTCACAAGTAGTAAACAGGAGGGGTTTTCTTCCTTTAAGAAAATAACCTGCTATTTCTATCCTGCAAGCTGCTTGGATCAACTGTGCTTTATAGTAGGATAACTGGGACTCCCTACAGAACTTTGTTATGATGATATAGTTCACTTCTCTAACCAGAATGCTGTACTTCACTCTCATTATGGTTTTATTTTCCTGACTCTGAGGTGGCATTTCATAGCATTTGTCCTTTTAATTCCTAAAGTAGCAGAAGTTTGGAGACAGCCGTGAGAGTAGCATCTGACACTTGCACTTCTACCATGAAATGACTGAAAAGATAACTATGTACCTAGAACAAATGAGGCATGGTCTCACGGTGCTTAGAAAGGGTCCAAGTACAGCAGGTTGTGTTAGGTAGAATCCTGGGTACTTTAGGAAACTTGTAAAATTGGAATGTAAGTAGAAGAGATGAGGATGTTGAGGTTTCTAGAGAGCATAGCAGTTAAGTGTACATGAAGGAACTAGAGAAGTACAGCCTAGAAAATGGAGGGCTTGGGTGGTAGAACTATAAGGCAGTGATATTATCAAACGGTATACTGAAGACAACCCTGGACTTGAAATGACTTGGTTTCCATAGGGCTTTGCCAAGGAGTTACACTGTGGCCCTGGGAAAAGCATTAACCTTTCAGAGCCTCAGCATCTTCTGTAAATTAGGGAAATTAGATGAGATCACCTCTGCATTTTTATAATACCATGATTTCAGTATCTTTTTGTGATACTGGAATATAGCTATGATTTTTCAAAATCACTTTTAGAAGTGTAATTCTTTCTTTTTAAACAATGCTTTACTGGGAGCTTCATTGTATAAAAAAGATAAAAACAGAGTTTCTCTGGTTGAAACAATGACAAAGAACTAGAGCCCTACTCACAGGGTTTACTTTCCACATGGCATCAGCTCCTGTCTCCCCTCTTGAGTAGCAGTGTAGACGCTTCTGCAGAACTCTGTGGGAAACATAGTCTGAAAACACTGAGAAAGTGGACCGGAAAGGAATATGGACTTTATAGGCTGAACTTTATGAAATGGTTGATTCTGAAGCTCAACAGTGTAGTGCACTTCATCCTAATAATGCGCTGAGTAGGATTAGAGCCTCCCTCTTCCTGTCCCTCATATCTTTCCCTTAAATGAATTTAGAATTTGAGACCTACACAGTGTTTTTTTTTTTGTGGGAATACAGATTTCCAGAAACTTCATATCCCTCATCATAATGTCCTACTCCCACTTCAAGTGGGAAAAATTCACCTTGCTGTATTTATAATTGTTAGTCTGCTATAATGTTCATAACTATAATAGTTTTCTTTAGTTGGCTTTTAATAAATTAGCAGTAAAATGTTTGCACTATAAAAAGTATCTTAAACCCTTAAGGAATATTTTTCATGGTTTCATGAATACAGAAAATGATCTTTATAAAATTTACTACTAATAAAATATCTGTTATATACATTTTGCTTTGTACATAATGTATACAGTTTCAAAGTAAGATATTTGCAATTAAAGCATATCTCAAGAAACTTCAAAAACACTGATTTTTATTTTATTTTATTTTTATTATACTTTAAGTTCTGGGGTACATGTGCAGAATGTGCAGGTTTATTACATAGGTATACACGTGCCATGGTGGTTTGCTGCACCCATCAACCCATGATCTACATTAGGTATTTCTCCTAATGCTAAATGCTATCCCTCCTCTAGCCCCCCACCCCCCACCAGGCCGCAGTGTGTGATGTTCACCTCCCTGTGTCCATGTGTTCTCATTGTTCAACTTCCATTTATGAGTGAGAACATGCAGTGTTTGTTTATCTGTTCCTGTATTAGTTTGCTGAGAATGATGGTTTCCAGCTTTATCTGTGTCCCTACAAAGGACATGAATTTATCCTTTTTTATGGCTGCATAGTATTCCATGTTATATTTGTGCCACATTTTCTTTATCTAGTCTATCATTGATGGGCATCTGGGTTGGTTCCAAGTCTTTGCTATTGTGAATAGTGCTGCAGTAAACATACATGTGCATGTCTGTTTATAGTAGAATGATTTATATTCCTTTGGGTATATATCCAGTAATGGGATTGCTGGGTCAAATGGTATTTCTGGTTCTAGATCATTGAGGAATCACCACACTGTCTTCCACAATGGTTGGACTAATTTACATTCCCACTAACAGTGTAAAATCGTTCTTGTTTCTCCACATCCTCTCCAGCATCTGTTGTTTTCTGACTTTTTAATGATCACCATTCTAACTGGCATGAGATGGTATCTCATTGTGGTTTTGATTTGCATTTCTCTAATAACCAGTGATGATGAGCTTTTATTTGTATGTTTGTTGGTTGCATAAATGTCTTCTTTTGAGAAGTGTCCATTCATATCCTTTGCCCACTTTTTGATGGGGTTGTTTTTTTTCTTGTAAATTTGTTTAAGTTCTTTGTAGATTCTGGATATTAGCCCTTTGTCAGATGGATAGACTGCAAAAATTTTCTCCCATTCTGTATGTTGCCTGTTAACTCTGATGATAGTTTCTTTTGCTGTGTAGACGCTCTTTAGTTTAACTAGATCCCATTTGTCAATTTTGGCTTTTGTTGCCGTTGCTTTTGGTGTTTTAGTCATGAAGTCTTTGTCCTGAATGGTATTGTCTAGGTTTTCTTCTAGGGTTTTTATGGTTTTAGGTCTTACATCGGAGTCTTTAATTTAACTTGAGTTAATTTTTGTGTAAGGTGTAAGGAAGGCATCCAGTTTTAGTTTTCTGCAAATGGCTAGCCAGTTTTCCCAACACCATTTATTAAATAGGGAATCCTTTCCCCATTGCTTGTTTTTGTCAGATTTGTCAAAGATCAGATGGCTGTAGATGTGTGGTGTTATTTCTGAGGCCTCTGTTCTGTTCCATTAATCTATATATCTGTTTTCGTACCAGTACCATGCTGTTTTTGTTACTGTAGGCTTGTAGTATAGTTTGAAGTCAGGTAGCGTGATGCCTCCAGCTTTGTTCTTTTCGCTTAAGATTGTCTTGGCTATACAGACTCTTTTTTTGTTCCATATGAAATTTAAAGTAATGTTTTTTTCTAATTCTGTGAAGAAAGTCAATGGTAGCTTGATGGGGATAGCATTGAATCTATACATTACTTTGGGCAGTATGGCCATTTTCATGATATTAATTCTTCCCATCCATGAGCATGGAATGGTTTTCCATTTGTTTGTGTCCTCTCTTATTTCCTTGAGTAGTTGTTTGTGGTTCTCCTTGAAGAGGTCCTTCACATCCTTTGTAAGTTGTATTCCTAGGTATTTTATTCTCTTTGTAGCAATTGTGAATGGGAGTTCACTCATGATTTGGCTCTCTGTTTGTTTGTTATTGGCGTATGGGAATGCTTGTGATTTTTGCCCATTGATTTTGTATCCTGGAACTTTGCTGAAGTTGCTTATCAGCTTAAGGAGATTTTGGACTAAGATGATGGGGTTTTCTAAATATAGAATCATGTTATCTGCAAACAGAGACAATATGACTTTCTCTCTTCCTATTTGAATACGCTTTATTTCTTTCTTTTGCCTGATTGCTCTGGCCAGAACTTCCAATACTATGTTGAATAGGAGTGGTGAGAGAGGGCATCCTTGTCTTGTGCTGGTTTTCAAAGGGAATGCTTCCAGCTTTTGTCCATTCAGTATGATATAGGCTGTGGGTTTGTCATAAATAGCTTTTATTATTTTGAGATATGTTCCATCAATACCTAGTTTACTGAGAGTTTTTAGCATGAAGGGGTGTTGAATTTTATCAAAGGCCTTTTCTGCATCTATTCAGATAATCATGTGGTTTTTGTCCTTGGTTCTGTTTATGTGATGCATTAAGTTTATTGGTTTGTGTGTGTTGAACCAGCCTTGCATCCCAGGGATGAAGCCGACTTGATTGTGATGGATAAGCTTTTTGATGTGCTGCTAGATTTGGTTTGCCAGTATTTTATTGAGGATTTTCACATCAATGTTCGTCATGGATATTGGCCTGAAATTTTCTTTTTTTGTTGTGTCTCTGCCAGGTTTTGGTATCAGGATAATGCTGGCCTCATCAAATGAGTTAGGGAGGAGTCCTTATTCTATTGTTTGGAATAGTTTCAGAGGGAATGGTACCTTCTCCTCTTTGTACCTCTGGTAGAATTCAGCTGTGAATCCGTCTGATCCTGGGCTTTTTTTGGTTGATAGGCTATTAATTACTGCCTCAATTTCAGAAATTGTTATTGGTCTATTCAGGGATTTGACTTCCTCCTGGTTTAGTCTTGGGAGGGTATATGTGTCCGGGAATTTATTCATTTCTTCTAGATTTTCTAGTTTATTTGCATAGAGGTGTTTATAGTATTCTCTGATGGTAGTTTGTATTTCTGTGGGATCAGTGGTGATATCCCTTTTATCATTTTTTTTATTGTGTCTATTTGATTCTTCTCTCTTTTCTGTATTAGTCTGGCTAGTGGTCTATGTATTTTGTTAATCTTTTCAAAAAACTAGCTCCTGGAATCATTTATTTTTTGAAGGATTTTTCATGTCTGTATCTCTTTCAGTTCTGCTCTGATCTTAGTTATTTCTTGTCTTCTGCTAGCTTTTGAATTTGTTTGCTCTTGCTTTTCTAGCTCTTTTAATCGTGATGTTAAAGTGTTGATTTTAGATCTTTCTTGCTTTCTCCTGTGGGCATTTAGTGCTATAAATTTCCCTCTAAACACTGCTTTAGCTGTGTCCCAGAGATTCTGGTACATTGTGTCTTTGTTCTCATTGGTTTAAAAGAATTTCATTATTTCTGCCTTAATGTCATTATTTACTCAGTAGTCATTCAGGAGTAGGTTGTTCAGTTTCCATGTATTTGTGTGGTTTTGAGTGAGTTTCTTAATCCTGAGTTCTAATTTGATTGCACTGTGGTCTGAGAGACTGTTTGTTATAATTTCTGTTCTTTTGCATTTGCTGAGGAGTGTTTTCTTCCAATTATATGGTCAATTTTAGAATAAGTGTGAAGTGGTGCTGAGAAAAATGTATATTCTGTTGATCTGGGATGAAGAGTTCTGTAGATGTCTATTAGGTCCGCTTGGTCCAGAGCTGAGTTCAAGTCTTGAATATTCTTGTTATTTTTATGTCTCATTGATCTGTCTAATATTGACAGTGGGGTGTTAAAGTCTCCCACTATTATTGTGTGGGAGTCTAAGTCTCTTCGTATGTCTCTAAGAACTTGCTTTATGAATCTGGGTGCTGCTGTATTGGGTGCATATATATTTAGGATAGTTAGCTTTTCTTGTTGCATTGATCCCTTTACCATTATGTAATGCCCTTGTTTATCTTTTTTTATCTTTGCTGGTTTAAAGTCTGTTTTATCAGAGATGAGGATTACATCCCCTGCTTATTTTTGCTTTCTATTTGCTTGGCACATATTCCTCTATCCCTTAATTTTGTGCCTATGTGTGTCTTTTCATGTGAGATGGGTCTCCTGAATACAGCACACTGATGGGTCCTGACTCTTTATCCAATTTGGCAGTCTGTGTCTTATAATTGGGGTATTTAGTCCATTTACATTTACGGTTGATATTGTTATGCATGAATTTGATCCTGTCATTATGATGCTAGCTGGTTATTTTGCCCGTTAGTTGTTGCATATGTTATAAAGCAACTACAAAGTTAGTTTCTTTATAGTGTTGATGGTCTTTACAATTTGGTAGTTTTTGCAGTGGCCGCTATCAGTTTTTCCTTTCCATATCGCTTACAAAGCTTAGTTTGGCTGGATATGAAATTCTGGTTTGAAAATTCTTTTCTTTAAGAATGTTGAGTATTGACTCCCACTCTCTTCTGGCTTCTAGCATTTCTGCAGAGAGATATGCTGTTAGTCAGATGTGCTTCCATTTGTGGGTAACCCGACCTTTCTCTCTGGCTGCCCTTAGCATTTTTTCCTTCATTTCAACCTTGGTGAATCTGACGATTATGTGTCTTGGGGTTGCTCTTCTTGAGGAGTATCTTTGTGGTGTTCTCTGTATTTCCTGAATTTGAATGTTGGCCTGTCTTGCTAGGCTGGGGAAGATCTCCTGGATAAGATCCTGAAGAGTGTTTTCCAACTTGGTTCCATTCTCCCTGTCACTTTCAGGTACACCAGTCAAATGTAGGTTTGGTCTTTTCACATAGTCCTGTATTTCTTGGAGGCTTTGTTCGTTCCTTTTCATTCTTTTTTTCTCAAATCTTGTCTTCATGCTTTACTTCATTAAGTTGATCTTCAATCTCTGATATCCTTTCTTCTGCTTGATCAGTTCGTCTATTGATACTTGTATATGCTTCACGAAGTTCTCATGGTGTGTTTTTCATCTCCATCAGGTCATTTATGTTCTTCTCTAAGCTGGTTATTCTAGTTAGCAATTCCTGTAACCTTTTTTCAAGGTTCTTAGCTTCCTTGCATTGGGTTAGAACATGCTCCTTTAGCTTGGAGGAATTTGTTATTACCTACCTTCTGAAGCCTACTTCTGTCAATTTGTCAAGCTCATTCTCTGTCCAGTTTTGTTCCCTTGCTGGCGAGGAGTAGTGATCCTTTGGAGGAGAAGAGGTGTTCTGGTTTTTGGAATTTTTAGCCTTTTTGCACTGGTTTTTCCTCATCTTTGTGGATTTATCTACCTTTGGTCTTTGTTGTTGGTGACCCTCGGATGGGGTTTCCGTGTGGATGTCCTTTTTGTTGATGTTGATGCTATTCCTTTCTGTTTGTTAGTTTTCCTTCTAACACTCAGGCCCTCTCCTGCAGGTCTGC
Source organism: Homo sapiens (assembly GCF_000001405.40). Classification (NCBI taxonomy): domain Eukaryota; kingdom Metazoa; phylum Chordata; class Mammalia; order Primates; family Hominidae; genus Homo; species Homo sapiens. The sequence goes on along the minus strand of NC_000012.12, from coordinate 18,761,804 downwards.
TGGAGTTTACTGGAGATCCACTACAGACCCTGTTTGCCTGGGTATCACCAGCAGAGTCTGCAGAATAGCAAAGATTGCTGCCTATTCCTTCCTCTGGAAGCTTTGTCCCAGAGGGCACCTGCCAGATACCAGCCAGAGTGCTCCTATATGAGTTGTCTACCCCTGCTGGGAGATGTCTCCCAGTCAAGAGGCACAGGGGTCAGGGACCCATTTGAGGAGGCAGTCTGGCCCTTAGCAGAGCTCGAGCACTGTGCTGGGAGATCTGCTGCTCTCTTCAGAGCTGGCATGCAGGAACATTTAAGTCTGCTGAAGCTGGGTTGACAGCCGCCCTTTCCCTCAGGTGCTCTGTCCCAGGGAGATAGGGGTTTTATCTGTAAGCCCCTAACTGGGGCTGCTGCCTTTCTTTCAGAGATGCCCTGCCCAGAGAGGAGGAATGTCGAGCTGCAGTGGGCTCTGCCCAGTTCAAACTTCCTGGAGGCTTTATTTACACTGTACAGGGAAAACTGCCTACTCAAGCCTCAGTAATGGCAGATGCCCCTCCCCACACCAGGCTCGAGCGTCCCTGGTCAACTTCAGACTGCTGGGCTTGTAGCGATTTCAACCAGTGGATCTTAGCTTGCTGAGATCTGTAGGCATGGGATCCACTAAGCTAGACCACTTGGCTCCCTGGCTTCAGCTCCCTTTCCAGGGGAGTGTATGGTTCTGTTTCACTGGCATTCCAGGAGCCACTGGGGTATGAAAAAAATCTGCTGCAGCTAGCTTGGTGTCTGCCCAAACAGCTGCCCAGTTTTGTGCTTGAAACTCAGGGCCTTGGTGGCGTAGTCACCCAAGGGAATCTCTTGGTCTGTGGGTTGTGAAGACCATGGGAAAAGCATAGTATCTGGGCTGGAACCAGCCATTCCTCATGGCACAGTTCTTCCTGGCTTCCCTTGGCTAGGGGAGGGAGTTCCCCTACCCCTTGCACTTCCCAGGTGAGGCAATGCCCCACCCTGCTTTGGCTTGCCCTCTGTGGGCTGCATCCAACATCTAACCAGTCCCAATGAGATGAACTGGGTACCTCAGTTGGAAATGTAGAAATCACCTGCCTTCTGCATTGATCTCGCTGGGAGCTGCAGACTGTAGCTATTCCTATTCAGCCATCTTGCCAGTCACTACCGATTTTTTTTTAGTAAATGATTAGATTCTCTTACATTTGTTTTAAATGGATTAAGAAATATGAACTAAAATCCAGAGGGTGAAGTAGCATCTTCTTCCATGAAGTCTACAGATCAGAACAGTTAATGCTGTTGACATGACTTTGCATTGACCTTTTGATGAAGAGAAAAATGTTGTCAAAAGTTATAATATGCTTAAATGAAAATGAACTTCAAATAGAATCTTAATTACTAAAGCAACTGGACTGGAAAAGATGATGTTAACAGAAACATAGTTAATTTTTCAGAAAGTACCATGGAATAAATTTGCATTCACTAGTTAAGAAAAATAACAGCACCAAATATATGAAGACTCTTGGTTTTAACATATTACTTTCTGAGCATGTAGATAGATGAGCAGGAAGGTGACTTTAATACAGATGCATTTGAGGCTTTAATTCATTAGCAATTCAAGAAGGAATAATAAATACTTCAAATAAGCTGTGCTTTTCATATCTGCTCAGTAATGAAATTTTAATTAACTATAGAACCAATTATAAGATTTTGTATAAAATATTGCAAGATTAATTTTTTCAGTGGCAATTAAACTGTTCAAGTAGAGATTCTGCTAGGTTTTGTCTAGAAAGATTTTCCTTCTTTCTTTTTTTCAATTTTTTATCATAATAAATGTAAAAAATATATAAGAATTCCAATTTTGAAAACCAAATCCCTTTCTTTTGTCTGTTGTATGTTTCATATATGGACAGTCCCCAATGATAGGTTGACTTACTATTTTTCAGCTCTATAGTAGTGTGAAAGCAATGTATTCAACTGAAACTTCAAGTGCCCATACAACCATTCTGCTTTTCACTTTCAGTAGAAACTTCAATAATTTCCATGAGATATTTAACACTTTATTATGAAATAGGCTTTGTGTTAGATAATTTTGCCCAACTTTAGGCTAACATAAGCATTCTGAGCATGTCTAAGGAATGCTAGGCTAAACTATGATGTTCAGTAGGTTAGGTGTATTAAATGCATTTTCAACTTATGATACTTTCAACTTATGATGGGCTTATTAGGACATAACACCATTACAAGCAGAAGAGCATCTATATATATTTTGTGTATCATATATAAAAATTTTAAAATATAAAATTATATATCACCTAATTTACGTAAAGTGTTAGCCAAAAGAGAGACTGCCATCTACTTTATAGGCCCTAAAGGAGTTATGGGTCCCTTTACGTGGAAGTGAGTGAAATACTCAGAAGTCTAAGATACAGACATAAGCCTAAAGAGTTTTTCAAGTCCCTTTTATTTTCCTGCCAAAAATATTAAGTAATAAACAACTATTGGCCAGGCACCATGGCTCACGCCTGTAATCTCAGCACTTTGGGAGGCCAAGGCAGGCAGATTGCTTGAGCCCAGGAGTTCGAGACCAACCGGGGCAACATTGTGAAAACCCATCTCTACAAAAAATATAAACATTTGCCAGACATTAGCCTTAAGAAACATAATTCTTAAATAATAAGACTTGAAAGTCAAAATTACCCCTTGATTCATGGACTGCAGAATGGATGTTGTGTTAGCAGGTATAAAAACTCTTTGTACATCTTTCCCAGAGTTCTTGGGTGACTAGGTGCATTGTCAATCAGTAGTAGTACTTTGAAAGGAATCTTTTTTCTGAGCACTAAGTCTCAACAGAGAGCTTTAAATATTCAGTAAACTATGTTGTAAATAAATATACTGTCATCCAGGCTTTGTTGATGCACTTATAGAGCCAGGCAGAGTTGATTTAACATAATTCTTAAAGGTCCTATGATATTTGGAATGGTCAACGAGCACTGGCTTCCACTTAAAGTCACCAGCTGCATTGAAACTCTGCATTTGAAACTCTGAAGTCAGACACTGACTTCTTTCTAGGTATGAATGTTGCAGGGTGCATCTTCTTCCAATAGAAGCCAGTTTTGTCTACAATGAAAATCTGTTGTTGAGTGTAGCTACCTGCATCAATGATCTTAGCTAGATCCTCTCGGTAACTTGCTGTAGCTTTTCCATCAGCACTTGCTGTTTCACTTTGTACTTTTATGTTATGAACATAGTTTCTTTCCTTAAGCCTCAAGAACCCACCTCTGCTAGCTTTCAACCTTTTGCCTGCAGCTTCCTCACCTCTCTCAGTCTTCACAGAATTGAGGAGACTTAGAATCTTGCTCTGGATTAGGCTTTGGCTTAAGGGAGTGTTGTGGCTGGCTTGATCTTCTCTCCAGACCACTGCAACTTTCCCCCTATCAGCAATAAGGCTTTTTGCTTTCTCATTATTCATATATTGACTGGAGTAGCACTTTTAATTTCCTTCAAGAACTTCTCCTTTGCATTCACAATCTGGCTGTTTGACACAAGAGACCTAACTTTCGGCCCATCTTGACGTTTAACATGTCTTCCTCATAAGCTTGTTTCTAGCTCTTGATTTAAAATAAGAGATATGTGACTCTTCTTTTCACTTGAACACTTAGAGGCTATTTATAGGTTATTAATTGGCCCAATTTCAATATTGTTTTGTCTCAGGGAATAGGAGAGCCCAAGGAGAGGGAGAAAGATGGGACAATTGCTGGTCTGTGAAGCAGTCAGAACACACAATATTTATCAATTAAATTTGCTGTCTTGCATGTGCGATTACAGTGTCAGTAGCAATATCAAAAATCACTGCCAGGTGTGGTGGCTCACGCCTGTAATCCCAGCAATTTGGGAGGCCGAGGTGGGTGCATCACCTGAGGCCAGGATTTTGAGACCAGCCTGGCCAACATGGTGAAACCCCATCTCTACTGCAAATACAAAAAAAAAAAAAAAAAAATTAGCCGTGTGTGGTGATGGATGGCTGTAATCCCAGCTACTCAGGAGGCAGAGGCGGAAGAGTCTCTTGAACCCAGGAGATGGAGGTTGCAGTGAGCTGAGATCGCACCACTGCACTCCAGCCTGAGAGACAGAGTGAGAGTCTGTCAAAAAAAAAAATCACATATCATCATAAAAGATGTGATAATAATGCAAAATTTGAAATATTGCATGAATTACCAAAATGTGTCACAGAGACGTAAAGCGAGCACAGGCTATTGGAAAAATGGCATTGATACGCTTGCTTGACACGGTCAGCTTCAAGCTGTTGCTAGCTTGAAGTGAGGAGGCAAATGACTACAAATTAGGCTGTTGATTATTTTATATGCAACTGAAAAGTGTTCTGGAACTGTCAAATTCCTTAAGATAGTAGATAAAAACTGTTACATGATTTTTTTTTTCAGATTGGAGTTTCTCATATGCTGAAGTAGTTAAACTTATTTTCTGAAATCATTTCATAAAATAATTATTCTGATTTCTGTCAGTCTAATCTTGTTTCATCTCTAAAATATTTAATATTTTCTACTTCCTACTAGGAAAATATAATTGAAACTAACTGCTGGATTAAGTAATTTTTAGTAGTACATATAATTTTTAAAATAAAATACATAGACAATTTTGATTAGAGATTTGTTAACTATACTTTATACATAGTTCATGTATATATATATCAGACTCCTCACTATAAATAACTCATAATTTAGTCTTGCAAATTAAGAAATAAAAATGGCATTTGATCATGTCAATTTATTAGAAAATGATAAATTACATTATGTAGATATGAAAAATTGCAGTCTTGGTTGCTTTTAGTAACTTACATTACAAGATATGACTTCTAATTTATTTCACAGTGAATTTTATATTTCTGAAAATACGTGTATTATCCTTTTACTGGAAGTTAAAACTTGAGGTCTGATTTTTTTTTAAGAGTGGCTGATGGCTGACATTATTAAATGTGGGTTGGCTTGCTTAATTAGGTTATATGGTGGATATTTCCCACTAATTAAATGAGCATAACACTGCATTTTGTTCCTGGATGTTGACAGTTTTCAAAGATGCATTGAGTTGAATATTTTAATTTCTCCCTCCCTGCCTAAATATATTGAATTAAACACAACCCCTTTCAGTGAAAGAGCCACTGGTATAGGCTTGTCATTGAGTGAGTCATGGTAAAGACTTTGTGCTCTTAGCGCTCTTCCTTTCAGAAATTGAGGATGTCAGTGGCTCTAATAATAGAATAACAAGTCCATTTTCAAATATATTGGTTTCTTATTGTTTGCTTTCAATATAACAGAAGGGCTGGCTAACAAAGTGTCCATTGACATATTATTAAAAATAATGTTTGATGATAGACTACTGTGATTTTTTTGGTATAAAATTCAGAAGAATTTAAAGAACTGAGTGATATTGTCATAAGAAAACTCTTTCCCATTCACTTTTTTTCTGATCAACGTTGCTCATTGCTCATATCTATGAAGTAAAAATAAAAATAGACTGGATGCTGAACACTCTGTCTTTCTAGTAATAACTAATATTCATTGATAGATATATAAACTAATCCAAAATAAATGAGCTTGATCCATGTCAGTATGAATTGTGTTTTCAATAAGTTTAAATTTTTATCTTTAAAATTACATTAAATTTGTTAATATCTTTATGTTGTTTTGAATAGTTGTTTATAGAAGAGAAAATTTTTAAATCTTTTAGACTGGTGGGCACAGGAAAAAATCATACACATGTTTTTGTAGCAAACATGTATGACAGAATAATCAGTGAAAGACTTTTCAGCATAAAAATGTATTAAATTAGTATAAAATGTATTGGTGAAATGACATAGAAAGTTCAAACAGAGAAAGAAACTACATAAAATTAGGGAAGTGTTCGTCTTTTTTTAAGAAAATGAATAAATCTAGTGTATTTAGATTCTGCTGCATACTTAAAAAATCTGATAAAAAGATTTTATTTGAAAATGTTGATATTTACAATATGTCTCAAACTACATGTTACTTTTCACTTTTTAAAAGATAAATCTTAAACATCAACTTAAAAATGTACAAGAAGATACCTATTTTTCTAAAATTCTTCCAAAATTTTAGGGATTTGTCAGTTGAAGTCCTCTATCTTAGGGGACCATGTTTTCTTGGTGATAACTTTTAAAGTCTGTCTTTTTCTTTATTGAAGGAATTATTTTTGCCTGGATGGTGGCCAAGCCTCTTTATCTCCAAGAGGGGACTGCACCAAGGTCCTCAGGAACATGACCACATTAGTGGTTGAATCAAGGCCCTTCAGCCTGTTCTAACTTACTACCCCAGCCTTGCACTGTGGCCCCCACCAGAGCTCCATACTCTCTCCACATCAAATCTCTCAGTCTGTGACAATATCAGATCCTTTTGTACTTTGGTGCTTTGAACCTTACGTTTCTTCTGCCTGCAGCCATCATCTCACTGTCAAAGGCAAAGGCAAAAACAAAGACAAAAACTAAAACCCAGAACATGTAGGGAGATTGATTTTATTTGGAATTTTGCAATACCAAGAGCACCCCAGATCTGAGGATCAGAGCGTGTCATCAGGGTGGTTTTGCCTTGGATTTTATAACAAAGAGCTTGTCTAAGCTATATGTGGGATGACTTCACAGTTAGGATTTTTTTTTTTTTTTTTTTTTTTGTAATCAGGGGGAGACTCAGTCTGTCAGGTTGTTACTGGAAAGGGGTTCCAATCCAGACTCCAAGACAGGGTTCTTGGATCTCGTGCAAGAAAGAATTCAGAGCTAGTCCATACAGTAAAGTGAAAGCAGGTTTATTAAGAAAGTATAGGAATAAAAGAATGACTATTCCATAGGCAAAGCAGCAGCACGGGCTGCTCAAATAAGGATACTTATAGTTATTTCTTGATTATATGCTAAACAAGGGGTGGATTATTCATGAGCTTTCCAGGAAAGGGGTGGGCAATACCCGAAACTGAGGGTTCCTCCCCTTTTTAGACCATATAGGATAATTTCCTGACATTGCCATGGCATTTGTAAACTGTCATGGTGCTGGTGGGAGTGTCTTTCTGCATGCTAATGCATTATAATGAGCAGTAAGGACAACTAGAGGTCACTTGTGTTACCATCTTGGTTTTGGTGGGTTTTGGCTGGCTTCTTTTCTGCAACCTGTTTTATCAGCAAGGTCTTCATGACCTGTATTTTATGCCAACCTCCTATCTCATCCTGTGACTTAGAATGTCTAATCTCCTGGGAATGCAGCCCAGTAGTGATAGGGACAGGCGGCAAAGAAATTCTGGGCAGAAGAGGGCAGGTCCCTGGTAAGGGCCCCACCCTCAAGCCAAAAAGCCGGAGACTGCAGCCCAAAGTGAGAGTTTACATCGCTGTTTTCCTGCTTGAATGTTGCCTTTTCCAACACAACCCATAGACCCACCCTGCCCCATTCTGTGCCTGTAAAAACCCCAAACCCAGCCGGCAGAGAGAGGAGAAGCAGCTGGACGTTGGCTACTACTGCTGGGTGTTGGAGAAAAGTGGCTTGACTTCAGAGGGACAGATTGACAGCTTCTCTGGTAACTTCAGAGAGGAATCCGGCAGGAGATAGCTGGACTTTGGGGGAAGAATACCTTCCCACTTTATCCCCTTTGCAGCTCTCCTTCACATTGAGAGCCACTTTCATCTGCAATAATATCCCCCACGTTTACCATCCTTCAATTTGTTCACATGATCTCATTTCTCCTGGACACTGGACAACAGCTCGGGAGCTGTGAGTGTGGATGCAAAAAGACTGTCACACTGACCCTTTGCCTTTGTTGGCAGAAGGCAGCTGCCTCACATGAAAAGGCAGAGGGTACACTGAGCTGTTAACGCTTAAGCTGTCCATGGAGGGAAGAGCGAAAAGAGCTCTCTAACACTCCCTCTGGGGCTTCAAGGGTCGTGGGCACCCCCGCAGTGCTGCCGCTGAGCATGCACAGAGTTTGCTCTTGCCAGCACCCAGTAGCACTCACCCTGGCTCCTGCACCCGCTTACCTGTGTGCCCTGTCCGACGAGGGGTGGAAAGCAGCGGGTCTGAGTGAGTGGAGTTTGCTCTTGCCAGCTATGAAGTAGCCAGCTGATTCTAGCACTCGTGTATTCCAGTTCCCGCCTTGTTGGCTTGCTCACTCCCTCCTATGAGGAGTTGAGAGCTGTGGGCTGAGTAAACGGGGCACCCCTGTTGCGAGTTCCACAAAGGGGTCAGTGAAATGTCCTGCTTCAGTAGGTCTCAGCCTTATTTTATCCAGCCAGTATTCAAGTTGCTCTGGTTCGAATGCCTCTGACAAGATGAACAAGAAATGTTTATCTCTGTGTCAAGCTAGTTTTGGGAGGATAAACAGTTCAGCTAATTATTTATGAAACAAAGACAGTTTTTCAGGGTCTGGCTTTGTTATACAGAAACATTTGTGAGTCTTATGTGAGTTAGGAGAAAGAGTGAATTTTGAGTCTCATGTGTCACCTGGGAAGGGGATTCTTTGCAGTAAACCCTTTCCCAGAACACAAAAAGGGTGAGGAATTCTGGAAAGCTACTTTTCAGAACCACAGGGCATAGGTAAATTTCAGTGTCACCAGCCTGGTTAAACCTTTGGGTCCTAAGTACTTCCTTTGTCAAACTGAATCCTCAGGCTCCCCAGGAAATAGAATTGAGACAGGGATTAGCTTGCCGGATGTTTACTGGGAGGTCCTTTTGGGATTAACAGCTGTGGAGAGCAGGTGAGAAAAGCTGTTTAGGGTGGAACAAAATTCCACAAACCAAATCTGGTTCATGGCCTGATTGTATTTGGCCCTGAGATAAGTAAGAATGGTTTTTACATTTTCAATGGGTTTAAAAAAAAAAATAGGCTATCCGACAGAAATTGACCTTATGTGGCCTGCAAAGCCTAAAACATTTTACTCTGTAGCCCTTTCAGAAAAAATTTGCCTACTCCTAGGTTGGAAGGGGGACGGGGAACTGCTGATTCAGTCATAACAAAGGCCTTAGTCAATCCTCCTGGGAACTTGGAAGCTGGGATGATGCTGCAAAGTTGTCTTGAACTGGGGCAAAGGGGTAGGATTTCCCATGTGGTCTGCTCCTGGGAAGGAACCTTATCTTGATGAGGCAGCTGGAGGACGAGTGCTTCAGTCCTCCAGGGAGGGTGGGGGGTGGTGGAAGCATTCACTATGTGAGCCTTCTCTAACTTCCTGAGGGAGAGTTTTTTGCTCTCCTTTCGTCTCCCACAGTGTGAAGTTTTTGCCTAATTAGTCCTTTACATGCCAGTATCCTCCTCTCAGCTGGGACCTACCAGGAACAAGAAGAGTGTGCAATTTCCTTTTGTGCTCCTAGTGCGTAATGTAGAGTCTGGCATAAAGATTGGGCTCACTAGCTATTAACCGAATGAGGAAATATTCTTGCCTTTTATAAGACTGAAATATGGAAAATAATCTGTCTAGGCATTCATAGAATAAGTGGAAGGGTTTTTTAAGAGTCAGATATCTTGTAAACCAGACCTTTGTTTATTTTTATGAAATGGATATGAACGGATGCATGACATTTGAATACAAGAAAAGTAGAATGTCCAATTTCAATCACACACTTGGATTTGGGAGAAATTCTCCCCCTGGCTTCATAAGCTGCCCTATTAATGTTCCTGACACTTCCTGGCATGTGGTAGGAACAATATGGATTTCTCTGCTGGACTTTGATTAGCTTCATTTATCTCTAACTTCCAAACACAAAACTCACTATCTCCTGCCACTCTTCAGATGAGCCAACTTAATTCGCTTCCTCTGGACCTGAATCAGAAAAAGCTGTTAATTCTAGGACAAGGGATTCTAGATCCTGCTTACCATGAAGGGGAATATTGCTTTATTTATTCTTTGTATTGATTGAATCTATAGGAACAAGAAGCAAAGGTACTAATTTCTCAATATTGCTCTCTGTTAAAATTATTATCTCTGAATTGCAGGAAACATAGAGATAACACCTGAAGTTACAATAACTATCGCTCTTTAAAAGGTCCATAGCAAGACTCTGTCTCAAAAAAGAAAAAGAAAAAAAAGATCTTCAGCTCCTGGAGAGCAGAGATCATTACTCATATTGTTTTTCAGTCTATAGTTCCTGTTACAGGGATGTTTTCAGGACAATAACTTGTAGAATGAATTGATGGGAAGTAAATTCTTTGTGATATGTCTAGTACTATAACACAGTATGGGTTAAAGTTTATGCTTTGCTCCACCAACAGTAGATGAACTGTACTTGTTTCAGATATTTTCACATTCTGTAGACTTTTGGGGAGAGTTTACTGTTGGCATCATTTGAAGTTTCTACATGGTCGCTTTCCCAGAAGAAAGCTAATAGAGTGGGCGTGCAGAAAAAGAGAATAGTTTAATTTGACGGACAGCACACCTAGGTTTCTAACTCTGGATGTAGATGGACAGCATTGACAGAGGGATCAAGAGGGACTCTGTTCTATTCTACTGACTCCATATTCTCTCAACATAGCCATTCCAAATACCTTTTGGCTTCAGTGCATACAAGTTGTATTTTAATTATATGCTTAAAATGTAATTGTATATATTTTGAGTTTGGTTATCATAATGCCTATAGTATTTTCTAGTGCTGCAGTATGAACTGTGCATTTCTAATGCACTCTATTTCACAGAATCACATATCTTGGGGTAGATGTAAATTGGCTGTCCAATATTAAGTCTTCGGCTGTCTGTCCTTTGTGCCAGAAACTCCAGGGCATCCTGGGAATACATGTGATTGTGTTTCAAGGGCACCAAACCATCTACAGTACCTATTTGAGAAGTGTCAACTCATTTTCTGTTATACTGTCATTTCCCAGAAAAATATCACTAATAATTTTACAGCTAAATTCCTTCTAATTTAACACTCTGTTTAAAGAGAAATGGATTTTTATCTTTGTGGTTTTGCTTTTTCTGACATATTCATTGAACTATAATAAGTAAAAATTTTAAAAATGAGTAGTTCAGCAACTTCTTTTTGTTAATTTTCTTCACCACCAGGAGACTAGACCAGGCAACAAGATAGATATGAACAAAGTTGAGGATTAGAGGGGGCAACTGGAGAGGCAGGAAATTTCTGCACTCCTTTGTGAAGCAGTTTTATAGAAGAGAAAATTATTAGAATTTTGAGTGAATCACAGTACAGTTATACTATATCTTTATGGTCAGGTTTTCATAATCTACTGATCTGGTAAGAAGAAATACACAACTTTTTCAATTTCCCAGTTAGAATTTGACACTGCTTACAGGTCCTGGCCTCTTTTGATCTCTCCTAAACAATCCTTTGGTAACAGTGACAGCCTATGAAGCCAAATTCACTTTTTCCAATCACCTCCTAGGTGAAAACAGAGATAATCTGTTTTTTCCAATCCCAGTTTGTGTTTGTCTTGAGAAATTCAACCCCAGCCAGATGAGTGGCATTTCTTGCTTTGCTCAGAGCACACCCTTGCCCAGCACTCAGCCTCATCTGATTACAACAGACCACTCACAGTTACATAAGGCAAGGTTGAAGTGTGGTGCTCTCTCCCTGACACAAGCGGAGGAGAGGGAAAATGTGGGGACATATTTCAGTTTAGCTTTGGCAGCTTTAACCTCATGCTGCTTCTGAATAAATAAAACAATTTTTTACTTCTGTTTGTTTTCCCTTTAGTTTCCTCCTTTTGTGGTTCTGGTTGTTTATTTTTGGTTTGCTTTCTTATTTCCCTTGTTTTAGCTTTTTTTATTCACCTGTTTTCTTTTATTCCCCATAGCTCATTTCTTTTCTCCTCTCTGCACAGGCAACCATTCTAATACATTTAATGTGTATTTTTTTTTTAAAAGAGCATGTGTTCTTGAAAAATGTATACTGCAATTTGTAAGCATCTCCTTTCAATTTTTGCATTTGTTATTGTGATATAAATCGCACTGTGTCTTACTCTTTGTTACCCAGCTGTGTGCTTTTAAGATCCACTCATGTTGCTCTGGGTATGTCTACTCCATTACTTGCAGCTGTCCCTGGTACTCCTTGGTGTGTATCTGCCACCTTTACCTTTTCATTCATCGAAATTGCAACTAACTTCCTGCCACTGCAGTGAACATCCTTGCACATGTTTTCTTCCAGAGCAGTGTGAGCATTTTGGAAAAAAATAGACCCAGGAATGGAATTGCTAAGTCATAGGGCATGCCTGCGATTAATTTGACTAAATAGTGCCACATGGCTGACAGCAGCCCTTGTCTACCTTCCCACTAGCAATGTATGAGACTTCTAAACACACACACACACACACACACGCACACACACACACCCTCTAACCAGAATTTACCTAAACTGGCTTCTAATTTTTGCCTTTTTAAAAGTGTGATATAAAACTAATTGCAGTTTTAATTTGCATTTCTTTGATGATTTCATATGCTTTTTTTCTTAGTTCTTCTGGGTTTTCTGTTCTATAAGTTTTTATATACTTCACCCATTTTTTGTATTAAGATTGCTATTTTCTGGTTGATTTGAACAGTTTCTTGTGTCAAAGTGTGTGTATACTGCTAGAAGAAAGAAGGGTAAGATTTACTTCTCTTCTTTATAGCGTCCCACTCAAGGTCTCAGTAATTTTACCCTTCATCAGCCATATGAAGATATTTTTCAAAGATTTGTTACAACTTATGAGAGCATTACAGTTACCTTGATTTACTAAGAAATTGTAGATTATTTTCTTTTAAAGTACCACCCACTTGTCGGCAACTTGGAAATAGAAATGAGAATGGAGCTGTTGAGACTTTCTTTCTTAGGGCAAGTTCCTCCAATTATCAGAAGGTACAGGGGAAAAAAATTGACATCCAATTCTACTTCTGCCATAATGCACAGCTGGGCTGCCCCATAATGATGGAAATGTGAGAAGCTCTTTCCAAGCATCTTCTCTGAAATTAGGTGTTGGCTCAACCATATCCTTTGTGTCCAAACCCTCACATGTCTAAACCCTCCTAAGATCTGCCTGATGGGCTTAGTAATAATAGAGGAAATGGAACAAAATGTGAATATAATGCTGGGCCAGGACTATAGTATTGATTAAAGTTGCATGATTGTTTTAAAAAAGCACTCAAATTATCTGGGCCTTGTTTCAGTTTCCCGAACTATAAATGAAGAAACAAAACTGTATGGTGGCTATTGTCTTTTAGTTAAGAAAGAAAAAAACAAAACACAAAACTATTAAAGTCTTCAAACTGTTTTCAAGCTTATACATGGCTCATCAGCAGAAGTCTTCAACATGAATTTTTCAAGGCAAGAATGGAATTAGTCATAAGGAAATTCCCAAAGAAAAGGAAAATTCTTTGTAGAAGGAGACTTTATCCAAAAATGAGGTATAAAATGAAATACTGAGGTGAATGCGCAAAATATTTATTAGGAAGCATTGAGAAATTATTCCAATATCCCTGCTAAAAAACATATAATGTATATAGAATTTTCCAGTATCTTCAGTAATAAGCCTTATATGATACTTCACTGTCACTGTGTTTGCAAATCACAGTGTTGAGATCAGCCTGTTGGCTGCCTAGCTGAGTGGTTTTCCCAGGTTTGATAAGAAAGCAGTCTTACATACCAATAAGTTAACTCACTCTCTCATGCCACAACTGCCTCTGAATTTAGGCTACATTTGCATGCCATTAGGGTCACAGATCACATTCCCAGGGAATGAAGAAAATAAATCTGTCCAATTAGCAAATCCTATTCGCACCACAAATTCTTCTTTATTTGCATGAGTTTGGAGTCTGAACATGGTGTTTGCAAAGCAAGGGCACTTTACATATTCTAAAATAAGAATGAAAAGTGACTAGGGAGATAAGAACAGTATGGTAAGAATTATATTTGTGTAACAAAATTAATTCAGGAAAGCTGTTGCATTTATAACCTAGAAGAGGTTGTCCTTTTCAGGGGAATTAAAATGGACTAAAATATACAGAACAGTTACTTGAAAAGCTTCCAAACACATCTTTTATGTAGTGATACAAAATATATTTATTTACTTAAACAAATGGCATTTCCAAATGAACAAAAGGATAAAATATCTTTAGTGAATGCCAGATGCTCATCTTATCAAAATGAAGCTCTGTAAGGTGTCAGAAATAGCATTCAGATGAATGGATGTTTGATATCTCCTATTTGCTCTTCCAGTCTTACTTTCTTCCCTTCACCACCCTATTGTTAACCTGTGGAGGCTGATGTGTATGGACTATATTCATGGGCTCTCTTGTCTGTCCTCCGTTTGTAGATTGAGTTAGCTAGAGAGCCCTGACGGAGACTGGAGAAAGGAGGAGAACATTTATGCTGTTAGCTTTTTCCCTGAGCAATGTCTTTAGACTGTCAGTGTCGTTCCACAGAAGTTTACACCCCTTCTTATGGTGGCCCAATAAATAGACTCCTCCTTCCAGGCTCCAGTGACCACTCCCTAACCTAGGCCTAAAGATATGAACTGCTTTCATGTTACTTTACCACTCCATGTGTTTCCACATCTTTGTTGATAATTCTTTCATTATACCTTCTTTGAATTATTAGATTGGTATTTGTCCATCTGTTTCCTGTTGGGATCCAGATTTACTGAATTTGGAAGACAAATCTTGCCCCCGGCACCTTTTTAAAGAATCTATGTCCACTTGGCTTGTAATAAGACATCAGGAGTGAATTGTCAGGGAAATAACAGAGTGAGGAAATTATATATTCTCATTATGTGCCAGGTACCATGAAACACTTTTTAATTGCAAATCTGTACATCCAACCCAGAGGTATCTGTAAATTGGAATTTCTGAAAGGTAGAGAGCTTGGCTGGACTGGGGAATGATGCTCTCAGAAGCTTTCTCTTATCACTGGGAAATATTGCCTGTCCAGCTCTGGCCAACCTGTGAGACTGATGGACGTTCTCTTCTTTTGGACATTTACTCATTCACCAATCATTTACTGCTCATGAAATATATGTAAACACCATACGAGGTGCTGCAGATTTGCAGCTGCAAAGTGCTGTACAATTAACTCACTATCTAATTTTAACGTTGCAAAAATCTTCCCCATTTAACAGATGGAACAATTGAGTATCAAACAAATCATATGTTTTAACTATGCCTAAAATTACAAAGATAGTAATTGGTAGAATAAAGACTTGAACTTATGTAGTCTGACACAGTGTTTCATAGATTTCCACTATATTACCTAAGAATGAAAAAAAAAATTCCTCCTTTAGTTTATTAACAGAAGCAGAACACACGCAGACACATTTAATATTCAAATTAGGGTGAACAGGCTGAGCGCGGTGGCTCACACCTGTAATCCTAGCAACTTGGGAGGCCAGAGCAAGAGGATCCCTTGAGGCCAGGAGTTCAAGACCAGCCTGGGCAACATAGCAAGTTCCCATCTCTGAAAAACAAACAAACAAAAATAAGGTGAACAAGTACCAAGGCAGAATTAGAGATAAAATGTGTTCACTTTTAGGGAATTTAGAGCACCTCTGGTGAGGCCAGTAGAACAGGCTTTTTAAAAAAGATGCTGGAGGCCAGGCACGGTGGCTCACACCTGTAATCCCAGCACTTTGCAAGGCCGAGGCGGGTGGATCACCTGAGGTCAGGAGTTTGAGACCAGCCTGGCCGACATGGTGAAACCCCATCTCTACTAAACGTAGAAAAAATAACCAGGCCTGGTGGCGCATGCCTGTAATCTCAGCTACTTGGGAGACTAAGGCATGAGAATCACTTGAACCTGGGAGGCGGATGTTGCAGTGAGCCGAGATCCCACCACAGCACTCCAGCCTGGGCGATAGAGCAAGACTCCATCTCAAACAAAAAAAAAAAAAAAAAAAGAAAAAAGAAAAGACAAAGAAAAGATGCTGGAAGATAGGGACACTCAGGTCATGGAGGACATTAGACTGCTAAGCTAGGGAATTTGAAATGTATCCCCTACTTAGTAGATATTTGTAAAAAGTGTTTGATCAGGATTGTGAGGAATATCAGTTAATAAGCAATTGAGGCTTATAAAGATGAATTTGGAAAAACTTCATAGAATAGGTTGGAGACTAAGAGAAAAAGAAATGAAAACAGACCAGTTAGACAACTTGATAAGTGAAAAATAACAAGGATTATTAAGGGGATAAGAGAATAAATTTTAAAAATTGCAAAATAGAAATAGACCCAATGAATTGAATTTTAATAAATGGATAATTAATAAATGACAAAGGGAATAAATATGGAAAATGCTTTCAAGGATAGAAACAAAGGAATCCAATGACTTATTGGATTTTATTTTGTGTTGTTTTATTTTATGATTTTACTTTTTAAAATCTTTGATTGTAGGTTCAGGGGTACACATGCAGGTTTTTTACACAGGTGCATTGTGTGTGACAGGTGTTTGGTGTACAGATTATTTCATCACTCTGGTAATAAGCATAATACTCGATAGGTAATTTTTAAATCCTGCCCCTCCTCTGACCCTCCACCCTGAAGTAGGCCCCAGTGTCTGTTGTTCCTTTCTTTGTCTCCATGTTTAGATCCCACTTATATGGGAGAAAATGTAGTATTTGGTTTTCTATTCCTGGGTTAGTGTGTTTAGGATTATGGCCTCCAGCTCCATCCATGTTGCTGCAAAGGACATAATCTTGTTCTTTTTTATGGCTGTATATGGTGTATATGTACCACATTTTCTTTATCCAGTCTACTGCTGATGGGCATTTAGGTTGATTCTATGACTTTGCTATTGTGAATAGTGCTGCAATGAACATATGTGTGCATGTGTCTTTAAGGTAGAACAATTTATATTCGTTTGAGTATATACCCAATAATGGGATTGAGGGGTTGAATGGTACTTCTGTTTTAAGTTCTTTGAGAAATCACCAAACTACTTTCCACAGCGGATGGACTAATTTACATTCCCTTTGTGTGTTCCCTTTGGAAAACAAGTTAAGAATGCTTAAAATCTTGACCTTGAGTTAATGGTAAGATAGTGCTTCCAAGAGCGGAAAATAAGAGAGAGTAATTTGTTTGAAGTGGGGCTAGGGGACAGGAAAGAAAGAAGCGATTTGGATCTGGGAATGTTGATTTTTGACATAGTATGGCTTGGACTGGTAGGCAATATTGGAAATGTGTAATCATTGTCAGGAACTGGGGATAGGGGAAATGGAACATTGTTCTTCAGTGGATATAAAGTTTCTGTTATGCAAGATGAATAAGTTCTAGATGTCTGCTGTACAACATAGTACACATGGTTAACAATACCTCATTGTGTGCTTTAAAAATATGTTAAGATAGATCTCATGTCAAATGTTTTTACAAAAAAACCTCACAAATGAACATAAGGAAATGTTTTGAGGTGTTGGATATGCTTAGTACCTTGGCTGTGATGGTATCATGGGTGTATGCATATGTCCAAATTCATCAAGATATATGCATAAATGTGTGCAATTTTTGTATCTCAATTATACCTAAGTAAAGCTGAAAAAATGAGAGGACAAAGAACTAAAGTTGGAAGAAGCCTGTGTTTGGCTGAGGGGTGGATGAGGAGATATGGAAGAAATAGTGGATGAGGAGATATGAAAGAAAGTAGAGAAGAGATAAACTAAGATGCAGGCACAACTGAGGAAGTAAGGTTTTCAAGATAAAACCAAGTCCCTGTGATAACTGAGGAAAGGTAATTGGAATGAATAATTGATATTGAAACTTTTGAGAATGGGTGTTAGTTATGCTGATGGAATAGAAGCCAGGGGGTAGAGTTAAGGCAGCATGGCAAGGTGTAGAGGGCATGAATTTTGAAGTGTGACAGGCCTGAGTTGGAATTCCAGTTTTGCCACTTACCAGCTGTGTCAGTTAGGCCACGTTACCTAAGAAATGATAAAGGGGGTATCACCACTGACCCCACAGGAGTTTGAGACCAGCGTAGACAACATGGTAAAACTCCATCTCTACAAAATATTAAAAAAGCTAGGTGTGATGGTGCATGCCTGTAGTCCTAGCTGCTTGGGAGGCCGAGGTAGGAGGATCTCTTGAGCCTGGGAGATGGAGGTTGCAGTGAGCTGTGATTGTGCCACTGTACTCCAGCCTGGGTAACAGAGTGAGATACTGTCTCAAAAACAAACAAAACAAAACAAAACAAAACAAACAAAACAAACGCCCTGATGGATAAAGAGCCTAGATGGGAAAAGATCAAGAATTTAGGATTCAATGCACAGGAGGAAAAGTTAGTCTTAGAAAGGAACATATACTTCTTTGGTGACTATTTGGAAGGAGAAGAGCATAAACATATTTTTAAATGCAGAGAAAAGCAGCAGTAGCTCTTTCGAAAGAATGTGTCTTCTCGGTGAAGGAACAAAGTCGTTTGCTATGTGAAGCAGTGATGAAGAAGTGGAGCTTAGTAAAGTAGAGAAATTTGAAAGCATATCATAAAAAAGACTACAGACGTTAGTAGAAAAGAATAAATAGATTGCTCATCAGGAGTGAAAGACAAGTGACTGAAGTAGAGTCAAGATAGATTTCATGAGAATTTAGGAAAAGGTAGACTGGTAACCCATTTTCTAAGAATAGTAGCAAACCCTAGGGAGCTGCTTCAGTTATCCAAGTAAAGGGGCCAGAATCTAAGGTACGTCATGATGAGAAGATTGAGAAGAAGGTGAGATAAATCAGTAACATGGCCAAAAATTGGCTGAGTGGCAGTGAACCAAAATCACTTTTCATATTGACTCACTAAAATTTAATCTACTATGGAGAGGGCCTTTATAAGCTTTTGAACATCCAAAGAGTTGAATAGGAGCTCCAGTTGATTATTCCCAGAAATGCATGATACATAGAAGGGAGTAGTTAGGTGTTGTATAAAGTGATAAAAGTGCAAAGAAAGTGGAAACGATGAAGCATGCTTTAATCACAAGGCACTCATGAAGCCAGGGCATGTTCCAGAGCAGCAGGGACATACCGTAACATGCAGGCATGTTGAAAGATGTAAGTCTCCTCATGGACCTCTGCTTGAGTAGAACATGATACGGTCATTCCTTTAGCTCTCTGAACCAGCCTCCAAGGATAGAAAATCTTTGACAGAGAATCATGTAAAATGTAATCAATGTAAAATGAAAAGAAATGTATGACTTTTGAAGAACTTGATTTTCTTACATTTGATAGAGGAAAAATCTCCTACCATTTGGAGTCAGAAAAAAGCAAAGGTTTTCATCACAGCAGAAGACCAATGGCAGTTTCTGAATGGAATGAACTGCCTTGGAGTAAGGGGTAACAACGTCAGCACTGGGAATCTGCGGTGGGATGCATGCCTCCTAAGGGACAGCGGGTGTTGGTGGGTTACAAAACCTTAAGGCCAGTTAAACCTACTGTGCTTCCTATCTTTGTGATCCTTATTGATTTGTTCATTCACTCATTCATTTGAGTACTTACCATATGACAGACAATAACGGATTAGGTACTTGAGATTGACAAGATCATCATTCTCATGGAGCTTATATTTCTGTTGGGAGTGGGATTTGAGGGAAAGAATGCAGTGACTCCTCAATCTGAAATATTTTTTATGTGTGCATGTGCGTAGGCATGTGTGTATGTATGTGTCTTGAGTGCAGGTCTAAGTGTGTGTGTGTGTGTGTGTGTGTGTGAGAGAGAGAGAAAAGAGAGAGAGCGAGGTCAGAGAAAAAGAGAGGAAGAGAGGACAGAAAGAGAGAGAGAGAGAGAGGTACGGGGAACAGGTAGTAACTGCATTTCCCTGGACCTGCCAATTTCCATATAAGGAAAATAACTACCAAATTAAATATCTTTGTGGGACTACTCTTGACGTAATGAAGTATAAGTTCATGAAATAACTTTTTTTTCCTGTTTTGTATTGTCTAAGATTTCCTTGTTGCTTATCAAAAAAATTTGATATTATATGGTCAAGATTACTGTGCTGAGCTAGATACTCTCTTAATGCTACTAATGGGATGATAAATTTGTCAAAATCTTTATGGAAAGCATTTTGGCAATATATATTAACTATTAATATGTTCATGTCTTTTTAATATGCAGTTTTAAGGAATTTATCTCAAGGAAAATAACCTATGATGTGGACAAACAAATGTTCATCATAGCATCATTAATAACAGAGATAAAATGCTAAAAATTTAAATTATATATGAATAGAGAAATGATTTGTCTTGTTATGGACATCTACAGTATGAATATTGTGTAAATAATTAAAATTATGTGCTCAAGGAGTTTTTAATGACATGGGGCAATGTTTATGATATATGTGTTATAAAAAAGAACAAGATACAAATTTTTATATTTTGTCTATTCTTCATATTTAAAGCAGTTCTATAAAATTAGACAGAAGAAAATGGGCCACAATGCTTTATGCTTTAAGCATTTTCCACGATTTGTACATGTGACTTTTATATTCAGAATTATCAACAAATATTACTTAAAAAAACCCTATGTTAAAGCAGGAGCTAAATGCCTCTGTAATTATCCCACAAACCACTGGGTCCTAATCTGCAATGATCTGGAAAATCAACCCTTACACATATAACCATAATATCAATTCAAATTTTTGCTTAAGGCTTCACTGGATGGCTGTATTTTAGTGCTATGAGAGCAACTTTCTTTTCTGCTTTTCTTTAGAAAGTTTGTTTTTACCTTTTTTACATGGCAAGGCCCGTCCTTGGTCTGTGCATAGTAAATGCAGTAAAGTGGTAGCAATGGCCTTCACTGGGCTATGGTTTTGTGGGAAATGATTTTAATTAAGTAAAGAGAAAGCACAGGACATGCTATTTTAAGATTAGGGAACATTTCTTAAAATGTGGCCCTGAAATATTTTGCATCAGTGTAACCTCTGATACTTGCTAAAATGCAGATTTCCCAGCCTACTAAATCAGAATCCTAGGATGGGCCCCAGTAATGTATATTTTTAAAGATAAATCCCAGGTTATTCTCCTGAGATTCTCTAAGAATCATCAGCTGGGGAGGTTTGAGGTTTAGAAATTCTTGCACGGGATCTGAATGCTCCAATGTTAATAAGTAGAATTAGAACTGTTTTTCAATTGCATAAACACAAAATACAAAACACTTTGCTTCTTAGATAAATCAGAATTGGAGGATGGGGCCTACCTACTGCTGTACTGTAATCTTGTTAAAGAGTTTTACATTTGGGAATTTATTGAAAGAGCAGATACCAGTGGTCAGTAACATTGCTAGGAATAGTGGTAGGGTGAGTGTATAGGTGATTTACTCTGGCTAGAAAACAGCTGTCACAAGTTCCATTTCTTCTGGGATATCCTTTAAGGTGGAATGCTTGGCAAAATCAATGTACATCAGAGTCCATAACTCATAATGAAATAGGCTTCCATGGGGAACTGTTGTACCCTGAAGCATGAGCACTAAGTCAGATACACTTGTCACTATGTGGTACGGTCTGATTGTTTGTGTCCCTCAAAATTTATATGTTGAAACTGAGTCCCCGAGGTGATGGTATTAGGAGGTGAGGACTTTGGGAGGTGATTGGCCATGAGAGTGGAGCCCTCATAAACGATATTAGTGCCATTAATAGAAGTTCTACAGAGCTGCTTTGCCCCTTTTACCATGTAAGGTCACAGTCAGAAAGTCCTATCTATGAGGAAACACACCTTTACTAGGCACTAAATCTGCTAGCAACTTGGTCTTGGACTTCACAGCCTCCATAACTGCGACCAATAAATTCCTGTTATTTGTGAGTTACTCAATATATGGTATTTTGTTATAGCAGCACAAGTGAACTGTGACACTATGTGTCTGGAAGATGTGAACAACTTGAGAACTTAGGTTTTTCTTAGGTACAACGGAGATAATACTAGTACCAGATTAGTGATGAAAAATGTTATGCAAAATATTTAGCACAAGCCATGTTATGTAATAAGTACTTCTAAGTGTTTACAGTGACGACTTCACAAAAGCCTGGCTGTAAAAGTTTGGGAAGTCAGGCTTCTCTGGTTGGCTTGGAAGACCATGTTAGTTATCAGACAAGCCAGGGATTTTGAGTAACCCCAATTCTTGAGGGGAAGAAAGTAGAGTGGAAGAGGAGCCAAAATTACTAATAGTCCTTCATCTGAGCTAGATTTTTGATATCTGTTGGTTTTGTGGAAAATCCAAACCTAATGTCTTTTATTGAAATTCCCCATCTCGTGGATGGTCTAGGACTGAATTGAGTTATGTAAAATATCATTTGTGGAGTGATATTCATTTGTATACCTTTTCAGTTCGAAACAGTCAAAAGTCTCTCTCTCTCTCTCTCTCTCTCTCTCACACACACACACACACACACACACACACACGTACACACCCACACACAGCCTTAACCCTGGCCACCTCTATACTATTTCTGGAATCCCAGATTCTATAAAACTATTTTAGTTTCTAACAAATGTCTTGGTCTTTATGATGGTCACCACCATGAAACACAGTTACTTTACACTTTCTTGCCTTGTTCATAAATATTCCCCAAGTAAAATTACTTGCTACACTTTTCCCATTTAAATTTGCATTGGCTAAGTGAGAGACATCTCTACAGATTGCTCAATTTTAGGAAAATAACCATTCCCAAGAAACACAAACAAGTCAAATCAAGATAGTTACCAGGAGCAATTCTTTATATTATCCAGTTGCACAACACACTTCTTGAATAAATGACATATCCTAATTTAGGATACATCACCAGATTCAAGTCAGAGAGTATCCTGTGCCAGTCAATAAGAGTGCGGGTCACTGGAAGATCCCTTCGTAGAATTTTTCTCAGGGCTTCATTGGATAACTCCTGTAATTCTTCCAAGACTGCAGCTTGAAATTTGTTCTCTTGCTCTTCCACAAGCCTTGCAAAACTTAGAGCCAGTTGAGCTTGGTTAACTATTTCCAAGCTTTCTTTCAGGTCCTTGGATATTTCAATATGAAGGTTGACACACCTGAAGAAGTGAGCTTGCACAAATATTCTTCCCGTTACTTGGGTTAGAAATGGGTTAACTTGGAAAATCCATTTAGATTTCCAAAGTCCGTTCCAGCACTCTCCTGTTTCATAGTTGTGATCTTCAATGCAAGCTATCAAGTACTCCTTACTTTTGACAGTTTTTCTCAGCATGTTGCAATTTCCTTTTGGATAGTGGTCATTCACATACAGTTTTAAGGCGCACAGAAGAACAACTCTCAGGTATTCTGCCTCATTCTGAATGATACCATGACTTTGGATGTCTTTCAGCTGATTTTGAAGCAGGTCATATTTGAAAGAAAGTTTGCTTTGATGGTCAAAAAATCGGTAGTCGCCCATTACATTGTGGTGAGACAAGAGTACTGGATTTCCATCGATGCAGAGTGGTACAGAATATTTTTGGCAGTGTTGGTGGCCTGCACACTCACCTTGGTGGTGCATAAGTTTTTCATCACGGATAAGCAGACAGAGATCATCAAAGGCATTTACAAATTCCCCTGGAGGGGCCTGTAATAACAGTCTGCGAATTACTCTTTCCTTGTCCTTCCTGCTCAGCACGCTAAGTGTCATGTTTGGTTGCAACAGAAGCAAAGCTTCTGAAATGAGGAGTGTTCAAAGGATAAGAAAACATTCCATGAGCCACCTTTCCCATCAAGGTGTTAACATTCAAGCTGAAGGTTTTTATGTCTATCCATGAAAGCAGGCAGTCTGGCAAGGTCTGAGCCTCCTGATGAGGTCATAAGAAGCTTTCCTTGTGAAGTGTGGAACCTCTGATGATATCACAATGGGAATTCAGACCAAAAGGAAAAAATGACAGTCACCTGACAGTGTGGTGCCCAGCCAACCAGCTATACCTCTTTTGAAGATTTTAAGAACTTAGCCTCCTGAACAGTCTTCTTCGAAAGTGGTGTGTCTCTGTGTGCATTATATGTTGTCAACGATCTAGAGAAGCAGCCCAAAGTTTCAAGAGTGACAGCACTTTGCAACTTCAGGAATCACAATGGTGTTGATTTATACTCAGGCTCTCAGAGTAGCTGCCCAAACCCACTGGAAGCATATTATGATGAAAGGTTTGAGGGGTTTAAACAAAGTAGTAAAAAATAAAAGGAGATACAATGGCAGTTCATGGAAAAATGCCAGACATCAGGGAAAGCTGTGTTTTCAAATATTGTGGGTTTGGAGGTGGTCAGAACGTAAGAAGCCAAACAGTTTCAAGGGCAGGGTAGTGCAGGTACCACATCTTGCATACTGTTTCTATGGTTAAGTGTGAGCTAGCTTCAAAGAACGAAGGCAAAAAAAACCACTGTGTGTTCTCTGCTTTCTCCCTAGAAAAGTGGTAACAGCTGATGAGTATCAAGAAATTATTTTCTGCAAAGGGGCAGAGTTAATTGTATTTGGAACCCATGACAGCACCTACTGGGGAAAGACTTCTAAGTGAGGAGAAACGGCTCTACAGGTCATGAAACTATGGAAATGAGATATCCATTGAGAGCTTCTTTCTGCTCCTCTTCTTCTTTCTCCTACTTATCCTCTTTACTTGATGCTGTTATTCTTTTCGAGGAGTTCTGAATTTAAGTCCTCTTCATTTAAGTTGAACTGCTTTTCCCTGTTTGTTCTGAGCTTTTCTAACTTTCCCTGCATTCTGGTATCTTTTTCTTACAAGAACATGAGCTTTGCTGGATTAAGTCATAACTATTAAATTTAAGGAGATCTCATTAATTCGTTCTAACAATCTGAAACTTAGTAGTTTTGCACAATTTTTACCTATACCTTTTATAATTTTAGTGATAATTGTCATTATCTCATTTCGATCTTAGTTTTTCAAATGGAAGTGTCCTAGTTTTTGTAGTTTATCTATGATAAGTAAGCTTTTAAAAATTTTTTTCGTTTTTCATACCAAATATACACTCACCATGGTATTTCTGATGCTTTTTGATGGTACTGTCTTGAGTGTGTGTGTAGCTGGGCATTGGACTAATGTAGTAATAATAACTTTATCAGTCATGGTTACTATTTATTGAACACTAAGTAGCAGAAACTGTGTTCGGTGGCATATTAGGAATTCATCTAATGCTTCCACTTTCCTTAAGATTCAGGGTTAATTTGCTCACCTTTCTGGAAGAGAGAACTAAAACAGAGAGGTCAGGTGAGAGGCGATCTTGAAGTCTAGCTGCCTTCCAACTTCATGCCTTCAGGCAATAGATTGTTATAATGTTTTAATGTATGTTCTAAGTAATGACTTCAATTCTCAAATTTTAACTTTAATTCTTTTTTTTGTATTTTTACTGTGCTATGCCCTTTCATACCTTTACCATAGCATAGTAACTACTTAATTTTGTTTTTTAAAAAATATTTATCATACAATTATACTATAATTTACTTTAAACATATTCTTTAAAAATAAAAATAATACAGTAAATCAAATGTTTCTTTAGGAATTTTAAATATTCAATGACTTTCTGTGAGAATTTCCTTAACTTTTTTGTGCTTCTACATGGTTTTTGTCAAAGATTCAGGATGACTTCAGAGGTGGAAAAATTAACCTAGAAAAAACTCAGAGGTTACTTGAAAAATTAGATATTCGGTGCAGTTATATTCATGTGAAACAGATTTTTAAGGTAAGATGACATCCACCCCCTGCCTATCCTATCCTAGGTGGAACTTAATCCAATGTCAGTAATTGTCATATAAAGGTTAGTCTCTTAAGAAGAAAAGCAATTAATTATACTAACTATATTTACAATCAAGATGGAGAGCATTTCAGTAGAAGGTAAAATTAGTTGTTGAGAAAATCTGAAATAATACCAGGATATCAGTTTAGAATAATTTCCTGAGCATACAGAAATGCTAACATTAAACCTAGGATTGGATGTCTAATTATATCAGACTGATAATGGTAACTGTATTAGATGTTAGTGATTTATAAAAAGAGTGGAGAATAAGCCCAAAGTTAGCAGAAGGGAGGAAATAATACAGATTAGCACAGAAATAACTAAAATAGAAAAGAAAAAAATTAGAAGAAATTGAGGAAACTAAGACTTGTTTTTTTGAAAAGTTAAATAAAATTGACAAATACTTAGAGTAAGAAAAAAGAGAGAGGAGTCAAATAAAATCAGAAATGAAAGTGGAGACATTACAACAGATCTCACAAAAATGAAAAACACATAGAGCAATCATACACCATAAAATTGGACAATCTAGAAAAAAAAGGGAAATTTCAAGAACCATATAACCCATCAAGACTGAACCAAGAAGAACTAGAAAGGTTAAACAGACCAATAACAAAAAGGAGACTGAGAGGCTGTGTGCAGTGATTTGTACCTGTAATCCCAATGCTTTGAGAGGCCAAGGTGGGAGGATCACTTGGGGCTAGGAGTTTGAGACCAGCCTGGGTAACATAGTGAGACCCTGTTTGGAGACTTAATCAGTAATCAAAAACTGCCCAACGAAGAAAAGCCCAGGACCAAATGACTTCACAGGTGAATTCTACCAAAGATTTAAAGAAGAATTAATACCAATCCTTCTGAAATGCTTCTAAAAAATAGAAGAGGGAACACTTCCAGTTTTATTTTATAAGGTCAACATCATCTGGATACCAAAGCTGGACAAAGGCACCACAAGAAAACAAAACTTTAGGCCAATATTCCTGATGAACATAGATGCAAAATTCCCCAACAAAATAATAGCAAATCAAATTTATAGCACTTTAAAAGGATCATATTCCATGACCAAATAATATGTGTCCCTGGCATGCAAGGATGGCTCAACATACAGAAATCAATCAATGTGATACACCACATTAACAGAATGGAGATAAAAATCACATGATTATCTCAAAAATATAGAAAAAGCATGTGACAAAATTTAACTCCCTTTCATGATAACTCTCAGTAAATTAAGTATAAAAGGAACTTAACACATTAAAGTCCATATATGAAAAGCTTACAGCTAATATCATATAAAATAAACTGAAAAGATTTTTTTCTAAGATCTGGGAAAAGGCAAGGATGCCCACTCTCACCACTTCTGTTCAAGATGGTACTGGAAATCCTAGCCAAAGCAATTAGTCAAGAAATGAAAATAAAAGGCAATTAAATTAAAAAGGCAGAAGCAAAATTATCTCTATTCACTGATGGCACAATCTTACATGTAGAAACTCCTGAAGATTTTGTTAACAAACTACCACAAGGCCGGGTGTGGTGGCTCATGCCTGTAATCACAGCACTTTGGGAGGCTGAGGCAGGTGCATCACCTGAGGTCAGGAGTTCGAGGCCAGCCTGGCCAATGTGTTGAAACCTCGTCTCTACTAAAAACACAAAAATTAGCCAGACGTGGTAGTGCACGCCTGTAATTCCAGCTACTCAGGAGGCTGAGGCACGAGAATTGCTTGAACCTGGGAGGCAGAGGTTGCAGTGAGCTGAGATTGCGCCACTGCACTTCAGCCTGGGCAACAGAGCGAGAGTCCTCAAAACAACAACAACAACAACAACAACAAAAACAACTACTAGAACTATTAAATTCAGTAAAGTTGCAAGATACAAAATTACTATGTAAAAATGTGTTGCATTTCTATTCATTAACTATGTACTATCCAGAAAGAAATCAAGAAAACATTTTCATTTACACTAGCATTAAAAAATATATAATGCTTAGGAATAAATTTAACCAAGGAAGTGAAAAACTGGCACACCAAAACTGTAAACCACTGATGAAATAAACTTTAAAAGTTACAAATAAACAGAAACACATCCCATGTTAATATATCCATACTACCCAAGGTGATCTATAGATTCAATGTAATCCCTACTAAAATCCCAATGGCATTTTTGTTTTGTTTTCACAGAAACAGAAGAAACAATCCTAAAATTCATATTGGAATCAAAAAAGACCCTGAATAACCAAAACCAATCTTAAAAAAGAAATATAAAGGTGGAGGCATCACAATTTTTGGTTTCCAAATGTATTTAAAATACTTCAGTAATTGAGGCAGTATGGTAGGGGCATAAAAACAAATATGTAGACTAATGGAACAGAATAGAGAGCCCAGAAATAAACCCCTTCATATATAGTCAACTGATCTTCTACAAAGGTACTAAAATACATAATGGGGAAAGGATAGTCTCTCCAATAAATGGCATTGGGAAAACTGGATATTCGCATGTAAAAAATGAAATTGGACTCTAACCTTACCCCATATGCAAAAATCAACTCAAAATCCATTAAAGATTTAAACTTGAGACCTGAAACTATGAAACTCATAGAAGAAAATAGGAAAAAAGCTTTTTGACATTGGGCTTGGCAAGAATTTCTTAGATATGATTCCAAAGGGATTGAAACAAAGACAGGTAACAAAAACTTGTCTAAAAATAGAAAAGTGGGATTACATGAAACAAAGTGGCTATTGCACAGCAAAGGAAACAATCAACAAAAATGTAAAGCCAATTTACAGAATAAAAGAAAATATTTGCAAGCCACATATCTGATAAGGGATAGTATCCAAAATTGAATCCCACAACTCCATAGAATGGAAACCCCAAGTAACTTGATTAGAAAATGTGCAAAGGGATTGTATAGACATTTCCCTAAAGAAGCTATACAAATGGCCAACAGGTATATAAATAAGTGCTCAACATCACTAATCATCAGGGAAATGCAAATCAAATCACATGAGCTATCACCTCATACCTGTAAGAATGATTATTATAAAAAAGTACAACAGAAAAGTGTTGGCAGGAATGTGGAGAAAAGGGAACTCTTGTATACTATTGGTGTGAATGCAAACTGGTACAACCTTGTGGAAAACAATATGGAGGTTCCACAAAAATTAAAAATAGAACTGCCATATAATCCAGCAATCCCATTTCTGGGTATATACCTAAAGGAATTGAAATCAAGAGATATTTGTACTCCTGTATATATTGCAGCATTATTTTATGATAGCCAAGATATGCAAGCAATCTAACTGTCCATTATGAATGAATAAAGAAAATATAGTATGTACATACAATGAAATATTACTCATCCTGAAAAAATAAAGAATATCTTGTTATTTGTGACAACATGGGTAAAACTAGAGGACATTATATTAAGGGAAATAAGCCAGACACAGAAGGACAAATAGTGCATGACACCACTTATGTGAGGAATCTAAAACAGTCAAACTTATAGAAGGAGAGAGTTGAATGATAGTTACCAGGGCTGGGGGAGGGGAAAACAAGGAAGTGTTAGTCAAAGGGTATAGTTTCTGTTATACGGCACAAATAAGTCCCAGCGAGCTACTGAACAGCATAGTACCCGTGATAAATAACATTGTGTTGCATATTTAAAAGTGTAAGAGGGTAGATCTTAGATTGAGTATTCTTATCACACACAAAAGTTATAAAGAGGGTCCAGGCGTGGTGGCTCATGCCTGTAATTCCAGCACTTTGTGAAGCTGAGTTGGGCAGATCGCCTGAGCTCACGAGTTCGAGACCAGTCTGTACAACATGGTGAAACTCGTGTCTACAAAAAGTACAAAAAATTAGCTGGGCCTGGTGGTGTGTGCCTGTGGGCCCAGCTACTTGGGAGGCTGAGGTGGAAGGATCCTTTGAGCTCAGGAGATAGAGGCTGTAGTGAGCTGTGATGGCACCGCTGCTCTCTAGCCTGGGTGACAAAGAGAGACCCTGTGGGGAAAAAATAATTAAGAGGGCAGAAGGAAACTTTTGGAAGGAATGGATATGTTTATGGCATAGATTGTGTTGATAAATTCATGGCTGTATACTTATCTCCAAACTCATCAAGTTGTATACATTAAATATGTGTAGCTTTCTGTATGTCAATTATACCTCAATAAATGGATTTAAAAAATCAAGAAGGAATAAGTAATCTGAAAACATAGGTTATTTCACTTATTCCACAAAAGAAAATCATCCAAAAATTATCTTTGTTTGAAGAATAACTAGTAGGAGGGAAACCTGGCTCAATGCTGTCACTAGATGACAGAAGGAAAGATCATTAACAAAATTAGGAAAAGCCATTTTAGCTGAGTTTTGTACTAGGAAGATGACAAATTTCTTGGAGAATGAGGCAAGAAAGCTACACTGGCCAATCCAGATCAATAGGAACCTTAAAATCCTGCGTATGATTTTGTTTTTTGAAAGTGAGTACTCAGATAACACAATCTGTGTTGAAGTTGTTATTGGTTACACAAACTGGGAAAGGTCTGATATTTTACCCTCCCTGCAAGCTACCAATTGGCCTGATGTAGCTCCATGGAAGCTGGTGGAAGCAGGCTTGTGCGTCAAAAAAAAAAAAAAAAAAAAAAAAGACAGCTTATTACTCACAGAAATGACAGTTGTCAGAGTATTAGCATTTTGACGTTATTTCCCCAAGCCCCAGTTTTTAAAGTGTGGTACGAAGAGGAACAAGTGACACACAGTGAGTTGCATTATAGAGTAGGTACCTTAAGCTTAAGGAACCTGGGCCTTTTATGGTGGGCAGTAAGCCTACCTGATCTTTGCCCTGTAGGCTGTCATCATTATTATAGGAAACAGTAAACAAAACTGCTTTTTTTCCTCTGGAAGGAGACAGTATCTTTACGAAAGCTGTTCGCTATACAAATGTCCTTGAAAATCTAGTATGGAAGAAAAGCAATCAATACCTCTGCTCAGAAAACACATAGAAACACGAGAGACCTATGGAGAATTGTCTTCCAACAACCACTTCTCTCAATAACATTTAGCCCTCAAGTTTACAAACCACAAAGAGGAGGTTAAAAAAGAAAAGTTGTACTTCTCAGGAGACCCCAGTGAAAACCAAAGTTGCAGAACTGTGTCTCTGAATCCAAGCAGTGCATGTGGCCATAAGGTATCAGAATTTTAATCGATTCATGGCTAATACCACATTCAAAGAACACAAGTTTTTATGAACATCTTTACATGTAGGATTTTTCCTCCGGTAGTATCTTCCAAAGGGAGAAAAGCTATTGCTTCTCGATTTATTAAAATTTACATTAAAGGCAAAATAAAAATAGTAATATATTGAAATCTGTATCAAATGTGAAATGTAAATATTATTCAGTGATTATCAAGTTTCTTTATGTTATCTTCAGGGCAGAGATATCTGAAGTGAAATTTAGTAAAATACATGTCATATTTAAAAGCATTACATAGAATGCTCAACCATTATAAAAGTACGGAAATGGCTCACTAATTGAAATGTATGATTACGGACATGAGCAGGCCTGAAGATCTATTGTTTAGCAAAGTGTTTCTGGAGTGGCTATTAATATAATATTAATTATAAAAATTAGAGACACAGAGTTTGCTAAGAATACTTCAAAAACCTCCCTAAAATAACTGTAAGTACTTTAGAAGCATAAATTACATATAAACAAGGCTGATAATCATGATAAACTATTCTTATCTAGTAACATAATTCTAGAACCACTAATTTAAAACTTTGTCACCTTAGGCTAAATTGCCATGTATGCATTAAAATGTTGATTAAGTAGAATCCTTAGGGAAGGTGTATTGGTTAACTGTATTTTATGGATAGCTGAAGATTAAGCTGCTTACACATTCAACTCACTTGCTTCAACTCTTGTTGCTAATTTTTTCTCATTTTATGGATGCACCTTTTCCCAGAGTAAATAAAATGAGTCCTACGTGACCAAAATCTTCTAGTCTCTCAGAGCACTAGAGATTCTTGGCTGTAAGACATCCTAGCTGTTTACTACTTGGCAAGTTAAAAATCTCTCTGAGCAAATTTCTTAATCCGTAGAATGGGACTAACATAGCTATCTCACATGATTGTTGTGGGTATTAAATAAGATATTATGTATGAATATACCTAGTACTAGGCATGACACAAAATAGGTGCTCAATAAATATATGTAGACGCTGCATCAGTTAAGTATACACAATTGAATTACATTTATTCATTATCTAAGCTGACGTAAATTCTGATGTGAGTTTATTTTCTTACAAGGTGACATTTTATTATAAATTTGAGTAAAGAAAATATAACTTTGTGATCTTGGCAATATATTCTGAACTTCTTTCTACAAGATTAATTATTGATTCATGGCTTGAGCAGCAATTCTCTAAGATTTTTTAAATCCCTTTACTAAAAAAGCCTATTGCTTTTATCATGCAATAGTCTTTATAGCATTTAAAATATTTTATAGGAAATATATGTTATTTCAATACACAGTATGAGTGTTGGATTACACTTTTGATTGTTGGTTGAGTAAGAAATAGTATCCTTTGTAATTTCAGGATTTTTTAAATTGGATTTGCCCTGAGTCTTCAAATTCTTTAAGGAATTAATAGCCACTATTAAATCTATAGTATGTGGTGACACTCTGTAGGAAACTGTGAACTGTAAAAAATGAATAAAGTGTTATCTTTCTTTTAAGGGCAGAAAAAGGAATGCAGAAATTACTGTTTTATAAGTAGCTTATAATATATCTCGTGGGTAATACAGGGAATCTGAGAAGAGACTCTATTTAGTTTGGGCTTTTATAGAAGATGCCATGATGGAAGTGGCATTCTTGCTGGACCTTAAATAAGAAGGAATATGTATGGAGTATGTGGAAAGAGTGCATGGAGAATAAAAAGTAATCAAATATGACTGGAGTACAGGATGCATGAAAGGAAGTGGTAAGAAAGAGTTGCAAATGACAGTTATAGCCAGATGATGGAAACCTTGAATGGTAGACCATGGAAATTATATTTCCTTTTGCAGGCAAGGGGTACTCACTGAAATTTCTTGAGTAAAGAAATATTACATATTTTAGGATAAATAACATGGCACTAGTTAGAATGGATTGGAAGCTAGTATTCAGAGAGAGAGAGAGAAATTATTTCTCTACTGATTCTGCCCTACAAATCCGCTACCTGGAATCAACTCAGCCACTTATATTCTGTTTGGTTCCACCTCAAGTTTATGGTTTCTTACTTTAGTTGGTCCTCCACAATGTAAACTTTTAAAAAGTCTCATCTAAAAAATAAATAGCACCATATCCTCTTCTAATGTTACATTCCCTGTTTTAGCAGATAAACCAAAAGAATCCTTTACATTTCTTTCTCCACTCGTTCAATGATCCATTGCAATCTGTTTTGCTTTCATACCTATCTCGAAAATCTTTTTAGGTCATAAATGCTAAATCCACTGGTTAGCCTCTCTGTGCATTTCACTTATCCCTTTTTATAAAAAATTTCCCTGTTCTGACTTCTATGACATCATTCTCTCCCAATTTTCTCTTCAAATCTGTGATCAGTCCTTCTCCTTCTGTCCTGTGACCACTCCTTCTGCTCTCCTCTTAAAGTTGAGCTCTTTATATCCTTTATTTTTACATTACAAACTTTTCCTGAGCTATCTTATTGACTCTTAACGGCTACTTCTTAAATAGGAACAAGTTCCAAGTTTTCTATCCTGAACGTTGAAGACATGTAAATGGCACCATTTGTTCATCATCTGCCATAATGTAGACACTGATTAGGTGTTGCACTCATTTTATTAAAAACATATAAGGAAGTTATTGTTAGCTTCTTTTTATACATAAGGATATTGAGTGTAAGAATGTTGATATAATTTCTTCATATCTCACATAACAGTAGAAACTCATGTCTGGGTCTGTCTGACTGCAAAGTTATCATTCTACTTTCTTCTATAGCATATTGTTTTCCTCTATTCCTAACACACAACCATTTGCCTGCTGGCTGTCTCTGTTTAGATGTCATCTCAGATGTACTTCAAATTTAATATGTTTAAAGTGAAACTCGTCTTTCCCTCTTAAACTGTCTTTCCTCCTTTATTTCTTTGCTTGGTGATCTCGGCACCATTCTCAGTTATCTAAGCAGAAATTGAAGAGGTTTTCAGACTCTTCTTCTGACCCTATCTTTTTAGGTCCATATACTTGCTACACCATGTCAATTGCTCTTGAACTACTTACTACTTATTGTGGTCCTCAGACCAGAAATGAAGCTGATTGCATTTCAACAAGTCCCAAGTTGACTCATATGCATATCAAAGTTGGAAAAACCCTACAGATTGGTTTGTTTTAAATCCCAACATCTACCTTCTACACTGCTGCCAGAGTAATCTTTCTAGAACGAAAATCTATGGGATTTCTCTCTTAAAACTGATCAATAACTCTTTATTCTTTCCAAAGAAGTCTAAATTTCTCACTGTGGCTTCCGAGGAACCCTGGGATTCAGCTGTGCTTCCTGCCTTATCTGCTCCCGCAGCTTCACTAACATTCTCTCTAATTACACTCTTCTGTTTTGTACTTTGTACTTTCATTTGCTCTGATCTTAACAAATAGAATTAGCCCCTTTCCTCCCTAATTTCAGGCAAATATCTTCCTTCTCACCTCTGAAGACTCAGTTCCAGGATCACTTTTTCTATAAAGATTCTCCTTTGACCCTCCAGGAAGAATTGTCCAACTTTCCTTATTGTGTCTATTATCTATAGAATTTATTTTATTTTTAAAATGTTAAAAAAATTAGAGAAAAGGTCTTGCTCTGTCACCCAGGCCAGAGTACAGTGGTATGATTATAGCTCACTCTAGCCCTGGACTCCTGGGCTCAAGGGATCCTCCTGCCTCAGCCTCCAGAGTAGCTGGGACTACAGGCAGGCACCAATGCACTTGGCAAATTGTTTTTTTTTTTACATTTAGAGACAGGGTCTCACTATGTTGCCCAGGGTGATCTCGAACTCAGCCTCAAGTGCTCCTCCCACCTTGACTTCCCAAAGCTTGGGGATTGCAGGCATGAGCCATTGTGCTCAGCTACAAAGATTATATTTCGGCACCTGTATACTTCCATGCCTACTTTCTTTTTCTAGACTATCTGCTTCCAGAGGGCACTGACAATATGTTACTTTTGCATCCTTGTTACCCAGTATAGTATCTGACTCATATATTTGGTAAGGAGGAAAGGGAAGAAGAAAAGGAAACAGGAAAACTGCCAAACAATTTAAACTAGCGCGAGAGTTTGGGAAAAAAGAAAGTGGCAAGTCATATCATTTCCTGTAATGTAATTTGAATTTACTTAGGCTTTATTTTTAGTGTAATTTTAGATACAACCAACTCTAAAATGCTGTATTTTACATTAAAAGTAAA
Organism: Homo sapiens; assembly: GCF_000001405.40. Lineage (NCBI taxonomy): Eukaryota > Metazoa > Chordata > Mammalia > Primates > Hominidae > Homo > Homo sapiens. Next base: position 18,726,732 of record NC_000012.12, on the reverse strand, counting down.
TTCTGTTTTGATAAATCAGCTTTCTCATCACATTATTTTAAATAACATTTCATATTTTTACTAGCAAACTGAGCATTGGAAATGGAAAATGGTGACAATATGGAAAGCCTTCATTCTGTTTCTGAAAGTGTACACTCAGAATGACAATCAATAGAATTATTTTGAATTTTATTTTCCCTTGTTTATTCAATCACTCATTTAAACGTATAGTAATTAAGCTCCTCCTCTAGGTAGGTCCAGTAGTAGGCATTGGGAATAAAAAGAATAAAATGTCTACCTTCATGATGTTCACGGTCTTGAAGCATATGGTGTATTTCTAAATATACAAGACATTGAATGAATTGTTTGGGAAAGTGCTTTTTGTAATGCTTTGCAAAGAATAACCACTTAAGGAACGTTTTTTAAACAGGAGACAAATGATTTTATTACTCTTATTTTATGTTGTATGTTTAATGATTAATACGAAACATTTTAAAGGTGGTAGTGAACCCTGAGGTGGGGCCTGAGATTTTGCATATCTTCTGGGATATGCATTTTTAAATCTCTTTTCCTATCCTCCTTAAGTCTAGGGAGATACTTAATTCCTTTATGTAATTATTGTCTAAATGCACTTATTTCATCAGTTTCATAAAACTGGGTGGTAGGCCACACTCTGAATATCTTCAGTCAGGCACTTTTTTGAGTCCTGAGGATACAAGAAACAAATGACAAACTTGCTGTCTGAGGCAATTCTAGAATGAATATAGAAAAAGGCTGTCATTCCAATCTAATAAGGCCTGTAAGAGAAGAAAGTGGAGTCTTCTAAGAACCCAGAGAAGGGATATTTTAATGCAACCTGGGGAGGAGATACAGAGGAAGATTTCTAGAGTGGGTGACACTTTTTCAAGGATTAGTAGAAATTGGTAATTTAAACAGAAAGAAGGATATTCCGGAAAGAAAAACAAACAAACAAAAAACAACAACGAGAAACATAGGTACCATAGCAAGAGATGGTTTGGTACCTGTACTGCAACTAATTCAGAGCACCTGAAGTGTGAGGTGGAAGGAGGAAAAAGATAAGAGCAGAAATCATCCATGACATTTTAGATGGCCTTGGATGCTACACAATACAGTTGGGGTTTTGTCTTGAAGACAAAGGAGGTACAGTGAGAACTTTAAGAGGGAGTTGAGATGGTCAGATTTGCAATTTACAGAATTGATTTCTGCATATATACTGTTAATCTGTGTAATGGTATACTGACTTTTTTTCTTCCAGCTGCTCCTCTGGGTGGTCTTAGAGTTAGTTAAAAATCCTGGTCTACCTGTGTGGCTGGGGACAATTTACCTAAGATTTTTGTGCTTCAGTTTTCTCTTACAGAGGAGTCTAGCACGTTGGCAGTCTGAGCTGCTGTCACGTGCCTCAGCACTCAAATTGCACCTTCTTTCTTATTGCTTTTCTTCTCCCCGCTTCCCTTGATCATGATGCTACCACGTCCTGCTTTTCTTCCCCATTGTCACTTGCTCCTTGTTGCTTTCCTTTTCCATTCTCTTTCTACTAAAATTAGATCTTCCCCTCTTCAGTGATACAACTCTCACTATTCTGTGTGGTTTTCATTTTTCTGTAATTTGATTAACATTTGACTTTGAATTCTTCTTTGATTTTGATCAACTATAGTGATTCTTTGGATTTGTGGAATTTTGTTTGGACTTATATCTCCAATTCTTTTTAGTACAAGATGGCAACTTTGACCTTTTAGAAGAACACGAGACAAAACAAATTATCAGAGAACATTTCGGATGACCAAGCTTATACTCTGTTTGAAAGTAATAAAACTGTCATTATTCAGTGAATAATGTATATTTTATTTTATGCTGCTATTCAGTAGAACCATAATTTTTTATTTACATAATTTTCTATAACCAAAATTTTCAGGGATTACGGGCACATTTTAAATTTTTATTGACTTGCTTAAGATTTTATGACAAATAAGAAGTGAGATAAGGCTAAAATGAAATTAATTCTATAACATCCGCTTCCACAGACCTCAAAATCCAGAATTTAAAAACAGTAAGTTGAAGCATGTTATTTAAGTAAGGTAATGAACAATACGCATGAATTACTTTAAGATTATATAATTTTAAGGTGCTATCATTGTTTAATCAGCTCTGGAGACCCCGCATCTGATTTGACAACCACAGATCCCACCATGACACAATGCCCCTTCAACACATGCTTCTTGCATTCAAGCTGTTTACAATGTAACAAGAGAGTTAAGATGTTATAAAAAAGCATTTTTTAAAAAATTAAATCTCCCTCTTAGCTGAAATTCCTATTTCCCAGTTTTTTTATTTGTTAGTGATACTATAGTTCTACCAGTTTTTCTAACTCTCCCTGACCCCAGTCATTCTTGAGTTATCTCTCTCATTTGTCTAAAATTTCATTGTGTCGAATTCTTCTGAATTCTTCCTTCGTCATTTCACCGAGGTCTGTTCTTTAGTGTCTATTCACCACCTCCCACTTGAATTTCATCTTATCTGCTCTTACCTGCAGTTCTCTAACTCTTCCAATTGGAAATGCACAACTAATCAAACCAATCTTCTATTTTTGGTATTGATTTTCCTATTCAGAAACTCCCAATCATCCTGGTACTTTTAACAACTTGCCTTTTCTCGTAAAGTTCAAATATGACCTTTCGAATCCACTCTTTCTTATTGGAACTCATCTTGTTTGTACCTGCCCCAAATCCTTCAATGATTACTCAGACTCCACTTCCTCAAGGTATTGCATAACTACTACAGCTTCTGCAGTTTACATTGATCTTGAATGTGTCTGACTCACTCTGACATATATGGTCCAGGCTGCACACCAGTGGCATGAGATTACACACTGCCTGGTATGGTTTTAAGAAGATATTGAAGTAAAGTGGAATACAAAAATGAAATGTGAAATTGAAAGACAACCTGGAATCCTCATTTTCTCCCACATTCCTTTCTTTATCCCTATAACCACTGGGTTTCAAGAGTTAACTAACCCTTTTCCAATTTTGACGTCACTCCATGCAGCTTTGTATATTTTATCTTCAATAAGAATCCAATGTAATTTTCATCTTCTTTCAAGTATAAATTACTACATGTTACATAAATACTCTAATATTCATTTTATGTATTTTTTATACTCACAATGTGAGCCCACCAGTCATTTTTTTAGTAGGACAATGACAGGCTGAAACAAGGAAGAATCACCATAGAAGAATTTAGAGCAATTTATCGAATTATCACGCACAGAGAAGAAATTATTGAGATTTTCAACACATATTCTGAAAACCGGAAAATTCTTTTAGCAAGTAATCTGGCTCAATTTCTGACACAAGAACAATATGCAGCTGAGATGAGTAAAGCTATTGCTTTTGAGATCATTCAGAAATACGAGCCTATCGAAGAAGGTATGTTTGCATTTCAAACTTTTATCGGAATATTTATATGTGAAGTATTTTTTCTTTTTTCAAAAATTATTTCAAAGCAAAGTATTTTTATGAATTGTGGTTATCAAATTACCGTTTTTGGATGGGTCAAATATCTTTGAGAAAATATATTTTATAGAATTGATACCTTTTAGAATGCTATAGTATGCAACCATGACATCCTTTCCTATACATTGTTCAGCTCCTTTCTTTTAACTGCTTCCACGTATCTCTCAAGTGTTCAGAAATGAGCTTGGAGGTGAAAGTAAGACAATGATTCTATTACATGTACCCTATTAGAAGAAAGTATCTTGATCTCATGAATAAGATAAAACCCCAGTTATAGGTGGTCTTCCATTTTAATGCATTATATTATTGAAAATATCTATGAAAATTAAATGTGCTAAATGAAAAAAAATTCTAAGAAGAAAATATTATAAACTGATGAATTTTACTTTGTTTATAAATATAATTATCTACAACATTTCGTAAATATATATACTTTTCGCTTGTTCTTCATTTTTGAACACATAGTGATTTGGTTTAAATTAAATGACCATTTAGGCTAACGATCTGTCATAGAATTTGTGATCTTTGTTCCATCTTTCAATGGGTAAAAACACTTCACAGTTTTTCATTTATGTTCATTTTGAAATAAAATTATAAACACATAATACAATAAAATAATCATATATGGTACCAAAACATTGTTAAAGCACAATGTTTGACCTTACAGAAACTAACTGATAGAATAGCTCAAAATATTCACCTAGGAGGGGCGTATGAAAGTTCTAGTTTTGCCTCTTTAAGTTGGTTTAGGCTACCAATGTTTAACACATGATAATGTAGTTTCTAAAAAACCAAACTTATTTCTGCATTGGATCATACATTCATAATTTATTCAAATATTTATCTGTAGTAACCAAGTATGGTTTTGGGGGCTGAAGATATAGTGAAGAATAAGGCAATTAGGTCTTGAATTCCTGATGGGTTGGAGGAAAGTTGACAGTAAATAATGAAGCATGTAAAAGGATATCTTAAGAGAGTGCTATGTGATACGGAAACATAGAGCAAGAAGGTGATGGAGAGTAAATGACCTGGGAGGCCTAGTTCAGGTTGGGTGTTCAGAAGAACCCTCTCTGAGAGTGTGAGATTTGAGCTGAGACTTAAATGACAAGAAGGGACAAGTTATATGACAAAATGGGAGAAGTGTCTAAGGTCCAAGAAAGGGAAGCATTAAATCTGAATTGAATAACTGAAGGAACAGGAGGACTGTGTGGTTAGAACTTTGAGAATGAGAGAGAGATGAGTTTGGAGAGACTGGCAGAGATCAAACCATATAGGTTCTTATAGGCCACAATAAAGATTTTGGCTTCATGACTCAGTGCCATGCAAAGATTTTGAAGGGTTCTCGATATTGTAGTGGTGTCATTGAGTTGAGTCTTAGTGACAATTTGGTCTCAGCACCATTAAATTTTTGCAGGTTAGCAGCAAGGTAAAGAGCTTGCACAAGAATACTAAGCGACTATATCACTAAGCAGAACTGATGAGTTCAGATGACTTTTTTTTTTTTTTTTAATAGCAAGACTTTCTCTAAGGAAGTAGTGAATTGATTTATGTTCTGGCTCAAGCTCTTTATGTCATTGCCAACTGGAAACAACCAGTTTACAGATGAGCACTTTAAGTAGCACTGATCTAGAGAATATTACCAAAACAATTACTTTGGCACTGTAAACTTCAGGTGGTAAATTAAAAGATACAAATGAGATGTTGGGATGGAGGCAGTGACACTTTGGAATTGTGTTTGCATTTTAACTACAATATTATACTGTTCATCCATTTCCTCTTTTGAGCCTTCACCTGCCTCAAATACTCTCCAACACAGCCAGGACCTTGCATTTCATTTACATGATTATTGATCACTTTGGTGTCTTATTAAGGCCAATTTGAATTATGATCTTATAGTTCCAAATGCTGCCAAGTTCCTCAGCCTCATCCCTCATTGGTATGTGACAGGCACCAAATGAGGTTTTTAAAAATCCATGTGATTAATCCTTATTTCAAACTGGTAGTTTTTAAGGGAACAAAATGAGTTTATTTTCTATTCCATTACCAAAGATATTTATTTAATTATTCAGTAGTTCAAAAGGGCTAAGCCAATTACTGCTAATTAAACAGGGAAAAATAATAAATGTATGCAAGTCATTACTGTTACAATGCATGATTCATTTGCTCCATACACTTCTATCTTCCTAAATTTATATGGCTTGAAATAGAGGGTTTGTATACCTATAAAAATTTCATTTATTTTCTTCTAGCTTTTATTTTTTTAAACCAAAATAGTAATAGCATTTTGAATGCTGTCTTCTTCATTTTTATGATGTCATAACATTTACTTACATCACTATATTTTTATGATACATTATTCTTAATGGCTGCTTAGTATTGTATCATATTTTGAGCTTTAATTTGTTTATTCCCCTGCACTTATCTTGCTTTTATAAATAATGCTAATGTGAGCATTCTTGTACATCACTGTCTGAGTCTCTACTTCCATAGGATAAATTCCTGGAAATAAAATTCTCTGCCAAAGATCACACTCTAATCAAGTGAATGCTCATGTCACCTTTTCTTTTTGGTTGAAATGAACTATCAACAGTAATAATAGCAACTAAAAATTTTAGAGTGAATATATAAGGGTAGATCCTATTATTACCCCCATTCCACAGATAGGGAGAGGTTAGCTAATATGCTCAAGATCATATAACAAGTTAAATGGATATGAGTCCAGGCTGTTTCCAGAGCCAGTCTTCTGCTTGATAGATATTTTGGTACATATTACAGTGAGTAAAACAGTTCAGAGATTAATTACTAAAGATGATCAGATACAAATGACCCAGAAATTCCATTCCTAGGCATGCACCATACAGAAATGTGTATATATTTGCACTAAAAGACATTTACTGGTTATTTTTGGCAGCACAATTTGTAGCAGCCCCAAACAGGAAATTATCTAAATGCCTATCAGTGATAGAATGAATAAATAAATTGTGGCATAGTCATACAATGGAATACTGTAAAGTAATGGGAATGAGCAATGTATAACTATAACTACATGCAACTACAAGAGTAAATCTTTGAAATAGAATGTTGAGTAAAAGAAACCAGGTACAAAAAATACATACTGTCTGAGTCAATTCATATAAAGTGCAACAACCAAAGAAAACTAATCTATGCTTTTCGAAGTCAGATCAGTTGATATACTTGGGTGTGGTGAGTGACTGGGAAGTTAGTCGGAGGCAGGCTTCTGGAACACTGCAATGCTTTGTTCCTCAACCTGTGTGCCAGTCATCCAGATGTGTAGCTTGTCGAAGTTCATTGGTCCATAATATATGTACTTTTCTTGTGTGTATTTTCAAAACATAAAAAAAGAGATAATTAAATAATATATTATTTACTTGAATGTTAATATGGAAGAACTGAAGGTTTTACTACAAAAATTTGTTTCCAAACAACATAAATATAGTATTAATATTAATTCTAAAGGAATATTTTAGAAATATGCTCTACTACTGAGTAAGTTTACAAGTGAGATGTAGTTTTTTATCTTGCTAATGGTATTTTTGCATCCTTTTAACTTATTTTATTTTATTTTTTTAGTTAGGAAAGCACACCAAATGTCATTAGAAGGTTTTACAAGATACATGGATTCACGTGAATGTCTACTGTTTAAAAATGAATGTAGAAAAGTTTATCAAGATATGACTCATCCATTAAATGATTATTTTATTTCATCTTCACATAACACATATTTGGTATCTGATCAATTATTGGGACCAAGTGACCTTTGGGGATATGTAAGGTATTTATTTTATTTTTAAATCTATTACATTTAAAAATACTTGGAAGTTCCTGGCAGTGTCTACCTCAGTAGGCAAGAGTGCACAATAAAAAGAAGACTCTCCATGTTATCCAAACTCATAGGGAATAGAAATTTTTACTTGTACATATCTTGAAGATCCAACATTTGGATGAAGTGGCAACGTAATTTATTGTATGCATTAGTATCATATGCTTTCCTTCTAATCCCACCTGTTAACCTCCTCTCCATGGTTATGGCCCCTCCGAAGTTTGCTGAATAACCTAGACACTTCTCAAAGGAAAGCATATGAAGAAGACTCTTATTTAGCTAGTCAGAAGATCCTCTATTTTAATAAGTATGGTTAAAATTAATTCTCAGACATCAGGACACATACTATAACTAAAGCCAACACATAAATACAGTACATTGTACAACTTCACATTTGTGGATAGTGATTTTTATAGACTTGTATGTTAAAGAGTTTACATAGATTAAAAATAATCCACATTGCATTGCTGATTTTATACCTAACAATGTACCTATCATACTGTTAATACCAGACTTCAGTTTAGTCAGTCAGCTCAGATACAGTGCAGAATAAGATTTTCAAAGCTGCTACATTTATCTGTGTACAAGCAGATAGACAGATAATAACCAGGTAAAAAATGTTTTCAAGGATGAATGAATCATACAGGGAAGATGAACTAAGGTAATGTGATAGAAAGTGACTGTGGGGTGGAGGGTGTTACTTAGGGTAAAGTTGTCAGAAAAGTCTTCTCAAGAGGTAAAAAGAAATAGTTGTGGCATGAGTGATGATACAGGAAGCCTTAGAAACATCTAGTGGGAAGGTCATGTTAAACAGAGTAAGTGATTGGCATGTTTAAATGAGAGAAAAATGGCAAATGTGGCTAGAGACAAGTCAATGGTGAATGAAGGGAGGTGAGTTTGAGGAGGTAGGCAGAGTCAGTTAATGAGGATCTTGTAGAGCATGGAGAGGAGAATAGATTTTATCCCAGCTGCACTGAGAAGGATTTTCCTTAAGATAGTGTCATAATTTGATTTATTCAATAATGTGGAGGAATGACTGATGGGGCCAGAGTGGAGGTAGAAGATGATTTGGGAAGATGGTGTAGCAGTGCAGGTGATATAGCTGGTGGTGAACTCATGAGGCAGCAGCTGAGATGACAAGTAGTTGAATTTGAGATACAGATGCTTCTCAACTTACAATGTGGTTACATCCCAATACTTGAAAATATCTTAAGTTGAAAATGCATTTAGTATATCTAATCTACCAAACATTATAGCTTCACCTAGCTTACTTTAACACACTTACACTAGCTTACAGTGAGGCTAAATCATATCCTCACTCCCAAAGCACCCCCAAAAACTGGCAACACAGGACACCATAGAGTTTTGGTTGTTTACCCTTGTGATCATGTGGCTGAGTGGGATCTGTAGCTCACTGCTGCTGCTCAACATCGTGCGACGGAGTATCTCATACAGCATATTGCTAGCTTGGGAAATGACCAATATTCAAAATTCGAAATGCGATTTCCACTGAATGCGTATTTTCTTTGCATTATCATAATGTTGAAAAATTATAAGTTGAACCATCATATGTTGGGGACCATGTAATTTTAGGAGGTATAGCCAACATGACTTACCAGGTGTTTTGAAGAGAGATATGAGGGAAAGAGAGGAATCAAGATGTTCATTCCAATAACCAAATTACAGTAATACTGTTGGCTGAGATGTTGAAGCCCAAGAGAGAAGCCCATTGTAGGGTTTGAGGCAACATGCAAGGGTTCTGTGGTTTCCATGCTAAGTTTGAGATATCAATTAGTTTCCAAATGGCTAGATCAGATAGTCTGATCTATGTGTGTGTGGAATTCAGAAGTTATCAGACTGGAAAAACAGAATTGGAAGTCATCAGCATATATGGGATATTTAAAACCAAATGATTAGATAGCATTACTTAAGGTAAAACCATCAATAGAAAAGATATCTTCTAATTCCAAGATAATATCAAACATACAAGTAAATATTGCTGCTTCTCTAATTTCAAATCTAAGTAAAGACATAAATTCACAAATTTTGAAATGTATTCATTTAGAATTCTGTAAAGACAGCCCAATTTATAGCTATAATTTCATTATAGGAATTTCCATTCATTTTTTGTTATTTTAATTTTTTTAAGAGAGAAAATATAAATATTAAAGCAGTTATATTTAGAAATATATATAATTACTTTTACATTACAAGAAAAAGTTTCACCCAACTGCAAATTTACACTTAAATTTAATTGTACTTTTCTCTGTTTCTTTATCCACCTTTGGAAGACACATGCTTAGTATGAAAGTCTTTCAAAATATTTTTCCTTGTGACTAGTGGCATAATATAGTGTTTAAATATCAATGTTTAAGTTTCTAGTGCTCATATTTCTTCCCTTTCCCTCATCTGTTAATTTTGTGACAGATATAACCATTGTGTATCTCGATTTCCTCATATTTACAAAAGGAAAAAGAATATTACTGCTGTAAAGCATTCAATATCTTAATGTACCAAAAGATTCTTAAATTTATTTTTATTACCAGTTAAAATTCAACTTCAAATAGAAAATAGTAACATTACACAATCTAAATAAGTTACAACAAAAATTACAGTATTTTATACCTTGATAGTTTATAGGAAGTATTTGAAGGAAATTTAAAGATAAATAGATGAAATAAAGTTAAGAGTGGAAATTTCATACCACAAAGTTCTGTACAAATTCTAGAAGGCATGGAGACTATCACCTGTAAGTTTCCTAGCAGCCGAAGTCAAGAGAGAAACAGGATTAGTTACAAGGTTTACAATGATCATAAAAAACAGCAGTGAATGAGAGAGAAATTTTCTCTGTTTCCAAAAAGGCTCAAAGTTAAATAGTGGAGTGTCCTCAACATCACCATTAGAGAAGGTAAAACTTTCTCTTGGGTGCCTCCACATGTAAGTGGTTGGCATGACATTGCATAATCACTGAAAACATTTTGCTGGTGACCAAACCATGTAGTCTGAATATGCAGTTTTGTAAAGGTTGACTTGATCCATGGATAAAATTAAAACTATCTAGAGAAGTAGCAAGAGCCAATATTATTTATGAAAAGTTTTCTTTCACAATATAGTTCTTGGTGGTTTTTTCCCCCCACCCCAAGTAAAAAGCTCAAGATTGTTCTCTGGCAGCACTCCAGAGAACTCATACTCTGTTGATAAAATAGGCAAGACAATTTACCGTCATAATCAAATACGAGTCAGGAAAGCAAACATTCTTCCATAGAAATTAAGAAACTTTACAAATAAACATTGTTTCTTCTCCAACTTAAAATCTAAATACATAAATAAATCCGTAAGCCAAGAAATATATTCATTTGCAATTCTACAAATGTAGCCGAATTTAGAACTTCTGCCTTATTTGCCCAGAGAGTATCCACGGGCCAGACAAGATTTCTCTATGAATATTCTAGGTCCATTTCTCCAATACAAAGACAATTAGTTAAGAAAACTCTGAAGTTTTACATTATAGTGCATTGCCACATGCCTAAATAAAGCACTGTGCACTTAAACAAACAAACAAACAAAAACCAAAGCAGATTACCCAAATGTGGTAGCATGTGACTGTAGTCCCAGCTAGTTTTGAGGCTGAAGTGGGATGATGACTTGCGTCTAGGACTTCGAGGCTGCACTTTAGTGTGGGTGACAGAGACCCCATCTTAAAAACAACAACAAAAAAACAAAAACAAAAACAGACACAAAAACAAAAAGCAAAATTTAAAAACCCCATCCTGGCTAACACAGTGAAACCCCGTTTCTACTAAAAATACACAAATTAGCCAGGCGTGGTGGTGGGCGCCTGTAGTTCCAGCTACTCAGGGGGCTGAGGCAGGAGAATGGCGTGAACCCGGGAGGCGGAGCTTGCAGTGAGCCGAGATCGCGCCACTGCACCCCAGTCTGGGCGACAGAGCGAGACTCTGTCTCTAAAAAAAACAAAAAAAAAACCAAACACCCCAAAAGAATTTATTAAGAATTTAATTATTCTTAATAAAGATTTGGCTTGGTTGGTGAAGCCTCCAAGTTAAATGAGATTCACCAATTCTCTTTCTCTCTAAAGCCTTACTTCCTCATCAGGGTTCTTCCAACTTTTATCTCTATTATTCCCAAGGGTATATAAGGTCTCTCTCTCTCTCTCTCTCTCTCTCTCTCTCCCTCCCTCCGCCCCCCCCCCCCCCACCGCCTTTCTCTCATATTTTAGGCAGTCCTGAATTCAGTACATTGACTTAGTGTTATAATTGTTTTATCTGTTCTCAGCTATGCTCTTACCTAAGTACTTCTTGGGTCATCTCCCTAGAAAGGGACTGCATATGATCGCCAAAGAAGAACTAAATCTAAAAGATTCATTTTCTCATATGGCCCATTTGGTGCTCTGTGCTTCTGTTTGGAAAAACTACTGATTTTATATAAGTACTTGGTGCTGGGACGACACTCCCTTCTCCAGGTTGTCATGACTTACAGCAGGGTTTCTCAAACTTTTCATTTTTTAAGTCAGATAATTCTTTGTTGTTGGGGGCTGTCCTGTGCATTGCAGAATGTTTGGCAGCATTGTGACCGTTACCTGCTAGATGCCAGTTACAAACCTCTCCCTATCTCCAGTTGTGGCAGCCGAAAATGTCTCCAGACATTGCCAAATCCCTCCTGTGAGGCAAAGTCGTCCCAGTGGAAAACCAGTAGCCTGTAGACATGGGGTAATTTAATGTACTTACTGGTTTTCTATGGAAAAATATCTCTATGTATGACAAGGGAGCTTTTTTAACCTCTTTCCTATTATGTATCGATTCTAAGATCCCGGTGTTTCAAGTCAGCTCTCAGATTCAGTTTTGTCTCTTCCAAGATCGCGTTTTAGATCACATTTTTCTGCCTTCCACTTCTCTTCTTACATCTCTACAGTTCCCATGTTTTCTAATATAAACACAATAAATATTTACTAACAGTCAGTTTATGTCAAACATGTTTTATGGACTGAAATTTCAATCCCTGCTGTTGTAGAAACAGCACTAACCATTGCCTTATGTTAGTGTTGCTGACCCTGTCTGTGGTTGGCACATATTAGCTCCATGTCAGGCCAGGTTCATAGGTAATAGGAACAACTATGCAACTCTTTGTATGTGTCTGTGAAATAATTTAAAGAATTATCTTAACGCTATAACTATATTTGCATGAATCAAGAAAACAATATCTATACATAAATCAATAAATTTGAGTGAACTCTTGGTAGTTTGGGGCAAATGACCTATTTCATGATGGCATACAATGGCCTACTCTGGGCTGGGTATGAAGATTTTGAGACATCCCTATTTGCTTTTATTCATTATTATAAAGTCAGTGAAAAATCTGAATGCAATCAGCTTCCACTGACACAGAGTAAATAAAAGCATATGTGCTAATAAAGCATCCTGTCACTGCTCTCTTGTAGTATGAACACTGAAAATTAATTTAAACACAGTGGGTACAACTGATTTAATGAACCTAAGATAGAATTTATGTTTAAATCAAGAAACCAATATTTATTTTTTAGGTAGAAAAATCAGGCCCAGTTTTAGATATCAGCAGAAGCAGAAATATAGTTTCCTCAGTTTTGATAAAGCTGTGAACTTGTATTCTGAGGTAAGCAGGTCATACGTTTCTCCTAGTGAAATTATGAGTCGAATAGACAGAGATGAGCAGGTGTCCAGGCTTCCTTTGCATAAACCTTGATTTTCTCTAGTGCTTACTTGGATTAAAATTAGAGATGGCCTTATGTTAAATGGTTAGAGAGATAAGGATTATTTGCTGATTCACCAGGCCCTCTAGCTTCCATACTGTGTAGCCAACACTGTTTCCAGAGAGCAAGTATTGTCATGCTTTATCTTTTCTTTATCCTTGCCTTTCTGCCATATACCCCATTCCCCAAAGCCTGACATGAGGAAAGAATTAGATAAGATTTTATTAATATATTTTACTATTCTGAGAGGGCTTTGAACATTATCACTTTTGAATGGTATGGCATTGAACAGTAAATGCCACCATAAGTAAAATTATATGGGTTGGGAGTAGGGATGTTTCAGAGCTACAACTATGGAGCAGGTATCCTCATTGCTTACTGAAAACCAAGCCTTGTATGGAGAGCACGGAAGAGTAAAACATTTGACTAGCGAGAAAGACACAGTATTGTACTACACAGATAGTATGTGTCTTCCCTTTTAATGCAAATTTCTAGAGACTCAAAACTTGTCCCAAAGACAAGTTTTTATAGAGTTTTATGGACTCATTTATGCATTTATTATAAAATCAAATGGTCTTTGGAATATTTTAATACTTTGGTATATATTTTTAATGGTCCAGGAGTAACATTTTATTTTGCTGAAATTTTGCTAGTGCCCTTGTGAAAGGATGCCGTTGTTTGGAGATTGACTGCTGGGATGGAGCACAAAATGAACCTGTTGTATATCATGGCTACACACTCACAAGCAAACTTCTGTTTAAAACTGTTATCCAAGCTATACACAAGTATGCATTCATGGTATGTACATATCTTTGTTCAACTGTAGCTATTTAAACAGAAGCAATTCTAATTTACTTGCTTCAAAATCCTATAATGCTTAGCCTTACTTTAGATGATATTTCAAATTGTGGGTTATGATCCATTAGTAGGCAGTGAAATCCATGTTGTATATAGTTAAAGGTAGATTTATCAAAGTTAGTTTCAGGTGGTAAGGTACATAGTGTTTCATGGAACTTTTTGTTTACTCGTGTGTGTGTGTATTGTTTCACAAGGTAAAATATATTTATTATTGTGGATGATGGCCAGGAAAGTTTGAGAAATACTGGTCTAGGTAATAGTAGATATTTTACCAATATTCAACTCTTTTACTTTCAAGACAAAATAAAATGTATCAACAATGCATCATTTCAATTGCTGACATTTTAATGACTATAATGACAGCTATTGATATAGTAAGAAATGTTCAGAAGTTTACTTTGGATTCAAAAATGTTTAATTTATTACAGATTCAACGATATAGTTATTCCTAGAATTTGAGCTCAGTTTATGAATCCTACTCTATAAATTGAGCAGGTTTTTGCAATCCCTCAATGTTAAGGAGTTCTAAATAACACTGGTTTCATTTATAAACGTGGCTAATTTTGTACCTTCAGACATTGTGTTGTTTTTGTAAACTTAACACACTTGATTTCTTAAGTACTTCAATTATAGTACAATTTTAGTACAATCAAAATGACTAAAAGAATTCTTACTACGTACTAAAACTGTGTAATGTGTACCTAATACATTAAATTTACAAATGTAATAAAGTTCTCCTATGTCAATACATTACATAATCTGTCAACATAAACTTAAAATCACAAATTTATATAAATTTATCTACTATATATTAAAATGGAGTACAAAATAAATATTTCAAAGATACAAATATCATATATGAACAATTTCTATCTTAATATAAAAACATTGAGAGTATGGCACTGATTCTCCTAAACATGTAGTTTCTATTATTTCTAAATTTATTTATTTCTACTCCAGTCTCTTTCTTGAACTCACACCAAAGTACACAACTGCCTGTTTGACATTACCACTTGGATATGAATAGGCATATTTAACTTAACATGTTTAAAATTGAGCTCCCTGATATTTCTCTAGTCCTGCTCTCGCCACGATCTTCCCCATCTCATCAATGACAACTTTCATGTGCTCTAGCCAAGACCTTTTTTGCCAACTGTAACCTACTTCTCCTTCTCTCAGTCCCCTCAGTCAATTCTTCAGTAAATCATCTTGGCTTTACTTTTATTATTATTATTATTATTATTATTATTATACTTTAAGTTTTAGGGTACATGTGCACAATGTGCAGGTTTGTTACATATGGATACATGTGCCATGTTGGTGTGCTGCACCCACTAACTCGTCATTTAGCATTAGGTATATCTCCTAATGCTATCCCTCCCCCCTCCCCCCACCCCACAACAGTCCCCAGAGTGTGATGTTCCCCTTCCTGTGTCCATGTGTTCTCATTGTTCAATTCCCACCTATGAGTGAGAACATGCGGTGTTTGGTTTTTTGTCCTTGCGATAGTTTGCTGAGAATGATGGTTTCCAGTTTCATCCATGTCTCTACAAAGGACATGAACTCTTCATTTTTTATGGTTGCATAGTATTCCATGGTGTATATGTTCCCCATTTTCTTAATCCAGTCTATCGTTGTTGGATATTTAGGTTGGTTCCAATTCTTTGCTATTGTGAATAGTGCCGCAATAAACATATATGTGCATATGTCTTTATAGCAGCATGATTTATAGTCCTTTGGGTATATACCTAGTAATGGGATGGCTGGGTCAAATGGTATTTCTAGTTCTAGATCCCTGAGGAATCGCCACACTGACTTCCACAATGGTTGAACTAGTTTACAGTCCAACCAACAGTGTAAAAGTGTTCCTATTTCTCCACATCCTCTCCAGCACCTGTTGTTTCCTGACTTTTTAATGATCGCCATTCTAACTGGTGTGAGATTGCATCTCATTGTGGTTTTGATTTGCATTTCTCTGACGGCCAGTGATGATGAGCATTTTTTCATGTGTTTTTTGGCTGCATAAATGTCTTCTTTTGAGCAGTGGCTTTACTTTTAAAATGTATCCTGAATTTAACTATCTCTGCCCATTTTTACTGTCACTGTCGTAGTCAACCAACATCACCTCTCATTTAAATGATCCCACTGCCCTCTTCTCTGATATTCTTGCTTCTTTTCTTATTCCCCTGCAATCTCATCTCAACATATCAACCAGAGTGATTTTTGGTAACTCAGACTATGTCATTCCCCTTCTCAAAGCCTTCGGCCTCACTCAAAATAAAAGCTGAAATTTGTACAATGACTCACAAGGCCATAAGTGGTCAGTTTTTCATTACCTATTTTAACTCTCCTGCTACTCCATCCCTGTTCACTTGGCCATTCTGGCCTCCTTAGTCCTTTTCAGACATATCTCAAGGCCTTTGTACTTGCTATTCCCCCTTTATATGAAATACTCTTCCCAAATATTTGCATGGCTAACTCCCTCACCTAATTCAGAGTGGAAAAATGAATTAAAAAAAATAGTGACAGTCTTAAAATTCAAAGGCCTTGCAAGGATGAAAAGCCTACAGCTTCTAAGATTCCAAAAAGCAAGAAATGGGCAACTAGATAAGAAAAAGAGACAAAATGCAATGCTTTCTATTATTTCCAATAGGAAGAAAAGAAGCAACATTATGTTTATTTGCAGATGACATAATCCTGTATGTAAAAAAGCCCAACGATTCCACACAAAAAACCCTGTTAGAACTCATAAATGAATTCAGTAAAGTTGCAGAACACAAAATCGACATATTTAAATCAGTAGTATTTTTATACGCAAATAGTGACCTAATTGAAAGAAATTAAGAAAAAATCTCATTTACAATAGTATAAAAATGACATATCTAGGAATAAATTTAACCAAGGAAGTGAAAGATCTGTATACTGAAAACTATAAAACATGGATGAAAGAAATTGGAGACACAAATACGTGAAAAGATATCCTATACTCCTGAATCAGAAGATATAAAATAATATTGTTAAAATGTTCATGCTGTCTAAAGCAATACACAGGGTTTTTTTTCCCTTGGGGTGTGGTATTGTTATGTTGTCGAGGCTGGTGTCAAAGTCCCAGCCTCAGAAGATCCTCTCATCTTGGCCTTCCAAAGTGCTGGGATTACAGGTGTGAACAACTATACTAGGCTACAGTGTACAGATTTAATGCAATTCTTATCAAAATTCCAATGGCATTATTCATAGAAATAAAAAAAAAGTCCTAAAATTTGTAAAGAAGGATAAAAGACTTCAAATAGCCAAAATAATTCTGAGAAATGAAAACAAAGTTGGAGGCATCACACTTTCTGATTTAAAATTATGTTACAAAGCTATAGTAATCAATACAGCATGGTCCTGTGCAGAAAAACAGACATATAGACCAGTGGAACAGAATAGAGAGCCTAGAGATCAACCTAAGCATATATGGTCAACCTAATTTTTGTCAAGGAGACCAAGAAGACAAAATGGTAAAGGATAATGTCTTCAATAAATGGTACTGAAAAAACTGAATTTCGACATGCTAAAGAACGAAATTAGACCCTTATCTTATACCATACACAACAAATCATGTTAAAATGGATAAAAAACTTACATATAATATTAGAAACTATGAAAACCCTAAAAGGGAACATAGGAGAAAAGCTCCTAGACACTGACTTTGGCAATTATTATTTTGATATTACATCAAAAGCTCAGATCACAAAAGCAAAAATAAATAACTGGGACTACATCAAACTAATAAGCTTTTGCACAGCAAAGGAAACAATCAACCAACAAAATCAAAGGGCAGCCTATGAATTGGGGAAAAAATATTTGCAAACCATGTATCTGATAAGGGAGTAATATCCAAAATTTATGAAGAATTCATACAACTCATTAGTGGAAAAAAAACTTGATTAAAAAATGAACAAAAAACCTGAATAGGCATTTCTCCAAAGAAGACATAAAAATGGCCAACAAGTATATGAAAAGGTACTCAACATTATTAGTCACCAGGGAAATGCAAATCAAAACCACTATGAGATACCACCTCACAGTCTTACCATGTTAGAAGGTCTCATCAAAAAGTCAAATGATAACAAATGTTGGCGAGGGCGTGGCAAAAAGGGAACCCTGTACACTGATGATGGAAATGTAGATTGGTACCACCAATGGGAATACAGCATGGAGGTTTCTAAAGAAATAAAAAATAGAGCCACCATATGACCCAGTAATCCCTCTTCTGGGTACATACCCAAAGGGAATTAAATAACCATCTCATAAAGTTTTTGTGCTGCAGTGTTCACTGTAGAATTGTTCACAATAGACATGATATGGAAACAACCTAGTGTTCATTGACAGACAAATGAATAAAGAAAATGGATATATGCAATGGAATATGATTCAGTCTTTACAAAGAATGAGATCTTTCCATTTACCACAGCATGAGTGAGGACATTATGTTAAGTGAAATAAGCCAGACACAGAAAGAAATAATGCCTGATCTCACTTTTATGTGGAATTTAGAAAAAAAACTCTCAAATGTACAGAGATAGATAACCAAACAGTGGTTGACAGGAACGAGGTGTGGGGAGGGAGAAGAAAATGGAGAAAGGTAGGTCAGAGGCTACAAAGTAGCACATATGTAGGATGAAAAAGTCTAGACATCTAATGTATCATATGAGGATTATAGGTAATAAAGTTATACTGTATATGGTATTCATGCTGAATGAATAGATTTTAGCTGCTCTTGCTACAAAAATTTTAAAAAGGGTAACTGTGAAATGATGGATAGATGGATATGTTAATTTGATTCACTGTAATAACCTTCTTACTATCTACGTGTGTTCCATAACATCATGTTGTATACCTTAAGTATACACAATAAAATGCATTTAAAAACACCCAAAAGAGCAAGAAGTGAGATTTTAAACAAGGCTTTGAGCAGTGGAGACTCAATGAGACTTCCCAGCTGAACAAGGTGACTCAGTTTTGCAGCATAGATAAGATTAAAGTTTAGACTTCCTACTCAAGGTAGTCACTATTTGGAAAAAGAGGACATGAAATTACATAGACAATAATTATGACTAGGGAAGTCATAACTTGGTCTAGTTGCATGAGTTTACTAGAATAAATACATAAGAAATCTAAGTTTTAAGGGACTTATACTGCCAAAAACCCTCATAAGTATGACTCTTAGGTGAGCCTTAAAACAGCCTTTGGTAAGGAAATGGGGGGCAAACATTGCTTGGCTTTCAAGAGAGCAAACTCCTCAACATCCACTTTCAATGTGGCCAGGGAAGATAAAAGAAAGAGGATCTTCCCACAAGATGGAGCCAAGAAGAAAGAGAAATGATGTCAGTGACATCAGGGCCTCATGGAAGAATCCACCTTTTAGGCCATCACTTTGCCCAGTCTCAGAATTACTTATTATATTTGGAAAAAACTTTACCTATTCTTTTGGGATCAGAGTGAGTCAGTGGACTCACTCTAATTCAGAAGATCATTGTGTAGGTCAAATAAGGGCTTCCAAAAATATTAAGTTTTAATTCCTGGAACTTGTAAATGTTGTTTTATTTGGAAAAAGTGTCTTTGTAGATGTAATTAAGTTAAAGACCTCTAGATGGGGAGATTATTCTGGATTATCTGAGTAGGCGCTGAACACCATCATAAGGACTTTTATAAGAAGGAAGTAGAGAGAGATTTGATACACCAGAGGAGGAGGCAGTGGGAAGACAGGGACAGAGATTAGAGAGATGTGGCCACAAGCCAAGGAATGTGGGCAGCCACCCAAACCTGGAAGAGGCAAGGAGGATTCTTCTTCAGTGCCTTCCAAGGGAGTGCAGCCTTACCAACACCTTGATTTGAGACCAGTGAAACTGATTTCAAACTTCTGGTGACTAGACAGTGAGAGAATAAATGTTGTTGTTGTAAGCCACCAAGGTTTGTAGTAATTTTTGTCACAGCAGCCACAGAGCAATACACTCATACATTAAAAAGACATAGTAATAATCGACCCTGTTCTGAGTGCTGTGAAAATGCAGTAAGACTTGTGATTCCCTGGCTTGTTTACAAATTGGTAAATTTGTGCCCTGATAAGTATATATGAAATCAAAACAAAGAAAAAAATTGTAAATAAGATCCAGTGATGTTTTGTTCCCTATTTAATGGCAAGTTTTGAAGTTACAGCAATGAGAAAGGGCAGAAAATACCTTTGTAGAGCCACCTTCACTTAATAAAACTCCTTTGCTATTAGAAACTGGAAATATCTTTATCTTTGTTTCTAATTCTAAAACAATGAGTTTTGATTTCAGAACTTAAAACTGAAAAAGCAGAATATTGACATTTCCCCCAACTCATCAGTGTTAATAATGTTTTTGTTTCACTTTTTAAAATCTCTAAATATTTGTATATTAACAATAAAAATATAGCATGCTACTTTTTGGTAACTTGCTTTTCTTCATAAACCCGTAGATAACTTTCTATAGCAGTATAGATAGCTCTGTCTTCTTCTTTTTTTTTTTTTATTTTTATTTTTGAGACAGAGTCTCATTCCGTCACCCAGGCTGGAGTGCAATGGTGCAATCTCGGCTCACTGCAACCTCCACCTCCCGGTTCAAGCAATTCTCCTGCCTCAGCCTCCCAGGTAACTGGGATTACAGGCACCTGCCACCACGCCTAGCTAATTTTCTTTTTTGCATTTTTAGTAGAGATGGGGTTTCGCCATGTTGGCCAGCCTGGTCTCGAACTCCTGACCCCAGGTGATCCACCCGCCTCGGCCTCCCAAAGTGCTGGGATTACAGGTGTGAGCCACCATGCTCGTCCTGCCTTCTTCTTAATTGGTCTATATCATTCCTTTATATGGATATGGTATAATTTATTTATTATTATTATTGTTATTTTTGAGATGGAGTCTTGCTCTGTCACCCAGGCTGGAATGCAATGGCGCAACCTCGGCTCGTTGTAATCTCTGCCTCCCGGGTTCAAGTGATTCTCCTGCCTTAGTGTCCTGAGTAGCTGGGATTACAGGCACACACTACCACACCTGGCTAATTTTTGTGATTTTAGTAGAGATGGGGTTTCACTATGCTGGACAAGCTGGCCTCGAACTCCTGACCTCAGGTGATCCGCCCGCCTCAGCCTCCCAAAGTGCTGGGATTACAGTTGTGAGCCACTGAGCCTGGCCAGTATAATTTATTTAAATAAGTACTCACTGATGGATGCTTCAGTTGTTCCTATTCTTTTGGTGCAAATAGTAATACATTTCTTTTTATGCAGATTTAATGGTCTCTGTTTTGCCAAACTCAAAAGTACTTTCAGTTTAAAGAATAGTTATTTTGCAAAGGTACTAAACGTTAGAAGTAAGTTTTAAAATACATTAAGCACTTATATTAATTGCCTTACAATTATTTAGAAGTTTTGATGAATAACCATAGTAATGGTTACTTTTTTAGACATCTGACTACCCAGTGGTGCTCTCTTTAGAAAATCACTGCTCCACTGCCCAACAAGAAGTAATGGCAGACAATTTGCAGGCTACTTTTGGAGAGTCCTTGCTTTCTGATATGCTTGATGATTTTCCTGATACTCTACCATCACCAGAGGTAACATTTTTTTCTGAGAAACTCAGGTTAAGAAAAAAGTCCATGAAAACATGTCACTGTTATATTGGCCTGTGAAACTGGGCTAGAGACCAATGAAAATGCTTAGTTTTGATCACGTATAGAGGTTTATTTTTGCAATGTTGCCTAGGGAATGTTCTCATGAATGCTTAGGTGAATATATTTCGATTAAAATTTATATATATATACATACAACCCACATTTTGATTGTGTCTCCTACCCCATGGGTCCACAATATCAAAGCAATTAGTATTAAGGACCAGAAATTTAGTATGTTTTACAGGCAAAAGTCCTAGAAAGTGGCAAAAGTTCTAGACTATAAATAGTCAGTACCCAATATCTCAACAGCTGGGTAGCAAGTTCCCCTTTAAAAAATCTACTCTTTTCAATTTCCCTGTCTCTATGACCCTTTCCGTCTTAATTTGAGCATACTGAAGTATTTGCTTTGAAAAATCACGTCCACATCTACCATCAGGACTTCACTTCTCTCTCTGGCTGTCTCTTTATTACTCCCTCTCTATGGCCCGGTGCAGTGACTCATGCCTGTAATCCCAGCACCTTGGGAGGCTGAGGAGGGCGGATCCCCTGAGGTTAGGAGTTCACAACCAGCCTTGAGCAACATGGTGAAACCCCGTCTCTACTAAAAATACAAAAATTAGCTGGGTGTCGTGGCATCCACCTGTAATCCCAGCTACTAGGGAGACTGAGGCAGGAGAATCGCTTGAACCCGGGAGGCGGGGGTTACAGTGAGCCAAGATTGAGCTACTGCACTCCAGCCTGGGCAAAAAGAACAAAACTCCTTCATATTGAAAAAAAGAAAGGAATTACTCCCTCTCACGGCCCAAATTTTCATTTTCTTGTCTCCTTGCAACCTGTTCAGTCCCTCTTTCTCTTCTAATTGCTTCACAGGAAAGTTCCCATCACATTCATCAAAGATTTTCTTACTGATAAATTCTAATGAACCTCTTTTAGTCTTCATCTGGTTGTCCTCTCATTAACATTCAATACTGTCGACCTCCACTTCCTTTCCCTGAATTACTTTCTGTTGTAACACCACATTCTTTAGCCTTCCCTCACTCCTCTTTGACCACTCCTGCTTAGTTTCCTTTGCTGGGCCTTTCTCCCTATCCCAAATTTTATCAGATTACAAATAAACTTTCTTTTTGATGAATAGTATTGTCTAACAACAAATAGTTTGGTTTTGACATGTCTTCATTTTTGCTAGACATAACAATATTTTTGTAATATTTGGGTATTGCCCTCTGTATTTTCCTTATTTTTTTTGCCAACTTAAAATAATCAAAAGGCTTGGGATTCAGTTAGAAGAATTTATTCAAGTGCATAGTGTAAGGGTAGCTTTCTGGGACACACAAGACAGCAAAGAATAGTAGTCATTGCTCCTGGTGTGGGAAAAAGTGAAAATTGTTTTATACAGGCAAAAACAGAGGTACAGAACAGAATTACAGTATTTTCCACACAAGGGTTAACATACAGATTTAAGATTTGATTGGCTACGGTTGATTACACTCTAAGGGGTTTGCTTAACATTCTATTGTAAAGAGGTAATCACAAGGTTCTCTATCTCTAAGGTCATTTAGTCAGGGTTTGAATAAAGAATAAGGAGTCTGGTCAATGTATAACATCTCAACACAAAGGTCAGAAAGCAATGGTCATGCACCATCGAAGAAAAACAGCTGTATTACATGACTAAGTTTCCAGGGCTGAACTTTTCTCCCTGACATAATAAATTTGGAAGATCTTCAAATTTTACTTCTTTTAACATTTTATTTAAATCAGTGAAAAATTTTCAAGTGAAAGTGTTGTGACACTAGTGACAAGACATATAGGGCTGATGATAGAACTGAGACAGAAAAAAATGAACTGTGTGATAAATGGAAAGACCACGGTTCTTTTGTGGCATAAGAATGCCCACAGACTCAATGTGTTCAATTGTGGTGGAAAGAAATAGTAAAGAATTTCGAAACATATCATCAAAGATTAAACCCAAATCATAGTCCAATTCTGGAACTTATAATTTTCAGCTTTCTTGGAAGAGAATCCCGCTTCCTATTATATATGAATCTATTTTTCTAGCATTCCCGTACATAGCTTTCATTCAAATTTTAGCTCCATATTAAAGCAGGGAGGTGCTTTTCAATGAGTAAATAAAGAATTAAAGTTACCCTGTAATCCCAGCTACTTGGGAGGCTGAGGCAGGAGAATCTCTTGAACCCAGGAGGCGGAGGTTGCAGTGAGCTGAGATCATGTCACTGCACTCCATCCTGGGTGACAGAGTGAGACTCCGTCTCAAAAAAAAAAAAAAAAAAAAGTTACTTTATCCTACAATATTCAGTCCTTGTGTGTAAAAGAATTGCCTAGAGACTTGTTAAAGGAGGCCCAATTCCAGCCCCACAATTCAAGATTCTGATTCCCTTATTTTGAAGTAGATCCTAGGAATTTGTCCCTTTCCCAAGCACTTCTGATAATATTCTTGATACATGGGATTGCAGAGTGCATTTGGTAAACTCTGCAGTGGAGAGTATCATAAGGGTCATTGTGAAAGAGGGAAGACCCAAGATGATGGAATAATTTGAATGGATGCCTGAGGATGACAAAAGAGAAAGGACAATCAAAGCTCCCTGGAGAAAAGAACTTTACTTTATAACCCAGATTTCAGCATTGTATATAACAGAGCCGGTACTTAAATGTACTTGTTAAATTAAAGAAATTATCCTAAGGGCAGGAATAACCAAGTGAAAGAATGGAACCAGAAGCCTTCAAATTTAGAACAAGTGACACTGATGGTAAATTTTGCTATGCTTCTAAGTTTGAAGGACAGAAAATATTAAGTTAATGATGTTTATGTGTAATACAGAAGAAATTTGAAGAGCCTTTATTACGAATCTTTAATTTAGTCTATACTAGATGCCAGACACTTATGATAGACATTTTAATATACCTGATTTCATTTAATACTTTTTAATGTTGGATAAGAAAATGATGAGCTGAAGCGTTTACTACCAGAAGTTGTAACATTTTCATTGCAATATCATGGTAAGTATTTATATATATATACTTTTCACATATTTCAAATTGTTGGAATAGTACCAACTTGGGAAATATAAAAAAAATGGCATATGGTAAGTCTCAATCATAACAGGCTTATTTTTTGGTGAATTACAATCAATAGCATTATATCACTGTATTCATTCCTCTACTGAGATGTGAATAGGGGTATGGGAAAAAATGGAGTTCTTACATATCTTATTACTGTAGGCTAATTGGAAATATAGTGAAACACTTTTCAGTGACTGTTACAATGCAAATTTACTTGTAAATGTGTAATTGTATCTCTCAAATTGTTTCCTTAGGCACTAAAATTCAAAATATTAGTTAAAAATAAGAAAATAGGAACCTTAAAGGAAACCCATGAAAGAAAAGGTTCTGATAAGCGTGGTAAGGTGGAGGAATGGGAAGAAGAAGTGGCAGATGGAGAGGAGGAGGAGGAGGAGGAGGAGGAGGAGGAGGAGGAGGAGGAGGATAAATTCAAAGAATCAGAAGTATTGGAATCTGTTTTAGGAGACAATCAAGACAAGGAAACAGGGGTAAAAAAGTTACCTGGAGTAATGCTTTTCAAGAAAAAGAAGGTGAGGTGGTGTTTTGTGAAAATCTTACAAGTGATTGGAAAGTTTTCTAATTTTATTCTTGGAGATTTTTTTAAAATTCTGGAGAAAAATCATTTTCCTTCTTATAAAAACTCTAGTCTATCATTTACAATTTACTTTGAAAACATCGATGGTGGAAGATGAATTTTTTAAATTGCCTCTTTTCTTATGTTAGCTGCTTAAACATTTTTTTCTCTAGGCTGAGCACGGTGGCTCATGCCTGTAATCCCAGCACTTTGGGAGGCTGAGGTGGGCGGATCACATGAAGTCAGGAGTTTGAGATCAGCCTGGTCAACATGGTGAAACCCCGTCTCTACTAAAAATACAAAAATTA
The DNA here is from genome assembly GCF_000001405.40 of Homo sapiens. Classification (NCBI taxonomy): domain Eukaryota; kingdom Metazoa; phylum Chordata; class Mammalia; order Primates; family Hominidae; genus Homo; species Homo sapiens. Next base: position 18,701,148 of record NC_000012.12, on the reverse strand, counting down.
GCCGGGCATGGTGACGCATGCCTGTAGTTCCAACTACTTGTGACGCTGAAGCAGGAGAATTGCTTGAACCTGGGACGCGGATGTTGCAGTGAGCCGAGATCGAGCCATTGCACTCCAACCTGGGCAACAGAATGAGAGATCCTGTTTCAAAAAAAAAAAAAAAATCTCTATAATTGATAAATATTATGCATTCTTATGAAACAGGCTTTGTGCGAAGTGCAAAAGATGCAGAGATACACAACGTAATTTCCCTGGTCCCAAGTAAAGACAAAGACAAGATTCAATATTAATAATACATAATGTTATATGTATATACATTAGCATGATGAAAGAAAGTATATTAGGTTGCATGTGACACAAAACCAATCCAGCTGGTTTAAATAAAATGATAATTAATTAATTGGCCTACATAGATGAAAAGTTCAGTGAAAGGGATTTTAGTTTAAAAAATGACTTGATATAGTGTCTCACATAAAGTCAGCAGAACTTCAATTCTTTCTCCAGCTTTGCTCCCACTTTCTCTGTGTTGGTGCATGGCTATTGCAAGGAGTCAGCTTTATATCATTTCAGCTTCAAATCCAGTGGAATGCCTATCTCTTGGCAGAGCAACTATTTTTTTTTTTTTTTTTTTTTTTTGTACGTTGGCTCTGATCTGGTTATGCGCACATCCCAGAACCAATTACTGTTGCTAGGGGAATGCAAAGCTCTGTTTAGCTGGCCCAATCTGCCTGACTCATACTTGGATTGAGCATGAGCAAGAAATGTTTTCCCAAAACAAAACTTGGGAAATGGCTAAAAAGAAGTGTAAAAGAAATAGATGCCAGGTTGTGAAATGGCAAATGTTCGCTATGTAATAGAAGTCATTTCAATATAAATTTATTAATGACAAAAATTCCTAAAATTATAAAATTCATGGGAATACACTGAGATCTTTAGGAAAAAAATAAATAGTAATAATTGTGGTCCTCAATACTTATTACATTAATCATGATTTTTAAATTTAAGCTAGCTTATCTTAACATTAAATATTTTTTTGTTCCCAAAAATAATCATATTGAGTTAATCAAATGGTGTTTGAGGAGATAATCTTATGAAAAGATGAAAATCATTTGTTTGAAAGTGTATTTTCTTTACTAGAAAAAATTTTTTTTCCCAATGATTAGCATAAAAATGTAAAATTACTGCATTTTATTTTTAGACCAGGAAGCTAAAAATTGCTCTGGCCTTATCTGATCTTGTCATTTATACGAAAGCTGAGAAATTCAAAAGCTTTCAACATTCAAGATTATATCAGCAATTTAATGAAAATAATTCTATTGGGGAGACACAAGCCCGAAAACTTTCAAAATTGCGAGGTAAATTTTTGTGACTCAAATAGATGAAATGTTTAAATGAGTTAGATTCACTGCTAGGGTGTTAAGATTGCTCAATGATATTTATAAAATGTATATTCTCATAAAATTTCAACACATTTAACATAATTTAGAATGGGGTTACATACCTCAGGTCTCATTAAGTTTTATTTCATGGAACTTAGCCATTAATTAACTTTCCTAAGCCATGACATTTTGATTGAGAATGTCCGATGTGGCCACATTTGTTGAGGGCTGGGGGGCTGTGGTGAGCAGCTTGTATAGGAGAGCAGTGACAGGGCTGCAGAGGGAGGCAGAGCCGAATTAGAAGGCTTGAACTTTGTCCTGGAAGCGAAGGTGCGCAGGAGAAGATTGAACTCTCAGGAGTGGCATGATCCACTCTATTTCTAAACGATACCTCTGATAGCAGCCAAAGGGTGAGATTGCAGGCAGGAAGGCGGTAATAAAGATTTCTGGCAGTGAGAGTGGAGACAGGATGAACTTTGTGGATTTAATAGGCATTGAAGAGGGTAGGGTTAATCAGACTTGGAGGCTCTATGCCTATGGTGAAGGAAGGGGAAGAAATGGCGCCCAGGCTGGACTACCAGATGGCTGTGCAGAGTGTGCATGCCCCACTGCACACCTGTAGAGGTGCCATCTGTCTCTGCATCTTCCTTTCACTGCCTCTAATTCTAAAACTGAGGTGGTTATTCTGTTTGGCAGTGCCCAAGGTAAAACGGGGCCTGAGAAAGAGAATAGAAAGAAGACTCATTATGTGGGGAATGTCCCAAACTTAAAAGGGAATGAGCAACTAACTTAAGAGCCAGGTGACTCTGCTAATCCTCAAAAAATGGCAGTTTTTTTTAGTAGCAGGGGTATGGGGGAAGTAAGGACAATAATGGATACAAAACTATAGTTAGAATGAATAAGACATAGTATTTGATAGTGCAACAGGTGACTACAGTCAACAATAGTTTATTGTACATTTAAAAATAACTAAAAGAGTATAATTGGATTGTTTGTTACACAAAGGATAAATGCTTGGGGTGATGGATACACCACTTATCCTGATGTGTTACTAGACATTGTATATCTTTGTCAAAATATCTCGTGTACTCCATAAATATATTTATCTATGTACCCACAAAAATTAAAAGTTAAAAAAATGCAATCTACCATCTTGTGTAGAAATACCACAGAAGGAAAATCAGCACCTGCAATTGACTTGAGAAAAGCTGCTGGCTGTTTGGGAATGCGGATTCTGAAAGCTTTAATGATTAACCTTATTGGGCTGGTCATAGATACCCAAAGATTTTGAAGTATACTTTAGTTCATATTCTCTAACTATCTATTAGAGAGATCCTGGATTTTTTAAAGGCTCTTTTCCTTTTTTAACCTGTGTGTTGTAACCAAAAATCAATTCAGTAGGTCTGGACTACAGTTAAATAATAGAATAGAATAGAGTAGTATAGAGTAGAATGGAATGGGATGGAATGGAATGGAATGGAGTAGAATAGAATAGAATAGAATAGAATAGAATAGAATAGAATAGAAGAAAAGTGTATTGCAAGCAGTAATAATAAATATGGTTTTATGAAGCAATTGTGCATCGTGCATGTGAGTTGGATTGTAAAATGTATTTCTTGCTGTAAGGTGTGGTTAAGAGAGTTTGAATGACATGCTTTACTGGTCTCTGTTCCTTCATGTTGTTCATGAGGACAGGTCCTCATGTTGTTCATGAGGACAGGACCTGTAGGCACAGCATAAATTAATTATAATTGTATTACTCTCATCATATTAAATACTTGCAAAAATTTTGGAAAGGAATTAGATAGTTCTGAGTAGAGTCAAAGTATAACATTACCATTTCTTTGAAGGGGCATAGAGCATTTTTCTTGCACCAAAAGTTATAGTAAATAATCAATGATGTCTGCAAAGGTTTAACTTCAAGGATGCCAATTATTATTATAAACATAATGAAAATCATTAAAAAATAATGTTGTAGATGAATATTATTGAAATGAAATGATGTTCACATTATTATAGTAAATAAAGATAACGGTTTGTGAAAGGGAACAAACATTATCATTCAACTAAAAATTATACACATACAAAAGAATGGGAAGATATATGTGAAGGAGTTATCAGTGGTTATCAGTTGAATGATGACATATGGTTTGATTTGTTCTTTGATGTCCTCCTATTTTACAGTAAACATGAACTGTATTTGTAATAACAAACATGTTTATTTTCTAAAGGTTAATCTCAGAAATAACAAAATCATATTATGTTATGAGACCTTAGTCATCATTCACATTTATTACTTTGTAAATGAGAAACATTAAGACTCAGAAGAGTATGTGTTTTGCCTAAGGACAGACATCTGTTAGGACTAGATAAGGGAGCATGATACTTGGACACCTATGCTGTATTTATACACACATGGTTTCAAAATAAACTTTCTCTCAAGGAATGTGTAACTTTTGAAAATAAATATTGATAAAATTAACTGTAATTTTTAATTTGACAATGCTTCCTAAATAATAGTATTTAGGATGAAGGGAGAGGTGATTCTATTCTAGTTGGTTTAGCAAATGAAGTGAGCCATAAGCAGTAACCATTCTCCCATGATGAGTCACTATATCAGCAGGAATGGTTGCAGAAACAGGATCTGTTTAATGAAAAAAGAAAATCCTTGGAGAAGCATGAAATTTGTGTTCAAAAATTTGAAGAAGGTGCCAAATGGTAAAGGGTTTAAGTTAGTTTGAATCTCAAGTGACTTAAATATTATATAGACAAGAAGAAACACAAAGAATATGTACAGAAACTAAAATAGACTGTGTGTGTATGTTTGTTCCTGTTTGTGTGTATACTACAAATACGTAGAGATTATCCCAGTAAGAACGACATTTGAAATAATTAAAAGCATTGAAAGTTTTTCAATGGAGACATGTAAACACAGATTGAATAAACTTTGGGGGAAGATGCTGGAGTGAAGGGATTGGAAGTCGAACTGGACAACTTTGGGGTGCCTTTCAACCCTGAGAACCTGTGAAATGTTCAGTAGGATTAATTTAGCTGGAATCGTATAGCTTTGTGTGACTTCCATATGATTCTGCCCTACTGTGAAAATCAAAGTGGAAAAATAATAAGGGAAAATGCTGCTTTTGTTTTGAAAAATGAATGGATTATATTTTGGAGTTTTATGTATTCTTACAACAAAGTGAAATAATTTGGGTGTAAAAAATATATAAATTATCTAATCAATTTTTTCCTTGAATGATCAGTGTACATACATTTTATGATAAAATTGTCACTAACATCTAAATAATAGTGAATTATACTATAAACATAAAGGCATGGATTTATTTTGATATTCATGAATTGCAAATTTTTGCCAAGACAATACATATCAAAATTGTTGAAACTATTATAGAATTATATGATATATATATATATATATATATATATATAGTGGCTTTTTAAATTTATTTGAATTCTTTCACAATGTTTTAATTATTCTTTTTCAGTCCATGAGTTTATTTTTCACACCAGGAAGTTCATTACCAGAATATATCCCAAAGCAACAAGAGCAGACTCTTCTAATTTTAATCCCCAAGAATTTTGGAATATAGGTTGTCAAATGGGTATGTTATATACGATATTGAGTTGTTTGCAGAAGTAACATAAAATGAATTCATTTTATGAATGTATGAAAAACTCGTGAAAAGGGCTTTCTGTAAAAGATTTTTTAGCCCGGGGGCTTTGGGGTCAGGCACTAATGGTGGGTCATGTGTTGTAAGAGTTGAAGTCATTCCTATCTGGGTTGAAGCGGGGTAAATCTCAGTGATGGTTTGGGGAATGGTGGTTAAATTCACGAGGAGTTAATATGAGACATGTGTAGTGGAGGAAGGGAACAAGGAAACCCAAATGGACATTGAAGATCAAATTCCTTTGCTTGAGGTATGCTCAAGGCCTCTTCAAATCAAGTGACCTCTATCATTTATACTTTACATGAGCTTCTACATTCATAGTTTTGAAAAGTGAATAAGATTGCCTAACTTGGTTATTTGCCCTCACCAGACTCTTATTCCAAATTGAACAGCTAGTACAGCACTGCACTAACCCATCAGAAAGTACCAGGTGTTACCCTTCTACTGGATTGTGGCAAGGCCTGTAGGTGTGAGGAGGGGGGATATTGGGGCTGGGTGGAGGGTGGAGTGTGGTACTCTCTACAGTGGCTATTTACCAGGCTATACTGAGGTACTTCCATATTGTAACGACAATTATTGCTTTGCCTGTTTCTCACTTTCTCCTCAAGTGACAACAGCATCTCATGGACTTGAAAATTTATGACATAGTTGATGTCTTTACCTCTTGCATTCAATGCACTGATACTCTTTATTCTGACATTTCTTAAGTGTTACCTGACATGAACATTGTTATTCTGTAATCTGTACTGGATACCATTTTGATTTCTTTACTCAAAGCTGTGTAGTAATTTACTTACAGATTAAACTTTGCAACTCATCAATATACATTAATATAGACATGGCAGGAGAAAGAGTTTTAAAAATCATGAATTATTAGGCTAATGATACTTGCTCATAGAACATTTGGGGACATAGAATCCATTATTAGATTTCAGTAAGTGGTTTGTGTTCCTTTATTTGTATTCTCTATTACCTGACAATGTCAAAATACTTCTTTCTTACAGTGGCTTTAAATTTCCAGACCCCTGGTCTGCCCATGGATCTGCAAAATGGGAAATTTTTGGATAATGGTGGTTCTGGATATATTTTGAAACCACATTTCTTAAGAGAGAGTAAATCATACTTTAACCCAAGTAACATAAAAGAGGGTATGCCAATTACACTTACAATAAGGGTAAGATTAATAAATTTTCTTTTACATTTTTTGGTTATTATATAAACTAGATAGTGTACATTAGTATTTTGAATTCCACTGATTTGCTTCAATTTCTTTTAAATTTCTGTTAATCTTTTCAGGTACTATATGTGGGTAGTATTCCAGCATCCTTCTATATCTGAAAAATGTCTTCCTGTTGTAATTTTACATGAATGATTATCTGCCTGTGAATTGACATATTGAGGCTAAAACCTTCTCCTCTCAAAGTTCTACTATATGATTTCATTGTATTTAGGCATTTAATATTGTGAGATACAGGTCTCAGTTCAGCCCACTAATTACTTTGTGGGCATGTTACTTTTTCTCGCCTTTGATGAATTTTACCTGGAAATTTTAGGAGCCCTTTTCTTTTCCTCAGTCTCCACAATTAGGCTTTTGTAGGTCAGGATTCTTCCCCCCATATGTCTGTGAATATCATTTGATTACTTAAAAAGAAAAATTATCCATATGTCTTTCTCCAGTATCTGTCTTCAGTGTCTGTTAATTTGTGTCAACTTTAACATATTCCCTTTTCCTCTGCATGTTGGGAGAGCTTTTTTGTTTGTTTGTTTGTGAAAGAGCGCGCTTTATTGGGAAGCAGACTGCTGCACAGTGACCAACAGACAGGCCACCCAGTGGGCACTTACACATCGTACTCCAAAAGACACAGGATGTTTTGCTAATAAAAATCAATGGGAACAGAGATTCCTCTGGGCAACTCCCCCAGCCTCATCCCTTTCAGGGACTGAGAAATCACCCAACCATTTTCCTGATGGCAGCCGTAGTTCACTAGAGATACAGCCCCTCAGGGGTGTCTTCCTGTTTCTTATAAAGAACATTTTCTTTAGATTTTTTGAAGTCTTCATTTGTTACTTTCATTCTACGTTCTCTTAAGGCCATCAGACCAGCTTCTGTACAGACTGCCTTGATGTCAGCACCAGAGAGGTCATCTTTAGCCATGATCAAGTCGTGCAGGGTTACATCATCAGCCAGCGTCATCCTGCTTGTGTGAATCTGAAAGATGGGCTTCTTCGTCTTTTCATCAGGCAGGGGGAACTCAATCTTCCTGCCAATGCGGCCTGGTCTGATAAGCGCTGGATCCAAAGTTTCTATTTGGTTTGTGGCCATGATAGCTTTCACATCTACCCTAGAATCAAATCCATCCAACTGGTTCAGCAGTTCCAACGTTGTTCGCTGAATTTCTCTCTCACCACCAGAATTGGAGTCATATCTTTTTGTCCCAATGGCGTCAATTTCATCAATAAACACAATGGACGGTGCACGTTCTTCAGCAACTCGAAACAATTCCCGTCCGAGTTTGGGCCCATCACCTAGGTACTTCTGAATAAGTTCAGAGCCAACCACTCTCAAGAAAGTGGCTGAGGTTTGGTTTGCTACTGCTTTGGCTAACAAGGTTTTACCTGTGCCAGGTGGACCACAGAGAATGACCCCCTTGGAGGCTTTATACCCATCTCTTCATAATATTCAGGATGGGTGAGAGGAAGCTCCACAGATTCCTTAATTTCCCGAATTTGGTTGTCCAACCCCCCAGTATCTGCATAGGTCTCTTGGGGGGCCTTTTCCACCTTCATCACTGTGACCAGGGGATCCATGTCATCCATCAGCACCCCTATCATGGTATGCACCTTGTGGTTGAGCCTGACCGAGCAGCCAGGTTCCAGAAGATCCTTGTCTGCAAATGAAAGAATGCTGATGTAGTGTTCTGAGCCCACAGATGTAGACACGATGGCATGATTGTCATCAATGATCTCTTCCAAGATTCCTACTGACATTGGGGTCCCCCTCAGATCATCCACTTTTGATCTTTTCCCTTCTTGCTTTTCTTCTAATGGTTTCATTTGTTCCTGATTTCTAATGAATTCTTCCTCCATGAGAAGATAGTCTTTAATTCTCTCTAACTTCAGTAATTTTAACTGGCACTGAGTGTGAGGTGTCACCAGTGGCAGTTTGCTGGCAGCATCTGGTCCCTTTGTTTTCTTCTTCTTTTTCCCCACTGTAGTTGGTACAGGAGGTTCATATTTCTTTTTCTTGTCCTTGAGTTGTTAGAGCTTGTCATCCTTCTTGCCACCTCCAGGACCATGACCACCACTCTGACTTTGACCCATCTTGCCTTGGCCTGGGAGAGCTTTTAACATTTTTTCTTTATGTTGATGATTCAAAGTCTGTATTTGATTTTGTTCTTTACTGATTTCAATGTAGAAATGATTTTTTTCTCCTGCATAATTAGTCCTCCTGCCCCATTGCGGTTGACCTCATATTGCTTCCTTTTTATTTCTGTCTGTATCCCACCTAGCACCTTTCCTCCAGACTCTCGTCTTATTATTTTAGCTTTTATTTTATCACATCCTGTAAAACCTTATGGAGCATAAAAGCAGTTGTCTAAGATTTGTTTCCATTAGTAAAGACTTTTCAAAACGTTTTTCTTTTTCCTCTATAACCTAAGTGCTATGCTTATTTTCTTTTTAAAATGTCATTAAATCTTTTGAAAAACCTCTAGTTGCTTTTTCTCTCCACTTACTTATGAGCAGTTCTATTTTAGGCTATAACTGTACCTGTTGTTTGCAAATCAATAGAGTGGCTATGGTTTCATTGGTCCCTCTTTCTATTTAACTAGTTACTCCTAGAACTGTATAAACCATCTCAGATCCTACCTGGAATTTTGTAGTGTTTATGTTTCTGTCCCTGGCCAGCAATGTCATTACTTAGTGAAGCTCTGCCAGCTGCTGAGCGCTCCTCTGCTCCCCATTACCTGGCTGTTAGAGTGCAAGAAATGCTGGGGCCTCCAGAATGTGCTTCTCCTGCGACTTTTCCTGGCTCAGCTCCTTTTTCCACCATCGTAATACCACAGGATTTGGGAAGCTACACTCCACGTCTACTTCAGGACCTAGCCACTTTATCTCAGCTGAGAATGGGAGGATTGAGAGCTGTTTTCCAGAAATTAATGTGGAAAGTATAGCAAAGATGACCAGGACTAGAATGATCCTGACCATTGCAGGAAACAGTGCCTGTGAAGTATGTAGCTGGCTTTTGTATTGTCTGTTAAGGAGTTTGTGACTCTGATGTAGAAGCATTTAATGGATAGGCAGCAATTGCCTACAACACTGGATTGTTGGTACTCCTTCAAGGTCTGGCAAAGAATTAACTACTGACTTCACTTTACAATGCTATTATAATGTTGACATCTTTTTGTAGTTGATCTGGTAAAAAGAAGTGGCAAATCAGCCACTTTGAAGAGCCCTTCCATTTCTACACACATTGCTCTTCTATGCTCTGGGACTGGACTCTCCTTTTACCCCCTACCTTCCAAGTGATTGTCATTTTTACTTGTGGCTTCCTCTTTCTCTGCCTTCCCTTAAGATATTTATGTTAACTAAAGTCTTTCCTTAAACCTTGTCTCAAACTATTCTCCTTGGATTCTGTTACATAAACATTCATAGTTTCACCACCAACAATGCTCAAGTCTTTAATTGGACATGATTTTGGGAATCTAAAGGCATATTTTAGCTCACTGAGCATCCTTACCTCCTTAATCACCATTCTGTCAAATTTAAAATAGTAAAACTTGAACATCCCTTCCTAATCAAATCTACTTCTGCTCTTACTTAAATGTCAACAAATTGCCCCATTCTTCCACTCTGCTCGGACTAGAAAATTGGGAACCATTCTAATCTTTCACATCTCCTTCACATCCCACATCCAGACCAACGTTAAATTCTGCTGATTCTATTCCTAAATATTTTCCTTCTCCATTCTCTTGATCTGACCTATTTTGCTGCTCTCCTGTATCAGGAATTTACTACCTGTCATCAGGTCTATTTCTTTGGCTTCCTGATGGTTTCAGGTAGCCTGTCTCAGTCCTCCATATCTATTCTCCACAAGTTGACCGGAGAGATTTTGCTACAGTGCTAATATTATCATGCATACGTAATATTTATTTGTGTCTCTTGACTACTATCTTAGTCAGGCCTTGCCCTACTTGCCTAGCCCTATCTCTCACCACTTCTAGCCTTTCATCCTGTTCTACAACCATGTGGAACTAGGATCCTTCTCTAACCATGACTCACCTCCACGAATTGCGTAGGCTCTTCCTGTGACTAGAGCATTCTTTCAGCCTTACCTGCCTATTTCATTTTGACTCAGTTTTCAAGACTTAGGAATCATGTCTTTTTGAAAGCATTTTCCTAGGCTAGGTTAGCTGTGCTTCTTTTCATAGCTTTGCTGTTTTCCGTAACACCCTCTGCATGCATATATTATGGCATTTATCACAAGGTTTTATAATTGTTTATTTACTTGTAACTTGTCTTCTCCATTTGTCTGAGGATTCTTTAAGGATAAGAGATGTGGGCTGGGTATGGAGGCTCACATCTGTAATCCCATCACTTTGGGAGGCTGAGGTGGGCAGATTACCTGAGGTCAAGAGTTCAAGACCAGCCTGGCTAACATGGTGAAACCCTGTTTCTACTAAACATACAAAAACTTAGCTGGGCATGGTGGCATCCAACTGTAATCCCAGCTACTTGGGAGGCTGAGGCAGAAGAATCGCTTGAATCCAGGAGGCAGAGGTTGCAGTGAGCCGAGGTCGCACCGTTGCACTCCAGCTTGGGTAGCAAGAGCCAAAGTTCGTCTCAAAGAAACAAACAAACAAACAAACAAACAAAAAACAGATGTGTTTTGTTCCACCTTATTTGTGCCTTACACAAAGTATATGCCCAATATATCTAGGTTCATTGAACAAATACATTATTTTTCCTGTTATGAATAGTAAAGAGAACATATGTGCTCTTTTATTGAGAAAGTGAAGGTGGAAGGCAGCTAGTGTGCACAAATGCTCACAAGTGCCACGTTTGTATTCTGAGGAGTCTCTTGTTGAGGTGTAACTGGCATGGAGAGTTAATGATTCTCCAGGAAGCTGCTGCCATGGCCATGTGGGTCTTTCTCTGTTGCCTCTATCACTCTAGGGAGCTTTGTGATTACTTTATGACTTGCTCAGATAGTAGAAGGCACGATTTGGGAATCAGAGAGCCAAGTTTTACTATAAGCTTTCTTAAGTTCTTGATGAAGGCATTTGACATTGCTGCTTTACTCTTCGTCACCTGCAATCTGAGAGTTTTGGTCTAGGCCAGTTATTTTCAAATTTATAAAAGCTACAGGACTGCTTTCTAAATCCAAAATCTTATGGGTAAGGCCAATGGGTAACAACAGAGTTGACCACTGAGGGCTTATTGTTTGATATCCCTTCCTCTGCATTGGCTCCTGTACAAACAAATTTGTTAATTTATTTACAAATTATTTGATCAATGCTCCCTAAACCAGGGGTGTCCAATATTTTGGCTTCCCTGGGCCACGTTGGAAGAAGAGGAATTATCTTGGGCCACACATAAAATACACTAACACTAACGATAGCTGATGAGCTTTAAAAAATGCAAAAAGAATCTCATAATGTTTTAAGAAAGTTTATGAATTTGCGTTGGGCCGCATTCAAAGCCACCATGGGCCACATGTGGCCCGCAGGTTGGACAAGCTTGCCCTAAATTCTCATTCAGTTTTCATATTCAATTATGTTTTTCAAAATTAGATAATTTTTTTTTTCTTTCTGGAATGAGGTACACCGAGCTGAACCTACTCCATTTTGGGAAGGGTCTATTACCTGTAAAGTGATATTTAGCGGGTCTATAGTGGTATTGGGACCAGTGTACTATATGTTTATGGCCATTGTTCTTTCTAGTTACTTTGATGTCTAATTATGCTGATGCCCATTCCATGCTGATTGCTAAACAGTTGCATAGTCATACTGGCTTCTAGCTAATGCCGTAATCTGTGGAATTAGGAAAAATCACACATTAGTGTTTTTTCTTTTCCTTTCTTTTCTACTCCTTCTCTCCCTCCTTCCTTCCCTCTTTTCCTTTCTTTATTCCTTTATAATCAAACTTAATTATATATTTGTTTCTCCTTATGTAACCTTCAGAAATTGGAATTATGCCTCAATTTTTATAACTGCGTTTTTAGGCTTATATCTTCTATCTCTTAGCCTAAGTCAGTACATTTCAAATATAGTTTTGTTGTGTGCTCATTTTGTTCCTTAAATTATAACACATTTTTGCTTCAACAATTAGCTTGGCAAATACAAGTTTAAATACAATTATTATTAATTACTTTGTTAAGATTTTTTTGATACCCAGTCCCTAATATACATATGAAATAACTGATTTTGTGAAACTCAGAAAATGCTATCACAGGGAGTTAAATGGTACATTTTTTAAAAAGTAATATTTCTATTGCTTTAAATTTTTTCCAGCATATATATATATATATATGAATTCAAAAACAGTACGTTATCAGAGTAACTCGACCTGAATTCCCTGAAATGTGATCATAACAAATGATTTTAAAACAAAAATATGTTAATAAATCAAAAATTGTGGACATTGTGGATTTCACTATAATTTTGTACATATTCTTGGTGTTTATCTACTGATAACTGAGGATAAAAGACTTAAATTTTAAAATTTGTATTGTATTCCACTTTCAATGTTTGTGGGAGCTGACTTAGAGTCCATCAACTTTTTGTAATACATAACTTAATTTTGAAATAAATGGTGATGTAACTTAATATCTTGCTAAATTCTTATATTCATATATATTTGTGCAGCTCATCAGTGGTATCCAGTTGCCTCTTACTCATTCATCATCTAACAAAGGTGATTCATTAGTAATTATAGAAGTTTTTGGTGTTCCAAATGATCAAATGAAGCAGCAGACTCGTGTAATTAAAAAAAATGGTGAGCTCCTGATATACCTTATTGAATTTCCATTAGACTTCTTGTTGGAAAGCTTACAAATTATATGTTGATAGAGTTTTTGTACATATTTATTATTCATAAGACAAGGGTTTTCCATTATGTCCAAAATTAGCAAAATGTTATATGCAACAAAAACATTTTTATAATGATTAGGTTGTTTAGCTGTATTTTCAGATTATGAATACAGAAATGTACCTGACCTTCAAAATTATTGCTTAAAAAAAATTTACCTCTTTTTTATGTTTTCTCTCATATCACCGAATTAAGAAGGCATTTTAACAGCCTCAAATCTACTTAGCTTCTAGCCTTTGTATTAAATCAAAAATTTGTGATTTTTGACACAGCATATTATATATTTTTATAATGAATTATTTGAATTATTTTAGATTAAAAGTCTATGGCTTCTGAATCAGGCTAAGGATGCCATAGAAGCCTACTGATAGAATTTTTGGATAATTCAGTCATTTTTGCCATAAGGGAAGTGAAGAATTAAGGGAAATAACTTTGGTAAGATTTTCATCATTCTGGCATGCTATGACATCTTACACAGTATAGTACTGGCATTGCCATTTCTTCTCTGAGGTTGAAATGACTAAGGAAATTAGAAAAGGATAGGTTCCTGGGATTGATCCCTGGTCAGGATCACCTTGAAGGAGACATTGGAACTGATTCTTGAGTCTGGAATCTTCTTCAAGGGATATTCTCAAAGCAAAGTGGACTTCATTCCAGAGTCTAGAAATATGCTCCAGATCAAATGGCAATGACAGAGTAGCAGGCACAGTTTTCTTTTTCTTCTTGGATAATAATTTCTAACAATGTCCATAGTCTGCCTCCTTTGCACTCCCCTGAATACTTCCAGTGTGGCTTCTAGAGCGAAAGTCATGGAAAAAGATTTGGAAAGATTTTATTGCCTTATCCTATGTTATCAATGGGAAGGGATATTGATGATGACTTCCTGCCTCATTTGACACCCTTTAGAGTTGAAGGCACATTGCTACGGCTGTGTCCAGAGATAGTAACTGCTGATGTCATGAAGCTTATAATAATCTATCTCTTGTTCCCTCCATCCTCTACTTGAATCTTCATCACAAAATGCTTAGAAACTTAATTTATTCAATGCACCCCTTATAATACTGTGATTCTAGAATTTGTATTACCTCCTTGGATTTTATGGGAATATCCTTGCAGAAATTCAATTTGGTTCATCAAACATTACTGAGCCTCTGCTATGCTAAAAGCCTTGTGCTGAGTAGTAAAAGACTTAAAATCTGTTTATTAAATGAATTCTTATATATGGACCAACGAACTCTTCTATAGATAGTTTATAGTTCAGTGTGAAAGATGATGCTATAAGTAAAATAATTATGATTTAGAGTAATTCGTGCTTCAAGAAGAGTACAAAGATTTGTACTCCAAGGGGGCACTTTTGGAGATGGTTCTTGGAGAATGAGTAGAATTTTTTAGAGATTGGGGACAAGGACATTTAAGGCAGAAGCCATAATATAAGTCTTAAAATATGAAGAAAATACAATTTAAACATACCAGAGACAGAACACAAGTCCTAAAATATGAAGAAAACACAATTTAAACATGCTAGAGAAAAGCCAAGAAACTCAAGATGGGTGGAATATAGGGTGCTTAAGAAAGATTAGTGAGAGATAAAATGAGAAAATTATTTAGGGAGGGTCATGGAAAATCTCAAAAGCCATGCTAAGGTGTCAGGAACTTTCTTTTTTCTAGAAAATGGATAAAATTCAGACTTTTAAGTAGGGCTATAACTTTAACAGAGTTGAGTGTTAGGTTTTTTTCTGCAGATTTGAGAAGAAGTATACGAGAGGGAAATGAGAAATACAAAGTAGAGTCAGGATAAAATTTCAGTGGTTAGAGGATATAAAAGTCATGGTATAAAGGAGGCCGTGGCAGTAGGAAAGGAATGGGGGATGTAAGTGAGAAACACTGCGCAGAAGTCAACGTCCAGATGGCTGGACAAGAAGAATTTTAAGATGATTTAGCTAGACATGAGAGTCTGGGAGGAAAAGGATAACATTTGGATAAAATGTGGAAATAATTCTTCAGTTTTGGTCATGTCTAGGATAACTATTTTCATCACTATCAAATTTGGTATCCTGGTTTACTTTTTTTTATGTTGACAACTGAAAGTGAGGGCTTTCTCTTATAATTAATCCATATTATTGTATGTGTGTGTGTGTGTGTGTGTGTGCGCGTGTGTGTGTGTGACAGAGAGAGATACAGGAGGAGGATGGAAGGGAGGCAGAGGCACATGTGTAATGAAGTAGGATTGGAGGAAGAAGAAATCAGTATAAACATTTCTGCAGATGTTTTGCAGTATCTATAAAGAATTGACTCTAAACCTGCCTCTGTACCCCATGAAATTATTTCTCTTCTTAGGTCAAGGTAATATGGTCATTATTCCAGCATGAGCCAATTAGTTTACTATTTCTGTGGGCATAGACTGCACCCTAGATTGCTATGTGGTAAATGTGCTCTTGTGACCACAGGTGAACCATAGAAAACATAGATATAGTATAATTAGAAATTCATCAGTGCTTCTGGAAATGTAAGTCAAAGAACAAAAACTATTGACATAGCAAGTGTAGCATTGCCTTTGTAAATGAAAAATAATACACATGATTCTTCTCCAAACCTTTGAGTCTTTATTAAGCAGAATTTATATTTAATCTGGATGTGAATTTCTTGATTCTGTTAAATTACGCTTTACTTTTTGGATGATTTGGGTCATACTGTGACACGATGTGGATTTCTTGCTTGGCAGAAATTGGTTGCTTGGGATGATTTATTTTCTTAGAGATTGAAATTCATCAACTTTGGACTTTGAAAGGAGCACTTAGTCTAAAGAAGGATCAAGAGTTGGCTTTAGTTTGTTATCTAGCTTTCAGTCTAACAACTAAGTATGGAACTCTTCCCATAATAAGACTGACTGTATTAGTCCATTTTCATATTGCTCTAAAGATTCTACCTGAGACTGGATAACTTACAAAGGAAAGAGGTTTAATTGACTCACAGTTCCTCATGGCTGGGGAGGCCTCAGGAAACTTAGAATCATGGTGGAAGGTGAAGGGGAAACAAATTTGGACCTTTTCATGTGGCAGCAGGAGATTGCTAGTAAGAGTGGGGAAAACTGCCTTATAAAACCATCAGATCTCATGAGTACTCACTCACTATCATGAGAACAGCCCCCTATAATCCAGTCACTTTCTACCAGGTGTCTTCCTAAACACCTGGGGATTACAATTCAAGATGAGATTTGGGTGGGGGCACAAAGCTTAACCATATCAAGGACTTAGTATAGAAAAATGATGTTACTTAATTTTCTTCATTTCTCAATTTATTTGCTAAAGAATTGCCTAAGTACATCAGTCATATTGCATAATGATTAAAAGCTTTTGCTCTGAAGTCAGACTCCCCGTTTTTGAATTCCTGATCTGCCACTTAATGACCACATATGTGAAACCTTAGGAAATTATGTAACATCTTTGTGGCTCAGTTTTCCCATCCCACCCTGATGGGGTGGTTATCAGAATTAATTGAGTTGATCCATTCTTAGAACATTGCCCAGCAATAGTAAACACTCATTATTGTCTGGTTATTATTCCTCTCACACTGAGTATATTAAAAACCTATGTGCTCTAAACACAAGATATTATTGTTAAAGGGTTGAAAAGAAAAAGTTTGGAGAACAAATGTAATCTATTTTTTCCTAGATATGGTATCTATTATTCTTTGTATCTTCTTTTTTTATATTTCAGCTTTTAGTCCAAGATGGAATGAAACATTCACATTTATTATTCATGTCCCAGAATTGGCATTGATACGTTTTGTTGTTGAAGGTCAAGGTTTAATAGCAGGAAATGAATTTCTTGGGCAATATACTTTGCCACTTCTATGCATGAACAAAGGTAATGTCCCTAAAAGTTAGATGATTGTACCAGCATTTAAATATAACTTGTGTATATCAAAGACACATTTTGACATACCAAATAGCTCTATCATAAAGTAGGATGTAAAGGAAATTTTATGTATTGACACATATTTTTTCTCTGTGGAATTATAAAAATGTGTTCTCATGTGGAAGGTGGGGTGGGGGTGTGGGACTGACAGGAAGGCTAATTAGACAAACTTGGCATGTATAAGCATTTCTTTACATGCATCCTAGTTCTTCTGTTTCAGTAAAGAGTAGTCATGACTACCATAAAGAAATGATGATGGGTGGCAACCAGAAGGGAGAAGCAGTGACTCATTCTTCCTGCCTGAGGAGAAGAGATTGGGAGCCTGAGACTATCCTTTCCTGACCCCTTTTCAGGGCTGACTACCTTTATGTTGCAGAGTCACCTTTCCAGGGTGATTTACACTGTGCTCCCAATTACCTTGTCTCAATATGCTTACTTTTCTAACAGCATCTGAGATGTGCCTAGGAAACAGGTCTTCCTGAAGCAGAAGGGTGGTGGCTAATTTTGGATCATGCAGCGCTTTGCGGAAGGAGAAGTATGAGCTGTGTATTCAGTTTTGGGCAGTTAGGAAGTCAGAATAGAAAATGCAAATATTTAATTTTTGTGGAAGATTAATATACCAGATGGGAATATAACTCTATAGTCATGGTTTTTAATGTAGGCTTAGTAAAGAGCTCTTGTTTCTCAGCAAGGCTATTGGAGACACCACTGATTAATTGGTTATTGGTCTAATTAGATATAATTCCTTTTGCAGGTTATCGTCGTATTCCTCTGTTTTCCAGAATGGGTGAGAGCCTTGAGCCTGCTTCACTGTTTGTTTATGTTTGGTACGTCAGATAACAGCTAATGATAAATGACATATCATTAGCTATGCATCGCAATAAAACAGCCAAAATGAATGTCTTTATGTTTTCTTTTTTAAACATAAAGAAAAATAATTACTCATAAAACTAGAAATATTGAGCCCATTCACTTAAAAATATACAAAAATAAATCAGTGGAAGAAAAGAAAATAGAAACTTCAGAGGGTCCTAACCCAGCATGGCGTTCTTGTTTGCTGATTTCTCCTGCCCTTCTGCTGCTGAGTTGTTTTCAACTGGCTTGTATCATTTTTAATTACTAGAATTTATAAGCTTTTGAAATACATCTAATTATAAAATATACATTGGCAAATATTTAGCAGTATAAAAGAAATGTGAAATCTAAGAGTGTTTTAACTTCTAGACACCCACTACTGCGTATTTTTGTGGGAAGGAATTAGATTGCCAGGCCCTCTGAGCCTTTTCATATCCTGGAGAGTAATTAGCCCCTGCATTCTTATGCTAGTTCTTAGATGCTGTGCACTGGAGTTGGTACCCTGTAATTAGACAGCCATTTTTACGAGTGTGTATAAAATTGATTTGCCTGCAAACTGTATTCAGACTCCGTATCTATAAAAGAGATCTACTGTGTGGACTTACATGCTTGGATCTTAAATTAATTTGCAATGTTTCTGAATCTATACTAAATATACTTTCAAGATGGTTTCTTGGTCAGAGATGAAGTTCCTGTGCTATCTCACTTGCTGGACTTCTTACCAACAGCAAAACTTTGCTTTATTAAATGTCATGTAGAACAATATGGAACCACTGATATTAATACTAATTCTACCACATTGTTGCATAGTAGTGATGTGAAAGCACCCAGCACAAAGTTTGACAAAGTCAGGGACTTTTAATAGGGACTTTTGCAATGGAATCCTAACTAATAACTAAAATAATAAAATGTTTGGGATGTGTACTAACACGTGATATCTTTATGACCAGAAAATATAACCCAACTAGCATGTTTTACTATTATCATGGTTTACTCTCAGTACTAAATGTTTAAAATAAACGTATCACTGAGAATTCAAATTCCCAAGCCATAGGTAGTAAGAAATGGATGTGGTTACTAAGTGCACAATCTTCCAGTTTCCACCTCAAGGGCTGTTGGATTTAAGATCAGTGCACACCCTTCCCAGTAGGGATGCACAGCCAATTCTTAGAAAGATGCCTCTGTTTTGCCAGATAATGAATGGATCTTATTTAAATCATCTACTGTTCAGCATGACAGCAGGAGGGAGTTTCAGCCCATTGACCCAACGCTTTACCCTTCCCTAATCTCCTAAGGCCTTTTGAAGATCTGGAATTCCATGAAATTTAAAGGCTTTAATCAAGCGAGTTTTACAAGAGAGTTCATTAATTCTGCAGTGGAATAAACTTCTCATTTATACCATCAAGCTTTGAAATGAGAGAGAAAAAGGATATATTTTATTTTCTCTCCTTTTCTTTAGGTACCAAACTTATCTCACTAATTTTGAAGACCAAATTGTTCATTTTGAAATATTCCACTCTATATTAGGAATACGGACTTTGCGAGAAATATTAAATTATTTTATTTCTTGTTCAAGAATCTTATGATGTCTTGAAACATTTTTGGTTCCATTTTAAAATTTGCATTATTTATCATTTAATGTCCCTATGTATTGAACTAGAATTTTGATTAGAATTTTCTCACAAGAACTATTAACAGATTTTATTCATGTAAAACTCCAGAGTCAGGGAATGTTCTCACATTTAGAATAGGTTGGGAATGTTGTGAGAAGATAGATTTGATTAATGCTTTTTAGGTACAATTCATTTACAAGAAAAAATTGTGTTGGTAAATGTAAGAAAACATCGGAAAAGGCTAAATGAACCCTTGAGACTGTGGCAACAGAAGATTTTTTAAACTTTAAAGTCTTAGTTTAAAAGTCAGTTCCTCAGGGAAGCCATCCGTGTTCTGCTAGATTAGGTTATATTCCCTGACTTACGCTTCTTTACAACTGATAATGACAGTCAGGAACCAACTTTGTACTATCAGCCAGACTTTAGTGTTGCTAGGAGCTGCCGTGGAGCTCACAGCTAAACTGTCGTGTTTCCTTGTTGAACAATAAACAGTTTCACAGAGCATCAACCCGGACACAGCCACTCTGTACCATGACGGAACACGACAAAGACAAGAACATTCCGGAATCATGACTGAATGCACGGCAAAAACATGAATATCGTCCAAACGCAACAATGCTACACACTCCCCTATCCTGGCTGACATAAATGACTATTAATTTATTACCAAGTATCGCTTTAGCCTTGATTTACTCCTCTCATCATATAGATAAGATTTACTCCAATCATAGAATTGACCCCTGTTCTTGACGACATCCAAATACAGAGGAGAACTCTACTTTTTTGAAATCTCCCCCAGATCATTTAATCCAAGCCCAAATCCAATAGTGAGTCCTTTCTAATACCCTCTTACTGAGATGCCCTATGGCTTCCCATGTTGTGTCTCCTTTTGTAGTGAGCAATAGATGCAACTGTGTGTTCCTGGTTGTCTTTGGCTGGACAAATTCTGACTTCTTCCATTATCTTGTACTTACATGTGTTACAGAAAAGTTTAATTATGTTGTTAATTTTGAGGGTTTATTCTTTTTCTGGTTGTGGTTGGTTAGGGTCTCAAATAGAAGATGAGTACAGTCTCTCTACCCAGACTTATCTGGACTTTTGTCTGGGAAATGATGGTCACTGGAGGTAAATGACAGGCTGGTTGCTAAAGAGTAAAGTTGCCCTGTCTCTGAAAGAGGTGTGAGGAAGCTTCCCTGTAGCTGTAAAAAGAAGGTCTCCATTTTAAATGTTGGATATAAGGGAGTGTCTTGAGGGATGTAAAACATGTCCCTTATACAGAGCCTCTAGGAGTTCTAGTCAAAATCTTTGTGTAAATCTCAGGAAATTTGGGAGTCACACTAGGAAGAAGCTTGTGCTGTTGGTTAGTGCAGAGAGAATGGAATCCCTTTTGAGTGAAATGCTTATGGGATTGAACAATGGACATTTTACTGGGGGACTATATGGACTGGATTTCATTTTTCAAGAGTTCTTAATATCCCTTTCTTCTCAGTACTGCAAAAACATCTGTTTAATTACATTACTTTCCAAGTAATAACACACTGGAAATATGTGTACCAACAAAGGGTTCTTATGATGCATTCTAAATTCTTAGGCCATAAAATTTGAGCATTCTATAGGATTCATAGTTAAGCTACTTCTACCAGCCACTGGAAACCCTCATTCCAAACACTGGAGGGTTGAATTGAAGTGGATTTGAACTGATGAAGAGATAGATTTTCTTTTATGTATCTTCTACGCTTACACAACAGCTCAGCACACCTGGGAGCTGGTGTTAAATGCCTTTATAATGTACCTGTTTTCAGGGATAAGTGCCCTTTTTCTACTTTCCATGTGTACATAATTTAACTTTCACACTTTCAGTCATCTTTTCCATTCTTCTCGCAGGGCAGTCTTTTTTCTAATGTATTAATCACAATATCTGCAACGTTAGCCAGGGCCTAATGTGTGCCTAATATTAATAAAAATTAATCTTAATCCTTTCAGCAATCTTACATTGTATTGTTAATGACACAGGCTCGGAAACATTGAGGCAATGTTTACAGGCATTATAAACATTGCCTATGGTTTACAGTAAATGACAGAACCAGGGTTATTAATCTAGGGCCATCTGGAAAAAATGAATGTTGTCACTTAATGCACAATACACAAAAATTAACTCAAAATGGGTCATAAACCTAAATGAAAAAGCTAAAGTTATGAAACTTCTAGAAGAAAGCAGATAGAATATCTTTGTAGTCTTGGGATAAGCAAAGGTTTCTTGAAACATTAAATGCATGAGGCATAAAATAAATGATAGAGTTGATTTCATCAAAATTTTTTTAAAAAGAACTTCTGCCTTTTGAATACATCATAATGAAAATGATAAGGTAAGCTATATATATATCAAAGGACTTATATCCAGACTATATGAAGAATACTTACACCTTAATAATGACAACCCAGTAAGAAAAATGGGCAAAATATTTGAACAGGCACTTGCCAAAAGGAAATATGTGAATGATTAATAAGCACATGAAAAGAAGCTCAATGCCATTCATCATCAGAGAAAGGCAACTTAACACTATAATGAGTTATCGTTAGTATTGCTAAAATAAAACACAAATGACCACACCAAATGTTGAGGTGGATGTGGAGAACTGAACTCAATCACTGCTAGTGGGAATGTAAAGTGGGACAATCACTGTGAAAACAGTTTGACCATTTCTTACAAAGTCAAGCACATCCCTACCATATAACTCAAGCTTTTTGGTCCTAGATATTTACTCAAGGGAAATGAAAACACATGTCCACACAAAGGCTTCCATAACTGTTTATAGAAGGATTTTTTATAATAACCCCAAACTGGAAACAGCCCAAATGTTCATGAACAGGTGAATAGACAACAAATGATGTTATATCCAATACTATTTAATGTAATAAAGGAATAGACTATTCATACATGCATTAATAACAATGAATCAAAATGATTAAAATGAATGAAAGAATGTAGGCAAAAGGTAGTTATGTACTGTGTGGTTCCATTTATTCAAAAGAACAAAAAATGCAAATTAAATTTCTATAGTAACAGAAAGAAAATCAGTGAATGGCGTTAGGGATGGAAAGAGGGATGGATTAAAAGGAGCCACAAGAAATTTTTGGCATGGATGGAAGTGTTTATCTCAATTATCATGATGGTTGAATAGGGATATGCTTATGTCAAAACGAATCAAATTGTATACTTCAAACGTGAAGCTTTATTAACTTCAACTATATCTCAAAAAAGTTGAAAAAATTCAAATCCTGAAAAGAAAAATAGCATAATTCTGGCTTTCTTTTGAGCACGCTGACCAGTAACTTGTGTAAATGATGCATGAAAGGTTTATTTGGCTCAGATGTGACAATGTGTGTTCTAACAGCAGTATTAGCCAGACCTCTAATTGGATCAGGTGATAGAAGCCTTCCTAAGTGGGGACACAGAATTGAATGAATAGGAGGTGTAAAGCACTGTTCTAGACTCTGTGGACAGCTGGGCTTGCTAGAAACTTGTATAGAGTTGTTTGCATAATATTTATAGCAAATCCACATATCCACAATGTCATTCATTTAACCAATGAGAGTTATATTTCTCATATTCTTTATGCTAATTGACATACTCTCTTGATTGAAATACATTTATGTGCATCCACACACACAAACACACCACATACACAAGCACACATGAATATGGATACACATGCTCACACATAAATATCAGGTGTTTTATGACAAATTATTAAAGTACAATTTTAAAACCAAAATGGAAGGATAGATTTGTGCTTATATTTTTTAGATCTATCTACATGTTTAGAAAACACAAATAATTATTTTTGTTTTAAATGTAGACCAGTTGTTCTTAACCTTATCTGAACACTGGAATCATATAGAACATTTTAAAAATACTGATGTCTTTTCTCCCTTTTAAGAGATTCTGATGAAATTGGTGTGGCGTTCTGCTTCAGCTTTGTGATTTTTGAAAATTCTTTAGGTTATTCTAAAGCAGTGCTCTTAAAGCACTGCATTAGGTCCTCAGCCAGTGAAAACAGCATAGGGGACATTTTAAGAGACGAAAATTCACAGGCTTCACCCTAGACCTCCTGAACTGGAAACTCAGAAGGTCTGGCCAAGCAGTCTGCCTTCTAACCAGCCCTCTATGTGATTCAGATGCATGCTCAGATTTGAGAACCACTGTTCTAATCAGTGGTCAGGACTGAAAACAACTAGCCTTGCCTCTATTCATTACCGGTTTGATTGCACGGTGCTGATTCAGCCTATGTCGTGTGCCTGGCTTAGCTTTCTAGAAACTGTCTTGCTCGCCATCTTTCCTCAATTCATATGCTGGTTTAGATTTTGCTCTCTGGATTTAAAGTGCTCACATATTTGTGCATCATATTGTGGCAAGCAGCCTGACCAGGATCTGCTGTTGGAATATGACAGTATCTTGTGTTCAGCCAAAGCCCTGATACAGACTCCCCTTTTCTACATCAAACTTTCTGGAGAGACAGAGCTTTCTTCCCTGGTACCTTTTATTTTCCTTTTGGGAAAGAATCACTCTCATTCATCTTTATATTGTTCATGGTGATTTATGACAAATATCTGTTCAGTAAGCAACAAAGTTGTTTGAACCAGATGTTCTGGGAAATAAGAAAAACAGTTTTGCTTTTACAGTCTTTGGGAATCTGAAGTTTTAAAAAATGAGGAATGCATAGATCTTCCTGTTATTATTATTTTACATGGCTGTGATCAATCTTATATGTGTGTTTCCATTTCAGACCTCTTCCTAGCATAATCTTTCCCTTCTGACCTTCTAGTTTTTCTAACACCTATTACCTTTTAGGACTTTGCTGAAGAAAGAAAGGTAAGACAACAGGAATAGTTAAGTGGGCAGGCAAGTTAGTAATAATTCATTACATTTATAGTAATGCTTATACTATAGTCCTGCTTATTGTTCTACTTTCATCTTGCTAGACTGATTATTCTTTGTAGTCTACAACAGAGTCAGACAGTAAGAAATACACTCCCTTCTTAGACACCTAACTATAAAATGAACATAACTACCATGTATGTAAGTGATAACAGGAGAGAACAGAGTCCTCAGGTGGTTGAGAGTACTCAATGGGATACTAGCAAGGCAAATGCAGGCATTTTCACTGAAGAAGCAAGGGGTCAATGTACTGAGACTGATGCTCAGTTTGCTAAAGGGACATCTGCAAAAAAGCTGACTATGGGACATGGATTATATTAGATTCTTTCAGTTACAAAGTACACTGAACCTGGCTTGGTGGTTTAAGCAAATATAGACATTTATTAGCTCATATTGCTAAAGAGAACAGGTAAATCTGGTCTCAAAAGAGGCTTGACCTAAAGGTCAAACAACATGATTAGGACCTGGTTTCTTTCTCTTGTTTTTTCAGTTCCATGTATTCAGTTTTGGGTCCATTTTCTAGCTGTCTCTTGCCTCACAGTCCCAAGATGGCAATGTCTAAGGACACCCATGCAAAGCAGGAAGAATGAGAAAGACACAGGTCTATTGACTCGTGTTGATGGTATAATTTTTTTTCCTTTCTTTCAAAAAGTTTTTTTTTAAATAGATTCAGAAGGTATATGTTCAGGCTTGTTACCTGGCTATATAATTGTGATGTTTGAGTTTCTAATGTGCTTGTCATTTTAATAGTTAACATTGTACCCAAAAAGTAAAATCTCAAACCTCACCCCCCTCCCACCCTTCCCTTTTTGAGTCCCTAGTGTCTATTATTTACCTATCTGTTCATTTGTACTTATTGTTAGCTCCCTCTTATAAGTGAGAACATGTGGTATTTGATACTTCTGAGTTATTTCACTTAAAATAATGGACTCCAGCTCCATCCATGTTGCTGCAAAAGATATAATTTTATTCTTTTTCCTGGCTATGTAGTATTCCATGGTATAGATATATATATCACATTTTATTTACCCAATCAACCATTGATGAGCACTTACTTGGTTCTATGACTTTGCTATTGTGAATAGTGCAGTGACAAACATACAGGTGCAGGTATGTTTTTGATATAATCATTTCTTTTCCTTTGGGTGGATACCTAGTGGTGGAATTGCAGAGTTGAATGGTTGTTCTGCTTTTAGTTCTGTGAGAAATACCCATACTTTTTTCCACAGAGGTTGTACTAATTTACATTCCCACCAGCAGTGTATCAATATTCTCTTTTATCTGCATCCATGTGAAGATCTGTTGGTATAGTCTCAATGTACCTAGACTTCTATAATGGTTATAAAACTTTCCCCAAAACAGAGTGGCTTGAAACAGCCATCGATTTGTTTATGAGACTACAATTTGGCTGGACTAAGCTGATTTGCTGGTTTTACCAGGTGGGAGAGGGAGGAGGAGAGTTTACTCATGTGACTGTAGCCATCTAGACCAGCTCTGTCCAATTTGACTACTTATATTTAAATAAATTAAAATCAAATACAATTTAAAATTTTGTTCTCTAGCCACATTATTAATCACATTTCCAGTGCTCAATAGCTGTCAGTGGCTAGTAGCTACCATATTGAATAAGGTAGTTACAGACTATTGCCGTCTTTGGAAGTGCTGATCTAGAGAGTTGGCTGGGGCTAGATATTCCAAGATGGCTTCACTCACGTGACTGGAGCCTCAGTTGAATGCTAACATAGCTGAGTCAGCTAGTCTTCTCTCTCTCCCCAGGTTACCTTTCATCCCAGGGTTCTTCACAGGCTGGTGGAAGTGTTCTAAGCGGACAAGAGCAGAGGGTGCAATCTGTGTTGAGGCCTGAGCATGGAAGTCATACCATACCACTTTCAACTCATTACAGAAGTCATACAACATCACTTTCACTCTATCGTGTTAGTTAGAGCAAACAAAAGACCAGCCTAGCTTCAAGCAGTGGAACATTATGCTTTGCCTCTTCATGGGAGTAGTTGCAAAAAATTTGTGACCATGTTTCATCTACTATAATGCATGACAGCAAGAAAATGTAGGTTTACTCTCTCAAGAATAATGGTTGGCAGACTGAAAATGTTAGATTAAATGTTGATTGGAGAGAATTAAAATTCTGAGTTTAGGAGGACATTCATGTATTTGCTCAATTTATTTGTCCAAAAAATTCATAGAGTGAGAAAATATCACGTGCCAGGCATAGTAGCTGAAGATAAAGTGGTAAACAAAACCAACACGCTTCCACTGTCATAAATCTCACATTCTATTGCAGACATGTAAAACAAACATACAAAATTTTAGATAGTTACCAGAGGATAGTGTGAAGGTGTTACTTTAGAGAGTAAATTCAGGAAATGAGAGAAATCCTTTAGCTTCTCTAAATGTCATTATTATATTAAGCTATTGTTTGAATTTAATATATGTGGCTTATATTTAAAAGGTGCAATGAATGGAAAAGCATTTAAAATGTAGTTCCAAAAGTATTTGAATACATGTGTTTCTATATGCTTTTCCCTCTAATATTCTTTGTCTTTCGATTTTATTCTTCACAGTTGTGGTAGACAGACTGTAAGATATCTACCAGTGATCTTCACTTCCTGATACTCACAGCTTTGTGTAATCCACTGCCTTTAAACAATCTGCTTTTATCCAATAGAATACAGCAACATGAAGGTGATGTCACTTCTGATTGTGACTTCCATCTTGCTAGTAGACAATTGTTTTCTTGGCTTGCACACTATGATGAAGCAAGCTGCCATGTGAAAGAGGTCCATGTGGCAAAGAGCTCAGGGCAGCTTCTGTGGAACAGCCAGTGAGCAACTGAGGCCCTGAGTCCAACAGTTTGTGAGGAGCTGAATGCTTCCAACAGCTACTGAAAGAGGGTGGCAGTGGATCCTTCCCCTGATGAGAAGTCAGATGAGACTGCAGACCCTTTGTAGCCTTGTGAGAGACAGTGAATCAGAGGGCCCAGTAGCTGTGCCTGGATTTCTGACATACAGAAACTATGAGATAATTAATGCGTATTCTTTTAAGCTGCAAAGTTTTGGAGTAATTTGTTACATAACAATAGATAACTAGTAGAATAGGTCTTTTCTTTGTGGGGAGATAAAGGATTGCAGATATCCAAGGCTTCTCTAGCCTTGTTCGTTTGTTCATTTTTGGCTTTTTCCTTGCCATCAAACCCTAATAGTTTTAGAATTCCATAATGGATGTAAAAAGTATATCTTGGTGAAATGGCTCTGTTTATGATATTTTCATATAACAACAAATTTTTCTATTCTAGTATTTTCTCAGTGGGGACATATATATCACATTTTCATTTCAATAACTTATATACTATTTCAAATGTGAAATTTGAAATTATGTTGTAGGGATTACAGTGGGGATAGCTGAAGAACAGTTTTTTAAAATTTTGTTTTTAAAAGGATCTTTTCCTGTACCCTTTATGAGGGGCAGTATGTGAATCAATTTAACCATTAAAAACATGAATAAATTCCCCTGTTCCTTAAGCCTGTCTTCTTCATACCTTTTGGAACTAATTTTTAGAACTTTTCTGCTTCAGCTAAATTAGTCTGCTTTTTAATTCTCTTCTATGTACCACTTTGGCAAACACTTCTGTATTTTAATGTATGCCATCTTTTGTGTCATGTACCAATCTGTGCACAATTTAGCCTTCACATCTCACTTCTTCCTGAAAGCTGTTCTTGGTTGTCCTCACCTGAGCCAGACATTTTCTCTTAGCTCCTTCAGCAGACCTACCCTCCATCCTGCTCACCTTGCCCTCTGCCTAGGTAGTAGCCCTGAATGGACTACATCGAAGCATTTCTGTGCCCTCTTGCTCCTGTTAGGTTAGGCCATGGGGAGCAGCCTACCAGGAGGTTGAAGGGAGGGAAGAGTTCAAGGCATCTATTCCTCAATTTTCCTCCCAGTGAGGTCACCTTGGGATGGTCATGTTCCTTAATGTGACTTGCTACCCTTCTGGGTTCTGGTCAATAAGAAACTCAGTGTCAGTAAAGAAAAGGTCAAATAATGAAACTACATGTTCTGATTTTCTCATATTCATTCAAATGTGATGAGTAGTGGGAGTAGAAATCAGCCTCCAGCATATGGAATGTTGAGTATATTAAACAACACAAATTTATTTTTATATAGTTGTTTTAACCTAGATTTATACCAGTTTTTTTTCAAGTCATTTGACTTTAATTCCAGATTCTATCTTGAAACTTACATAATCAGAGATCACACATTAAATGAGCACATAACATAATGAGTAAAAGTAAACAATTAAAAACCTTTCCCTTTTCTTAACTGTCGGGAAAGGTTTGTTCTAGATGAGCAATGACGACTGAGTAATAGAGGTGCTGAGAATTAAGTTAGAATAAGACAGTTGTATTTTCTCATTAAAAGCAGTAACAACAGAACAGTTCTCTGAAGTAATATAAGCTAATTCTGCCAAACTGAGAAATGTCAGAAACTATAAAGCCATAAAACATGATCCACTGCAAAATAAAATAATCTCTTTAAATTCACTTGTCTTTGCTATGATCTGAATGTTTGTGTCCCCATAAAATTCATATGCTGAAATCGAATCCTCAAAGTAATGGTATTAGTAGGTGGGGCCTTTGGTGGGTGACTAGGTCATGATGTAGCCCTC
The DNA here is from genome assembly GCF_000001405.40 of Homo sapiens. NCBI lineage: Eukaryota > Metazoa > Chordata > Mammalia > Primates > Hominidae > Homo > Homo sapiens. The sequence continues at coordinate 18,671,990 of NC_000012.12, read as the reverse complement.
ATGTATGGGATTTGTGTCCTGATAAAAGAGCCCTAGGGCTCTTATATGCCCACTCTACCAAGTCAAGATGTCATGAAAAGGTGCTATATATGGGAGATGAGCCTTCACCAGACATTGAATCTGCAGGCGCCTTGATCTTAAACTTCTCAAACTCCAAAACTGTGAGAAATCAATTTCTATTGTTTGTAGCCCCTCCATGGATGATATTTTTGTTATAGCAGCTTGGATGAACTCAGACAGTCTTTTTGCATTTTGGAAAAAAATTCAAATTTCCCTTTTCTTCATCATTTTTCTGGAGCCTTTCCTTTCCATAAATTGTCTGCAATAATGAAATTTTTTTTTATATCCAATATAGTAGCCACTAGCCATATGTGCCTCCTCACCACTTGTGATGTGCCTAGTACACCTGAGAAATCAAATTTGTAGTTTTGTTTCATTTTTAATTGAGTAGCCACACATGGGTGGTGCCTCCATAGTGAATGCTGTAGCTCTGGAGTGCTGATCTCATGTGTGATCTTCTTTAGGTTCAGGTTTTCTGCATTATGCTGACGCAGTCACACACAGTCCCTTATTACACAAAGGGGCCAGGCTCTCGTGTTCTTTCTCCTACATGTGTCTGTTTCTTCCCAGCTGTACTTACTCGATTGTGGATTCAGTCCAATAAAAAAAAATCCCAATATCTTCTCTGTATGGTGCATAGCAGTTTATGAAATGTTTTTACATACACTATTTAGTTTGATCCTCATAATAAATGGAACTAGATAGCACTTTTTCTTTTTCTTTCTTTCTTTTTTTTTTTTTTTAGATGGAGTCTCACCCTGTCACCCGGGCTGGAGGGCAATGGCCTGATTTCGGCTCACTGCTGAAATCACTGTCACCTCCACTTCCCAGGCTCAAGTAATTCTCCTGCCTCAGCCTCCTGAGTAGCTGGGATTACAGGCGCACACCACCAAGCTGGGCTAATTTTTGTATTTTAGTGGAGACAGGGTTTCACCATGTTGTCCAGGTGCTCTAACTCCTGACCTCATGATCTGCCTGCCTCAGCCTCCCAAAGTGTTGGGATTACAGGCATGAGCCACTGTGCCCGGCCGAAACTGTGTTTGTTTTCTTAAATAATTTTTCCAATTGAAAGCTTCCTAACTGATTTGATCAAGTAAAGGAGCTCATTTGAAAGAATGTTTCATGACAATGTAAACATTGGTTATTCTGGAATTGGTGAGAAAAGTGCACCTAAAATAGTTCAGGATGATAAAGTAAAAAGAACACTGAAGAGCTGTGCCTGCCACTTATCATGAGATTGATAATAGCAATAATAATAATGATAATAGTAATAGAGACATGTATTACCCACTTACCATATTCCAAGCATTATCCTAAGTGCTTTATATGCAGAAACGAAGTTAACCCTGCAGAAAGGAAGTTAACCCTCATATCAATCCCTGGAGATTTTGCAGATGAAGACAATAAGATTAAAGAGGTTAAGAACTGTGTTGAAGGTAATGCATCTTGGGTAGTTGAAGCTGTCTTGGGTAGGCCCTTCAACTCTCATGGTTTGTTTGCTCCCCTTTAAAAAGGAGGTTGCTGAACTAGACAATATCTATGTTCTAGCTCTCTGTGGCACAGACAATTGAAATGTCTAAATCAACAATGTGATTTTTGGCAGTGTCCTTTCTGATGTTGTGTGTGTGTGTGTGTGCGCATATGTGTGTAATTTCTGTAATTGTGGAGAAATGTAGCAATCTGATAAAACAACTCTTCTGAAAAAAGTGATTTCCTAAAGCATTTCATTTTTATATTGATCTTGTTTCAAGGCAGCATACTTCTTCTATCTAATGATCTGATATCTGTTGTGAATGGAATGTTTATGTCCTCTCCAAACATTCCCAAATTCATATTTTGAAGCCCTAACTCCCAATGGGGTGGTATTAGGAGGTAGGATCTTTGGGAGGTAATTAGGTTTAAATTAAGACATAAGGGCTGAGCCACTATGATAGGATTAATGCCCTTATAAGAAGAGGAAGAGGGCCGGGCGCGGTGGCTCACACCTGTAGTCCCAGCACTTTGGGAGGCCAGGTGGGCGGATCACAAGGTCAGGAGTTTGAGACCAGCCTGAGCAACGTGGTGAAACCCTGTCTCTGCTAAATGAGCAAACAAAAAATACAAAAATTAGCCAGGCATGGTGGCACACGCCTGTAATCCCAGCTACTCAGGAGGCTGAGGCAGGAGAATCACTTGAACCCAGGAGGCGGAGGTTGCAGTGAGCTGAAATTACATCTCTGGACTCTAGCCTGGGTGACAGAGCGAGAATCTGTCTCAAAAAAAAAAGAGAGGAAGAGACACCAGAGCTTCCTCTCTCTGCCATGTGAGGATTCAGCTGCAAAGGCAACTGTCTGGAAGCCAGGAATAGGGGCCCTCACCAACAACTGAATCTGCTGGATTGGACTTTCCAGCCTCCAGAACTGTGAGAAATAAATTTCTGTTGTTTAAGCCACCGAGTCTATGGTATTTTTATTATAGCAGTTCACATTAAGACAGTATCTTTTAGACTCTCACTGATAATATGAATTAGATTATTTAAAGTGAGGATAATTATCCTTACCACACACCAATTTATTATAAAGGTTAAATGAAATAATGTTTACTGTGGTGCCTGCTACATAGTAAGAATACAAGAGACCACACATATAATGGAAAGAGAATATAGTGCAGTGGTTAAGAGGATGGATTCTGATGCTTGATTGCCTGACTTCATGTCCTTTGCTACCTACTAGCTGTGGGACCTTGGAAAAAAATTACTCAACTTCTTTTGTGTGTGTGCTTTAGTTTCCCATCAGAGGAATCAAGAAAATAATCATTGTTACAAGGCTTAAATGAACTGTTGTTTATAAAGAATTTGGAACAGTACCATGAAAATGCAGAACAGAGACAAGAGTGTCACATAAATATTAGCTATTATTATTATTACTATTTTCTGCACTAGCTTTTGCTCAGCGGGGGAAATTAATTACACACCTGGAGCTTCTCTCTTAATCTCTTATTCACGATTTTTTCTTGCACATCTAGTAATTTATTTCGTCTTTGCTGACATTTACAATTGAAAGTCCAAAAAGATCCATCAGAATTTTTGTCCGGTGTAAGCTCCTTCTGCACTCGTGTATTCTGATGTATGAGTAGATATGTATCAGAGCTGGGCAGGCCTGAGGTGAATATCAGCAGGCAGCATTCCCAAGCAATAAATATAGCTTTGGGGTGTGAGCACTTCTACCCAGAGAGTGATAAATGGTCTTTTCCTTTATGGGCTGGAGGTGAGTTGGCCTGAAGTGAGCAGCACTTTGCTCTAGGGAGATGAGTTGTGCTATGATCTGTGGGCTTCCCCAGGGTGTTGGTCCTATCTTCAGTGTGCCAGAAGATGATGGTCCAGCATGCATGATCTCCTTGAAGAAGGCAAAGGGCACTAGGGTTGCAGTCCTGGAGCTTCAGTTGTAGTAGACGGCAGGCAGGTTAGTGGTCCCTGCAGTCCTTGTCTCACCTTGGTGCTCCATGTGTGTAGGTTGGGTTCCATTTGATTTCTGATGGATGAGCAAGGTTTTCCTTTTACAAATTTTCCCTTAATCACCTCAAAAGGGAATTAGTAAACTGGTAAAGTGGCAAAGATATGTTCTTAGTTTCTCTGACTTTCCAAAGAATTATTATCCGTAGGGAAGGTTCATGTAAATACTTAATGAAAATGTGATGTGTGTTTCTTCTTAAGAAATAATGGGCTTACTGTGATATTCTGTAGGGGATGTTATTGAAAGTATGACTGGACTTTTTTTCTTTTTAAATTTCACTACCTGCTAGTCCCTATGAGACAGAGAGATTAAGATAATACAAGTTGGGGCTAAGAAAAAGACAGTGACTCTTTTAGTATAATTACGCTAAGTGGAGACGAACTTTGACTGTATCAGAAATCTGATTATATTAGGTAGTGTCCTAAAGGTAGACCTTAGGTAAAAATCTTTTGCCTTTTTTTTTTGTTGTTGTTGCTTCTCCTCAGGACTCAAAGTTTTCCCCTGCTCCCCGTCTCACTCTCCACCTTGTTCTGTTTACTGGGAAGAGAATCTTCTAGAACCATGGGCAGAATCTCTCCTCTTAAGAAGGCAGAGCAATGTGGTGGAAATGGCATGGAGTTTGAAGTCAAGCCAGAGCTGGGATTGACTGCTGGGCTCAAGGACATTTCTTAACTTTATAGAGTTTCATTTTCTTTTAAACATAGAAATACTATTGCTTATTTCATAGACTTTTATGATAATGAAATCAAATGCTGTGGGTAAAGCAGTAGCACAATGCCTTGTACAAACTGGGTCTTCAATAAACGCTAACTCCTTTCCCCTTTCCTACTACAGAAAATTGGTGACAAGAAGGATCATGAAGAAAGGATCTCAAGTAAAAATAGAAGAAAAAAAGTCTTAAATATGTTTTAAAAACAAGCCAAACTCTAGCTTATAGAGCAGTTATTTTACTAAAATTATATTCTCAAAACATAGTACTTAGTGTTGTCAAAGACTATAATATTGACTCTGGAGACCTGAATGAGAGCAGATAGATACAGGTAATCTTGATTTTAGCCCCACCAGGTGCCCATCAGTTTATAACAGTTAAAAGTTGATGACTGTTAACTTCTTGGTAGGAGGTTTCTCCCACCAAGGGTTTAATTAAGATATTACACATATCTCTAAGTGGTAGTCATATGCTGTCATAGCTCTAAGAAGTAGTATATTCACTTACGTATTTGAACTATTCCTGCCTTCATTCAAAGCTTACAAGTTTATAATGGTGGCAACCCTCATCATGAGACCTTATTTGAGACCCCTTTCAATATACTGAAATGCCTTTATTTTCATTCTCCATTTAAGCCTAGTGTTTCTGGCAACTTCCCCCCACTGTGATGCATTGAGGATGCACTCTGTCTGGTGATATAGCCTACACCATTATTGAGAAACGGTATTTTTAGTTCTAGGCCATGATTGCTACTTTCTCTGCTTTTTGCTAAGGAATTGTGGTTAAAACCCTGAAACCTGCCTCCTAGAGAATTTGTTTAAAAATAACCTTTTACTTAACAGTTTTAGGTTTACAGGAAAATTGCAAAAATAAGAAATGGAGTTTCCATATACCACATAACCAGTTTAGACTATCATCTGTAACCTAATATGTGGTCTATCCTGGAGAATGTTTCATGTCTACTTGTGAAGAACTTGTATTCTGCTATTGTTGAGTGATGTGTTCTATATATGTCTGTAGTTTTAGTTGGTTTATAGCATTGTTCAAGTATTCTATTTCTCTGTCTTTCGTCTAGTACTTTTTCCTATTGAAAGTTGGGTATTAAAATCTCCAAATGTTGTTGAACTATCTGTTTCTTTCTTCAATTCTGTCAGTTTTTGCTTCACATATTTTGGGGGTTTCCCATTTATATATTTATAATTGTTTTATCTTCTTAATAGATGGATACTTTTATATTATATAATGTCCTTCTTTGTCTCGTGCAACAATCACCTTGAAGTCCATTTTAAAAATTAGTATAGCCACCCCAGCTCTTTTTGAGACTATTTGCATAAATGTATTTTTCCATTTTCAACATATTTGTGTCTGTAAATCTAAGGAGTGTCTTGTAGACAGTATATAATTGGATCGTGCTTCTTAATGCATTTTGCCAAATATGCCCTTTAATTGAAGAGTTTAATCTACTTATATTTAATGAAATTAAAGATATAAAAAGACTTACTTTTGCCAATTTTCTCTTTGTTTTCTATAGGCAATATCTTTTAATTATTAATTTCTCTATAATTTTTTTCTTTTGTGTTAGATATTTTCTAGTGTCACTTGATTTCTTTTTCATTTGTTTTAGTATACACTTTTAAGTTATTTTCTTAATGGTTTACCTGGAGATTACCATTAATATCTTAATTTATAATAATCTAGTTTAAATTAACATTTAATAGTATACGAAGACTTTGGTCACATATAGCTCCATACCTCAGGCATGCACCACCACGCCCAACTAGTTTTTTTTTTTTTTTGAGATGGAGTCTATCTCTGTCACCCAGGCTGGAGTACAATGGCGCGATCTTGGCTCACTGCAACCTCTGCCTACTGGGTTCAAGTGATTCCCCTGCCTCAGCCTCCCAAGTACCTGGGACTACAGGTGCGCACCACTACGCCTGGCTAATTTTTTGTATTTTACTAGAGAAGGAGTTTCACCATGTGGTCCAGGATGGTCTCGATCTCCTGACCTCGTGATCCACCTGCCTCAGCCTCCCAAAGTTCTGGGATTATAGGCATGAGCCACTGCGTCCAGACCGCCAGGCTAATTTTTGTATTTTCAGTACAGACAGGGTTTCACTATGTTGGTCAGGCTAGTCTCCAACTCCCGACCTCAGGTGATCTGCCTGCCTTGGCCTCCCAAAGTGCTGGGATTACAGGCAGGAGCCACCACACCTGGCCATAATTATTGTTTTATATAATTATCTTTTAAATAATACAGACAAAATAGAGAAATTACAAACCTAAAATACATTACCAATGACTGTTTCTCAATTTTTTTTTCTTGTGGTGAAATACAAATAATATAAAACATACTATTTTAGCCATTTTTAGAGGTGCAGTTCAGTGGTATTAAATACATTCTCATTCTACAACTACCACTAATATCCATCTCCAGAACTCTTTCCATCTTGCAAAACTGAAAGTCTATATACCCTTTAAACAATAACTCCTCAATTACCCATTCCACCAGTCCCTGGCAACCACCATTCTTTGTTCTTATTTTTTTTAATTTTTTTTTATTTTTTATTATTATTATGCTTTAAGTTTTAGGGTACATGTGCACAATGTGCAGGTTAGTTACATATGTATGCATGTGCCATGCTGTTGTGCTGCACCCATCAACTCGTCATTTAGCATTAGGTATATTTCCTAATGCTATCCCTCCCCCCTCCCCCCACCCCACAACAGTCCCCAGAGTGTGATGTTCCCCTTCCTGTGTCCATGTGTCCTCATTGTTCAATTCCCACCTATGAGTGAGAACATGCAGTATTTGGTTTTTTGTCCTTGTGATAGTTTACTGAGAATGATGATTTCCAATTTCATCCATGTCCCTACAAAGGACATGAACTCATCATTTTTTGTGGCTGCATAGTATTCCATGGTGTATATGTGCCACATTTTCTTAATCCAGTCTATCATTGTTGGACATTTGGATTGGTTCCAAGTCTTTGCTATTGTGAATAGTGCCGCAATAAACATACGTGTGCATGTGTCTTTATAGCAGCATGATTTATAGTCCTTTGGGTATATACCCAATAATGGGATGGCTGGGTCAAATGGTCTTTCTAGTTCTAGATCCCTGACCTGGCAACCACTATTCTACTCATTGTCTCCATGATTTTGAACACTTTAAGTATCTCATATAAATAGAATCATACTTTATCTTTTTGTGATTTTTCTTATTTCACTTAGCATAATGCCCTCTAAGTTCATCCATGCTGTAGTATATGCCATAATTTCCTTCCCTTTCAATGCTGAACAATATTCCACAGTATGTATAAACTACAGTTTCCTTATCCATTTATGTATCAATGGATATTTGGGTTACTCCCCAAGCTATTGAGAACAATGCTGCTATAAACATGGATGTACAAATATATTTTCAGAAGCCTGCTTTCAGTGTTTTTTGGTATATATTCAGAACTGGAATTGTAGGATTATGTGGTAAATCTATGTTTAAGTTTTTGAGGAACCACCAAACTGTGTCCCACAGTGGCTATACCATTTTACGTTCCTACCAACAGTACATAAGCGTTCCAATTCTTCCACATCCTGACCCTCGCTTGTTATTTTCTGGTGTGTCTTTGTTTGTTTGTCTGGTTTGGTTTTTGATAGTAGCCATCCTAATGAGTGTGAGTGTTATATCATTGTAGTTTTGATTTGCATTTTCAATGATTAGTGATGTTGAGCATGTTTTTATGTGCTTACTAGCCATTTGTATATCTTCTTTGGAGAAATGTCTATTCAAGTCCATAGCCTATTACTTAAACCAGGTTGTTTGGCTATTGGTTATTGTGTTTTAGGAATTCTCTATGTATTCTGGATATTAATTCCTTATAAGATGTATGATTTGCTAATATTTTCTTCCATTTTGTATATTGCCTTTTTCTCTGTTGATAGTGTTTTCAGATGCACAACATTTTTCAATTTTCATGAAGTTCAATTTCTTTCTTTTTTCTTCTGTTGTTTGTGTCTTTGGTGTCATGTCTCACAAATCATTGCCAAATCCAACATCATAAAGCTTTTGTCCTATGTTTTTTTTTCTAAGAGTTTTACAGTTTTTGCTGTTATGTTTAGGTACTGGATATATTTTAAGTTAATTTTTACAAGGTCATCCTTTGGTATCAATGTGGGATTATTTCCAGGACCTCCTATGGATATCAAAATCCACAGAAGTTCAAATCTCTGATATAAAATAGCATAGTATTTGCATATAACCTATGCATATCCTCCTATGTAGTTTAAATAATCTCTACATTACCTATGCTTGACACAATGTAAATGTTATGTAAATAGTTATTATACTGTATTGTTTAGGAAAAAGTGCTAAATTAATTAATTCTAACAGTTTTTCTGGACTCATGGTTTTCTAAAAACAGGATCGTATTATCTGTGAACAAAGATAATTTTGCCTCTTCTTTTCAAATTTAGATGTCTTTTATTTCCTTTTCTTGCCTAACTGCTCTGGATAGAGTATCCAGTACTATGTTGAATAAAAGTGATGAACCTGTTCACCCTTGCCTTGTTCCTGATCTTAGAAGAAAAGCTTTCAGTCTTTCAACATTGAGTATAATATTCATTGTGGATTTTTCATATGTGGCTTTTATTATGCTGAGGTAGTTTTCCATCTATGTCTTTTGACTGGAGAGAGTTTAATCCACTTATATTTAAAGTAATTTCTGATATGGAGGCACTTCTGTCAGTTTTCTATTTGGTTTCTACATGCCTTATAGCTTTTATAGTCCTAATTGTTATCTTTGCATTACTGTCTTTTTGTGTTTAGTTGATGTTTTTTGTAGTTAAATGTTTTAAGTATTTTCTCATTTCCTTTGGTTTTTATTCTATGTGCATTTTCTGTTTGGTTACCATGGGGATTACATTTAACATGCTAAAGTTATAACTCTCTAATTTGATTTTATAACAGCTTAACTTCAGTAACATATGAGATTCTGCTCCTTTACAGACTAGACCTCATTTTTCAGTTATTGATGCTTCAAAATTACATCTTTCCACATTGTGGGTCCAGATATATGAACCAATAATTACTTTTAATGCATTAATATCTTAAATAATGTAGAAAACAAAATGTATAGCTGCAGACCAAAGTTACAATAATACAAATTTTTATAATTGTTCATGTATTTACCTTTACTGTGGATCTTTACTTCTTCACAAAGCCTTTTTTTTAAACTGTGTAATGCTCTTTTATTTCAAAGTGTGAGGCCACCTTTAGTATTCCCTGCAGGGTAGATCTAGGGTCATAAATTTCCTCAGCTTTTGTTTATCTGGGATAAACAAAATTTATTTCTCCCTCATTTATTAATTTCTTAATTTCTCCCTCAATTTTGTGTTTTTTAAAAATTGTACTTAAAAACCTTTATGTTTAGAGGTACATGTTCAGGTTTGCTACATAGGTAAGTTGCATGTTGCAGGGGTTTGATGTACAGATTATTTCATCAGCCAGGTGATGAGCATAGTGCCTATGCTATTTAGGTAGCATAGCATAACTACTTAACTCCAGTGGGTGGTTTTTCAATCTTCACCCTCCTTGCACTTTCCATCTTCAAGTAGTCCCAGTGTCTATTGTTCTCATTTTTGTGTCCATGTGTACTCAAGATTTAGTTCCTACTTAATACGGGAGAACACGCAGTATTGGTTTTCTGTTCCTGCGTTAGTTCACTTAGGATAATGGGATAATGGCCCCCAGCTCCATTCATGTTTCTGCAAATGATATGATCTTGTTCTTTTTTTATGGATGTGTAGTATTTCATGGTGTATGTGTACTTCATTTAAAAAAATCCAGTACTACTGTTGATGGGCACATAGGTTGATTCCTATTGTCTTTGCTATTGTGAATATTTCTACAACGGTAGAACAATTTATATTCCTTTGGGTGTGTATCCAATAATGGGATTGCTGGGTCAATGGTAGTTCTAAGTTTTCTGAGAAATCACCAAACTGCTTTCCACAATGGCTGACCTAATTTCTTTCCCACCAGCAGTGTATAAGCATCCCCTTTTCTCCACAGCCTCACCAGCATGTTATTTTTTGACTTTTTAATAATAGCCATTCTGACTGGTGTGAGATGGTCTCTCATCGTGGTTTTGGTTTGCATTTTTCTGATTAATAATGTTGAACATTGTTTTATATTCTTGTTTATCCCTTATTTATGAAGGACAGTTTTGCTAGATACAGGATTCATGGTTGACAGTTGTTTTTCTTTTAGCACTTTAAATATATAATCCTACGAAAAGGCCTTTTTATGTGATGTGTCACTTCTCTCTTGCTGCTTTCAAGATTCTCTCTCTCTCTTTTTTTTTATTTTTGGCAGTAGGATTATAATGTCTTGGTACGGGTCTTTCTGAGTTATCTCATTTGGAGTTCGTTAAACTTCTTGGATGTTTATAATTCTTGTATCTCATCACACTTGGAAATATTTGGGGTACTATTTCTTCAAATAATCCCTTTGCCTCTTTCTCTTCTTGCAGAACTCTTACAATGGATATGTTGGTCTGCTTCATAATATCCTACAGGTTGGTTAGGCTCTGTTCACTTTTCTTAAATCTTTATTGCTATTCCCCAAACTCAGTAATTTCCATTGTTCTGTCCTCAAGTTCATCAATTCTTCTAACTGCTCATATATATACCCTTCAATTCTTCTAGTGAATTTTTGTCTTCAGTTGTACTTTCCAGTTCCAGAATTTCATTTTGGCTTCATTTGGGTTTTCTATATTTTTATTGATCTTTTTATTTTGTTCATGCTTTGTTTTCTTGATTTTCTTTACATCTTCCTTTACTTCTTTGACTATCAATTGTTTTAAACTCTTTGCCTAGTAAATATTTCATCAGGTCTTTCTGAAGGACAGTTTCTGTTGGTTTATTTTTTCCTTTGAATGAGACATACTTTCCTGTTTGTTGGATGCCTTGTGGTTTTTTTGTTGAAAGCTATATATATGAATCTAATAATATCATGTCTCTGGAAATCAGATTCTTCTCCTTTCCCAGAATTTGCTGTATCTGTTCTGTTTTAATTGATATAGGCTTCTCTGTGCCAAGGACCAGCCTGAGGTATAAATCTAAGGTCTTTTCTGGTCATTTCTGAGTCTATACCTTTCTCCGGGCATGCACAGTTACTTTCTAATTTCCTCTATATATGTGGTTGCTTTTAATTTAATGTCCTAGTCTTTAATGTCTGGCTCTCAAAAGGGGAAAAGGAGAAAAACTAAAGGTGCCGAGGCGCTGGCCCTTTAAACCCCCCTGGATCTCACTTCAGCTGGAGAGGGAAGGGCTTGCAACAAAGGAGGAGTTGCAACAAAACTTCCCACCTTTGTCTGTGTCTCTGCCTTTTTGATCAGAGCATCAATCAGATATCAGAACACAGATCCCTGATATTTAATGGACAGTATCCTTATGGCTCCTGCTGGTTTCGGCAAGCTGTGTGCAAGCTGATCCAGAAATACGCAGGAGAATGGGGATGGATAGCCACTGCTGAGTTAAGAGCTGAAATTGACCTAAATGTACTGAAATTTACTATCCAGGTCCTCTCCTGGAAGGTGCAAGCAAGCCTTCAGTAGACTCCAAGATTCCAAAATATTTACCTCAGACAGATTATGTCAGTGTAATTGTTCTGTTGGAGGGGAGATAAATTTTTGGTGCTTCATACTGTGCCATCTTCCCAGAATTCTCTCCAACATTTGTTTTTTACATTTACTTATCTTTAGCAGTGTTCTTTATTTCTCTATGTAAATTTGAGTTAGCCTAGAGTTCTTTTATTTCAGTCCAAAGGACTCCCTTTAGCATTTCTTATAGAGTAAGTCAACTAGCAGTTAACTGTCTCAGTTTTTATCTGGGAGAGTCTTAATTTCTCCTTTATTTTAGCATTAGGTGATATACATAATGCTAAATAACGAGTTAACGGGTGCAGCACACCAATATGGCACGTGTATACATATTTAACAAACCTGCACGTTGTGCACATGTGCCCTAAAACTTAAAGTATAATAATAGTAAAAAAAAAAAAAAAAAGAATGGAGAACTATTCCATAGTAAAGGAGACTTAAGAGGCCTGACACGTAAATGAAATGTGTGATTCTAATGTGGATATCCTTTCACTATAAAATACATTATTGAGACAATTGATAAAACTTGAAGGAAGTCTATGCATTAAATGATAGTTATGTAATTTCCTGATTTTGATCATGGTATTTTGGAGAAGAGAGAGAATATTCTTGTTTATGAAACATCATCTCTAAGTATGCAGGGATGATAGAGTATCAGGTCAGCCGCTTAATCCCAAGTGATTTAGGGAACAAAGAGTTCTTTATCCTCCAGTTACAAGCGTATGGCTGTGGGCAGCTTATTTTGTCTGACTACTTTTGTTTTCTCATCTATTGTACGGGACTAGTGATAGTATTTATCTCTTTGCATTGTTATGAGATTAAATAAGATGGTAAAGGTAAAGTGGTTATTTAGTGCCTAAAGTTGGCTAGTTTTTGAGTACCTTTATATATTAGCTCCAACTATAATATGAGAATTATGGTTACTGTTTATTTTTTACCTTCCTCCTATCTTGGCCCACTTTTAGTGTGTCTTCCCTTCTGCCCTACTGTTTCCTATCCATGTTGGTTTCCTTTCCATAGCAACTCTTGCCTCTCCAATACAAAGCTTCATGCTCCAAAAAGCACTGAGTCATAGAGCATGAGTTATTCCTTGCATGATTATAATATCTTCACCAATAGAAAGAGATAATTTGTGTGAAAGGTAAATGTACAAAAAAAATACAAAAATCTCATTTTTACAGGTTTCATAATGCAAATTTTTTCCATTCAAATAGAATAATTCACTTTAGAACATTTCTGAAGGTGAATTAGATTCTATTGTAGTAAATACCTAAGCTAAAGTATAGCATTCTCTCCCTTTTTACTCTCTGTGAAATAGAATATGTAAAACCTTCTAAAAGAATTTATATGCATAACTCAAGCCATCTATTCCAAATACTTAAAGTTACAGGTCGGTTATGTATATATGTAAAACTGGTACTTTAATGCTATTATTTATTAAAATATTGATTTTCTATTAAAAAATTCTCCTTTATTTTTCAAAAATAGTTTTTATCAAATATAGATCTCTTGGTTGATGGTCTTTTCTTTTAGCTCTTTGAATATTTCATATGTCTGGCCTCCATGGTCTGTGGTAACAATCAGCCATTAATCTTATTGAGGATTTCTTGTGCATAATGACTTGCTTCTCTCCTGCTGCTTTTACGATTCTTTATCTTTTGCTTTTGACAGTTTGATTATAGCGTGTCTCATTGTGAATCTTGTTATGTTTATCCTACTTAGAGTTTGTTGAGCCTCTTGGATGTAATTCATCAAGTGAATTGATGTTTTGGACCATTATTTCTTTAAATATTCTTTCTGTCCTTTTATCTTTTTATCTCTCTTATCTTCTGGGATGCCTAATATGCAAATGTTAATATACTTGGTGGTATTTCATAGGTCTCTTAGGATCTGTTGATTTTTCTTTATTCCTTTTGTTCCTCAGATTAGGAAATCTCAATGAACTTACTTTCAAGTTTGCTAATTCTTCCCTCTGTCTGCTCAAGTGTACTGCTGAACTTCTTTTGTGAATTTTTCATTTCAGTTGTTATAATTTTTTAATCCAGAATTTTTTTTTGGTTACTTCATAATATGTCTCTTTATTGAAGTTTTCTATTTGAAGTGATATTATTCTAGTGGTTCTCTTCAGTTCTTTGTATGTGGTTTCCTTAAGAGCTTTAAGCATATTTAAATAGTTAATTTAAAGTCTGTCTAGTAAGTCCAATAGATGAGCTTCCTTAGGGATAATTTCTATTACTTTCCTTTTTTTTCTGTGTATGGGCCATACTTTCTTATTATTTGCACACTTCACAATTTTTTGTTGAAGACTGAACATTTTGAATATTATAGTGTGGCAACTCTAGAAATCAGATTCACTTTCTTCCTTGGGGGTTTGTTGTTGCTGCTTATTATAGTAGTTGTTTGTTTAGTGCCTTCTCTGAACTGATTTTTTAAAGTATGTATTCATTGTTGTATCTAGATTCTCTTTTCGGTTAGCTTAGTGGTGTTCAGCTAATGATTTTACAGAGATTTCTTTAAACTACTGGAGCCGAAAACAACAACAAAAAATTAGAAATCTTTCAGCCTTTGCATATGGGCTCTATGTGAATGTTGAGGCATGCCTTCAACACTTCAGCTTGTAAGCTTACTACTCTGCTATAGTCTTCATTTGTGCTTTCATAGAGCCTGAGGGTCAGCCAGTGACAAGAGCTCTGGATCTTCTCAGGTATTTTCTGAATATGATCCCATCCCTGGGCACATATATGGTCATCTAAATCCCAGGTATTTGTGGAAACTTTTCAGAGCCCTTATTCCCCAAAACATCTCATTTCCCAGTCTTTCGCCCCCAGGTTTTTCAGTTAGTAAATTGTTTGTTCCAACTCTATTATTCCTTGTCCCCAGCAGCAGTGGCAAATACATCTGCCTATAAATATTTCAAACAAATTCTCCCTGGGTAGTCACCTCAGCACTGGTAGAGATTTGAGTTCGTTAAAATAAAGACAAACCCTTTGGGCTTGTTTTTTTGGGATCACTAGCCAAGTCAAAACAACCACAATTCTTTGTGGTCAGAATGAGATCTATTTTACTCTCTGTCATATTAGGACCCTATACAAAAAATGTGAGCTGCTGTCATTAGGGCTGCCTTAAAAAGTTGAGCTGGGAGCAGGAGATGGGGCCAAAGTAACTTTAACACCACATCTCTCTTACTGAAATTTAACTCTCTTTTCTTGATTAAGCATTCATTTTGTTGTTGCAAAATTTGATTGGTTTCAATTGTTCTAATAAAGTTGATTCTGACCGTTTCTGCCTGTATAATTGTGTTTTTGTTGTTGTTGTCGTTGTTGTTGCTGTTGTTTGAGACAGGGTCATGCTCTGTCACCCAGGCTGGAGTGCAGTGGCATGATCATAGCTCACTGCTAACTTGAACTCCTGCCTCAAGCAATCCTTCCACCTGAGCTTCCCAAGTAGCTGGGACACCAGGTGCATGTAACCATGCCTGGCTATTTTATTTTATTTTACTTTTTTCAGGACAGAGTCTCGCTCTGTCGCCCAGGCTGGAGTCCAGTGGTGTGATCTTGTCTCACTGCAACCTCCTTCTCCTGGGTTCAAGCAATTCTCTGCCTCAGCCTTCCAAGTAGCTGGGATTACAGGCGCCCGCCACCATGCCCAGCTAATTTTTGTATTTTTAGTAGAGACCATCTTGGCCAGGCTGGTCTTGAACTACTGAGCTCGTGATCCACCCGCCTCAGCCTCCTAAAGTGCTGGGATTACAGGCGTGACCCACTGCGCCCAGCCACCTGGCTAATATTTTTTAATGCTTTTTTGGTATAGACAGGGTCTTGCTATGTTGCCCAGGTTGGTCTCAAACTCCTGAGCTCAAATGATGCTTCCGTCTCAACTTCACAAAGTGCTGGGATTACAGGTGTGAGCCACTGTGCCCAGCATATTTGCTGTTTTTGTGGAAGAATGGAACTTTAGACTTCCCTACTTCACCATTTTTGCTGGTGTCACTCTCCTTTACTAGTATTAACAACTTATATTAGAATTTGTCACAATTGATGAACCAATATTGATATATTGTTATTAGCTAAAGTCCACTTTAATTAAAATTTACTTACTTTTTACCTAATTCAAATTTACTTAGTTTTTCCGTTTCAGGATCCCATCCAGGGTACCACATTACATAGAGTAGTCATGTCTCCTGAAGCTCCTCTTGGCTGTGACAGTTTCTCAGGCATTCTTTGCTTTTTATGATGTTGACAGTTTCAGGAGTACTAGTCAAGTATTTGGTAGAATGTTGTCAATTGGGATTTGTCAGTTCTGATTTTTTTTTTTTTTTTCATGATAAGGTTGGGGCTGTGAGTTTTTGGGAGGAAAACCTCAGAGGTAAAGTGCCACTTTCATCACATCTTGTCAAGGGTACATACTGCCAACACGACTTCCACTGTTGATATTGACCTTCACTACCTGCCTGAGGCAGTATTTGTCAGGGTTTCTCTACTATAAAGTTAATCCCCCAATCCTCTTTTCCATATTATATTCTTCAGGATGACGTCACTATGCATAGCTCATATGTAAGGAATGGGTAGCTATGTTCTACCTTTTATCAGGTGCAACATCTCCATAAATAATTAGGAATTCTGCGTGGATTTTGTTTCTTTCTCCCTACTTATTTATTTATTCATTTATAGCAGTGTGGATTCGTGGATAACTATTTTATACTTCAGGCTATAATTTAATGTTACTTACCCAACTTGTCCCAGCTTTGGCCATTGGGAACTCTTTCAGTTGGCTCCTGTGTCTTTGGGAATATTTTTTTCCTTCAGCTGGAGGACCACTGGAAGCAGGTTCTTTACCTGAAGCTGCAGTTGATGTTTCTGATACATTAGAGTCTAGTGATGATTAATATTTTCACCGTATGATCTCCAAAACCCTTTCTCTTCTTAGCTTTTAAATTTCACAAGTCTTTAACAGTATTTTCCTGTTATGGTCTTTTTCTCAACAAGAAACATCAAAAGCCTCTGGTATTTTTTTTTATTATTGTTTCTGTATACTTTTAAGACTGTTTCGGCTGGGTTTATAACTTTTTATTCAGCTTCTTATATGGGTCTGTTTACTTCTTTATTTCACATAGGGATAACATTGTTTCCCAGAACTAAGTGTCTTTTTTCTTTTTCCTTTCCCTTCACTCTCTGACCAAAACATTTGTTTTTCCAACTTTCCACTCTCAAAATTTTATCTTGAGAATGTCCCACATTAAGAGAGATGAAGTCGGTGAGTTCGATGTTTGTCACTTATCCCTTGTTCAAACAAGTCTTGATTATCTTGATCCTTATGAGTAGGAAAGTCCCATGTAAAAGATAATCTTATCAGACCAAGAGCTGATCCAGACCAAGTACTCAACTGGAATCATCTTGTCTGATTTCCCTTTAATAAGTCCTCTCTTTGCTTTACTTTTACCTGGAATAACAGTTCCACAAATTTTCCAAATATTTTTCCTCAGGGAACACCCGTGGCAATAATTTTGCTCATTTGCAGTTGACACAGATGCGTTTTCATCCTTTATACTGATTTTCCTGGGATTTCGGTCTGAAATCGGACCACATTTTCTTAACCACTTGAAAGATCTATTCCAGTTTTGAAGGAAAAGGTGATTTGATTGTTCTTACAATAATGCTGATACTTTAAGAGGAGTTTTAAAAAGCAAGTGTGATTCTTAGTCTTTCCAGGAAATCATTATATCTGCTCTCCAAGGCTTTTCCTTTTCTTATCTGATAGATTTTTTTTTTTTTTTTTAGGTACTAGTGTTTCTTTTGGAAATGGCAATAACTAAAATGTATTGCTCTTTTCTATTACCTTCTTCAAGAGAAGTTGGACCTGAGTATATTGACTTTTTAACTTTATAGTTATCTCTTCCAGCTACTAGCATTTCATTTCCCCTTCATATCTGCCCAGTCTGTGTTTTGAGATCCCAATATTTCTTTTAAGGCAGTATCTTTCTCATTACTACTCAGTTTGACACATTCTATTTTATTTTCCTTCTTCTGCTACCATTGCTCTGATAGTAAGAAACTATCAGAAAATGAGGCTCTTTTTTAAGCTACTCAAGTTATTTCTTGATTCTTGGGGTAAATCGGAATCATGGAGCCAGAAGGCTGACAGGTATAGTCCTTTAAATTGCTTTCTGAATTTTGGGGCATGCAATAATCTCAGTCACTTATTTCTGAACCTCAGCCTAGGAAGAGGGCATTTTCTCTTTATACAAAGAGTTCCTATATTTTATTTTAAATGTTAATAAAATCCACTTCCCTCCTATAATTGCAGCTGTAGTTTGAATCTCCAAACTCTAATAATGAGTGTCTTTCCTTTAATTATTAAACTCAGAGTCTACTTAACACCATGTGGTTGAGGTGACTTAAGTATATAAACATACCACTTGAATTCGTTTGGTTTTGTCTCCTCCAGTGCTCTGTCACCCTAAAACCACTTCAAAATAGCATGCACACATACAAAGGAACACAATTTGGTGAAGTTTAGGTAACAGTCAGGTATACCTGTGTCTGGAGTTAAGAATTTTAAGCTACAAATTTACTAGAGCTTGTAACACATTTTGAATTCAGTCACTGTTCAAATATCAGGCCTAGCAGGTGAGACTTGGCCAAGAAGCCCATTGCATTGAGAGTATTCAAGATTTTGTGCTAGGAAATAATATATACATAAATTTGTAACATTTGTGTTACATCATGAGAGTTCAAGTTGCTGAAAAATTACTTTTATCACTGGAGTTTTTCCTATGTAATATCAAATCTTCACTTTTGGCATGGGTAATATGTGACTAATGATGGCTTCTCAATAATCCATTTCCTCTGGGAATCAACTCCTGACCCAAACCATGCTGCCAATGCTGGGAGTGGGTCTCTGCTACTGCAACCACTTTGTTTTATGATATTAGTAGCCAGGCAATGATCTATAACCTCATTTATTTTTTTCCAGCCTGTGCTTTTTGAGATGTCTTAGTTTTTGCAGAAGTTTCGAGGAGACTTTAAGGATGAGAGTGATAGGTAGGGGTTTGAGGGGGTGACTGTGTGTCCAAAGATTCCAGCTCCCTCATCCTCACTTAGCCTAAAATCAGTCTCTCTCTTTCTCTCTCTCTCTCTGTGTGAGACAGAATATGTATATTCTGAACATATACATATATATGTATATGTTCAATGTAAGATTTCATTTGAATAGAAAGATATGTTGCTATGAGACAACTGAATGTTACTACTCTCTGGAGACATAATAATTCTTTCTTTCCCACCTCATTAGGTTTCTAGTAGGGAACAAATAAAATATACATGTAAAAAGCCTGAAGGAACTTTGCAACATTGTATGAATGTGAGTGAAGACTGGGACCTTGCTTTTCTTGTACTGGTGTGCCATTCTATCATTTGTTTAGGTAATAATTTACACATTTTAAAAAACATTGTGCCAAGTATTTGTGGGGCTGGGACAACACAACAGATGATGACCCAATATATTAGTTAGCTAGGACCGCTGTCACAAAGCATCACACACCAAGTGGCTTAAGCAACAGTATTTTTCCCCCACAGCTTTGGAGGCTGTAAGTCCAAGATCAATGGTTGGTTCCTTTTGAGAGCTGTGGGGAAGAATCTCTGCCATGCCTCTTTTGCAGTTCGCAGTGGTTTTCTGGCAATCTTTAGCATTCCTTGACTTGTAGATGCATCACTCTAATATTCACCTTCATGTTTATATGACATTTTCCTTCTGTGCAGATCTGTGACCACATTTCTCCCTTTCATAAGTATATCAGTCATATACTTATATGTGACTGGTATATGGGACTGGCGAATTAGGGGACCACCTCACTCCATATGACCTCATCTTAAATAATTACATCTTTAGTAACCTTTTTTCTTTTTCCCAAATAAGTTCACATTCTGAGGTACCTGGGGTTAGGACTTCAACCTATCAATTTTGGGGAGTACATGATTTAGTCCATAATACTCAGATTATCATCTGCCTAACTTTAAAAGTTATACGTAAAACTAACAAACTAACAAAGAAAATATGTTTTATTCTCCTCCAATAATAAATATACTTTTTTAAACACCTGGAGAGATGAGCTTTTTGGAATCCTTAGAGATCCCTGCTGAGTTATGATGGAATGGAAAGAGCTGGTCCTTATCCTCAACCTCCTTCATGCCCTTCTATTTATTCCTGCCCCTGGCTCCATCCTGCCCTGTGGTTGCCTCATGCATATGTCTGTGAACAATCAACTGGCACATTCCAGCGACATTCATATACCCTGCAAGGAGCCTTCCCTTGGTTATCCTTGGAGCCCAGGCATTGCTCCCATTGGTGGTGAGTCTGACTTCAGATGAATGGATCTAGAGAAAAGGCCTTCAAAGGCTGTTCAGGCCGGAAGTTCCAAGGTCCTTAGGTACCTAGACTGTGGTCTAGAATGAGGGCTTTGGGTGTTTCTGAGTCACAACTAGAGAAGGCAGGGTTCTTTATGGTGAGGACACCAGGGCAAGAACTTCTCTTGCCTGGATCTAAGTCTCTACTGTCAGTGAACTAAACTTCCTGATAGTCTTATGGCTAATTGCCTAGTGAAGGGAGACAAAGCATAAATAATAAGCAAAATACATAAGTAAATTATATAAAATATTCAAAGATGATAAGTGCATAAGATAAAAGTGGTGTAGAGTAGGAAAGATCTGGTGTGTTTCCAGGGACAGGGCAGCTTGCAACATCTCACATAGGGTGTTCAAGGTAGGCAGGGCAGAGACGGAGACATCTGAGCAGGATTTGAGAGAGGTAAGGGAGCTAGGCAAATGGATACAGGGCACAAAGGCACATTTTGGGAAGAAGGAGTTGGCTGATCAAAGATCCCAGGGATGAAGCGTGCCTGGAGTGTCCAGGAGATACAAAGGAGGCCAGTGTTGATTGAATGTTATAAGCATAGGAGGATATAATAAGAGTTAAAATCAGAGAGATGAGGATGGGAGGTCAGATCACATAGGGCCTTTTAGGTTATTTTAAAGGCTTGGGCTTTTACTCTGAGATTAGAAGCCCCTGCAGAGTTTTGAACAGAAGAATGATATAACCATTCCCATTGCTGTGTTGAGAATAGACTATAAGGAGCAGAGTAAGCATAGAAAGGAGGAGACTGTTCAGAAGGCAATTATATAATCCAGGCCAAGGATGATAGCAGTAAGTTGGACCAGAGTATTTTCAGGTGGAGAGTGATAAGTGGTTGGTGATTGGATTTGGGAAATATTCTGAAGGTGGAGCCAACAGGACTTCCTGATGGACTGGAATATATATATATATATATATATATATATATATATATATATATATATATATATAGATATATACACACACACACACACACACACACACACACACACACACACATTTATATTCCAGTTATGTAAATAATAGGTATTTCGTGTATTTCAAGTGAGCCCGTATCAGCTCTCATATCAAGCACTCAAAATTTTCAGTAAATAAATGTATAGACTTTCATGTGTTTATATGGTAATGTAAATGAGCATACAAAATAGCTTAATTTTTTTTCATACACAGGAAAACATTTAATTAGCAAGTGTTTACATTTTTTCAGTAATTTGAATGGCAAAGATTAAAAAAATTCCTATGTAATTCTCTTAAAAAAAAAATGTGTGTGTATACACAGACACACAGACACACACACACACACACACACACACACATATATATATATATATAGAGAGAGAGAGAGAGAGAGAGAGAGAGAGAGAGAGAGAAATTTGGGTTAGCTTCAAGTTTTTTGCTCTTAACAACTGAATGATGGGTTTGACATCAACTAGGAGGGGAAAGGATGTGGATAAAACAGGTCTGGGGGAAAAGAACCCTAATATTTTCCCTGATCCCTGTGTACTTTTGGGGATACTGAGTTTGGGATATTTATCAGCAATTCAAGGGAATATTGAGTTGGCAGTTTGTTACTCATCTCTGGAATCTGGGAGGTATTCTGGGCTGGAGTTATAAAACTGGGAATCATCAGTATTCAGATGATATATAAAGCCTTGAGAGATGAGATCATTAAAGGAGTTAAGCTTGATGGGAAAGGGGAGCAAGGGGTGAGCCCTGGGACACTCCAGCACTGGAGGTGGTGGAGAGGAGCATGCTCCCACACAGAAGACTAAGAAGGAGAAACAAAAAGGCAACGAAGCTAAACTAAACTATAACTAAAAGGAAGCACAAGAGGATGTAGGGTATTGGAAGCCAAATGAAGAAAATATATCCAGGAAGATAGAGTTACTCATTGTATCCAATACTGTTGACAAGTAAATCAGAATAGTTCTGAAAAATAACCTTTGGATTTAGCTAATTGGAGGTCAACAGTGATTTTGACTAAAGTAGTTTCATTGAAATGGTGGGAGCAAATACCTGCTTGTAATGGCTCTAAGAGAAAATTGGAGGTGAGAAACCAGAGGCAGTAAAGACAACCATTTTGAAGAGTTTTGCTGCAAAGAGGAGCAGGGTAGTGGGTCAGCAATTGGCAGGGAAGTGGGGTAACGAGAAAGTTTTAATTTTTTGATGGGAGACATAACATCATGGTTGCATGGTGTCCAGAATTATCCATTAGACAGTAAAGAAATGATGATTTGAGTAGAAGAGGATTTCAATAGCAATGTTTTGGAGTAGGTCAGAGGAGATGGGATCAAATGTACAAATTGGGAGACTGGTTTGGGATAGGAGCATGGGTAGTTCTTCTCTGGTAATAAGCAGAGAGGTGGAACATGGAATTTGCTTACCTGGATAGATGCAGTTGTGGAAATCTGTGGCAGTTTCTTTTTACTGATTCTAATTTTTAAGTGATGTAGGAAACAATGCCATCAGCCAAGAGTGAGGATTAGGGGAGGAGTTGCTGAGGTTTCAGCAGACAGAAGGGTGTATAATCGTCTAGCAGAAAGGGAGAGTAATAGACTAAGAACATACAGAATTAAGGGCTCACTTGACTTGCATGATCACGTATTTCAAATGAGCCCATATCAGCTCATATCACATACTCAAATAATTTTCAATGAATACATTTACATGCTCATATGATATAGAGGAGGTGATGGGAAAAAGCTTAGATTTTTTTTCATTCATACACAGGGAAACATTGAATAAGCAGGGATTTAAATTTTTTCAGTAATTTGAATGGCAAGATTAAAAAATTTTTTTGATTGTTTTAAAGAATGTGGCATAGTGCATTAAATTTTACCCACTGTGCAGGTGGAAATCTGTGGGATTGTTTGCCCTGGTAATGGTGACTACGAAAGTAGGTTCAGAAGCAGGAAAATAATGTGCACAGATAAGAAATTTGATCAGAAGGGAGAGTTTCAGAGTTTGAGATCTTGGAGTCCAGGCATAACCAAGTTTAAATCGTGCCTCTGGGTGGCAGAAATCCAGTGACAATGAATTGATTGGTGGTGAAGAGGGTGAAAAACTACAAAGAAGTTTCTTCCAACAATTGAATGTAAGAATTTCAGGATTTATGTTTTGGTTTTCTGATAGAAAATAATATAGCATTCTGCTGAAATATACCAATTCCCTCAATAAGTAAGATTATGAGTAGGTATAAGTATATATAATTTAAGTTTTAAAAATTGATTACAGATATACCTAGATCTTGAATTAATTGATGAGGTTTATTTGATTGTCTTTCTTATAAAATACATTAAAAATACTGCTTTTAACTGTAGGCACACAATTAAAACAAATGTAAACCTATGTTTAATTTAAAATATATTAAAATGATTTAATAAAGGTCTTTTATTATTTTACACATCAAATTTCATGCAATCAGTACTCCACTGAAGGAGAAAAGATTATGAAAAAACAATGAAAGCACAGGTAGAAAATAAACAACACAAAAGACTAATTCTGATTTTTTTTCTGTGTCCTTAATACCCTGTGCTGTCTTTGACAACAAAGATGCCTTACTTATGTGATTCAGAGGCCCAGAAGTGAAAAAAATACAAGTAGTTAATGAATAATGCATATGTTCATAGCAATGGTCAAATTATACTGTTTCCTAATGGATACCATTTTTCTTTATCGAGTGGGACACTACAGAGTCGGATGTTAATTGCTCCCACAAATACAGTTTTACTCTTCACAATAAGCATTAAGACATGTCCTTGGAGCTCTGTGACTTCATCATATACTACCTAAAAACGGAGAAAATAATGAAAATATAAATCAGAAATGCTTAAATACATCTCTTTTTTGAGTATTGCTTTTAATAAAAAAAATTAGCTGCTAATATCTTATACCCTGGAATAGATAGGTTAATGTCAGACTCTTTTATTTCTAACTTTTATTCTGAAAAGCTGAAGTTTCTGCTAACACAATAGAGTTTAATGACAGGCTATTTTTGTAAGAATCCTAGAATTTACTGATTCCACTAAGAATTACCCACTCTATATTTAGCAAGATGGTAAATTACTCTCTAGGAAGAAATTTAAATATACTTCACCTTTTATACCCCATAAATATGTACAGCTATTATGTATTCATAAAAATAAAAAGAGAACATCATTCTTCTGTGTTGAAGGTTAATGAGGAAAAGCAGACTATTTTTTTTTTTTTTCAATTTTAGATTCAGGGGAATAGATGTGCAGGTTTGTACCAGAGGTATATTGCATGATGCTGTGGTTTGGGCTTCTAATGATCATGTTGCCTAAGTAGTGAACGTAGCACCCAATAGGTAGTTTTTCTACCCTTGGTCTCCTTCTTGTTTCTTCTCTCTTTTGGAATCTCCAGTCTTTATGGTTCCCATCTCTGTGGCCATGAAACAGACCAATTTCTATGATTTTCCTGTGCTACTTAAATGCAGCACAATGACATTTTCTTGTGCATATGCAGGCATAATACTGTGGTTACTTTTATTTATTCAAAATTACTAATTTTTAATTATGAAAATACATGCTTATTAAATAAAATCTGCATGAAACAAAAAAAAATACCAAAAAGGAAGAAAATAATTGGAATTTTCACCATTGGGAGACAATTACAGTTAACATTTTGATGTTCTTTTTGTTTTCTATATATAATCACTTATTCAGAATCTGACTTGTAATTATGCTGTATATACAGTTTCACGTCTTGTTCTTTTTTTGTGACTTTTTTTTTCAAAAGGAATCTGGTCAGCTGTCCTTTTATAATGTTCAGGAAGTAAGTTACAGGTCCATCGGCAACCTGCAGTGGTAAAGCAACGTAAAGGCATAGTACCGCTAAGAAATTAGTTATTTATCATGAAAGGAGGAGAGAGCTGAGTGGAAATCTGGCATGGTTACCAGGGAAATGTCTTAGAACACATTTAGAAAAGGAATTTCATATGCTGCTACAAACTTGCCTGCTTTTTACAGCCAAGTCACAAGATAGAAACTTTCTCAATATATGCCAAAAAGAAGCAGAAGAGACAACTTGAGAGGGCAGCCCTCTGAGTTCACTGGGTGGCCTCCCCTGTGAGCATGGATTTAGCTTCCAGTACTTTGTACAGCATAGGCTTACCTTTCATTACGTTATCAATGAAATTCAGTTCCAGGTCAATCTGTTAGTGACTCTGAACAATGATTCACTTACCAAGTAAATAGGTTCAATCAAAGGGCATGAGATACAATATGATATGCGAATGCGGTCTACCCTGATCCATGTGAGTGTTCTTGGCTACCTCTTCTTCCAGAATTTTACTCTCATTCCATACAGGAGATTATGGTTTAGTTTTCTGGTGTTGCTCATTCACAATGATATTTTCTTGTACATATGCAGGAGTAATACTGTGGTTACTTTTATTTATTCAAAATTACTGATGTTTTAATTATGAAAATACATGTTCATTAAATAAAATCTGCATGAAACAATTTCATTTCATCTATTGAGTTTTCCTGGGATAATAAAGGATTTTAAGAGTTGCCTTAAAAAATCTCAGAACCCTACCACTGTAATTCATGCTTTTTAACAACTGGATGCCCAATGCTGCCTGGAAATCTTTCTAGGACTTCAGAGTAAACTCCTTTTCCTTTTCTCTAAGTGGGTATTTTGAGCTGTCTGAACTATTCTCCATTTTTCTTCCTACATCATGTTCAGCTGATGAACTCCTCTCTTATTTTACAGAGAAAACAGAAAGGAACCCTCAAAGTGTGACTGTATATGATGCAGAAAAATGGGGAAGTCTGGCTAAGGACTCTGTGAATTGCATGAATAAGTCATAAATTGTAAGTTTTTAAAAAACATATCAATAATTTATATTTTCATGAATCTGTTGTCAACTGTGTGTTTTCTCATTTGTATAATGATGATAATAATCCTTACCTTTTAGCATTATAGGGAGGAAGAAATGAGATAATGAATATAAGCCTTGCTACAAAGCCTGGAACATATTAGACACCAGTAAATTATAGCTGAAAAAGATCCATCAAATACACAAAAAGGAACAGTTGTTTCTTAGTATTTTGCATCAATTGACTGGAGAAAACCCTTCCAGACAGAATTGAGTCTTCCAGGTATTTAGCAAGCTGAAAGCTTCAAGAAATGACTTTAGGAGTTAATTGCTTTCCTGGTTAAAATACAAACATTTGAACTTCCAAAGTTTTTATTACTTCATATATTTTTTCCCTCTGCTTCATTAAGAAAAGTTATTTTCTTAAAAGTGACTGAAGTTTTATAAACCTGTAATCATTGCACATTATAGATGATAAATATCTATTCTGATTGCTTTGGTGCATCCATGATGTTGTTAAATAGTAAGTACTCTTTTCAACTGAGCAAAGAATAATTAGTGGCTAATGTTAGCGAAGTACAGAGATGATTATATTCTTTGAGACCTTTTCGTCAAAGGATTTAATATATATTCTGCATACTCAGAACAAAAAAAAATGGTTCTGGTACATACTCAGAACCAAAAATAAATAGCTCTTTTAATTTCTTTTTCTAATAATTTTTACCTATAGGCATGAGTTAAGTCTTTACTACCTTCTGACAAATAACTAAATGTGTGGGTTTGGAATTATTACGTCTAATAGAAAACACTTAAGGTAATTAATATCTATTAACATATACTGAACATTCCAAGAATTTACTGAACATTAGTTGACACAAGGGTCTAGTAAATAATTCTAAAGTGTATTTTCATGATTGAAATGAGAGGACAATAAGATAGGAACTGAAGTGTCTCTAGTGCTTGTGGGAAGTGGTAGAGGAGGCAGGATAATGAAAGAAAGAGTTCAAAAGCGAGAACAGGGGTACTGCGTGGGAGGAGACAGGTAGGAATAACAGCATAGTGTAGTGCGGTAACCATGAGCTTTGGAATCAGGCAGTTCTGGGCTTGACATCTAGTTGTGTAACCTCTGGGTCACATTGTCTTCACTTACAAATACAATTTTCATCATGTTGAAATTGCAATAATATTATAACACAGATAACAATAACTATAGCTTACTGAGTGTGCCATATACTTGGCATTGTGCTAAGTAATCACTGTATATTCTGCAGGAGATTTTAAGGGATGTAAAATGCATAGAACGTTCCTGTTCTGTTCTTTCTAATTTTCCCTTTACACCTTACAACAGAATAATATATAAGAAAAGGTTACAATATACAAAATATATTGATTATAAGCATGTAATTCTGTCATAGGGTAGAAATTCTGTATTTCTAATGAATTGTGTGAAAAATGATGGTTTTTAAGAAGATGGCAAAAGTAGTGGCGTGGAAAGAGGCTTTGGAGCCCGGAATCCCACCTCTGCTTCTTCAAGCTGTATGGCAGTTCCCTGAGCACTCACACCCCCAGCCCCAGACCCATCTTGAGACCAGCCATGCCTATCACTGGGATTTGTACATGACAGGGGTTTTCAGGGAGACTGCTGATGAAGCCTATTGGGGCTCACTCTGCGAAGTGTCAAATAGACAAGCTTGGCCCTGCATCAAAGCCTTAGTATGGGAAGGGTGGAGACTCTGTCACTTTTCTGTGTCCCCGACCCAGCCCCTCTCATCTCTGGATATTAAGGAGAAAGGAGGATAGGAATAAAAATAAAAAGAACTATTTTCACAAAAGGCTTTGTAAGACATTGGTATGCAGTGTAATATCTTCTTTGTACTCCTCTGAGAGATTTATATAAAGAGGAGAGTGAGGTCATCCTCTCCCACTTCAAGAACAGTACACGGCTTTTACAGTTTGAGAAATCCCAGCTGTGGTGAGTGGTTGATGCAGCAGTACTCAGTGAGGCGGCGGAAGTGGAGGAAAAGTTTAAAACAAGGTAGATGCCCTGTGATAACTCACTGGGCTCTCTAGTAAGCACTGGGCTTATTGGTAAAGACATCTAGTAAGGTGCTCTTGAGGTTGCACACAAGTGATCGAGGAGTTTGACACAAAGATGGGATCCTACATCACAACTGAGGGCAAGAGACAGTAAAATCAGAGTTAACATCTAGTGTGCTTCTTTGCATTTCTTATAAATATTCTTGTTGTGTTGATACAGGCATAGAATGAAAAAAATTAAATTAACCGTTGTTGCCTTTTTTTCCTTTTGGCTCTTGGAATTCACCCAGCTTCTTTGCCAGAATTGTTTATATGATTAGAAACCTCTTACTGTCCTAATGACTACTACTAAAATCATCACTTATACACACACTACTTCAAATTTCTGCTTGATTGGACTATGTTCTCATCGGAATTGGCTATGCATGGACCATGGCTTTCGAAGCAATTTAAAATGTGTCCAAAGTATAAAGTGTCTATTCATGCTACAAGTATAGATCAATTGAGAAAGATTTGTAGTGAGTTTTAATCAGTGGGTTATGGATGTGTGAGGACCTAGGTATTGCAAGCCCTCAGAAAAGTTATGTGCACAGCAAGAATTATAAAATAATTTTCCATGAATATAATTTACTACTGTTTTCTTATAATACATAAAGCTTGAAATAAAACACAAGTTTATTTAAATTGTTCTGAATTGTTAGTGGTTTCTTGTTATTATATGTTTTCTTATACTGAAAATGCTTATGCCTAACACAGGGTCTGAGAAGTTTCTTGATAGTGAGGCATGGAGACTTGTACTCAAAAAGTATGAAAAGAAACAGTGATATATTGTTGGGAAGTGTATGCTTCTCACTGTTGACATCATGACAAATAATAGTGTCAAAATATTTTTCCTTACCAGTTTAGAGAATCTCTCTCTCTCTATATATATATGCAGTATATACATGTATTTACATTTTATACACACACACACACACACACACACACACACACACACAGTGTCACTTATAAAACTGCCCCGAATATTTATTACACATCATTTTAGAGGTAACTAAGTGTTAAAAGTATTAAAAAGGATAAGACATTTAACCCGCCCTGGAGAAGTTTATGATATACTAGAAGAAAAACCGTGTAGGACTAAAGAAAGGATTATAAGTGTGGTGTGAGTCCACGAGGTGACAGTGTTTGCAGAGTTCACATCTGAGGTCAGTCTCAAAGCAGGCAGAGAAGGGCAGAGAGAGGTGAATGGTGGCATGAGTTCTATCACAAAATCCTACAGTCCATTCAGGGAATGACAAGCTGTCTGATGTGATCTGAAAATATGGCTAAGTATGGGATAACAAAAAGAGTATAAGAACACAAATATTCCCAAGTGATTTTTGACAAACGTGCAAAAGAAATTCAGTGGAGGAAGAATTGCCTTTTCAACAAATAGTACTGGAATAATTGGTATCCACAGTGGGGAAATAAAGAGCCTTGACTTAAACATCACATTTTATTAAAAATTTAACTCAAAATGGGTAATGTACTTAAATGTAAAATGTAAAGCTATACAACTTTTAGAAAAAACTATAAGAGAAAATCTTTGAGACTCAGTGCTAGACAAAGAGTTTCTTAGTTTCGACCCCAAAGGTACCATCTATAAAAGAAAGAATGAATGGAGGAAAGCCTGGTCTAAAAGTGCCTATGAGACATTCAGATGGAGCTCCCCAGTAATCAGGTAGAAGTGTGACAGAGGCCGGGCATGGTGGCTCACGCCTGTAATCCCAACATTTTGGGAGGCTGAGGCGGTGGATCACCTGAGGTCAGGAGTTTGAGACCAGCCTGACCAACACGGCAAAACCCCGTCTCTGCTAAAAATACAAAAATTAGCTGGATGTGGTGGTGGGAGCTTGTAATCTCAGTTACTCGGGTGGCTTAAACAGGAGAATTGCTTGAATCTGGGAGGTGGAGGTTGTGGTGAGCTGAGATTGCGCCACTGCACTCCAGCCTGCTAGACACAGAGTGAAGGGCTCCATCTCAAAAAAAAAAAAAAAAAAAAGCTTGAGAGAGAGAAGCCAGGGTTTTAGGAGTAAATTCAGATGCAACCTACCTATAGGTGATAAATAAAACTTTGTTGATCCACAAGATAAATGTGAGAGTATGTACAGGAAGAGGAGATGAGGATGGATCATGTGACTTCAGTAAACAATAATATTTTAAGAGAAAGAATAACAATGAAGGAAAATGAGAGAGGTGGTAGAGAAATGGAAATAAGTGGTAGAGAAATAAGTGGTAGAGAAAATGGAAGAGAATTAAGAAAAGGTACAACTCAAAAAGCAAAACGGAGGTTTCAGGAATGGGGCTGTGGTCAGTAGTGCTGCTGTATAACTGATCCAGGCACGAGAGCCTGAGGGCTCTTTGGATTTAGCAGTTAGGAGTCTATTGATGCCCCTTGAATAAAGTACTATCAATAAAGGTCAGAATCCACATTGCAAAGCATTCAAGGGTGAAAGGGAGAGATGAAGGGAAAGCAGATCATGTGGGTTAATTTTGGATAAGTTTGGAGGTGATAGTGAGGGAAAGAAAATTTGCTTAGCAAGCCTGAGTTGGGGAGTTTTTGTTTTTGTTTTTTAATATTTCTGAGTGGAGGATCCTGTGGATGAGACAGCCATAAGAAAAGGAACACAAATAAGCAGCTGAGCAAGGTGCAGAGGAGATGGGAAAGGATGGAATCAAGAGAATAAATGTAGGGGCTTGCCTTAGAAAGAAGTTAGGGAATTGCACATTACAAATAAATTAGAGAGCTATTTATAATATACATTAACTTCCATTTGTATTTTGTATTTATTTTTTTAGTTTTTCAAAAGAGATTTTATGAGATTTACTGTTATACCCAAGGTAGTATATGATAAAATTATTAGGTAAGGAAAATCAGGTAAAGGAGAATAAGGTTAGAGAAAATAAGATGAAGTCAGGAATAAAGTTAGTATGCAAAACAAGTCTTGGGCTCTTGCTGGAGGTTAGCCATACTTGCAAATTGGTTTATAAGAGCTTTGAAAGCAGTATCTGTATTTTCCAGTGCCCATAGCATCTAGAAGAGTGATCAGCATACTGCGACTACTTTGGAAAATATCTTTCCTTTATGAAATAATGCTGCCAATTACTGCAAATTTTCCATATTTGGTTGTTAAGCTGAAAAATGGTAAGAAAAATACAAAATGACTGGACAAAAGGTGACTTATACTTACAATTTCATTGTAAGTGGGGTCCGTACATTTTGGAACAGATTTTGTTTTCCTCCTACGAACTTCACTGGGATATGGTAAAAGATAAAATTCAACATGTGCACTGGGCGCAGAGCCATCTGGGAGATGCTGCAAAGGAAAATGGTTATAAATATTAATGCATGTTGCTATCAAAGAAAACAAATACAGAGCTACTAAATATCCAGACCAAAGGCAGGATCAGGATTTATTACAGTCACTTTGTTGATGTGAAAATAAGAGAAAATCAAAAGAAATTCATCCATGCTCAAAGATAATTCCAAACTACAGTTTAAAAGAGTAAAGCTGGCCATCTTAAATTAAGTGTTGTGTCAGAGAACTACATTTAAAGTCCATTACATATAATTTACTTTAATTTTTTGCTGTAAAATCTAAATTTGCATTTTGACAGATATGGTCAAGAGATAAATATTAGCCACAAGCAGAGACAAAAATATGAGTGTCAGGATGTGGTACACCACTTTTGAAAATTAAAAAATTCAAGTTCAATATATAAAATGAGATGTAGCATTTAATAATATGTATATGTATATTATATAATATCACATTTTAAAATAAAATATAATTAAAATATTAATTAGAGCTATAACTTTAATATACCTACAAGATTTAAAAATGATTATAATAATTTTATCATCTAAAGTACTCTAAATTATGTTGGATAATCCCTTTTAAATTATGTTCTATGGTGCTCCAAAAGTTGCCTAAGGCAGTTGCTGAATAGCATGGCTAAATGGGTGGATCTCTGGACCTCCACTCCCCAGTTCTTCCTTAAACTCTCTCCTCCTCAGCTCCCCTTCCTGGCTTCAGAACTTGTTTCCACCTTTTCCATCTTGCCTTCAAATCTGTTATGGATATGTTAATTTCTAAATAGATCATTTGAAGAATGACTCCCCTGTTTCAAAAATTTGGAAACCATCATACTTGAAAGAAATGGATTTTACCTTTGTGATCTTGACCAACTGTAGAGTAAATGGTACTAAAACTCTGAAAGTCTAGTTTTATAAAATGAGAAATATTTGTATAATTTATATTTAAAGCAGATGATTTAAAAGTAAAATTTGAGGAATTAAGTGCTTGTTTTGTTTACTAATTCTATTAAATCAGTAATTTTCAAGAAATATATTTTAATGCTCTGAAATACAGTGATATTCACATGTGAAAACCAGTGCACCCCCACACCCAGCTCCATTAGCTTTAATTTCACATCTTTCTTCAGAACTCAAAAAAACGTGTAGTAAAGCAAGAAAATATGATATATATTATTATAGGACTAAATTTTATTCAGTTCTAAATTACATATTAAAAATTATATCATTAGACAGTTTGGGTTTTTATTATAATTATTAACAAATAAGATAAAATATATCTGGACACCCTCATTTGTCAATATGTTAAGAATGAGGACCGGTACTTTATTGGAGCTCAAGGTATACCTCTGCCATTTGATATCCTCCCCCAGGAGGGGGAGCACTGAAATCTATCAATGGTATAATGAAATCTTCAGTGACACAGAAAGAAGTTGCTATTAATATTTGGGAGTAGATTTTTTTTTTTTTTTTTTTTTGGTGAGAAGAGTGAAGTAGTAAAAGTGTTTCTGCTCTGTTTAACTCTCTGTCTTATCTGTTTTGGAACTTGAGGATATCCTGCCTATAATCCCTAGATACTGCAACTTAGTGGGTAAAACTTAGTGGGTAAAACATGTTTCTGGAAATGGATTTTCTGATTGCAAATCTGGGTCCCCAAATTTGCCAGCTATGTGGCTTTAGACAGGTATGATGGTTAGTTTTGTGTGTCATTATGGCTGGGTCGTGGGATGCCCAGATATCTGGTTAAACATTATTTCTAGGTTTGTCTGTAAGGGTGTTATGTGGCTCAAAGACTGCATAAATGACCTAAAACTTCTATGTGTGCCCTGAAGGAGACCCTTATCTCCTGTACTGTGGGGCTGAGATTGCTTAACACCAAATGCAGAATCTCAGCTTGACACTGGTTGAATTACAATGCGAGTTGAACTCCAAGCTTCACAAAGTGTCTACTGTTAAAGTGAAGCATTGATGAGATTCTGTAATTTGGGATGGGTTGTGTAGAAAGTCGCTGATCAAGTTTGGAACATGGAGCTCCTAAATTCTGATGAGCCTTCTTTTCTAGTGGAAGTGGCCTCCTTACCCCAGTGGTGTCTCCTCTACTTCACCTCCAACCTCTGAGAGGATCAGCTCTGCACTGTCTGAGCAAATAGTGATAGCCTCCTCTGAGGCAGCTGCTATGCAAGACAATTTTAATTCTCCTGAGAACCCCTTTACCTCTACCCCATGTCTCATCTCTCTCTGCTTCTAGCCCTATAACCAAACTCAAATCCCAGCTGGCTTCTAAAGTTGAGGTTCAAAGTGTGACCCATGAAGATGTGTGCTACACTCCAAAATAATTACTTGAGTTTTCTAATTCTTACAGACAGAAATCTGGGTAACAGGTGTAGGAATGGACACTAAGGGTGTGAAATAATGGTAGAAAGAACATAAAGTTATATTAAGTTAAATTTTTTTGTTGTTTCGGGCTCACTAAGCAGAGATTCTTCATTTAATGTTGAAGCTTGGGGAATCAGAAAGGGTTCTAACAGTGTGCTGGGTTGGCTGACACATGGACCAAAAGGTGGACAGGCTGGACCTGCCTTGATTTAATGTAGCAGAAAGGATTAAAAGCATATGGAGAGTGGATTCGTCATATAAGACCCACACTGAGAGTAATCAAAAGACACAATTTTCAACAACACTGTGAGAAATAAATTTGTGAGGGGAGGCCCAGCATCCTTGAAAAGCTCTGTGATCACTCTTCTCTGTAGGCCAAGCCTCACAGTAGGACCTGCAGTCACTGAATTGGGAAACCTAAATGCAACGGGGGTAATTAGATCCCAGTGTGGCAGGGGCCAAGTTGCCTTGCTAAACTGCCAAGGTCAGGGTGGGTGTGGTTACCATAGCGGACAGCAGGGCCAAAGCAGCTATCAGAACAGTCTGATTCCTGCAGACGCATGATGTAGGCTAGCTTTTATGTGTTCCTTGAAGTGAAATCAATAGGAAGACTACAAATTCTTATTTCATTTTTTTGTAAAAAAAAAAAAAAATATCTAGGTCAAGTGAACAAAATCTTACCTGAATCATAAAAACAGAGAGTTACGGCCTCTCAATTAATTCCTAGACTTGAGTCAGCTTACAGATCCAGAAACCCTTGAATGAAGGAGAGACTGGGTCCCCTTGAGGAAAGACTCTTGGATACTATCCAAAATTTATACTGTTAATCTTTATTCAAAGGGACCTATGGGTTTTTACGAGGAAAACTGTGCACTAGGGGAAAGGATATAATCAGATCTTTTGGGAACTACTGGACACTGGCTCTCAACTGACACTGAATTCAAGAGACTCAAAATGTCACTGTGGACCACCAGTCAGAGTAGGGGGCTTATAGAGGTCAGGTGATCAATAGAATTTGAGCTCATGTCTGTCTCACAGTGGGCCCTGTGGATTCTCAAACCATCCTATGGTTACTTCTTCAATTCTGGAAGGAATAATTGCAATAGACATAGCAGCTCACAGAGCCCTCACATTGGTTTCCTGACCTGTGAAGTGAGGGCTATTACGGTGAAAAAGGTGAAGTGGGAGCCACTAGTATTGCCTCTATCTAGGAAAATAATAAACCAAAGCCATGTCACTGGGGGGATTTCAGAGACTGGCACAACTATCAAGGACTTGAAAGACACAGGGGTTGGGGGTGAATCCCACCACATCCTCACTCAATTTGCCTATTTGGCCATATGGATGAATCTTGGAGAATGAGAGTGGATTATCATCAGCTTAACCAAGTGATAACTCCAATTGCAGCTGCTATACTAGATGTGGTTTCACTGCTTACACAAATTAACACATCTCCTGATACCTGGTATGCAGCTATTGACCTGGCAAATGCTATTTTTATCAATACCTGTTAACAAAGACCACCAGGGGTGCAGTGGCTCACACCTGTAATCCCAGCACTTTGGGAGGCCGAGGTGGGTGGATCACATGAGGTCGGGAGTTCGAGACCAGCCTGACCAACATGGAGAAACCCCATCTCTACTAAAAATACAAAATTACTGGACATGGTGGCACGTGCCTTGTAATCCCAGCTGCTTGGGGGCTGAGGCAGGAGATTCCTTTGAACCCACGAGGCAGAGGTTGCGGTGAGCCGAGATCGTGCCATTGTACTCCAGCCTGGGCAACAAGAGCGAAATTCCATCTCAAAACAACACAAAACAAAACAAAAACAAAGACCACCAGAAGCAGTTTGCTTTCAGCTGACAAGACCAGCAAATCACCTTCACCTTCACTGTCCTACCTCAGGGGTACATCAACTCTCCAGCTCTATGTCATAATTTAGTTCATATGGTAACACACTGGTCCATTACACTGATGACAGTATGCTAACTATAGACTTATTTGTGAGACTTTTGCATGTCAGAGGGTGGAAAATAAAGCTGACTAAACTTCAAAGGACTTCTATCTCAGTGAAATTTTTAGAGGTCCAGTGGTGTGGAGCATGTTGATATATCCCTTCTAAGATAAAGGGTACGTTGTTGCAGCTGGCTTCTCCTACAACCAAGAAAGAGGCACAATGACTAGTGGGCCTATGGGATTTTGGATGCAACATACTCCTCATTTGGGTGTGTTAGCCTGGCCCATTTGCTGAGTGACCTGAAAAGCTGCTTGTTTTGAGTGGGGCTCAGAAGAAGAGAAGGTTCTGCAACAGGTCCAAGCTGCTGTGCAAGCTGCTTTGCCACATGGGTTACATGATCCAGTAGATCTAATGGTGCTTAAAGTGTCAGTGGCAGAAAAGATGATGTTTGAAGGCTTTGCAAGTCCCTATGGTGAATTTCACCACAGGCCCTTAGGATTTTGGAGCAAAGGCCTGCCATCTTATGCAGATAACCTGTCTCCTTTTGAGAAATAGCTCTTGACCTGCTACTAGGCCTTAGTGGTGACTGAATGCTCAACCGTGGGCCACCATGTCGCCGTGTGCCCCGAGTTGCCCATCACGAATTGGATGGGCATCTCACTCATGAAGCCATAAAGCTGGGTGTGCATCACAATACTCCATCATCAAATGAAATCGGTATACGCATAATCAGGCCTGAACTGGCCTTGATGGCGTGTCACGATAAGTTACATGAAGAAGTGGCCCAAGTTCCCATGGTTTCCATTGCTGCTGCACTGACTTCTTTCCTCCAGACTGCGCCCGTGGCCTCATAAAGAGTTCCCTGCGGTCAGTTGACAGAGGAAGAGAAAGAAAGATGAGGCCTGGTTTACGGATAGTTCTGCATGATATACAGGCATCAGCTGAAAGTGGACAGCTTTAGCACTATAGCTCCTTTCTGGGATATCCCTAAAGGACAGTGGTGAAGGAAAATCCTCCCAGTGGGCAAAATTTCAAGCAGTTCACCTGCTTGTTCACTTTGCTTGGAAGGAGAAATGGCCAGGTGTGTAATTATACAGTGATCCATGGGTTGCAGCCAGTGGTTTGGCTGGGTGATCAGGGGCTTAGAAAGAATGTGATTGGAAAACTGGTGACAAGAAGATTGGGGAGGTAGCATGTGGATAGGTCTCTCTAAATGGGCAAAAAAAAAGTGAAGATATTCACATCCCATGTGAATGCTCACTGAAGGGTGACTTCATCAGAAGATTTTAATAATGAAGTGGATAAGATGAGCCATTCTGTGGATACTCATTAGCCTCTTTCCCCTGTCACCCTGTCATTGCCCAGTGGGTTCATGAACAAAGTGGTCATGGTAGTAGGGGTGGAGGTTTTGCCTGAGCTCAGCAACACGGACTTTTATTCATCAAGGCTGACCCAGCTACAGCCACTGCTGAGTGCCCAAAATGTCAACAGCAGAGACTGACACTCAGTTCCTGAGATGGCATCATTCCCCATGCTGGTAAGCTATCTGATGGCCGGTTGATTACATTGGACTGCTTCCATCATGAAAAAGTGGTGTTTCTTCTTACTGGAATAAATACTGTGAAAATGGATTTGCGTTCCTTGTGCAGTTTCTGTCAGAACTACCGTCCATGGACTTGTAGAATGCCTTATCCACCACAGTATTCCATGTGAGGAGTACGTTGCCTCCAAAATCCCATAGGCCCACTAGTCATTGTGCCTCTTTCTTGGTTGTAGGAGAAGCCAGCTGCAACAACTTATCCTTTATCTTAGAAGGGATCTATCATCATGCTTCACACTATTGGACCTCATTGTTTATGATTATGGGACTCACATCACAGCAAAAAGAGCATGGCAATGGGCCCATGTTCATGGACTTCACTGGTCTTACTATGTTCCCCACCCTCCTGAAGCATCTGGTCTCTACAGAACGATGAAATGGCCTTTGAAGACTTAGTTACAGTTCAAGTTAGGTGGTGATACCTTGCCAGGCTGCAGCAAGATTCTACAAAAGGCTGTGTATGCTCTGAACCAGCATCCAATATATGGCGCTTTCTCTGATAGCCAAGATTCACAGGTACAGGAATAAAGGGGTGGAAATGGGAATGGCACCACACACTATTATGCCCAGTGAGTAACAAGCAAATTTTTGTTTCCTGTTCCTACACCCTTACACACTACCAGCCTAGAGATCTTAGTTCCTCTAAACCGAATCATAAAAACAGAGAGGAACGTTTCCATTGGGAGGCACAACAATGATTGCATTGAATTGAATGTTAAGACTTCGACTCAGCCACTCTGAGCTCTTCAAGCCTCTGAACCACCAGGCAAAAAGGGAGTTACAGTTCTGGCTAGAGTGATTGATCCTGACTAACAAGGGCAAATTGGACGACTACTGCACAATGGAACTAAGGAAGAGTACTTCTGGAGTACAGGCGATCATTTAGGGCAACTCTTAGTATTACCATGCCCTGCAATTAAGGTCAACAGAATACTACAACGACCACTCCAGGCAGGATCACTAACGGCCCAGACCCGTCTTGAAGGTTTGGGTTACCCTACCAGGTAAAGAAACATGACCAGCAGAGGTATATGCGGAAGGCAAATAGAATAAAGGATGGAAGTAGGTAGTTATAAATACCAACTACGACAATGTGACCAGTTACAGAGATGACTATTTTAAGTATCATGAGTATTTACTCTTTATTTTGTAATGAACACTTAGTACGTATAGCAAATATCTTTGTTTTCTTTCCTCTTTTATTCTCTTATGTAACATGTGTTTATGTATATATTTGTTACGTTATTTGTTATTACATCATACTTTATATTAATATCATAGTATTTAAGCATTATTCATTTTACATCATAGTATTTAAACAATGAAATATCAAGGAGAAGAGTAAACATCACTCAAGGACTTTACCTCTTTCTGAGGATGGCGTTAGCATGTTTTTGGTTGTATGGAGCACAGTTGTATCATGTTTGGCAGAATTATGACATTACTGTCTTTACTTGAAGAGTAAGGACTGTTAAGGAGATATATATGAGTGGCAAGTTGACAGGGAGTGAACTCGTGATGGTTAATTTAATGTGTCAACTTGACTCATTCACAGGATGCCCAGATATCAGGTTAAATATTATTTCAGATATCAGGTTAAATACAGGGTATGTCTGTGAGGGGGTTTCCAAAAGAGATCAGCATTTGAATCCAGAGACCCAGTAAAGTAGATTGTCATCCCCAGGGTGGGTGGGCATTAATCTAATGCATCAAATCCTGAATAGAATAAAAAAGTGAGAAAAAGATAATTTATTCTTCCTTCCTGTTTCAGCTGGGACAGCAGTCTCTTCTGGTCCTCTGGGACTTACACCATTTGTACTCCTGGTTCTTAGGCCTTCAGACTTTGACTGGATCTACACCACCAGTTTAGTTTTTGTGAATCTTCAGTTTGTGGACAGCCAATTGTGAGACTGCTGCAACTCCATATGTCCATAAGCCAATTCCTCATGATCAATCTCTTTATGTCTATATTGATGCTTATGACTATGTCTGTATCCATATCTGTTTTCTATATCTCTATCTGTGTCCATATCTATACTTATTATTGGTTCTGTTTTTCTGGTGAACCCTAATACAGCAGGTATCTTAACTTTTCATTGGATGTTTCCTCATCTGCTAAATGAGGATAAAAATAATGCCTATCATGGGATTTTAAAGATTAAATAATATACCATGTAATGTGAGGACAGTACTTAAGCAGTAAGGCTGAATAAACATTGATATTATTTTTATTTCCTAGGAATTAAACATGAATATACTGTATGTACTGATTGGATAAGGTATCTCCAATGTATTATGACATTTATGTAGAGCAGGGTTTCTTAGTCTTGGCACTATTGACTCTTTGGGACAGATAATTCTTTTAATTCTTTGTTGCAGCGGGCTGTTCTGTGCACCATAGGATATTTTCACAGTGTCCCTGGTCTCCACCTACTAGATGCCAGTACCATCATCCTCCCAGTTGTGACAACTGAAAATGTATTCAAACATCATTAAATGTCACCCAGGATACAAAACTGACCCCAGTGGGGAACACTGATGTAGATGACTCCCAAATAAGAATCTCTAGTTGATCCCTAGGATCCCAGCCTAGAGATCTGTGAATATTTCCATCTGGATGTCTTCTTAGCATTCTTACACTCAATAAACTTCAATCTGAATCTATCTTCTATTCCTCCTCACTGTTCCAAAACAGATTTTCCCAACAAATTAGACTTTGTTAGTACTGCTACTCAGTTTTCCTGGTGCCCCCCTCATCCTTGATTTTCAAATCCACTATGTACCAAGATCGAACACCTTCTTTTTCGCTTTGGTTCATCTGCCACCACATATCTTTATTCCCTGACTTATTATAACTGGATTTTAATACTTTTTAGTCTTCTAATTTTCCCACCCTTTTCCTTCATTCATTCTATATACCACTGGTGTACTGAATCTTCCCATAAGACTGCTTTGATTACGTCACTTTCCTTCTCTGAACATTCGAGGATTCCCCATTGTATGAAGAATAAACTCCACATTACAGAAGAAGAAAATCCATTTGTATAGAGCCTTTTCCCAGCATTAAGTAACACTCAAGGTTTGGGCTTCTATTTCTAAGTTATTAGTGTCTTTGACGAGGTCCTTGAATATTGTGAAGTTTTTAGAATGATAGAACAGCACAGGTTTTAGTTGAAGTCGGGAGTGCATTAGATGTAAGCAGCAGGCTTAGTTTGTCCTTTAACAGCTTAAAACACAGACATTGATTTTTCAAATCTTTAAGAGAAACTTCTCTTCCCCCCAATGTTGTTGTCTTATCAACAGTAATTTGTTTTTCTTCTTACTAGCATCGTATCCTCTTCCTTCAAAGTCTCAAATAATTTATTAAAGAAATCACTAGCTGTCTCCTCATCAATACTTCTCATTTCATCCTTTGCCCTTATGATTTAATTATGCAAATTAAATTTTACTTTAAAATGATTAAATAACCACTACTTGTCTAAATGTCTTACACTGCAATTTTTTTTTTTAAACTCTGGCTGCATTTTAGACCTTCACAAAGACTTAACACTCCCCTGAAGAATGATTAGGGTTAGAGATACAGAATTCTCAGTCTGATCCTCAATATAAGCAATGAGAAGTTTCCTTATGTCATCTAGAGGACTTCCTTACTCATGGTAGGTTGAAATAAAGTAACAGTACTCTTTTCTTTTAGAATTCCAGGTAATAATATTACTGTGCTCAGAAGGTAATATGAAGTCATCTAACTTTAATTCTTTTTGCTCATACCAACTGAATTTTATATAGTCTAGATTTGCTGTTAAAACATAATTTTTCAGTGTTTTAAAAATAGTTTGATATGTATGTCATCTTCCTCATGAGGTACAAAATTATTTAAAGGGAAGGTCTATGTTTTGTTCCACTTCTTCCCCGACTCCACATTCCCTTGGGGCTTTGCTCCATTGGTTATTCACTACCCTACTACCCTAACCCCATCCTAGACCCTTCTTTCTAAGCTGTCAATATATTTCTAAATCTTCAATTAAAATTTAAAAGTTTTTGCTTGGAATCAGGCTTCCTTTCATCTTATTCTTTTGTTGTTTTTGTTTTTGTTTATTTTGTTTTTGAGAAAAAATCCCGCTCTGTTACCCGGGCTGGGGTGCAGTGGCATGATCTCGGCTCACTGCAACCTCCCTCTCCCAGGT
Source organism: Homo sapiens (assembly GCF_000001405.40). NCBI lineage: Eukaryota > Metazoa > Chordata > Mammalia > Primates > Hominidae > Homo > Homo sapiens. Next base: position 18,630,312 of record NC_000012.12, on the reverse strand, counting down.
TTGAGTGATTCTCCTGCCTCAGCCTCCCAAGTAGCTGAAACTATAGGCATGAGTCACTATGTCTGGCTAATTTATTATATTTTTAGTAGAGACAGGGTTTCACCATGTTGGCCAGGCTGGTGTCAAATTCCTGACCTCAAGGAATCTGCCTGGGATTATAGGTATGAGCCACCGCACCTGGCCCCCTTCATCTTATTCTTTACTTTCATAGTCATGCCTTCCCTTCATAATGTTCCTTTCTTTTATAGCAAATCCTTTCCTTAACACAGTGCTTGGTAGAGGGTGGATACTAAATAGTTATTAAATGACTGAGTCAATGAGGTGTGTATTAATAATATTTAGCTCTTTGAAAGTACTTCAGAGTTATTTGTTGAATCATCATTTGTAATGTAATATAAAAAAGATATTTAATTGAAATAGTTCCTGTTATCTATTGCAATATTTCTTATTGTAATACCAAGGAATAAAATGTCTATCATAGGGTAAAGTGAAAATATCTCGGGTTTATCCTAGGTGTTTACCCTAAACAGCTAGCCATCTGAAGGCATGTCTCTGATAGAAGTGACTTTCTCCTGCACATCATTTGGATTTTGTGGCTAATCAGGAGTAATCATGTCAAAGTCTGCTTGTCTCAATGCTCCACTTCTAAACTTTTGGCCTTATCCTATCTCTGAGTCAATATTAGGCAATTACACGCCAACTACCCTTCTTTATCCCCTCTACTCCCAACTGGAGCCAGACTTTATTTGTAACAGCATTATTCAAACTTAGTCCCAGAATTAATCCTTAGTCACCATCCTCCTCACTTTCTTTTAGAGACTTCATCTCTAATTGTGTTCCTTCCTTGGGGCCTTGTTTACTCCTCTGTGATATGCCTCATCACCTCTCCGGGTTTCTCCACCTTAACTCCTTGAAAATCTAGGCAATGAGCACAAGAAGTTCTTAAAATCTCCTAGGAGCTGATGATGACCTGACCATTTCTTAGGGACCTTGTAGGCAGAGACTGTGAGCTAAAGTTACATTTTTGTGCTGTATTCCTGTGCCCTCTCTCATATCTGTGCAAGTTCTCCCTCTCTGTTGTGCAGTACAAGGAAGAAACAAAAGAAAATCAGCACATTCCTTTGCTCTGGTGATATTAAGTTATTCAAAATTTATTGGAGAGGCATCGTATGGTGACCCATGGTTAGGCCAGGGGGCTGGATCCATGTTAACACCAAACATTCTCCACAGAGGGAATTAATACATTTCACTCAAGTTTGCTATTATTTTGTCAAATATATGTAAATGCTCTTGTTACCACAATTTTAATATTTTTAAAAGCACTGCTACATTTATAGTGGTTTTAAAAATTATTTTATATTTCTTAAATTATCAGATTATTTTTTCAGAGATGGGGTCTCACTACATTGCCTCAGCTGGCTTCCAACTCTCTGGCTCAAAAAATCCTCCTGCCTCAGCCTCCCAAGTAGCTGGAACTACCATGCCACTGTGCCCAGATAAATTATAAGATATTAAAAAGATTTCAGGGACACTTGATAGATAATTTTCTCTAAGTTTAAAAAGGTGTCCCACTACTTGGAAAGATTGGAAATGAAGACCTTAGGATCTTCTTAGAATTCACTAGTGAGGATACTTCTTTCTCAACTGAAGAGAGGAATACAGGGGATTCTTAGCTTAGTTATTATTTCAGGTTGCAAAACTTAAAATCTATGATGCATATTAGTAATTCTTTGTTCACAATGTTGACCTCTAAATGGTATTGTTTTAAGTACATGAATAATTAAATATACCAATCTTCTGCCTTTGTTTCTTGCCCCAGATTGCATATAGCATTTCAAATGGCTTTCAATGCTACTATTGTTCTTATCACCAACAAATTAAAATTATCTTAAAAACATGGGTAATATATCAAAACAGAAAAAAAGCAGTAGCATGTTAGTACAAAAACAAAGCACATTTTAAACTGTTTATAAAGTAAGTGAAACATCTAATATTATGGGGTATGCCAGCAACTCTTCAGTATTTTCATATGTGTATATGGGGAAAATATTTATTTTGCACTCATAGTAATAATAACAATAATAATAGCTATTACATAATGACTATTTACTATATTTAAAGAACTCTATTAAAATAATCCTCAGGCCAGGATTATCAGCTTCAGTTTATTGAGGAGGTTTTTCTATATAACCTATGTTCCTAATCACGATCCTATATTGATTCACTACAAAGAAAGACCAAGAAAGAAAGAGCACTTCTAGATCAAGTTTTACCAGGAATGTGATGAAGATACAGACGTGGTTTAAAAATATCAGATGCATTGGAAACTTCTGTAGATTAATCTAAGGCTTAATTGTATTTAATAGGTTATTATCTTTTCAATGAATAATTTATGAGAATTTTTCATCTTTTCTTTAGCTTAAATGTCTCCAATCATAGGATAATATAAGCTTTAGTGGAAATCAACTGATGATTAAAATATGATGGAACTATCAAAACCTGAGGTCTATACCAGAAACAAAACAACATAATATAAAAGCATTTTCTCATCTATGTGCCTGTCACATTGCAGTTTTTAAATTCAGGTTAGCCATCATGAAAAGGGTCTGTTTATAAAATAATAGTGTATAATAAAAGCACTTGCGATATGATTTGTTTTTGTGCCTCAGTTAAATGGTAGAATGAATAATGGCTGAGGAGTGATGTCAGCAAGATGGGGCAGAATAGGAGGTCACCTACTTATATCTCCTTACAACAAGAATTCTGCACCCATCCACAGGTCTATCTCTGTCAAAGAACACTTGTAAAGGCCAGAAAAGGTGGCTGCCTCCACAAATGCACAAACACCAATGCAAGGACACAGGTTTACAAAAACTCAAGGAATCATGGCATCTCAAAAAGAAACCAAAAATGCTCCAGCAATGACGCCCAAAGAAAGGGATATCTAAGAAATGACAGAAAAATAATTCAGAATAACTCCGTAAAATAATTCAATGAACTCCAAGAATATATGGGCAAAAAGTAAAATTTGGAAAACAGTACTTGAACAAAATGAGAAGTTTGAGAAAGAAATAGAAATGATTTTAAAACCCCAAAAATAAATCATAGAGAAGAAGAATATAATGACTGAACTGAAAAAATGCAATAGAAATTTTCAACAGCCAGTGAAATCACACTGAAGAATCAGTGAGTGTGAAGACAGAACATTTGAAATTATCCAAGCAGAGGAGCAAAAAGAAAAAAAAAATGGAAGAAGGAAAATTTATGGGAATGTTGGTACACCATCAAGAGACCCAAGCCATGAGTAAAAGGAATTAAATACAGAGAGGAGGAATACAAGGGTCACAAAGCATATTTAAAGAAATAATGGATGATAAGTTCCCTAATATGACCAAAAAAGCTAACATCCAAATATAGGAACCACAGAAATCTCCAATCAAATTCAGAATTCAACACAACATATAAGAATCAAACTATTAAAAAAATCAAAGAAAAAATTCTGAGAGCAGCAAAAGGAGTCCCAATACAACTACCAGCAAACTTCTTAGCAGAAACCCTTCAGTCCAGGAGAGAGAGTGGGATGATATAGTAGAAGTGCTGAAAGAAGAAAAAGCCTACCAACCAAGACTATTTTACCCAGAAAATCTGTCTTTCAAAAATAAGGAAGAAATAAAAACTTTCCCAGACAAACCATGCCATGGGAGTTAATCATCATTAGGCTTGCATTACAGAAATTATTAAAGGGAGTTCTTTAAACTGAAAGAAAAATTTGTTAGCTAATAACATGAAACTTATGAAATCATGAAATCTAATGGTATAAATAATACCGAACAACATTCAGAACACTCTTAAGACTATAACGGTGGTGTGTAAAGTAATATTATCCCAGGCACAAAGACAAAATTATTAATAAGAACTATAGCTAAAATAAACTGTCAAGGAATACATATTACAAAATAATATATATTCAGACATAAAAAACATAAAATGGTGTGTGAGGAGAAAAGTATAGAGTTGTTGTATGCAATGAAAGTTACATTGTTATTGGCTTGAAATAGACTGTTGTAAGCGAAAGATATTATTTGTAAGCATCAGGGTAACCAAGGAGAAAAAATCTATAGAAAATGCACAAAACACAAATAAAAATATTGAAAACATACTACTACAGAAAACCATCAATCCACAAAGAAAGACAGCAACAGAGGAAGAAAAAAACCAAGTATCTACACATAAATAAAACAATACAGTTAGTAACAAAATGATACTAGTAAGTCTTTACCTGTCAATACTTACTTTGAATGTAAATGTATTAAATTCTTTAATAAAAGATACAAAGTGAGGTAATGGATAAAAAAATACAGGATCTAACTATATGCTGTCTGCAAGACGTTCACTTCACTTTTAAGGACACACAGACTAAAAGTGAGGGGATGAAAAACAATAGTCTGTGAAAACTGAAACCAAAAAAGAGCAGGGGTAGCAATACTTATATCAGACAAAATAGACTTTAAATAAAAAACTGCAAAAAGAGACAAAGACATTGTATAATGGTAAAGGGGTCAATTCATCAAGAGGGCATAGCACTTTTAAATATATATGCTTCTAACAGTGGAAGAGCTATATGTATAAAGCAAATATTAAAGTTTCTGAAGGGATAGATTCTTCTCAATACAATAATGGTAGGGAACTTCGATACATCACTTTCACTAGTGGACAGATCATCCATACAGAAAATTAATAAGGAAACACTGAATTTGAACAACACTTTAGACCAAAAGGACGCAATGGATGTATCTGGAACATTCCATCCAACAGCAACATAATAAAGTTTTCTCTTAAGCACACACAGAATATTCTTCAGGACAGATCATATGTTAGGCCGTAATAAAAGTCTTAGAAAAATTAGGAAGATTGAAATCACAGCAAGTACCTTTTCTAACCACAATGATATGTGAGTAGAAATCAGTAACAGGAGGAATTTTAGAAAATTAACACATAAATAGAAATTAAACCACACACCCCTGAACAGCCAATAGGTCAATGAAGAAATTAAAAGGGAAATTAAAAAATACCTTAAGACAAGGAAAAATGAAAACATAACATAACAAAACATGAGATACAGCAAAAACAGGTCTAAAAACAAAGTTTGTAACAATAAATGCCAATATCAAATAAGAACAAAACTTGCAAATAAACAATTTAATGTTGTGCTTCAAGGAAATAGAAAAAGCAAACAAATTAAGCCCAATGTTAGCAGAAGAAATAATAAAGAACAGAGCAGAAATAGATGAGACTACAAAAACAAAACAAAGATCAACAAAACTCAGAGTTTGGCTTTTAAAAAGATAAACAAAATCAACAAACCTGTAGTTAAACTAAGCAGGAGAAAAAGAGAGGACTCAAATTAAAATCAGAAATTAAAAAAGTGCTATTACAACTGGCACCAAAAGAATACAAAAGATCACAAGAGACTATTACAGAGAGTTGTATGCCAAAATATTGGATAACCTAGAAGAAATGGGTTAATTCTTAGACACATATACCTATGAAGACTGAATCATGAAGAAATAGAAAATCTGAATAGTTCATTAATGAGAGAAGAGATTGAAGCAGTAATAAAAAGTCTCTCCTCAAAAAAAAGCCCAGGACCTGATGCCTTCACTGCTGTATTCTATCAAATATTTAATGAAGAAATAATACCAATTTGCCACAAACTTTGCCAAAAAAATTGATGAGGAAGAAATACTTCCAAACTCTTTTTACAAGACCAGCATTACCCTTACAATATAGGGAGAGAAGAAAATCACAAGAAAAGAAAACTACAGGCCAATAGTCTTCACAAACATATTAATAGACATGAAAATCCTCAACAAAATACTAGCAAATCAAATTCAATAACACATTAAAAGGATCATTGACGACGAACAAGTGGGATTTATCCCTGAGATGCAAGGATGATTCTACATATGCAAATCAATTAATGTGATACATTGCATTAACTGAATGAAGGACCAAAATCATGTAATCATCTCACTAGAAAAAAAGCAGCATTTAATTAAATTCAACATTCTTTTATGATAAAAACTTTCAAGAAATTTGGTATGGAAAGAATGTATCTCAGCACAATTAAGGCCATATATGACAAACCCATAGCTAACATCATACTCAATGGGGAAAATGAAAGCTTTTCCTCTAAAATCTAGAGCAGGAAAAGGATGCCTACTCTAACCACTTCTATTCAATATAGCACTAGAGTATCCATCCTGAGCAATTAGAAAGGAGAAAGAAAGAAAAGTCATCAAAACTGGAAAAGAAGAAGTTAAATCATCTTTGTTTGCAGATGGCATGATTTTATATATAGATAACTCAAAAGATTCCACCAAAAAACTGTTAGAACTGATAAATGAATTCAGCGAAGTTGTAGGGTACAAAATCAACATGTAAAAATCAGTAGCAATTCTCTAGACTAACAATGAACTTTCCAAAAAGGATATCAAGAGAATAATTCCATTTGCAATAGCTACAAAAAATATTTAGGAACAAATTTAACAAAGGAGGCAAAAGACCTGTACACTGAAAAATATAAAACATTAATGGAAAAAATTTGAAGAAAACACAAATACGTGGAAAGATAGCCTGTATTCATGGATTGGAATAATTAATATTCTTAAAATGTCCATATTTCCTAAAAGTGATCTACAGATTCAGTGCAAACACTATCAGAATTCCAAATTCATCTCTCATAGATATAGAAAAAAAGGAATCCTAAAATTCACGTGGAACCACAAAAAACTCCAAATTGCCAAGGCCATCATGAGCAAAAAGAACAAACCCTGAGGCATCATACTACCTGATTTCAAACTATACAACAAAATGATAGTAATTAAACAGCTAGTACTGGCGTACAAATAAATATATCAACCCAATGGAACAGATTAGAGAGCCCAAGAACCCCCACATGTACAGTCAATTGATCAACAAGAGTGACAATAACATACGATGAGAAAAGGACAGCCTCTATAATTAATGGTGTTGGAAAAATTGGGTATTCATATGCAAAAGAATAAAATTGAACCCTTATCTCACACCATACATAAAAATCAACTCAAAATGAGTTAAAGACTTAAATATAAGATCTTAAACTGTAAAACTATGAGAAGAAAAGTCAGAGAAAAATCTACATGACATTGGTCTGAGCAATGATTTTTTAGATTTGATCCCATAGCACAGACAACAAATGCAAAGATAGACAAATGGGATTACATCAAAATGAAAAGCTTCTGCACAGCAAAAGAAACAATAAACAACGCAAAGAGACAACCTATAGAATGGAAAAAATATTTGCAAGTCATATATCTGATAAGGAATTAATATCCAAATTATATAAGGAACTCAACTCTATAGAAAGAAAACAATTCAATTAAGAAGTGGGTCAAGAAACCCAGATAGACATACTTCAAAAGAAGACCTATGAATGGCTAACAGATACATGAAAAAAATGCTCAACATCACTAATTATTAGGCAGATGCATTAAAATCACAATGAGATATCACCTTACACCTGTTAGAATAGCTATTATCAAAAAGACAAAAGACAATTATCGACAAGAATGTGGAGAAAAGGGAACCCTTGTCACTGTCAGTGGGAATGTAAATTAGTACAACCATTTTTAAAAACAGTATGGAAGTTCCTCAGAAACTAAAAACAAGATTGCCATATAAGCCAGCAACCCCATTTCTGGGCATTTACATGAAATATTTGAAACCGGTATGTTGAAAAGATGTCTGCACTGCCATATTTATTGCAGCACTATTCACAATAGCTATATTATGAAATCAACCCAAGTGTCCATCAAGTAATGAATGGATAAAGAAAATGTGGTGTTTGTGTACAATGGAATATTATTAAACCTCAAAAGAAAAGAAATTCTGTCATTTACAATAACATGAATAGAACTGGAGAATATTACGCTAAGTAAAATAAGCCAAACACAGGAAGACAGATACTGCATGTTCTCACTTATATGTGGAATCTAAAACAATTGAACTCATAGAAACAGAGAGTAGAATGGCAGTTAACAAAGGCTAGAGGTGTGGGAAATGGGGAAATGATAGTCAAAGGTTACAAAGCCTAGTTAGACAAGAGAAATATGGGTATTTTTGAGATCAATAGCACAGCATGCTGAATATCACTAATAATTGAGTATTGTACATTTCAGTATCACTAAGAGCAAATTTCTAATGTTTTAATTACAAATAGTTAAATATTTGAGGTGATATATGTTAATTAGCTTAATTTAATCATTCCACGTTGTATTAAAAAATCATAATATCACTTTTGTATTTATGTCCCCCATACATATATACAATTATAATTTGTCAATATCCAATATAAAATAAATGGTAGAATAATCTTTCCAACGTGTGTGTGTGTGTTGATTGTTAATATAAAGGTGGAATAATTTCAGGTCTTTATGAATTAAATTAGCACGGTCTCGTACTTCATTTCACATCAGTTTAAGCCAGTAACAAGAATCTTATGATAAATAGGTGATTTTCAATAATTATTTTCTAAAAATAAGTTTAAAAATCTAACCACCGTGTGTCTAGCACTTTGCATGATTGTAAGAGAGCACAAAAAGGAGATCAGAATAGCTTCTGCCTTCAAAGAAATAACAAATTCACTAGTATAATAATCTTGTTATATACATATATGTTAATAACATATATATAAAACATGTTATACACATGTATGTTAATAACATATATATATAAAACATGTTATACATATTTAATCTTTGACTTGACGAAGTTATCAACTGGACAGAAGTCACAGTCTAGTAGATATAATTCTTTTTCTAACTCAATACATGCAAACTAAATTTCTTCTAAAAATTCAGAATTCTAATTAGATCCCAGATTTTGTCACTGAAGTGTCTTCTGAAGTTGGGCAAGTTTTTCTATTTCTCTATTTTAATAACATGTAGAAGTAAGGTTTTAAACTTCACTTATTTTTTAGAATGTACTAAATACCAAATGCTGATGAGTTGTTTATGAGCTAACAGGCAATTGAACTCTTTGTTTTTCTTTTCTGTTTTTTGTTTTTTTTTCAAATTGCTTTGAACTGCCTTAAATGATTCCAAACTTCCTGACACTCAGCCTCTATTCCCAGATGCTGAAAAAAATTGTACAAACAAGAGAAGATGAACTATCCATTGTTAGTGGTTATTGAGAAACTATACAAAACAGATAAAATACTGGAAGATTAAGTTCATATGTTTTTCTTACTACAGGGAGAAGACAGATTGAAAAAGAAGAACTTACTAATTTAGAGGTAAAATATAAGCATTTTCTACCTATATACCTTAGATACTTATCTTTATCCTGTACCACTAAACAGTTTTTATCATGGTTTAAAGAAATATATAGGTATGCAACGTGAACGTGTCAATAACCTGAGAATGAATGTGTCAATAATGTGAATATGCTGGATTAAATAACCAGGATTAAGAGGGACTGGAATGATGAATTGTATCCAACAAGGTTAAAAAGGATAGATTGAAGATAGATTGAATGTCAGTTTCTTCTTTTGGGTGTAGAAAACTCACTTTGCAAATTCAGAATATAAAAAAAAAAGTTGGCTTAGCAATAGCACTTGGGAAAGTTTAAAGAGTTATGGATGAGTATAGGTTCAATACATTTGTATGCCAGGGATTACTAGCTGCACCCTACAGTATGGTTACCTATCTATCTATCTATCTATCTATCTATCTATCTATCTATCTGTCTGTCTAATCATTTATCTATCTGTCATATGCACAAGAAGCCCACTTTAAATGTAAAGACACAAATAGGTTAAGAATAAAAGAATAGAAAAGCTATACCATGCTAATATTAATCAAAAGAAAGCTGAATTATCTATATAACCACCTGGAAAAGTATTTTTGAGGGCAAAAAATACTACTAGAAATAAAGATGTTCATTTTATAATGATGACAGGGTTAATTAATCAAGAGGACACAATCTTAAATTTGTATGCAACATTATACAAATTAAAAATTAGAGAGATTTTAATACCTTTCTCTTAATTATTCGTAGAACTAGTATACAGATAATTAGTAAGGCTATAAAAGACCTGAACAACATAATCAATGTGACTTAATTGACTTTCATAGACCCCTCCGTTTAACAGGAGAACTCATATCCTTCTCAATTGGACATGGGATATTTACCAAATGTGTCATGCCTGGGACATAAAACAAGTTTCAATATATTTTAAAAAATTAAGGGGCTGGACGCGGTGGCTCATGCCTGTAATCCCAGCACTTTGGGAGGCCGTGGTGGGCGGATCACGAGGTCAGGAGATGGAGAACATCCTGGCTAACATGGTGAAACCCTGTCTCTACTAAAAATACAATAAATTAACCGGGAGTGGTGGTGGACGCCTGTAGTCCCAGCTACTCGGGAGGCTGAGGCAGAAGAATGGCGTGAACCCGGGAGGCGGAGCTTGCAGTGAGCCGAGATCGCGCCACTATGGAGTGAGACTCCATCTCAAAAAAAAAAAAAAAAAATTAAAATCATACGAAGTATGTTCTTTGACCATAATGTAATTATTAGATATTAATAACAGATACATCTCTGGAAATTTTCCAAATACTTGAAAGTGAAACAGCATGTGTCTGAATAATCCAAAGACAAAGAAAAAATCAAAAGGGAAATTAGAAGAATTATAAACTGAAAGAAAATGAAAATATACCATACCAAAATTTTGGGGATACAGCTAAAGCATTACTCAGAAAAAAATTATAACACTAATTACCTATGTGATAAAAGATGAAACATCTCAAATTGGCCTTAGCTTCCGTCTTAAGAAATTAGAATGAGATTAAAATCTTTAGCTTTTTTTGTTTGTTTGTAGAGTTTGTCTGCTTGGGGCAAATTCTTTGTGTTTTTTTATTAGAATATGTATTTCTTTCTCCTTTGCTGCAGAGGATATTTTCTCTGGTGATAGAATTCCAAACTGACAGTTCTTTCCATTTTTGCCGACATTTTAAAGACGTTCCACTGTCTTCTACCTTCTGCTGTTTCTCCATAGTCTCCAGACTACATTATTTCACTATTCCTCCATATACCATATGTTGTTTTTCTCTGTTTCAAGATATTTTTAGATTGTTTTTAGTTTTCAGCAGTTTTATTACAATGTGTAATATATAATTAAATAATATATAATATAATTAAATTTATGTCTTTCACTAAGTTTCTGGCTATCAATTCTTCAAATATTTTTCTGCCCCAACCTCTTTCTTCTGTCTTTCTTGGATTCCAAAGGCACAAATGTAAGATCTTTAGATATTTTCCAACAGACTCCCAATCTTCTGTTCTCTTTTATTTCAATCTTTTTTCCTCTACGTTCTGTAGCTTGGATAATTTCTATGAGTCTATCTTCAAGTTCACTGTCATCTTCATTCTTCTCTTGAGTCCATCCAGCAAGATTTATCATTTTAGGTATTTTATTTTTCAGTCTTTAAATGTACATTTGTTTTGTGATTTTTATTTCTTGCCAATAATTTCTAACATTTCATTGATTTCAAGTGTGTTTTTTTCTTACCTCATGGAGGATAGTTATTATAGCTGCTTCAAAATATTGCCCAACAGCTCCAAAATCTGGATCATTTCAGAGTGTATCTATTGTCTTTTCAACTGAGGATTGTTCGTATTTTCCTGGGTATTATATAAGCAATTTGAGTTGTATTGTGGATATTTTTAATGTTATGTTGTGGAAACTCTGTGCTGTTTAATCTTCTGGAGAAAGTTGACATTTTAAAGTAGGCAATCAATCTAGTTATATTAGGAATATAAATTCTGTTCTAACTTTTGTTTTTAGGTGTTCAAATCTCAGTTAAATTTGCAAAGGCTTTTTTGTTCTGATATAAGTCTGTCCTGCTCAATAGCAGCTCAGGGATTAGGCTGAGAATTGTGTAGATTTATATACAGAGTTAGTGCATACCCTTCTGTCTTTTATCGGGGACTTTCCTATAGTCTCTGGCAAACACAGGCCACGTTTCTTGGTTCTTTCAGTCAGAAACACAAAGTTTCTGTTGGAGATTTTGCTGTCAAAGCTGCCACTACCATCTTGCTTCTCTGCAACTAGGGTCCACCCTCAGGGCACAGCTCTACAGGTACATAAGTTAAAAAAGAAAAAAAAAAGTAGAGAAAACGTCCTTATGTGGGTAAAATCTCCAAGTTCTGATTTCCTTTCACAATTTGCCTCCTTTTGTTTATTATTAAGGTGTCTTATATAGTTTTAAAAAATATATTTTCATAAATTATAGTTGTAATCAGTAGGTGGGATGGGCTGTGGTGGTCTTATGCCACATGCCACAACTGGAAGAGCTAATTTTAATTCTCAGCACATACATAATAGCCTACTATAATCAGCCTGTCAGAGGTTTCACATTACACCTAATATCTTTTGCTCTTTATCCTCTTTCATTTAGCTAGGTAATGTCTCCGCTATAGAGGGTTTGCCAAGTACAATGTAGCCACTATCTTTGGGGATATTTCCTGGGTACATAAGAAGATGCTCAGGTCTCTGGCTGGAAACTGTTTTTGATGAGCCAGGCAAACATTTGAAGAGTCTTTCTGGGCAGTATCTGGCAAGAACAGGTATAGCCTAGAGGTACATAGCAGAAAAATAGACTGCTAATGCTATAATACAATCTAGAATCAAAAATAAGGGCTCATAATTGTGAAGGCTTTAGATTTCAGCCCTTAGTTATGAGATCTTGGAAAAATATTTAAACTTGCTGAATTTCAGTTTACTATTTTGTGAATATGCATACAAAATTTTCTCTCTTTTGGTGAAACATGTATAAAAGTGACAGTTCTTGGCATACATGGTATAGGCAAAAAAGCTTTTCATGATATTGATAGAAAGCGAGTGAAACTGAAGACAAAAAACCTGGAAAAGTCAGAGAGTCTATAGTTCCTATGTAAGTCACGCAGCAAGGAAGGAATGTATCACGTGTTTATTTGCAGGATTCCAATGAGTTGAATGATAGGTGACACTTTTATTGAGGTAATCTCTCTGTATGCACACTTACAAATTTTTTATAAGGACAAATAACTGAGATAGGTGGTCAGTTACAGGTAGACTGCTTCCTCAGATGGCAAAAATCTCCCCTGAAGGAATACAGAAGCATAAAGCAGGAGAAAGAAGATTCTGCCACTCAGTAAGCTAAAGGGATGAGATAAAAGACTTGAATGTTTTTGGCAAAATGAAGGCCTTATCTGCATTAGATTAGAGTTTTAATTCAGGAATTGCGTGACTGCCAGCATTTACATTTTAATATTTGCTGTTAATAAAAAGTATTTTAACTACTGGATAAAAATAAAATTTTTAAATCTCTGGAAATTATTTAATCCATTTTGTATTTTTTGCATATTCAAAATATAGTTCTAATGAAATGACTCTTTTAAAACAATTTTATAAAACAAAAATTTTCAGCTTTTTGCTATTCTCTTTAGGTATGTACTTGTTCATCAATCTTTAAAGTTCTTTATTGCTTCTTTTGTAGGTTAGAACTTTTTTAGGTCAGAATGTAAAACTGAGGGAGATTTAGAGAAAGGGCAGAGATTACGGTACAAGACTGTCAGAAAAGAACAGAGAGAGAATAAATGAAATTTTAGTCATGTGGCGACATATCCATTGATGGCTATGTCATCTGGAGAGAAGGAAAGTGTTCAGGGTTTTTGAACATTAAAAATAAAAGCCTTCAACAAGAATTCACTTTATTTTTAAGTGAGACGGATGTTAAGATCAAATATTTGACATTTGACCTTCCTTAGTTTAGTGTCAAGTATTAAAGGTAGCTGAATTCACAGATAAAAGCTATTGATTTATAAATATAGCTTAAGCTTTTCTGGATTGTGGATATTTTTCACATGATGTACACTTAAGCAAACATTTGCTTATTTAATAACTGTGTGTTAAGGGCATAATATTTTGCTAACCACTGTATTCAAAATATATTTTCCACAGTTTTTTATACTCAGCGAATTCTCAATACAATTGAAACTGCAGGATAAATTAAGATAATCCAAGTTTTAAGAGCTAAGTCAGTGAATATCAAATAGATGGTGTATATAGTAAAGTTTCCAAAGAAAAGAAAGGTCACTAGGAGCAGGAGTGACCCAGGAGCTTCAGGGAGGATGAGCAATTTGACCTAAGCCTAGAAGATTACATTGGATATAAACAGTAAATAGAAGGTAAATAGATGTATGACCTAGTCAGATAGAATGAGTGGTGTGTATTTAGTGAACAATGAATGATCCTTCTAGATATAATACAAATTTTGTGTTGAGAGGTGAATATTAGAGGTAGGTTATAGCTAGATTGTATAGTACTATAAGGTATTAAGCTAAGAAATTTCAAGTTTACAGAGACTCTGTTAAAATTTTTTATTGATATAGTAAAATGCAGTCTTAGAATGTTTTGTGCAGGAGAGAATTAGAGAAGAAAACAAGGAAAGGAATATTATAGCAGCCAATCAAAGTAACCCATAGATGAATCAATGGAGACTGTTGAATAGGATTTTGAGAATAATAAAAGTAATCTAAAAGAAACTAAAAGGATTTGTTGCTGATTATATATATGAGTAAAAGAATGAATTGAAATATAGAAAAAAAGTAGAGCTACCATTTGATCCAGCAATCTCACTACTGGGCACCTACCCAGAGGAAAAGAAGTCATTATATGAAAGACACTTGCACATGTATGTTTATTGCAGCACAATTTGCAATTGCAAAAATATGGAAACAGTCTAGATGCCCATCAACCAACAAGTGAAAAAAAATGATATATATATTTTAGGTATATATATATATACCACATTTAGGTGTGACCATTGAGTAATACTACCGTGATATATATATATACACATACACACACACACACACACACACACACACACACACACACACCGTGGAATACTACTCAGCCATAAAAACAAATGAAATAATGGCATTGGCAGAAACCTGCATGGAGCTGGAGATCATTATTTTAAGTGAAGCAACTCAGGAATGGGAAACTAAACATTTTATATTCTCATGTATAGGTGAGAGCTAAGCTATGAGGACACAAAGGAATAATAATGATATAATGAAATTTAGGGACTTGGGGGGAAGGGTGGGAAGTGGGTGAGAAATAAAAGACTACACATTGGGTACAGTGTACACTGCTTGGGTGACGAATTGCACCAAAATCTCAGAAATCACCACTAGGGAACTTTTCCATGCAGCCAAAAAGCACCTGTTCCCTAAAAAGCATTGAAATAATAAAAGAAAAGAAAAGAAAAGTAATTATAGAGAAGTTTTGATCAGGAATTACTTGATGATGGTGCAACAATTTATAGAAATAAGTAATTCAGAATGAAAGATGGTTTCAGTGGTAAGCAGAGGGCCATATTGTATAACTGTTCAGTTTAAAGAGATGGCAAGATATTGGACTGTAAATGCCCATCAGGCAGTTGGAAACATGTAAATGAAGGTCAGAGAAAGATTGAATGTAGAGATGTAAATTTAATAGTAATTCATATTATCTTTGAAGTTTCAAGACTGGATAAAATTTCTTAGGAAATTAGTTTCAAAAGTTAAAGCCCTGAATACTGGAAAATCTTCACATTTAAGAGCTAAGGGTAAAGCCAACATTTATTAAGCCACTACACATACATCTATCTTAAATTTACAAGAGCCAAGGAAGCCTCAGAAATAGTGCTGTCCAAGTAGTTTAGAGAATGTGCAGACACAATTAGCTTGGTGCCAATGTCCAGTGAAGTTTCATGAAAAAGCTGGTAACAAAATGTTCAAAAAGGAAGGGCTAGTTAAAGGTGTTTGTTAGCTGTTAGAAAGAGGTCACTGATAACAGGTTTTAGAACAATTAATGGTTTATTTCATTAAAAAATAATAGGTCATCTTTGAGGGTCAATGTTTCTTTGGCAAAAAAAGTCATGAAACACAGTAGAATATCCAGATCTGGACAGGTACTCTTCACTATCCTTTGCTTTGTATCTTATTCTTTGAAATGGTAGATCAATGTCAAAATGGGCCAACTCTGGAAGAACAATTTTCATTCACGGAATGAAGGAAAAACACATTTGATAAGACGATTGTTATTAGGAAATCATCCTTTATTTTAAAAATTGACATTTATTTAGATTGAAGTGCATCTAGGATGAAACAAAGACAAATTTCCTTTAAGAATCTAGATTTTAAAAAACAACAAAAAATTAAGACTATCAGAGGACTCAGCCAAGTTAATTTTAAAAAGATATGCAGAACATGTTGTTTTTATATGTCAAACATTGCCATTGTCTGTGCTTTATTTTCACAACCCTCAGTTGTTATCTTCACCAAGTCCAAGTGTTGTCTTTGTTCTACATCAAAGGCACCACAATTTACTTGGTGCCAAGTACCGAACTCACCACATTGTGTGTAGAGTGCCATTTGGGACATTAGGGTACTAGCCACTTGGGTTATTTTTTCAAAGTGGTCCATGAACCATTTGCACCAGAGAGGCTTCTGGAATGCTCATATTATGCAGCAGGAGAGAGGAAAGAAGTCTAGAAATGAAAGAGACGGTAGAGGAATCCATGGGACCAAGAGATGCCTGTATTGTGCAGATGCAGATAGCCCAATCTATACTTACAGAATCAAAATTACTAGGAGTGGCACCCAGAAATATGTATTTTAAAAACAAGGACCCCCAGGCTACACTCAGACACATTAAAAATGTAAAAGAAGAGTTTAAATAAAAAAATTAAAAGTAATACAGTTTTAGTGTGTGGGGGGGTTCTTGTGTTTGACTCTACTTCTCTCTCTCTCATGTTAATTTTCATATAGAAACTACTTTTCCCATCTTTTGTCTTATGAAAGGATTGAAGGTACCACCTTTGAGTTGTCTTCTATCTTTCCTGACATTTCTTGCTCCTTGTTCTAAGAGCCTAAGAAAGTGTGGGTAGATTCAATATCAGAAGAGAGTTTCATCCTATTGGTTATGTTTAGCACCTTCTGGAATGCGAACATTCTGGAGCAGGGAGAAGAGAGCAGCCTAGAAACTACACAGACTAGAAAAAAATCCATGAAGTCAGCATAAAATGCATGGAGAGACATTGTAGACATCAATGAAAGAGAGCATTTTAAGGACGGATACATGGAAAAGTGCTAGAGAGAGTTTTTAAAAATATTTCAAATCTAACTGTTCTTTATATGTTTCTTTGTCATATAAACTGAAATGGTGTTTTAGAAAATCATGGCCAAGCTTTTAAATACTTGCACTACTTCATCAGTCTCTGTGTGCTAGAGTGAATCATATTGTGATGCTTTGAAAGGGAAAGAATTTTAGCAATTTTATTTTAGTTTGTGATCTCACAGGAGGAAAGTAACTCTCAGAGCAAAGCTTCATAGATTTAATAAAAGATAAACAATACTTTTCATCAAACTTAACATTAAACATAACAGAACTCTAGGCATAATAATTCATTTTAATATTAATGTAAAATCCAGCACAATGTTAGTCTAATTATTTTGGTATGGGAACATACTAAAGGATCGACAAATAACAATTAGCTAAAACTTGAAATTAGCAAATAAAATATGTTGAGAATTTATAGATGGATTTTTATGTCATTTATAGTAGAAAGTTGTTTTAAGCAGAAGAAACAAAATAATCATTTAAAGGAAGCTGTGGAAAATGCAATGCATAACTTTGCTGTGATGATTTTTGGAAGATGAAAACATCCTAGTCCTTAGTTGTTCACATGAGAAGTAAGTCGACATTCTTTTATTTAACCAAGGCTTTACTGAGTACCTACTATATACTTGGCCCTATTCTATACACCTTGGGTTATAGCAGTGGCACAGGGGAGGAAAGAAAGTAGAAAAGAAAGGTTAAAAGTGACAACAAAGAGGAGCAGTGTTGTAGTTTTAAATTTGGGAGTCAGATAGGACTTTACTGAAAAGGTGAGAGTAAAATACAAGCATTCGGGACATGTGAGATTGAGCCACAGAGAATATTGATCCATGAGCTTGGGAAGAACATTCTAGGTAAATGGAGTAGCAGATACAAAGGTCCTGGGGCAGCAACATGCCTGCCATATTCAAGGAACAGCAAAGAAGGCACTGAGGCTGGCACGGAGTGACTGAGGGAGTCTGTGGCTGGAGATGAGGTTAAGAGGCCAAGAAGTGAAGATTGACAGGGTCTCACAGGTCATTAACAAGTACCTTGGCTTTCATTGCAACTGATATAAGACTCCTTCCGCAAAGGGATATGAAGAGAGGAATGACAGGATCTGACTTTTATTCTCAAAGGAACATTCAGGCTGCTAGATTAAAAAGAGATTATAAAGAAGGACAGAAGCAGGGACAACTGTTAAGAAACTATAGCAGTAATTCAAGTAAGAGATGCTGGTGACTTCAACCAAAAGTGGAAGCAGTGGAGGAGAAAGTTGGTGTGTTCTGGATTTATTTTGAAAGCAGAATGACAGAATTTGCTGGTAATATGGATGTAGCTTGTGGGGAAGGAGAGGAGTCAAAATGACTCTAGGTTTTTAACCTGAGTAACTAGAGAATGAAGGTGCTATTTACTGAGATGAAAAAGGTGGCAAACGATGTAGGTTTAGTGGGGCAGTCACGAGAATTTTGGTGCATATTGAGTCTGAGACACTTATTATACTTATACTAGAGTTGTTGATAGTCAGCTGTACATATAACTCTGGATTTCAGATGAGATTTCCAAGCTGGAATTGTAGATTTGGAAAAGAAAAACAAGTAAGTAATGTTTAAAGCCATGAGGCTTGAGGTAGAAAAAGGAGAGGCCTAGGATTGAATTTTAAGGCACTAAAATCTTTCAATGTTAAGAGATTAGGGAGAAGAGAGGAACTAGCAAGTAAACTGAGAAGGCAGACTGAAACAAGTATTACTACATCATTAGTAACTCTTTTTGAGAGCATTGGTATTATAGAGGTTCTCATGGCCCTAAGTGTTTTTTCACATTTTTTAGGGTCATTTGGTCATTTTCTATTTACCTATAACTTGATCTCAATCTGAAACTCTTGCTCTTTCCCATTCACTCCTCCTATCCCTGCTTCATGCTTGCATGACATTCACTTTGAAGATCTTCATTGGTACTGTAATTTCATCTGAGTGTAAAATGCATTTTTGAAAACTGTCAAAAGTAATTTGGTGATTCATCTGGTGAATGAAATGGATGACTAGGTTGGTTAATATCACTTCTGATCAAAAACTAGGAGTGACCATTGAGTAATATCACCAAGTTTACTGTGTGGTTTACATGCCCAGTCTAAAAGCAATTTCATCAGGTGTGCTCTAAAATGTTTTGAGCAATGATAACATTACTGGAATAAATATATCATTTCTAAAAGGACTATGTTCAAGACTAATTTTCATATATGAAGTACATATGTAAGTTCTGTTAACTTGATTAATATTTCTTAATATTCTATTGTTTTATCATATATGTTTATATAGTTGCTTAAAGTCCATCAACATGCATATAGCCATAAATAATGTCTAACTGAATCTTCATTTTGCAATGTAAGGGTTTCTTTAAAAACTGCTATTCTCATTTAAGATTGATTATCTAATGAAAAACAATGGAAAATAATTGTTTTAATTAGAAAAAGATTTGCAAGAAAATGTTAAAATATTTGCCCAGATACTACAAAAATTGCTGATAGTGAGCACCAGAGGTTTGCAAACACGCCTTCTTGGATGTCTGACTAATAATGAATTTGTAATGAACATATTCTCTTCAAATTATGCCAATTATTTGTTCACCAAACAAATATTTATTGTTTCAATATGTTATGGATGTGTGTCATATGGAGAAGAGTTTGCTCTTTTAGATCCTTCCAAAGGCATCCTCAGAGATTTATGTGCACAAAGAAGAGAGCAAAAATTGTGTTACTGACTTTCTCCACACCTGATATAGTCTCCTGGGAAGTTATACCACGTGGAGAACCCATTTTGTCTAGGCTCAAGGAAGATTAAAATAGTTGGTGAGGTTTCGTGTTTTCCTTCTATGTTTGCTGCACCCCAACTCGGGTCATTAGTCACTTATCCTGTGACACAGAATGCTTCCTCTCTTTCTTAATGATATGGCCCAGTTACCATCATTGCCTCTGACTTGCCCCAACCTTAAGTGGCATGTAATAGAGAGTGGAACTTTTAGTTTTCTTTGGAGGCTAACTACAGATTTTGTTCTAGGTTCTGGGATGGGGAAACGGAAACAAAGATGGGGTTTCCATTCTCAAAACACTATTATTTTTTGAGGAGAAGGAAATATGGGACCCAGCCTTTTTTCTTTTACCCTTCAATCCTCCAGCTAATCCTGCTTTTTCAGAGCCTTTTCCCTAGTCTTTTTCCTGACATTTTGAATAAAGTTTAATGTTCATTCTAGGACTTTCCTTGTGAAGTATTTTAGAGTCTTTACCCCAAGGATCACAATCATCCCGAGGCAAAAATATTGTAATTGGCTCATTGTTTCTTACTTAAACTTGGCGGAGATACCCATTCTTCTAGCTAATGTTGACACTAATTGCCCAAAGGAGGTAAGTGATTTCTGGATGTAGGCTTACATGTTTCTTATTATACATAATAAACTTACAATGTTTTTCATGTGTTTCACTAGTATGGTCAGCTTCACATCCTCGTAGGATATGACTAACTGCACCTTAGGCTTCTTGTCTGGAAACTTCTCACCTGATAAAAGAATAGAATTTCAGTGAGTTCAGTTGGAAAAAGCTCAGCACAGGAACAATCAAACATTTAAAAACTAAAACAGGACCAATAAATAACAAGTAGAAGAAACATTCTTCAGATAATGTTGAAGAATCTTAATGCTCTTCAGGAGGCAGTTGGTTACATAGAGATGGGATTTGTGTCTAATCTTTAACTAACTCTTCCCCTAATATTTCATATTTTGTTTTGATTGATACCATTATTTTCTCAACAACTTAAGCTTAAAACCTCAGTGCCATTTTTGGCTCCAATTTTCTCCTTAGCATTCACTATAATGAGCTTAAAGTATTAGAGGTCATAGAGATTAAAAGTGTGGCCTTTAGAAATCAGTGAACCTGGGGTTCAAGGCCCAGCACTACTATTCATGACTGTGTCATCATGACTAAATTAATCAACTTTATATAAAATGGAAATAATAGTTACTTTTTGAGATAGGTGGTTGAGATGATTAACTGATAAAATTCAAAAGTTGTCACGTAGTAAGTGGTCAATTTGCACTAATCTCTTTTTTCTCATCCCATAGCAGCTAATTCAAACTCATATAAACGTTTTGCCTAAACTACTAGGACATTCATTCACTCCTCCCACCCCCTGCACAGAATCCAAATCTATTTGTATACCATTACCAATGTAAGTTTCAGACGACAACTTTCATAAGATTATTTTTTGATCAAAATGCCTTTCAGAGATTTCCATTGCTTATGAAAAAAGGTCTAAATTTCTCAGCCTTGTATTGTAACTTCTTATTACTGTTTTATTTCCCACTTTTATTCTATACTTTTTTTATTATTATACTTTAAGTTTTAGGGTACATGTGCACAACGTGCAGGTTTGTTACATATATATACATGTGCCATGTTGGTGTGCTGCACCCATTAACTTGTCATTTAACATTAGGTATATCTCCTAATGCTATTCCTCCCCCCTCCCCCCACCCCACAACAGGCCCCAGTGTGTGATGCTCCCCTTCCTGTGTCCATGTGTTCTCATTGTTCAATTCCCACCTATGAGTGAGAACATGCAGTGTTTGGTCTTTTGTCCTTGCCATAGTTTGCTGAGAATGATGGTTTCCAGCTTCATCCATGTCCCTACAAAGGATATGAACTCATCATTTTTTATGGCTGCATAGTATTCCATGGTGTATATGTGCCACATTTTCTTAATCCAGTCTATCATTGTTGGACATTTGGGTTGGTTCTAAGTCTTTGCTATTGTGAATAGTGCCGCAATAAACATACGTGTGCATGTGTCTTTATAGCAGCATGATTTATAATCCTTTGGGTATATACCCAGTAATGGGATGGCTGGGTCTAATGGTATTTCTAGTTCTAGATCCTTGAGGAATCACCACACTGACTTCCACAATGGTTGAACCAGTTTATAGCCCACCAACAGTGTAAAAGTGTTCCTATTTCTCCACATCCTCCACATCCTCCACATCCTGTTGTTTCCTGACTTTTTAATGATGGCCATTCTAACTGGTGTGAGATGGTATCTCAGTGTGGTTTTGATTTGCATTTCTCTGATGGCCAGTGATGATGAGCATTTTTTCATGTGTCTTTTGGCTGCATAAATGTCTTCTTTTGAGAAGTGTCTTATTTATATTCTTCGCCCACTTGTTGATGGGGTTGTCTGTTTTTTTCTTGTAAATTTGTTTGAGTTCATTGTAGATTCTGGATACTAGCCCTTTGTCAGATGAGTAGATTGCAAAAATTTTCTCCCATTCTGTAGGTTGCCTGTTCACTCTGATGGTAGTTTCTTTTTCTGTGCAGAAGCTCTTTAGTTTAATTAGATCCCATTTGCCAATTTTGGCTTTTGTTGCCATTGTTTTTGGTGTTTTAGACATGAAGTCCTCGCCCATGCCTATGTCCTGAATGGTATTGCCTAGGTTTTCTTCTAGGGTTTTATGGTTTTAGGTCTAACATTTAAGTCTTTAATCCATCTTGAATTAATTTTTGTATAAGGTGTAAGGAAGGGATCCAGTTTCAGCTTTCTACATATGGCTAGCCAGTTTTCCCAGCACCATTTATTAAATAGGGAATCCTTTCCCCATTTCTTGTTTTTGTCAGGTTTGTCTAAGATCAGATAGTTGTAGATAAGCGGCATTATTTCTGAGGGCTCTGTTCTGTTCCATTGATCTATATCTCTGTTTTGGTACCAGTACCATGCTGTTTTGATTACTGTAGCTATTCTATACTTTCATTCGTATGTTTAGTTCTACAAACAGGCTCTACTATTTCTTTCTAGTAGTTTCTCATATTATTCCTTTCAATTAAAATCATTTTGTTAACCATTTTTGTCTATTGAACTTCTACCTTTCTTCAAAGCTTAATTAAAACGCAAAATAGTTTGTGTGGTCATCTTTCCCTGAACTCTCCTAGCACAGCCCTTATCGTGAAATGTTACATTGTAATTATTTTATATGTCTCAGTTTGTTTAGGGGATTACAATCTATCTCAGGGCTTACTTTTTACCCCTATATCCCCAAGGGGCAAAGCCAATGCTTACTCCATAATGTGCACATTAAACATTTATTTAATAACAAGAGTAACCTTAATTTTTCTTTTGATTTGTATCGCAACATCGTTAAAATGAGAAATTTAGTTTTTTTAATTAAAAATTTATTGTTTACTTCCCAAGGATTAAACATAATTTATAGTTTTACTAATATTTCCCTTATAATCTTTGGTTGTATGTTATCTGGGGTAATTTAGAGATCAATTTATTAATAACAAAGAATTTGTCAATGGTCATCAGAAAGTCAATCTTAACTTTCTAATCTTCTCTAAGATTTGAAAATTATACCTGAGCAGTGTAGTTACACCTGATCAGTATAATTTTCAAATATATAACTTTTCAAAGCCTTCTACATGTTTATTTGAATAATTTATACATTGTATGAGGTGATATTAATTTTATTGTTAATAATATGGATTTGTGACATTGAAAAGGATGTTTTTTACAATTGCAATGGTAATATAAGAAAAAATCACTTATAATATCTTGATTACACTAACTGGGAGAGACTATATAGACTAACACAGAGATACTATGAGATAGTTCTTAGTAAGACTGAAGTAAATTGCATTTCATAATAAAAAGATGTTTGGTATAAAGGTGCTAAAAATGCTGATGACGTTTTGAGGCACAACGAACATTATATTTGAATTAAAGAGTGGAAGAATTGTTAAGTAGACAGCCAATGTATTTAATCAGAGAAGTTTTAATTCAAAGGTAGAAAATTAGCATAAATTTGTGATTGACTGCCTAAATAGTAAAAGTACAATTGCCACTTGAACTGACTGAAGATGATAGTTCTCCCTCCACCTCTTGCTCAAGATTAGTAACTAAAGTGTCCATCAAAACATGCCGGAGTTCAGAACCCAGTGAAAACTCACACCACTAGGAATTGACACTCAGTAGTCAATGTAGCAGTAGGAGTAGAGAGGCTTATTATTTCTGTAGCTTTGACTGTATGCCAGGCTAAGAGCTTTATGTACAGTAACGCATTCAATCATCATAGCAAATCTATGAAATTTGTATTATCTCCATTTTACACATGAGGAAACTCAGGCACTTGGTCCAAGGTCATAGAGACAATAAACGGTGCAGGTTTAAGTGATCTCCAAAGCCTGTGTTTATAAGCGCCTGGTTTATAAGCACCATGCTGTAGAGAGTCAAGAAAGGCGGCTACAACATAAGAAAAACAGGTTAAATGAACTCAAGAGGGACATTTGTGAATAGCTTAATATGTTCAAGAAGACGCTAAGATATTTTGGTCTTCTGCTTCAAGTTAGTCTGAGGGATTCAACTATGCTTAGATTAACCATTTATAGTCACCCCAAGAGCTGTTAAAATATTTTTAATTTTAAGGATGACTGTGTTCATCAAGGATATAGGTCTGTAGTTATCTTTTTTGGTTGTGTCCTGTCCTAGTTTTGGTATTAGCATAATGCTGGCTTCATATAATGAATTAGGGAGAGGTCCTTCTTTCTCTATCTTGTGGAATAGTGTCAAAAGGATTGGTACCAATTCTTCTTTGAACGTCTGATAGAATTCTGCTGTGAATCCATCTGATCCTGGATTTTTGGTCAGTAATTTATTAACTACCATTTTAATCTCACTGCTTATTATTGGTCTGTTCAGGGTATCTAATTATTCCTGATTTAAGCTACAAGGGTTGTATTTTTCCAGGAATTCATCCATGTCTTCTAGGTTTTCTAGATTATGTGTGTAAAGGTGTTCATAGTACCCTTGAATGATCTTTTGTGTTTCAGTGGTATCTGTTGTAATATCTCCCGTTTCATTTCTCCATGAAGTTATTTGGATTTTCTTTCTTTTCTTGGTTAATCTTGCTAATGGTCTATCAATTTTATTTGTATTTCCAAAGAACCAGCTTTTTGTTTCATTCATCTTTTGTAATTTTTTTGTTTCAATTTCATTTAGTTCTGCTCTGATCTTGGTTATTTCCTGTCTTCTGCTGAGTGTGGGTTTGGCTTGTTCTTGTTTCTCTAGTTCCTTGAGGTGTGACCTTAGATTGTGTGTGTGCTCTTTCAGACTTTTTGATGTAGGCAGGCTGGGAACTTTCCTCTTAGCACAGCCTTAGCTGTATCCCAGAGGTTTTGATAGGTTGTGTCATTACTGTCATTCAGTTCAAAGAATTTTTTTAATTTCCATCTTGGTTTCATTTTTGACCCAACACTCATTCAGGAGCAGGTTATTTAATTTCCATGTATTTGTGTGGTTTTGAAGGTTCCTTTTGGAGTTGATTTTCAGTTTTAATCCATTGTAGTCTGAGAGAGTGTTTGATATAATTTCAATTTTCTTAACTTTATTGAGGCTCATTTTATGGCCTGTCATATGGTCTATCTTGGAGAAAGTTCCAGGCACTGTTGAGTGGAATGTGTATTCTGTGGTTGCTGGATGAAATGTTCTAGATATATCTGTTAAGTCCATTTGCTCCAAGGTATAGTTTAAATTCATTGTTTCTCAGTTGACTTTCTGTCTTGATGACCTGTCTAGTGCTGTCAGCAGAGTATTGAAGTCCCCTACTATTATTGTGTTGCTGTCTATCTCATTTTTTAGGTCTTTTAGTAATTGTTTTATAACTTTGGGAGCCCCAGTGTTAGGTGCATATATGTTTAGGTTTGTGATAGTTTCCTGTTGGACAAGGCTTTTTACCATTATATACTGTCCCTCTTTGTCTCTTTTAACTGTGGTTGCTTTAAAGTTTGTTTTGTCTGATATAAGAATAGCTAACCCTGCTCGCTTTTGGTGTACATTTGCATGAAATGCCTTTTTCTACCTATTTACTCTAAGTTTATATGAATGCTTATGTGTTAGGTGAGTCTCCTGAAGGCAGCAGATGGTTGGTGAGTTCTTATGCATTCTGTGGTTCTGTATCTTTTAAGTGGAGCATTTAGGCCATTTACCTTCAATGTTAGTATTGAAATGTGAGGTACCATTGCATTCATCATGCTCTTTGTTGCCTGTGTATTTTCATTTTGTTTTTTTTGTTTGTTTTAGCTTTTTAACTTGCATTTTTGTTTCATAAGTCCTGTGTGATTTATGCTTTAAAGAGATTCTTTTTGATGTGTTTCCAGGATTTGTTTCAAGATTTGGAGCTCTTTTTAGCAGTTCTTGTGGTAGTGATTTGGTAATGGTGAATTCTCTCAGCATTTGTTTGTCTGAAAAAGACTGTATCTTTCCTTCATAAATGATGCTTAGTTTCGCTGGATACAAAACTCTTGGCTGATAATTGTTTTGTTTTAGGAGGCTGAATATAGGGCCCAAATGCTTTCTAGCTTGTAGGGTTTTTGCTGAGAAATCTGCTGTTAATCTGATAGCTTTTCCTTTATAGGTTAACTGGTGCTTCTGTCTCACAGGTCTTAAGATTCTTTCCCTTGTCTTAATTTGGATAACCTGATGACAATGTGCTCAGGAGAAGAACTTTTTGCCAGGAATTCCCAGGTGTTCTTAGTGCTTCTTATATTTGCATGTCTAGGACTCCGGCAAGGCTGGGGAAGTTTTGCTTGGTTATTCCCCCAGATATGTTTTCCAAGCTTTTAGAAATGTCTTCTTCCTAAGAAACACCGATTATTCTTAGGTTTGGTCATTTAACATAATCCCAGACTTCTTGGAGGCTTTGTTCATATTTTCTTTTTCTTTTTTCTTTGTCTTTGTTAGACAAGGTTAATTCAAAGACCTTGTCTTCAAGCTCTGAGTTTCTTTCTTCTACTTATTCAATTATATTGCTGAGAATTTCCAGAGCATTTTGCATTTCTAAAAATGTGTCTGAAGTTTCCTGAATATTTGATTGTTTTTTAAGATATCTATTTCCTTGAATATTTTTCCCTTCACTTCTTGTAACATATTTTGGATTTTCTTGCATTGGCCTTTGCCTTTTATCTGGTCTTTCCCTGATTAGCTTAATAACTAACCTCTTGAATTCTTTTTCAGGTAAATCAGGGATTTCTTCTTGGTTTGGATCCATTGCTGGTGAACTAGTGTGATTTTTAGTGGGTGTTGATGAGCCTTGTTTTTTCATATTACCAGGGTTGGTTTTCTGGTTCCTTCTCATTTGGGCAGTTTCTGTCACAGGGAAAGTCAAGGGCTGAAGGATGTTGTTCAGATTTTTTTGTCCCATGGGGTGTTCCTTGATGTAGTACTCTCCCCCTTTTACTGTGGATGTGGCTTCCAGTGAGCTGAAGTGCAGTGATTGTTGTCTCTCTTCCGGGTTCATTCACCCAGTGAGCCTACCTGGCTTTGGGCTGGTACTGGGGGCTGTCTGCACAGAGTCCTGTGATGTGAACTGTCTGTGGGTCTCTCAGCCATGGATACCAGCATCTGTTTTGGTGAGGTGGCAGAGGGTGGAATAGACTCTGTGGGGGTCCTTAGCTTTGGTGGTTTAATGCTCTTGTGCTGATGGCCTCCTGTCAGGAGGTGGAGCTTTCCAGAAAGCATCAGCTGTAGTAATGTGGAGGGGGACCAGCAGTGGGCGGGGTCCTAGAACTCCCACAATTATATGTCCTTTGTCACCCACTACCAGGGTGGGTAGGGAGGGACCATCAGGTGGGGGTGGGGCTAGGCGTGTCTGAGCTCAGACTCTCCTTGGGCTGGTCTTGCTGCGACTGCTGTGGGGGGTGGGCGTGAGGTCCCGGGTCACTGGAGTTATGTGCCTAGGAGGATTATGGCTGCCTCAACTAAGTCATGCATGTTGTCAGGGAAGTGGGGGAAAGCTGGCAGTAACAGGCCTCACCCAGCTCCCACACAAACTGAATGGCCAGTCTCACTCCCACCGTGCCCCCCTGCAACAGTCTGTTTCCAGGTGGAGGGCGAGTCAGGCTCGAAAAGTTGCCCAAAGCTTTCCACCTCCCAGCTGCAAAAGAAAAGGGCTTTAGTTCTTCCCCTACCTGTGAAGTCTCCAAGCCGGATTCGTGCCCTCCCCTGAGTTCTGGCCAGGAGGCTTCTAGCCCCATTCAAATTGTTACAGAGTTCAGCTAGAGAATTCTTTCTCCCTGTGCAGTTTTACCCCCTCCTCTGGCCACCCCACTGATGGATCCCTGTGGTGCCAGGCAGGAATGGGCTGCTTGGGGACCCAGCGAGCTCACAGGGCCTTTCTGCTGCTTCCTCTACCCCTGTATTTCCCTAAGCCCGGCTCTCTAATGTCCAGTATAGTTGAAAGTCAGGTCATGTGATGCTTCTGGCTTTGTTCTTTTTGCTTTGCTATTTGGACGTTTTTTGTTGTTGTATCACATGAATTTTAGAATAGTTTTTTCAAACTCTGTGAAAAATGACATTGGTAATTTGAATGAAAAAAAATTCCATGCCCATAGACTAGAAGTATCAATATCATTAAAATGGCCATACTGCCCAAAGTAATTTACAGATTCATCATTAACATATTATGATTAACTATAGTCATCCTACATCCTACGTAGTATAGAACCCTAGATCTTGTTCCACCTATCTAGCTGTAATTTTGTATTCTTTAAAAAAATCTCTCTCCATCTCTCCTTTACCCCCACCTTTCTCACCCTCTAGTATCCTCTGTTCTACTTTTTACTTATTTGAGATCAGCGTTTTTAAGCTTCCACATATGAGTGAAAATATATGGTGTTGAACTTTCTGTTCCTGGCTTATTTCACTTAACATAATGTCCTCCAGTTCCATCCAAGTTACCACAAATGACAGGATTTTTTTTTTTTTAATTTTTATTTTATTGGTTGTTTTGTTAAGAAAGGTCATTCAATTTTATCAAATGCCTTTTCAGGGTCTATAGAGGTGACCATGTGATTTTTATCCTTAAATCTATCAATATGATAATATGTATTATATATTATGTATAGTACTAATATTGAACTGTTCTTGCATTTCTGTCATGGTGAATTATATTCCTTTAGTGTGCTGATGGATTATTTTGGCTAATATTTTATTTAGAATTTTTCCTTGATATTCTTAAGTGAGATTGGTCTGTGATTTCTTATTTGCCACCCTTGTAATCCTTGAAACTATTGGTGTAAATACTTTATGTGCATCATAAAAGTCATATGGAAAATTTTCTTTCTTTTTCTCTGCTCTGGAAGTGTTTAAGTAACATGAAATTGTCTGCTTTTAAGGAGTTTGGTAGAATTCCTCTGGAAATTATCTGAACTTGGTATTTTTGAAAAATGTAAAAGTTTTGCTTGCATTTTGAAGCATTATATTGTATTTATTTGATCAAACTTAATCTTGTTAGAATCATCTTCTCTGGGCCAAGTAAATTTTTTTTTCCTAGAAAATTATCAATTTCAGACAGATTTACAAATTTATTTTCTCATGGAGTTGAACAGGTAGTCTGTTACTATAATTTCATCTTTCTATGGTTAATTCTTGCATTTCCTTTTGTATTAATATTTGCGTACTTGCATTACTCCCCATTTTTGATTAGGTTAGATAGTGACTCATTTATTTTATTGTTTACTTTTTACTTCTGATTTGTTCCAGTGTTTTCTTTGTTCTAACTATTTGAAGTCTACTTTTATCTTTATCCTTTTTTGGTTTATTTGGTTTGGTTTGTAACTTTTATTCCAATATTCCTCTGAGCATAGTTTTGTCTTTCATGGTTTCTGAGATGTAGTATTTCACTATTGCTAGTCTTTAGAAATTTTGCAAATTTTTTCTGTAATCCATTTGATCCAACAGTTCTTCAAAAGATTTTTTTTTAATTCCTAAACCTAAGTGTCTTCTAGTTTTCTGAAAATTTCCATTAAATTTTCACTTTGTTAAAGTGATTAAATGATTAAAGAATTTCAACTACATTATTTTTACTTTTTGGACTTTATTGAACTTTTCTGTAGTCAAATATATCATCTATTTTATAAACTTTCATAGGCATTTGAAGAGAAGATACATTTTTTTTCAGGATAAAGTTTTGACTTATTGACTACTTTATTTTTCTATAAATCTACTTAGGTTTTTCCATTTGGTCTTTCATAAATCAAGATGTGAAATAGAGTATCCTACTACTAGTGTGTTTTTATGTGTTTCTTCTTGTGTGTTCAATAATTTCTGCTTTATATATGTTGCTGTCAAATTATTTGATATGAAGTCATAACTGCGCCTATCTTTATTGAGAACTGTACTCATTATAAAATTCTCTTATTTAATTCAATGCTTTTTAGCCTAAATTCCTCTTTTTCTTCATCAAGATTGTGACCTCTGATTGAATTTTCTTGCTTTGCCTAATATACCTATGGCTATATTTTAATTTTCAACCTTTCACAATCACTTTGTTTTAGGTGTGTTTTCTTTATTTTTATTTTTATTTTTTTTTATTTATATTTATTTATTTATTCATTCATTTATTATTATACTTTAAGTTTTAGGGTACATGTACACAATGTGCAGGTTAGTTGCATATGTATACATGTGCCATGCTGGTGTGCTGCACCCACTAACTCGTCATCTAGCATTAGGTATATCTCCCAGTGCTATCCCTCCCGCCTCCCCCTACCCCACAACAGTCCCCAGAGTGTGATGTTCCCCTTCCTGTGTCCATGTGTTCTCATTGTTCAATTCCCACCTATGAGTGAGAATATGCGGTGTTTGGTTTTTTGCTCTTGCGATAGTTTACTGAGAATGATGATTTCCAATTTCATCCATGTCCCTACAAAGGACATGAACTCATCATTTTTTATGGCTGCATAGTATTCCATGGTGTATATGTGCCACATTTTCTTAATCCAGTCTTTCATTGTTGGACATTTGGGTTGGTTCCAAGTCTTTGCTATTGTGAATAATGCCGCAATAAGCATACGTGTGCATGTGTCTTTAGAGCAGCATGATTTATAGTCCTTTGGGTATATACCCAGTAATGGGATGGCTGGGTCAAATGGTATTTCTAGTTCTAGATCCCTGAGGAATTGCCACACTGACTTCCACAGTGGTTGAACTAGTTTACAGTCCCACCAACAGTGTAAAAGTGTTCCTATTTCTCCACATCCTCTCCAGCACCTGTTGTTTCCTGACTTTTTAATGATTGCCATTCTAACTGGTGTGAGATGGTATCTCATTGTGGTTTTGATTTGCATTTCTCTGATGGCCAGTGATGGTGAGCATTTTCTCATGTGTTTTTTGGCTGCATAAATGTCTTCTTTTGAGAAGCGTCTGTTCATGTCCTTCGCCCACTTTTTGATGGGGTTGTTTGTTTTTTCTTGTAAATTTGTTTGAGTTCATTGTAGATTCTGGATATTAGCCCTTTGTCAGATGAGTAGGTTGCGAAAATTTTCTCCCATTTTGTAGGTTGCCTGTTCACTCTGATGGTAGTTTCTTTTGCTGTGCAGAAGTTCTTTAGTTTAATTAGATCCCATTTGTCAATTTTGGCTTTTGTTGCCATTGCTTTTGGTGTTTTAGACATGAAGTCCTTGCCCATGCCTATGTCCTGAATGGTAATGCCTAGGTTTTCTTCTAGGGTTTTATGGTTTTAGGTCTAACGTTTAAGTCTTTAATCCATCTTGAATTGATTTTTGTATAAGGTGTAAGGAAGGGTTCCAGTTTCAGCTTTCTACATATGGCTAGCCAGTTTTCCCAGCACCATTTATTAAATAGGGAATCCTTTCCCCATTGCTTGTTTTTCTCAGGTTTGTCAAAGATCAGATAGTTGTAGATATGCGGCGTTTTTTCTGAGGGCTCTGTTCTGTTCCATTGATCTATATCTCTGTTTTGGTACCAGTACCATGCTGTTTTGGTTACTGTAGCCTTGTAGTATAGTTTGAAGTCAGGTAGTGTGATGCCTCCAGCTTTGTTCTTTTGGCTTAGGATTGACTTGGCAACGCGGGCTCTTTTTTGGTTCCATATGAACTTTAAAGTAGTTGTTTCCAATTCTGTGAAGAAAGTCATTGGTAGCTTGATGGGGATGGCATTGAATCTCTAAATTACCTTGGGCAGTATGGCCATTTTCATGATATTGATTCTTCCTACCCATGAGCATGGAATATTCTTCCATTTGTTTGTATCCTCTTTTATTTCCTTGAGCAGTGGTTTGTAGTTCTCCTTGAAGAGGTCCTTCACATCCCTTGTAAGTTGGATTCCTAGGTATTTCATTATCTTTGAAGCAATTGTGAATGGGAGTTCACTCATGATTTGGCTCTCTGTTTGTCTGTTATTGGTGTATAAGAATGCTTGTGATTTTTGTACATTGATTTTGTATCCTGAGACTTTGCTGAAGTTGCTTATCAGCTTAAGGAGATTTTGGGCTGAGACAATGGGGTTTTCTAGATATACAATCATGTCGTCTGCAAACAGGGACAATTTGACTTCCTCTTTTCCTAATTGAATACCCTTTATTTCCTTCTCCTGTCTAATTGCCCTGGCCAGAACTTCCAACACTATGTTGAATAGGAGTGGTGATTGATACAAAAATCCTCAATAAAATATAGGTGTGTTTTCACATAGAGTTATGATTTGCATTTTTGTTCCAATTTGGAAAACAACTTCCTTAATAGATGAGTTAAGCCCATTTATACTTATTAATATAATAGATTAGTTTTCTCTTAGGTCTATTTTAATGCTTTATATTATTATTTTTATGATTTTTAAAGAAAGTCTTTTGCTAAGTAATTTGCTTTTATTTTCATGTATTTGTGATACCTAAGAAAGTTGTTACTTTTGTTTTAGCAGCTGCCTTTATTTAATAGCCTTAGACTTTTTATTTCTTTTGACAATACTTGTTTCATAAGTGGATAAAGATAAAGGTGAAATTAGTGTGCACAATCTTTCTAACTCTATTTCATCTACCACCCAATTATATTCAATGTTGCGATTTTTCTCGGTGTTTTGGTGTTTCCCTAACACAGATATAGATTTTTTTATTGCTTGATTTCTTAGATTTTACTTATATCCTTCACACTCAGATGTTAGAGATGAGGTAATTAGAGAAAGCCCTCTAACTCATCATTTTTTAATCTTTTTCTTCCCAGATCAAAGTAAAAGTCCAAAATATTTTTCTAATTAAAAACATGAGGTCATACAACATAGCAAAATGGCTACTATGTTAAAGCTTTCAACTGAATGTTTCAGAAACAACTTAACACAAATATTTATTTTTAAATAGTTCTATTCTTACACTGCTTGGCCTTTCACATCATTAACATTTTAATTGAAAACCTGAGTACCATACTTCAACCCATGGATAATTGATCTGGGCTCTGCCAGAGCGAGTAGCTAGACCATTAACTAGTGAGACCCTGGCATGTAGATGGCATGGCCTCAAGTTCTCTTTCAAAATAACATCTCAAATGGGAGGTAGTGATACGAGGTAATGATTGAAAGCTTGTGTTTGCAATCATTTGTAATTTTTAATGGTGCTTAATCATGCTCATTAACTCATCCTCTTAACCCTGACAATTGCTGTGTTTGATCATGTTCTACTCCATTACCTATGTTATTATTTCTGTACCTTGACAAATAACTATCTTCTGGGTGTCAAAGCTATGTAGTAGTTGTGAGTAGATAATTTTATTTTATTTTTTTGTGGAGGTATTATTTGGTATGTGGGCTATATTAATTTTGGGAGAATATATAGGATCATGTCATTAGAGAGTTAAAGAATATACACTTAAAATAAAATCCAGCAACTTTTTTGGTTACTGCTTTGTTGAGTCTGGTATCCATAATATTTAGTGTAATAATTTGTAGTTTTTTTATTCCAAGTGATAACTTTAAGATAATTTTAGCAGTTCGGAGACCCTGAATTTCTTGTGCCAGAACATTTACACATGAAGTAATCAGTTTGGGAGGAATAGCACGATTTTGATAAGGACAAGAGAGAAAAAACCAAAATCAAAAATTATTTTACAAATGCCATGCTACCTTGATAGAGAATATCAAGGTGTCCTTCATAGTTGTTCTTTCTGTCATCAATCATTTATTCAGTAATTATTTATTGAACAACTATAGTAGGCCAGACACTGTGCATGACCCCAGGGATACAATGGTGAGCCATATGGACATGGATTATCCCCAGTGGATTTCTAGTCTACAGATAAACACACAAGCAAGAATTATCATGGCAATGAGTGTTTTGAAGAAATAACATTCTAGGCGTGTATAGCAAAGACCATATTCTGCTGGAATCCCATGATGAGAGTTTTGATGTTTATCCAAAGGGCAAGACCAGCTACATAATTGGTGGGGCTCAGTGCAAAATAAAAATGTGGGGATGATTTTTCAAAACTTATTAAGAATTTCAAGACAGTGGCAGCAGAGTATTAAATCAAGTGCAAGAACTTTTTAAGCACCCTGCCCTGTGTGACTGTGCAGGTCACAAGTGGATACAGCTGGCCCTGCCTAAGGGCAATCAGAAGCCAAAGAGAAGGTTTAACTAGAGAAGAGAGATGATTGAATTGGCATTTGAAAAAAATAAATTCCTTAAATTCCTCAATTGTTCTCCCAAGGCATGTTTAGTTAGTGAGTAAAGGCAAAGAGTATTAGTATCTCCCAGATTTAGAGTTAAATATTACTATTATTTTTCTAAGTCAGGTGCCTAGATACACAGGTATCTGGAATCCACCCTCTTAATTAACTTGCAGAGGTAGTAAACTAGTGAAATCTGAGTTTTTTGCTTAATGTTTTCCTAGGTTAACCAACACTTTAATACACTCGAATGATTTCACCCTGTAATCATTTAACAACATACACCTATTTTCAACTAACAGCCAGGAATAGTGCTTAAAATAAATATTGTGCTTCTTGCTTACAACCAGCTAATGTTCTGTGACAAAAGAATTAAGAATTCAAAAACATGAAAAAGAAAATAATTTGATTAGCACAAGAAGGAATAACTTCCTGCTAATCCTTGCTTATTATATTAGTTTGCATATTGTGCTAGGAAATATGTATTCTGTTGTTTTAAGATAATAGATTATATTTAATATGTAGCCGATAATCTAAATGTATTGAGAATCAAATCTTTTGTCACTCATCACTGTTGAAACAAATCTTGAATATTCTATGATGTAAGAAATAAAAAAAGTTCTCAACCATTTTAGTTTTTGCAATAATAATCCTAAATTTTTAATGTGTGCAAATGTATTTCAAAACACCTTTCAAAGAAATAATATTATAATCAAAATAAAAAAGATTTGACAGTGGTCTGCAATTTAATTTCTTGAAACACAGAGAAACAATTTTCTTGAGAGACTAGTGACAAAATAGAGTCAACCTTTCATCAAAGCCCCACACCTCTAGAATTCTACAACCTCATGTTTTATTTTTTCAAAATCTGGATTATTCAAGTTTACGCTATGGAAATGGTTAGAAAAGAGTATTAAAGTCTTACTCTTAAAAAGAGATTTTAATTGAAAAATTGAAAAAAATTAGTTGTGATATCTTTTTGTCCAATTATTTTGAAAATCACTGTACGTAATATAATGACAAATTTACTTACCTAGGTACACAGGTGATGATTCTTCAACTGTTTGTTGCACAGCCTCAGAGAGGAAAAAGCTAAGTACACAATCACTCTGAAAAACAAAATGAAACATAATATTTCTTTATTTCTTATATTTGTTACTGCTATTCATTATTACATAAAATTGCCATATATATCATTTTAAAATAGATACCTGTTATAGATTCTACAAATAGAGAGAAAGTATATTAGAAAGGTTAATTAAGTCAGTGCTATCATCTTACCATTAAGTTAAACTAAACTTTTGTGTGACTGAAGGTCAGATTACTTTCCATTTCTTCAAGAGGTTCAAGTGTGCTCTGCTCTTGGACCTCATCATAAATGTCCACATTCTTGAATTTTACAAATATGCATGCATTTCACATCTCAATTTTCGAAAACAAGGTGTATCCTTGGATGGCCTTTCTGAGAAAAATTACTGTGAGTGGGACAGACAGGCTCAGTTAGTGAGTAACCACTACTACTCAAGGTTCAATTCTAGGAATACTCGCTGAGTACTGACTACACTCAGAGCACTGAGGAATTTAAAAGAGAGGCATGGTTCTCTGTACATAGTAAAATTATTTATAACTAGAATTTTTATTAAAGTAATATAATCTGTTTTCTCCACTTAATTGTTTTCTAAAGAGAGAGAATCAGGGGATATATCAAGACAGAAAGATGCATAAGGTATTCTCTCTCTTTAGAACACAATTAAGTGGAGAAAACAGATTATATTACTTTAATAAAAATTTCAGTTATAAATAATTTTACTATGTACAGAGATGCATGCTTCTCTTTTAAATAGTGATAATCACAAATTGACATTTAACCTGATCTCCAAATGAATGGCTAACTGGGAAGTCTGAGAACAGCTTTTCCTTAGTAAAACTGGCATACATTTTGTTGGAAGCTACTATATGACCAAAGTAGTCCTCTCCATGAGATCTTACATTATTATCTAAAGGGCACCAAAGAATAATTGATTATTTCCCTGGACTACCTTTCACAGGCTGATGCCATAGTAGCTGTCAAAGCTGCCTGACAGCCTCCCTGTTCTTTTCTCTCACTCTGTCCAATGGCTTTTTCTACTCTTCCCCAGGAGACTTTAACTTCCAACTCTGACTCCTTCTCTGCTAATGACTGTCTCTACTTCCAAGAAAATAAAAGGCAGATGGAAATTCCTAAACTTCCTGCCATAAAATCTACAGACACACAGCTTTCCATCCGCTTACAATGGAAAAAAAAATGTGTCTTTCCCTCTGTCATAGTTGAATTATTTCCCCCTCCCAAATTCGTATCTTAAAGTTCTAATAACCAGTACTCCAGGACATGATATTATTTGGAAATAAGGTCATTGCTGATGTAATTAGCTAACTTAGGATGGGGTAATACTTGAGTAGAGTGGGCCCCTAATCCAATTGACTGGTGTCTTTATAAAAAGAGGAAATGTGGACACACTCATAGAAGGAAGACAAGGTGAAGAGACATAGGAAGAAGATGACCATCTACAAACCAAGGAGAAAGACCTGGAATAGATTCTTTCCTCATAGCCATCAGAAGGAACCAACCCTACAGACATCTTTATATCAGACTTTTAGCTTCCAGAACTGTGAAACAATAACATTCTGTTGTTTAAGTCACCCAATTTATAGTAGGTTGTTATGGCAGCCCTGGCAAACCATCTAATGCTGAACCCTTTACCTGTGTCCTGGATTCTATTAGTTCCTCCTCAGGAACCTTGTAGAAGATTCCCATCTATATTTTAGCCACTTCACTCTTCTTCCGTTTTTCCTCATCAACATAAAATATGGTCAATTCTGTCAATTTTAAAAACTAACAAACAGGTGAGTCAAACCACCCAAAATATACTCACACATAAATCGAATTTTGTCATTAATGCCCCTTGCAAATTGTGTGTTATTTTTCTCTTCCCTGATGCAAACAAACCTATGGGAAGAATTGTCTGCACTCACACTGATTCCACTTCTTCAATTTCTACTCACTTTATGATCAACTACATTCAGGTTTCTGCCACTAAATGTCCTCTGAAAAATGCTCTAATTATCTTCTCTAACAAGCCCTCTCTTAAAAACTACATACATATATATTTCAAAACCAATGGGAATTTCCTTTGTCATGATATAGCTATTCCATTTTTAGTGAATTCTGTCTTGTCTTTGCTTTTATATTACATGTTCTCCCAAGTGACTGTCTTCCCTTTCTATTGCCATCACTTCTGAGACTTTTTTGTGGACTCCTTTTCCTTTTGCTTGTGATTTAAGTTTAAGTGTTTCTCACTTCTAGGCCCATCTCTCTTATTACTCTAATGTATCCTTTCTGGGTAATATTATGGTCTTTGGTGACATCTATAATGATGCATAAATCTAAACATTTATTCCAGATTTGTCTCCTAAACCTAAGCCTTCTATCTCAAAATATCTTTTCACTGGTTCACTTGACTCTTCTAAGCACAAATCAAACCACAAAAGTGTACCACTAAATAGTTTTTCCTTTCCTTCACCTCAATTTGCTGCTTCTCCTATGTCCATGCTCACAATAGAGTGTACCTACTTGGACTCTCTGTTCTCCTCACCCCATACATAAAATTAATTGCTAAATCCTGTCGATTGTACCTGCTAAATAGCTCACCTATTCATCTTCTTCCAGGTATACTAATATCATCTAGTTCCAACATCATCAATTCTCATCTATGTTATAGCCTTAATGCTTATCTTGGGCCCTTTATACTTATCTTGCTACCCTTTAATCCAATCCAGTCTCTACACAATTGCTCAACAGATCTTTCAAAATGAAAATCTAATAATTAACTGCTTAAAACCTGTAGTGATTCTGCATTACTCTTAGGAAACAGACCAACTGCTGAACAAAGCTTGTAAGACTGCTCTTGACTGGGATCTTGCTCATTTCCCTATGTTCTTCTCTCACCCTTTCTCATCTGGTGCTTAATGCTTACCTTTGCTGAATTATATTTACTTTCTCAAATGTGTCATGGTCTCTCACTTCCTTGTCTTCCTATATTTTCCTTTCTCTTTCTTTTCTGCCCCTATCCACCCATTTGCCCAGGGTTTGTCATGTTCTCTTTTCTTCACTCTTGTTAATATTAGTAAAATACAAGTACAGAGATTGTGACTTATTCCCTTATGCTCCTCTTCAATAAAACAGTGTTTCTTTCAATAAATACTAGTTAACAGAAACAAACTGATGTCTGTCTTCAAATGTAGAATACATCAGTTTCAAATGCAGGTATTCTTATCTGCACAGCAGTTTATGCATCATTGTAAATTAGTCACCAATTTTCTTCTATGTATCATTGTAAATTAGTCAGTTGCCAATTTTCATCTGTGAATTGATCTCTTGTGAACTTGTTTAATAGAAGTCTACTTTTAAGAAATGGACTCATATTCAAGGAGATGACAGAGTCAAGATTTTTTATTTTGAAAGCATAAAATCAAACCTCAGACTGCAGAATCTGTTTAAGGAAATTTGACCTTCTTTGGCCTTTTGACAACTAGTCAATTACTTTTCTTTGGTGACATTTTGACCTCACCATCCAATGGTTATTAAACTTCAATAGTAGGAAAGAAATCTTTCCAATTGGTGTCTGAAATGTCACTACTAGCTAATTATTCCCTTGTGTTTACACCGTCATATCCTTCAAGTCCTCATTTATAATTCTGGGTGTGGATGACTAAATACTAACTTCTTATTGTAACAAGGTTATTTTCTCTCCTGGGAATAAACAAACAAGATCCAGAGTCAAGAGAGGGATAAATCAATAAAAGAGATGAAGAAGGTACAAAAAGTAATATTACTGGATCTCAAAATGATCAACTTTTAAATTTTCTGAGACTTGACTTTGCTTATATGTATGCCTCCCACAGCTTTTTTTCACATTGCACCAATAGATAGTCTGAAGATTTATAGAATTATCAGTGCTACATTTGCTCTCATTAATAACCTATGCCGGTGTTCTCCACTGGTATTGACCTCTAAGCAGTGTTGCCACATTTAGTAGTGTAGGTTGGATACCGCACAACTCTAAGGGGCCATTTTCACATAGTCTACGATGTATG
The DNA here is from genome assembly GCF_000001405.40 of Homo sapiens. NCBI lineage: Eukaryota > Metazoa > Chordata > Mammalia > Primates > Hominidae > Homo > Homo sapiens. Next base: position 18,590,469 of record NC_000012.12, on the reverse strand, counting down.
CAGGAGGGTTCCCCATATGTAGGGTTACCAGCTAGAGTAATAAAAACAGAGGGTACCCATACAATATTTTGGACATACTTTTACTAAAAACTTTATGGTTTATGGAAAATTCAAATTTACCTGGGTAACCCATATTATATCTATCAATCCTGGAATATGAGGTGTTCGGAAAGTATGTGGCCATCCTTTTGGCTGTGTCAAGGACTGGAGGATACAACTAGAAATTAATGGGCAATGTCACTTATCCTAAGTGTCCTGAAATACCTAGAAGATTCTCACATTATGAAGAACGTTTCTTTTCTGCTTAATTCCTCAAGTGGTTGTAGTTTCCCAGGTGAAAAAAAAAAAAAAACTCTGAATTTAACTACTGTATACTATAAATGAGAAAGTTGGATACCAGAGAGAATAAATGATTGTTTGGAATCAGTACAAACACAACTGGGACTGTGTGGTTACCAAGTCCAGGCTCACTTATGTAACCACTGAAAATGGACTATAGAAGTGAAGAGTGCTGATGGGGTACAGGCAGGAGAGAGCAAGAGAGAATTTCATAGGGAACCTAGAGGACATTCCTCTTCTAGCTTAAGGCTAGTTTGACCTATTTATCAATGTAAAGAAGAAAAGCATTACAATCCTGTTTGTTTTAAGAAAGATGAAAATGGAGCATTGTGGAAAAAAGAAAAGACAGCAATTAGCCTTGGAGAATGCCATGGGCAAAATTCCTTATGTGCTAAACAAATTGTATTCTCTGAGTGCTCCATTCTTCTTCCCCTTTAAGTCTCTGAATTGGTATCTGTGTTCCCTCTCATTTTCTTAATAATCCTTGTCCCAGAAGAAGGTGGGGTAGGCATCCTCTTTGTATTTACTTGCTCCTCTAACCTCTATTTTTCCTTCCTTCATAAAAATGCCCTGATTTGAATAGCATGTCTACTGACTATACTGCCCTCTACCTCTTGTTAACACACTTGCCTACTGGTCTTAGGTCACTGGAATTCATAAAGATGCTATAATTTATTTTAACAAAGAAAAATCTTGACCTACATTTCTCTGCACACTCTTTCATCTTTAGAGCAAAGCTCCTGCAAGGATTGCTTTCTGCTTTCTATCTCAAATTCCTTTCTTTACATTCTCCCTTAAGCAATTCCAATCAAGTTTTTGTTCCTAACATTCCCATCACACTGTTTTTCTTTTCCTTTTTTTAATTTTAAAATCATATCTAATTTATTAATAGATCCATAAATAGATCTCCTGATTAAAACTTTAATCTTCTTTCTTTTTTTAAAAAACTTTTAAGCTCACAGGTACATGTGCAGGTTTGTTATATGGGTTCCCTGTAGTTATTTTTTCTGATCCTCTCTCTCCTCCTATCGTCCACCCTCAAGTAGACTCCAGTATCTGTTGTTCCTGTCTTTGTGTTCATGTGTTCTCATAATTTAGCTCCCACTTATAAATGAGAACATTTGGTAATTGGTTTTCTGTTCCTGCATTAGTTTGCTAAGAATAGTGGCCTCCAGCTCCATCCATGTTCCTGAAGAGGACATGATCTTGCTCTTTTTTATGACCGCATAGCATTTCATGGTGTATATGTGCCATATTTTCTTCATCCAACCTGCCATTGAGGGCATTTAGGTTGATTCCATTTCTTTGCTATTGTAAATAGTGTTGCAATAAGCCTACACGTGTATGTGTCTTTATGATAGGATGATTTATATTTCTTTGGGTAGATATCCAGTAATGGGATTGCTAGGTCAAGTGGTAGTTCTCTTTCTAGCTTCTTGAGGAATCACCATACTGCTTTCCACAATGGGCTGGACTAATTTACACTCCCAACAACAGTGTATAAGCATTCCTTTTTCTCCATAACCTCTCCAGCACCTGTTATTTTTTGACTTTTTAATAATAGCTATTCTGACTGGTGTAAGATGGTACCTCACTGGTTTTGATTTGCATTTCTGTAATGATCAGTGATATGAGTAATTTTTCCTATGCTTCTTGGCTACATGTATGTCTTCTTTTGAAAAGTGTCTGTTCATGTCCTTTGTCCACATTTTAATGGGGTTGTTTTTTTTCCTGTAAATTTAAGTTTCTTATAGATGTGCATATTAGACCTTTGTCAGATGCATAGTTTGCAAGTATTTTCTCTCATTCAGTAGGTTTTCTGCTTACTCTGTTAATTATTTCTTTTGCTGTGCAGAAGCTCTTAAGTTTAATTAGATCCCATTTCTCAATTTTTCCTTTTGATGTGATTGATTTTGGTGTCTTCATCATGAAATCTTTGCCTGTTCCTATGTTCATAGTGGTATTGTTTAGGTTGTCTTCTAGGGCTTTTATAGTTTTGGGTTTTATATGTAAGTCTTTATACCATCTTGAGTGGATTTTGTATATGGCATAAAGAAGGGGTCCAGTTTCAGTCTTCTGCGTATGGTGAGCCAGTTATCTCAGCAGCATGTATTGAATAGGGAGTGCTTTCCCCATTGCTTTTGTCAGGTTTGTCAAAAAACGGTTGGCTATAGGTGTGCAGCCTTATTTCTGGGCTCGTTATTCTGTTCTATTGATATATATGTCTTTTTTTTTTTAATCAGTACCATGCTGTTTTAGTTACTGTCTCCCTGTAGTATAGTTCTGAAGTTGGGTAACATGATGCCTCCAGTTTTGTTTTTTGCTTAGGATTGGGTTGGCTATTCAGGTGTTTGTTTTGTTTTGTTTTGTTTTGTTTTGTTTGGTTGTTATTGTTGTTGTTGGTTTTTGGTTTCATATGAATTTTAAAATAGTTTTTTCCAGTTCTGTGAAGAATGTCATTGGTAGCTTGACAGGAATAGCATTGACTCTGTAAATTGTTTTGAGCAGTATGGCCATTTTAATGATATTAATCTTTCTATCCATGAGCATGGAATGTTTTTCCATTTGTGTGTCATCTTTGATTTCTTTGAGCAGTGTTTTGTAATTCTCATTGTAGAGATCATTCACCTCTCTGGTTAGTTGTGTTCCTAGGTATTTTATTCTTTTTATGGCAATTATGAAAGGGATTTCATTCTTGATTTGGCTGTTGGCTTGACTTTGTTGGTGTATAGGAATGCTACTCCTTTCTGTATGTTGATTTGTATCCCAAAACTTTGCTGAAGTTGTCTGTTAGCTTAAGGAGCTTTTGGGCTGAGACAATGGGGTTTTTGAGATATAGTATCATGCCATTTGCAAACAGAGATAGCTTGACTTCCTATCTTCCTATTTGGATGCCCTTTATTTATTTCTCTCGCCTTATTGCTCTGGCCACGACTTCCAATACTATGTTGAATAGGAGTGATGAGGGAAGACATCCTTAACTTGTGCGGATTTTCAAGGGGAATGCTTCCAGCTTTTGTCCATTCAGTATGATGTTGGCTGTGGGTTTGTTATAGATGGCATCTATTATTTTGAGATAGGTTCCTTTGGTATCTAGTTTATTGAGTTTTTTTAAATGAAGGGATGTTGAATTTTATCAAACGCCTTTTCTGCATCTATTGGGATAGTCATGTGGTTTTTGTGTTTAGTTCTATTTGTGTGATGAATTACATTTATTGATTTGCATATGTTGACCCAACCTTTCATCCCAGGGATGAAGCCTACTTCATTGTGGTGAATTAGCTTTTTTATGTGCTTCTGATTTGGTTTGCAAATATTTAGTTGAGAATCTTTGAATCAATGTTATTTTGGCCTGAAGTTTTCTTTATTTGTTGTGTCTCTGCCAGGCTTTGGTATCAGGATGATGCTGGCCTCATGGAATGAACTGGGGAAAAGTCTCTTCTCAATTTTTTGGAACAGTTTCAGTAATAATTTTACAGCTCTTCTTTAAACATCTGGTAGAATTCAGCTATGAATCTTTCTGATCCTGGGCTTTTTTTGGTTACTAGGTTATTTATTACTGATTCAATTTCAGAGCTCATTATTGGCCTGTTTAGGGAATTAATTTCTTCCTGGTTCAGTCTTGGGATGGTGTCCAGGAATTTATCCATCCCTTTCAGGTTTTCTAGTTTGTGCGCATAGAGGTGCTCATAAGTAAGTCTCTGATGGTTGTCTGTATTTTTGTGAGGTCAATGGTAATGTCCCCTTTGTCATTTCTAATTGTGTTTATTTGGATCTTCTCTCTTTTCTTCTTTGTTAGTCTAGCTAATGGCCTATCTATCTTACTAATTTTTTCAAAAAATTAACTCCTAGATTGATTGATTCTTTGAGGTTTTTTGTGTCTTGATCTCCTTCAGTTAAGCTCTGATTTTGGTTATTTCATATTGCTTGGTCATTTCTTATCTGGTTACTCTTCTGCTAGCTTTGGGGTTGGTTTGCTCTTGATACCCTAGTTCTTTTAGTTGTGATGTTAGGTTGTTAATTTGAGATGTTTCTAACTTTTTGATGTGGGTGTTTAGAGCTATAAATGTCCCTCTTAACACTGCTTTAGCTGTGTCCCAGAAATTTTGGTATGTTGTAACTTTGTTCTTATTAGTTTCAAAGAACTTCTTGATTTCTGCCTTAATTTCATTGTATACCCCAAAGTCATTCAGGAGTAAGCTGTTTAACTTCCATGTAATTGCATAGTTTTGAGCAATATTTTTAGTCTTGATTTCTATTTTTATTTTGCTGTGGTCTGAGAAAGTGTTTGGTATCATTCTGGTTATTTTGAATTTGCTGAGCATTGTTATTTGTCCAATTGTGTGATTGATTTTAGAGTATGTGCCATGTGGCAATAAGAAAAATGTATGTTCTGTTGTTTTTGGGTGGAGAATTCCAAAGACGTCTGTTAGATCCATTTGGTCCAATGTTGAGTTCAGGTCCTCAACATCTTTGTTAATTTTCTGCCTCAATGATCTGTCTAGTACTGTCAGTGGAGTGTTGAAGTCTCACACTATTATTGTGTGGGAGTCTAATCTCTGTGTAGGTCTCTAAGAACTTGCTTCATGAATCTGGGTGTTCCTGTGTTGGCTGCATATATGTTTAGGATAGTTAAGTCTTCTTGTTGAATTCAATGCTTTACCATTATGTAATGCCCTTCTCTTTTTTTTTTCTTTTCTTATCTTTGTTGGTTTAATGTCTGTTTTGTTGGAAATTAGGATTACAACTCTTGCTTTTTTTTTCTGATTTCCATTTGCTTGGTGGATTTTCTTCCATCCCTTTATTTTGAGTCTATTTGTGTCACTGTGTGTGAGATGGGACTCTTAAAGATAGCATACCACTGGGTCTTGCTTTTCTATCCAGTTGACCACTCTTTTTAAATGTGGTATTTAGCCCATTTACATTCAAGTTTAGTTTTGTTACATGTGGATTTGATCCTGTAATTGTATTGTTAGCTGGTTATCATGCCAGCTTGTTTGTGTGTTTGCTTTAGAGTGTCACTGGTCGGTGTACTTAAGTGTGTTTCTGTATCATCTGATAATAATGCTTCCTTTCTATATTTAGTGCTCCTTTCACGATCTCTTGTAAGGCAGGTCTGGTGGTAGCGGACTCCATCAGCATTTGCTTATTTGAAAAGGATCTTATTTCTCCTTCACTGAGAAAGCTTAATTTGGTTCATATAAAATTCTTGGTTGAAGATTTTTTTTCTTTAAGTATGTTGAATACAGGCCCCCAGCCTCTTCTGGCTTATAGATTTCCTGCTGAGAGGTCCACTGTTAGCCTGATGGTGTTCCCTTTGTAGGTGACCTTCCCTTTCTCTCTAGCTCCTTTTAATATTTTTTCTTTCATTTCAATCTTGGAAAATCTGATAGTTATGTGTCTTGGGATGATTATCTTCTGTAGAATCTTGCAGGGGTCCTCTATATTTACTGAGTTTTATTGTTTTCCTCTCTAGCAATGTTGGGGAAGTTTTCAATTGATTATATTCAGAAATATATTTCCAAGTTGTTTGCTTTCTCCCGATTCCTTCAGAGATGTCAATAATTCATAGATTTGGCTTCTTTACTTGATTCCATATGTCTCAGAGGTTTTGTTCGTTTCTTTTCATTCTTTTTCTCTTTACTTTTGTCTGACTGTCTTATTTCAGAGAGCCAGTCTTCAAGTTCCAAAATTCTTTCCCCAGCTTGGTCTAATCTGCTGTTAATATTTGTAATTGTATCGTAAAATACTTTTAGCATGTTTTTCTGCTTTATCAGATCTATTAGGGTTTTTAAAAATACTGTCTATTTAGCCAGGCATGGTGGCTCATGCCTGTAATCCCAGCACTTTGGAAGGCCAAGGCAGGCGGATCATGAGATCAGGAGATCGAGACCACAGTGAAACCCTGTCTCTACCAAAAATACAAAAAAAAAAAATTAGCTGGGCACAGTGGCGGGTGCCTGTAGTCCCAGCTACTCAGGAGGCTGGGGCAGGAGAATGGCGTGAACCGGGAGGTGGACCTTGTGGTGAGCCGAGATCACGCCACTGAACTCCAGCCTGGGCGACAGAGCGAGACTCTGTCTCAAAAAAAAAAACAAAAAAACAAAAAAACTGTCTATTTAAAAAACTGTCTATTTTATCTGTCAGCTCCTGTATTATTTTATTGTGATTCTTATGGGTTGGGTTTTGCTGTTCTCCTGAGCATCAATGATCTTTGTTCCTATCCATATCCTTAATTCTATTTCTGTCATTCCAGCCAACTCAGCCTAGTTAAGAACCCTTGTTGGAGAACTAGTGCAGTCATTTGGAGGACATAACTGGCCATTTGAGTTGCTGGAGCTCCTGCATTTTTTTTTTTCTTATCTTTGAATGTGGGTGTTCCTTTAACTGGTGGGCTGCCTCTGATTAAAGTGGTTAGGCAGGGGAAGGGTAGTTGTGCTGCAGTCCCAGGTTGGGAAGCCCTGCCTAGTAAGAAGTGATGACCAGGACCTGTGTGGCAAACAGTATGTCCACTTTTCTGTGTGGTGGGTGCTCTGTGCTGGGGGTCTGGACCAGCCCCTGATCTCCACAGACTCTCCAGAGCCTGGAGACAGCAGGACAAGGGCTGCAAAACAGCAGAGGTGGCAACCCACCCCTCCCACTGGGAGCTCTGTCTCAGGGATTTGCAGAGCTGTTACTGTCTCGATATTCCTAACGAGGGATGCTGGAGACTCAGGCCAGGAGGACCCACCCACTGAGGAGATACAGGGCTGGGGACCCATGTAACAAACAGTCTGGCCACTTTTCTGTAGGGCTGCAGTATGCTGGGGGTCTGCTCTAGTCCCCAGTCACCTTGGATTTTTCAGCACCTACAGTGAAGGTAGCAACAGCAAAGGCTTTGAAACAGCAAATATAGTGGCTTGCCCTTCTCTCTGGGAGCTCTGTCTCTATCCAAGGGAGGTATGGACTTGTTGCTGGCCTGAACACACTGACAGGGGTGGTTGTAGACCTCAGTCAGGAGATTCTGCCCAGTGAAGAGAAATAGGATTCAGAATCCATATGAAAAAGCAGTCTGGCTGCTTCTCCACAGAGCTGCTGTGCTGTGCCACGGGACTGCTCCAGCCTAAAGTCACCCCGGACTCTCTAGCACCTGAAAACAACAACAGCTAAAGCTGTGAAAGAGCAAAGATGGCAGCCTGTCCCTCTCTGTGGGAGCTTCATCCCAGAGAGGCTTGGAACCACTGCCAATTAGAAAACACTGGGTGAGAGTGGCTGGTGATACCAGCTGGGAGGTCCTTGCCCAGTGAGGAGAAGAGGGGTCAGGGTCCCACATAAAAAAGAAAAGCAGTCTGACTGCTTTTTCTTAGGGTGGCTGCACTGAAGGCAGTAACTGCTAAGGCTGCAAAACAGCAAAGATGGCAGCCCACCCCTCCCTCTGGGAGCTCTGTCTCAGGGAGGTGTAATGCTGCTACCGTAGTGACTGACTGAAATTCTCAGCCAGTGGGTCTCATCCTGCCAGGTTCTGTGGAAGCGGAGCCTGCACACCATTGCTGCTCAGCCCCCTGGATTCAGCCCCTTTCTTAGGTGTATGTATAGGAGTCTAACCTTTCGCTTTGGCAGAGTTGCAGCCACTTTTGCTAGGAAGCCCGGTATCTAAAGCTCCTGGTGCTTCACGTGTGTCTTAGTGGCCGCTCCGCCAAGATTCTACGTAGCTCAGTCTGTCAGACTGAAGGCCCTGGTGGAGTGGGTTCACCAGGGGATCTCCTGACCCAAGGGTTGCAAAGATCCATGTGAAAACTGTGGTTCCTGGGGTTTGCTCACTCACTTACCATTTCCCTGGGCTGGGGAGGTTCCCCTGTTTCTGTGTTACTTCTGAGTGGGCAGTTGTTGCTTTTCTCCATTCTCTGTGGGTTGACTCGTTTTCTTGATGAATCCCAATGTGTGAGCCCGGATGCTTCAATCGCAGGTGCTGTATTTCCTTGCCCCTTCTATTTCTCTCCATGAGAGCTATGCACACTAGCTGCTTCTAGCTGGCCATCCTGTCCAGCCTGCTTTGAAACTGTTTTTCTTCATTTCACTAATCATACCCATTTTTGCTTAATCCAGTGGTCAATTCTCAATTTTTGACCATCAGTAGCATTTGACGCAGCTCATTATCCCTTCTTCTTTGAAATATGCTTTTCTCTGAAATTCCAGGCACCACAGTCTTCTGGTGTCCAACTGGTTGCTCCTGCTCAGCCTCCTTTGTTGATTCTCCTGTATCTCTTCAAGCTTTAAAATTGGGGTTCTGCACAGTCTAGTCCTCAGACTGCTTCTTTTTCATATTTACACTCTCACCCTAAGTAATCTTATCCTGTCTCATGCCTTTGATAATCAATTATTTGCTGACAACTGCATTATCAGTATTTCCAGCCTAACTTCCCCCCTAAACTTGAGATACATGAATCCACCTTCCTACTTGACGTCTCTGGAAGCCTTATAGGCAACTCAAATGTAGTGGGTTTAGATTCAAACTCCTTCTTGCCCCACTCTCCATTCCCAAGTTTTTGCCATCACAGTAAATGTTCAGCCAGTGCAAGCTTGTCAGTCCATAAAGGCACATTAGTGGTTGGCAATCATCCTGACTAGGTCAGTGCTTGTGCACTAAGAGTTGTTAGATATTTGGAACACTTCTCCTATGTAGAGCATTACATATTTGGTGAATAAATAAATAAACGTTTGGGATTTTTCTTAGGGGATCTAAAGTTACTGTCCTTTGGTATCAATGACTCAGCTAAATGTGTTAAGCTAAATGAAATGCTCTATGAGGTTTTATGTATGTATTTTTTTCACTGTCAGAGTAGATATGTTTATCTAATATAGGATTTTCAATGTCTAATAATGTGCTTTTAAATTTAACAGTGCAATCAATAAAGAACAAATTTGAAACCCAACTGAATAATTTTAAATTAAAATCTTCATCAGTTTACAGTTTAAGTTCAGATACTTTGTTTGCCAATTATGTTGTCATTTACAATTTAATATGATTGATTTTTTCAGAGAGTTGATCAATTCAAAGTTACTTAAAACCTAAGTGCTTTTCCTATGTCATCTGAACATATTCTTGTTATCAAAGACTACAGAGTTAAAGTACTTGCAAAGGCCAGAAGTAATGTAATATAACAGCAAGATCAATTTTTTCTTTCTCTAAAAACAGCTCAGTGAGCATTCCCATTTATTAACTGGTCAGCCAACATCTAGAATTGGCTGCAAGATTTAGCTTTAGTGAGTTAAAACAATAAGCTAAATCTGTCTCTCTCAAACACGATGAAGTGCTGTAAAAATGTGAATTTAAAAACGAATTTCCATAAGAGTTTTAAATCAAAGTTGAACAGTAATTTTATTTTATTGCTTTTTTTATAAAGCAGTGTGTCAGAATGTCCAGTCTTTAATGTAGTTCCACCCACTATATTCATATTAGAGTTACATGGAAGAATGACACTATGAAGAATAGTGAACTTTTAAAGAATCCTTTACAATTCTAGTTTAAAATGTCATCAACATTTTAGTAGACTGTGTAAAGTAATCTTGGCTTTACTGATGGTACACATATGACATTTATCCTGCGTGCAACATAATCTCAGCTAGCTCCAAATAAGAAAAGAGCAATGTCGTCACAAATGTAGTAATTAACATCTGGGTTTAGCAAGCAGGGAACAAGAAACATATGCTCACGATTAAGATAGGATTTATCCATTTGGATTTATTTTGACATTTGATTTCTGCTTTAAAAAAATAACACTGCTTAAACCTTAAGTAATATCAATTTCTTATTTTAGGGAACTTCTGGTAATGAACAACAGTACTGAGAAGAGCTAAAGCTCACAGTGAATATGGCTTTAAAATTTTTAAAAACAACAGCTGTTTGAATATCTCAGCTAACCTCAAATATGGGTACACATTTATTTAGGTACTGCTATCATTTGCTATTACTTTTATTACATGTTTCTATTACTCTCTCTCTCTCTTTTTTTTTTTTTTGAGACAGAGTCTTACTCTATTGCCAGGCTGGAGTGCAGTGGTGCGAACTCGGCTCACTGCAACCTCCACCTCGTGGGTTCAAGCAATTCTCCTGCCTCAGCCTCCCAAGTAGCTGGGACTACAGGTGCGCGCCACCACGCCTGGCTAATTTTTGTATTTTTAGTAGACACAGGGTTTCACCATGTTGGCCAGGATGGTCTTGATCTCTTGACCTCGTGATCCACCCACCTCGGCCTCCCAAAGTGCTGGGATTACAGGCATAAGCCACCACGCCCAGCAGTTTCTATTATTCTTTATAAAGATCTTATTTAGTCCACAACACAATTCCACCAAAACAGAGCAAAATTTTAAGAAGGAAAGGAATTCTTGTTAGCACGACAAGAATGAACTTAAATGAACTACAAACACTGAAAGAAAAAAAGCTTAAATCCATTTTGAGGAAAAGAGTGAAGCTAAAAGACAAGCCAGGTGGATATGGAACGAGGATGTCTAAACTGATCAACTCCATCAGAAGAGGTATTAGGATAGTCCATTTTCTTTTGTCAGTTGTGTGCATGTGTGTGGGAGAGAGAGAGAGAGAGACAGACAGAGGAACAGACAGAGAGATCTCAGAGATTTATAGGCATCCCTCCACCTGGGCTGCTCTTGTATCTTTAGAACAAATCCCCAGAGACCTCTTGCCCATCTAACTTAACCAATTCTGGCCTTTAAAGAAGTCTCTTTATCTCATTCCCTTGGCAAAAGTAAGACTGCTTATAATTAAGAATTATACTAGAAGGGCACATAATAATATTTCATATTAGCAAGTTAAGGTTGTACGATTTCATGTTAAAGCTACATTTTCTACTTTTCTTCCATTTTTCCACTCACTGTCATATGTTATTTATATTCATGTCTGTATTTATTACAGTACTGTAAACTCAATGAGAGTAAAATATATGTTGCATTATTTTTAATCTCTCTAATTTCTTGTCTGCAACCAACTTAAAGCTCTTAATCAAGAGTGTTACACATAGTGTCAGTAAAAATTTAAAGTCTTTACAAGTTATGTAATGATATTAAATAATTTTATAATTGTTATAAATAAATATATCACGTAACTAAAATTGGGGTGTGTTTTAGTGTAGAAGCGTATAGGATTATCTTTACTTTTCCTATGTTGTCATAAGACTAGCAACTATAAAATGTGAAAAACATTTTAGGAGAATTTTTCTAGAATCAGAGATGCAGATTATTCTATTACGGAAGTATTCAGCATAAATAGTATAGATTCAAGTTAAATCTCTTGTTTTATTAACAAGAGAAAAGAGAATTTGTGAATGCATGAAAACATCTAAGACGTTCATATCACTTAAAATAGTAAAAATATTTATGGCATATAGACTACATAAATTCTAATGTTTATGTAGATATAACTATGTTAATATATATGAAGAAAGGGAGCTGTATCGGTAATACAAGATTTTAAAAATCTGAAAATAACATGATTTGGTTTGGAATTATTTATGTGATCTTTAGGCCAATAATGTTTCATTTAATCTTAAAATTATGTTTTTATTTCTTGAATATAAACAAACTGACTTAGGCAAGTGTCCATAAACATATGGAGATGCATAATGCTTTCATGAGGACTAACTTACTTGCAGATAGTTAAAATCTGACTACATTATGCAACACAGAGAGCATGAGTGATTAGTCAGATCACACTGCTTATTAATGCTGAGCAACATCTGATGACATCATTACTGTTCTATCACAATATAACTCATATAATGAATATTATCCCAAGTCCCATAAAATTCCTTTGGAATATAGGAGGAAAAAAAACCCAACGTGTGAAGTTATAAAAGACTTTATGAAGCCACTGGTGCATATCAACATAGACAGAATATAGACACAGACTGTAAGCTTCTCATGGCAGCATTGTGTCTGATTCAGCTTCCTACTTTCTGGGGTAGAGTTTCCCAGACCTGGTCGTGCATCTGAATCACTAGAATTATTGAAATGCAAGACAGATACCTAATATATCACCTTCTACCTTTAGAACCAGCATGTTTAAGGATGGGGCTCTGAACAATCCCTTTAAAACCTTCCCAGTTTATTCTAAAACAATTGGTTACCAGGTACTATTTTGGCACCCCTGGCCAGAGAGTATAAAATGTAGGCAATCAATAAACATTTGTTGAATGACTAAGACAGTGATTTTCAATGTGGCAGCTAATACGCCGAGGCTCCTCACTGTCCACATTTAATTTTTGATGATTTGGCAGCTATCAACATAGCACTACTTTATTTATTTTGTAGTCCAGAAAGGGCAAATAATAAGTGAGATGTAGATTGTACATCTCAGGAAGGTATGGTACCCTAAATATTCATTATGCAAAATCAACTACGTTAATTACCAGGATGATACCTTGGGAGAAGCTATTATATCTATAATTTTAGCTTCTTTTAGTATGAGACTATTATGGAACAAGACAGGATTCCCCTCCTTGAAACTCCAGTGTTAGAAGATGGCTGAAATATTCTCACTTGGAGTATTTTTAGGCTATGTGATTTCACAACAGTACTTCATGTTTGATGATATAAATGCCTTCTCCCATTAGATTTTAATTCAATTCAATATAAAAACAATGTAGTGCCTGGAATTTCTTTAGCCTTGCTTTCCGTAAATACTGACCAATGGAGATTAAAAGAGACACAAAACAAGACGAAAACATCTCTCCTCAGGGCCTCTAGGGTAGTACTTTAATTAGCACATTTGTAAATGTGGATGTGACAAAAACAGCAAAAGCTATGTTTGGTGGTTTTGGTCTTATGTCCCCATGCAGCAATGAGTATGATGGGCAACAATATTCATTAAGCCTTGCCGTGCTGTGCTGTGTACACCTTTACAAAAAACCTTCTCTGCCTGTGCATGCCTGGCTTCTTTGCCTTCTGCTCTCATGACAGCCCTCTGCTAATACTTCTATCTTAACCCATCCTGTGAGATTTCATAGCAGATACATTTAGGAGTTTCCTATTGAAAGTCTGCTGCTTCCAATATTCACCTTCTTCACACCAGTCCCAGAAATCAGATGCCTTTTTACTTTGCACTTATTGGCCTCAGCTTACATAGCCCAAACCTGACAATTTCAGCAGTTGTTGCACAGGTATTGTCTCCAAACTGCTTTATTATAATCAGTAAGACAGCCCTCAGCATGCAAAGATAATAATCCATCCACCATTCCCTTAGCACTTTCCTTTACAGCTACTGCCATATCCACAGCCCTTGACTACAGTATAAATGAACAGACGTGACCTTCAGAGAATGTCAGCATCAGTGAGGGACATTAAGATGTCAACATTCTATGTGCTTCTTTAACATGCAAAAATCACTTGGAACCCAATGTGATGAATTAAGTTTCCTTGATTCTCTAGGGCAGAAGCCTTAGTCATAATTCATTCTCCACTGACTGAGACAGAAAGGCAAATAGATTAAGACATGTTATATAATTTTATATTGAGAATGCACATACAATATCTTGCTTTCCTATTGTTTTGTTAACAGTGTTTTCAACAATTATTTTATTTTACTTCTTTGTTTCCTCCTACTACTAATATTATTATACTCTGTTTCCCTATTACACTATTCTATCTTCATAGTGAGTGAGCACATACTGTTCATTTCTTTCCCTTTGCTCATAACAGATACATTACAAATGTGATTTACATAATCTGAGTGATCTTTCTGGAGGGCACAGTCATGATTTGGTGTGCTATTACCATTCATCCTTTCTGCCCATGGCCAGGCAATGTTCCTGGGCATGGCACTAGGCAACCAGTGCAGCCTACCCCAGAGCTGGCAGTGAAGAGGATTCCCACGATCATTCTCTACAATGCCAGAGGTGTCTGTCATGACCTTCATGTGGGATTATGCACTGAAGTGAAGGAAAATATTAAAAGTACTATGAATGTTTATTTTGTAATAACATTCAAACTTCTTTTTCTAAATTTTTCATTTTCTGCAAGTTTTAAAATGTGTGTCACTATTTGTATAGTAGTTTGTGTATAAAATATATTTAAATGAGTTATATATTTTGGAACCATGAGCAATTATTTAAATAAAAACTTGATAAGATATAAGAATAAACAAGTTTAGAGACCATGGCTAATCACTTCTCAGATGCAATCTTTCAGTCCCTTAGGTTTTCAATAGCAGCAGAAGTTTTATAGGCTAGTATGTGCTAATGATTTTGTTATTCATTTACTCATTCAAAAACACTAATAAACATTGGTAAGAGTATTAGTGCTAGACATGGGGTAAAAATAGAGATAAATATAGTCATTTTGTTCTTTAAGTTTCTAAACAGGAGAAAGCGTGTAACCATAATGTTTTGTTTTTGCAGTTCTCTTTGCCTAGCACGACTTTTCCCGATTTCCAGTTACCAACTGCTACTTGCCCTTTAATATCATCTTAAATGCCATACCATCTGGGATGCCTTCTCTACCTCACTTGGAATTAGTTGAGTACACCTCCTTAGGTGCTCAGGCAGTTGCCCTTTGACACAACATAGCATCTCCAGCTGAGAGTCTACCAGCCTTGAAATAATATTGCAGCACAATGTTCTTGTATCAAAATTTGCTAAGAATCAATAATATAATAGAATACTTGAGTACCTGCTATGTTGGAGGCCAAATGACTGACCATATTTAAACTGAAAAATAAATGGGAAGATATTTATTGTCTGAGACGATGGTTCTCAAATACTACCATGTATTGAGATCTTCTGGAGGACTTGTTAAAAACAAAGATTGCTGGGTCCCACCTCTTAAGTTTCTGATTTAGTAGCTCTAGATAGGGCCAATATTTAACATTCTTATATCAGTTTCAAGGTGAGGTTCCCAGCACCATATAGGAACTATAATTTGAGAACCACTTGTTTTCTTAGTAACTGCTGAAAGGGATCTAAAAGCTTCACCTCTTCTTGCTCCTGACTATATGCAATCTAATGCAGTCCTGATTGACAGCTCAGGTTTTCTCTAACAGTGCTTAGGACCCCTATGACCTAGGATTTTCTTCTTTAAGTACATCTATTTATCATTAAACCACAATATTACTGAACTAGGAGGCACAGCAATAAGCCAACATGCTGAGTCAGTGAGTCTATTTTACAATTAGGAGGCTATTTTGTATATATGCATTGATATATTTTTAAATTTCAGTAAGTTTTTTTTATATGTACTGATTCAATCTATTATATAGCATGTAACAAAAGAAATTTAAACCATGACTTGAGATGTAATTTCATCTAAAGGCTTTCCCAAGATCCAGTGGAAAAGAAATGTTGTTGAACTGACAGCTGAGAAAAAAATAAAGCTCTTTTGCCCTTTAGTAAGTTCTAGTTACGGGGTTAGCTGTTTTCCTACTGTTACAATGCCTGTAATTTACTTTGAAATATGTCTGTATGTGCAACATGATATTATATATATGTCTCTTAAGTCAAGGTATAACCCAAGTGCTGCTAGCATTTAATCAAGACTGCAGAGTCGAGTCTAGGAATGACCTGTTAATGCCCTAATCAAAGATGCACAATTGGGGCAGTGGTATGGGGAGGGAAAAAGGAGGGGGTTTTTAGTATTCTAATCAAGAAGCCCATTCTAGATGCAGTCAGTACATGTGCTTCTGTTATTCACTCAGAACTTGATAATAGGCATTTTAGTAACTAGCAAACTGAATGTTACAGATAAGTTTTTCTTTATAAAAATGGTGGCTTATTGACTAGTCGCGTTAATATTAGAAATGGGTTCTCATGGGTGACATTAAAGTTATCAAGATCTGAGGACTAGCTAAAAATATTCTATAACTGTTCTTCACTCTTACATCAAAACGCAAAAAATCCAAAAGGCCTTGTACTCTTTACTTTTAAGGATAATGTTTCAGATAAATCACTAAAAGATCCTGTGTCTCTCCAAGAAATCTAGAATATTCTGTTAGTTTGGTGCCTCCCTATGAAATGTAGCATTCATCTCAAATAAGATGAGTCCTTCATACAGGATGATGATATGAGAACCTAACAGTAAAGAAAATTAGAGCTCCTTTTAGCATTCAGAAGTTGTATGTTCTGTGCATATATAGAGTACGTGTGTGTATTTGTGTGATCTTAAAAGCCTTTTTTGATCCACATGTGAGATGGGACAGAATTAGGGTTTAGCATTTCCCTTCAATTTTCTAGGCTATTCTCAGAGCCACTGGTGGGTAGCAGCAAACAGCCCAATAAGAAATCCTTTAATACTTTTTGGGCTGGAAAGTGACCACAGACTGAGACCCTACAATAGCAACCTATGAGAGAATGGCTGTAGTAGAGCACAAGAAAGAGACGGAGAAGCAAAATGGCAGCTATCTCTTAAAACCAGGGGTAGCTTGGGTGATGGCTGCAGTTTTAGACTCCATTTTCTGGTGATAGTAGGTTAGGCCATTTTGTCCAAATATCCTAATGAGAATAATTGAAACAGCTAGACATTTGCTTTTTAAACTTTGCTGGAAAGTGTTAGACAGCCAACAAGATAATGAAAAATTACCAGGGTAGGATCTGGAAGGAAGGCACAAATTCAGGAATGTGGGTCCAGGATTTGGCACTGCTTCTCTGTTGTGGGTGTTTACTCACACAAGTGGGAGCAGTTGAGAGGCTGAGAAGTTAAGCAGCACTTTTGACCACTTTGCAGACACAGGAGAAAAGGAAATTGAAGCCAGGACTGCCAGGTAGGCTTCTGGTGAATCTGCCTCTCCTTGAGTCTGGACCCCAGATGGCTGTATCTGAGGAATAAGGATGAACCAGAAAGAGGCCCTCACAAAGGCTATAGTTCAGTTTCGAATAATCTGAATTGCTGCAATTGAATTTTGGCAATCTCAGATTGCTAATGTCCCTATATTTAATTCTTTTCCACACTAAGATAATAGTAACCTAGGTGGTAAATTATTTCTACAAAGGATATTGCAGTATAATATCTGGCCACAATAAAAAAAGAAAATAACTAAACTCACAAGTGAACAAGACTACATGATTGAAAATCAGTAGAAACATTACACATTAGAATCATACATGCAGTGATTCTCAATAGTGGCGTTTTAAGAAAGATTTAAAAATAACTATGCTTACTATTTGCAGATATAATAAAAAAGGCTGAGATTTTCAGTAAAAATGGGGAACTCACATAAAAATGGAAATCATAAAACTGAAAAACATAATGTTTGAAATTAAGAACTCAAAGAATGAGTTTAATAACATATTAAACACAGATAAAAGAGAATTAATAACCCAGAAGTTATGTCAGAAGAAGCTACTCAGAATGAGGCATGAAGAAACAAAATAATTAAAAAATACAGGAGTAAGAGTAAGGAGTAGGAGGCATAAAGGATATAGTGAAAAGGTTTAACATATATGTTATTACAGTCCTAGAAAAAGAGAAGAAATGGTACAAGCAATATTTGAAGTCACAATGTCTGAAAACTTTCCAAAACTGATGAAAGACATCATAGCACAAATTCAAGAACCTCTGAAGCTCAAGCATGATAAAAGTAACAACATTACATCTGAGTAGATTATAGTAAAAGTGCAAAAAAACAAAACCAGATATGTATCAGCAGATTATATTTATATATATCAGCAGATTACATTTATATATATCAGCAGATATATGGATATAGCTACCTATATAAAGCTTTATTATATAAATTTTATATTTAATAACATAAAGCTTTATTATATATTATATATAGCTTTATATATATCGCTTTATATATATTTTATATAATTACAATAAGGCCGTATGATATATAACTTTATATATAAATATATATATTTTTATATAATTGCTATTAAAATAGTATTGTCAGCAAAAATATCCCTGAAGAATAAAAGACTAAAAAAAGTTGATTATATGAATTAAAAATAATAACTACTTCAGTTTATAGATACAGATATAGATGTACATTATTTGTAAATAATATAAGACACAAGTGGGTTAAATAGGCATAGGGCTCTAAGGACCTTGTATCATTGGGAAATTCATAAAAATTCTAATTTATTTTAGACTTAAATAAGTCAAAGACACATAGTTTAATGTCTATGGTAATTCCTAACAGGAGAAGAGTTTATAACTACTGAGGTTACATAGGACAAAATGGAAAAATAAATACTAAATTTAAAAAAAGAATGGAAGAAAAGAGAAAAAGCATTAGGTGATAGACTTGAGTATAACATATACACATAGACACATGCACACATGTATTTATCAATGACAGTAGCAAGTGTAAATAATTAAGCAGTACAAGTAAAAGATGAAAATTATGTTACTGGATTTAGAAAAAAACCCATCTGTGTGTTGCTTATAAGAGTGATCATTGAAATGGAAAAATATGAAATGATGAAAGTAAAGCAATGGAAAAAGTTGTATCATGCAGACACTAGCCAAAATAAAGCTGGCTTGGCTATATTAGTAATACAGAAGAAAGATTTTTCAGACAAAAGGCATCGTTAGAGATAGGAGAGACACGTGAACGTTAGTGAAAATTTCAATATAATGGGAAAAATATAACAATTCTCCATGTAAGTGATCCTAATAACAGTCACAAAATATATAAAGCAAAAATTAACAGGAAGATAATGAGAAGTAGTTAGATGTATAAATATAGTGGAATATTTCTATAAACCTCTACTGGTACAAACAAACAAAAACCAGTCAAGATGACAATTTGCACTAATATACACGTGTAGAACACTGCATCTCACAACTACAGGGTGCATTCTTCTAAAGCATGCATGGAATTTTTACCGAAATTGCCCATATTTAGGATCATAAAACATTGCAAAATTTAGAAAAAATTGAAACTATAGGTGTATTCTCTGACATACTTAATCTAGAAATAACAAAAAAGAGGCTAAATATATTTGAAAAAATTAAAAAGTATTTCCTAAAAATCCATGGCCACAAGAGAAATCACAATGAAAAGTTTATAAATATTTTGAAAGAATAAGAAAGAAAATATGGTATTGTATATCAAATTTGTATATACAATATTGTATAGAGAGATTTGTGGGGTGCAATCAAACCTTTACTAGAAGGGAGTCGAATTTTAAATGTGTAAGTTAGATAGGTTGAAAGTAAAGTTAAGCAGCCATCTGTAGTGAATCTCTATAATTTTCCTTTGCCGTGGCATTTATTTTGAATATAAGTTGCACTTTCAAATACTAGAAGAAACTCTTAGTCATCTTTGACAGTTTTCGGTTCTCTGCCTTCGAGCTCCTTGATGTGGTCGATCCAGATCTTTCTTATACAACTACCTCCTGGTGACCATCTCTCTATGGGTCAGATAGATATAAACTTCTTGACTCACTCTACTCATACCCACACACTGCTTGCATTGCATAGATATGCTACAATGACTAACTTCAGTCACCATTCAACTCTATAGAACCTGCACCTGCTTGCCCTAAATCCTCTAATTAGAACTCCCTGTGGGAAACCTGCTTGGATAATGCCCTATACTGCAATAAAGGCTTTGGTCCACAGGTCCCTTGCCCTCTCTCTCTTGTTCTCTACTTGCTGCTTGAGTGTGTGTATTAATAAAGTGTGCATCTCAGGCTGGGCACAGTGGGATCACGCCTGTAATCCCAGCACTTTGGGAGGCTGAGGCAGGTGGATCACCTGAGGTCAGGAGTTCAAGACCAGCCTGGCTAACATGGCAAAACCCCGTCTCTATTAAAAATACAAAAATAGGCTGGGTGTGGTGGTGGGCGCCTGTAATCCCAGCTACTGGGGAGGCTGAGGCGGGAGAATTGCTTGAACCTTGGAGGCAGAGGTTGCGGTGAGCCGAGATCAGGCCATTGCACTCCAGCGTGGGTGACGAGCAAAACTCCATCTCAAAAAAAAAAAAAGTGTGCATTTTATTTATGGATAAAGAAGTATTACATGAAAGGCACATTGTAAACCTGAATAAAGGAGAAGAGCCGTTGATCATGGATCACCACAAAAGATTCACACATTTATGACATTGAGGTAGGGTATGTTCTTACTAAGAAAATATTGATACATTTCACTTCATTAAAATTAAGCATTTCTATTCATCAGAAGACATGATAGAGCAAAGGGACAAGGTACAGAGTAGAATATATGAAGAAATACACCTTCCAACAATTTCAACCAAGAAATGAATCAATAAATGAATATTAAATTATTCAATAGAAAAATGGTAAAGAGACATGAACTGGCACTTCATGAAAGAAGATATCCGAATGACCAAAAAACATATCAAAAAGTGTTCAAGCTCAATAGCAACAGGAAAATGCAAGCTAAGAGTTCAATGAGACGCACACCAACCAGAATGGCCCAAATTTAAAAGATTAAAAAGACCAAGTATAGAAAATTGGAAAATGTATTTATTGCAAATGAGAGAACAAACTGGTCATTATAAGGTTGAAATAAGTATATCCTACAATCTGGAAATTCTATTCCTGGGTATAGGAACAACATGGGGATACTGAGTCATGCATGTGAAAGAATGTTCATAACAGTATGGTTTGTAATAGCCCCAAACTGGAAACATTCCAAAAGTCTATGTAGAGAAGTATCTACAGATAAATTCTAATATATTTGTATAATAAAATATTATACAACAATAAAAATCCATGAACCTTGGAAATGGGCTATCACTGCATTGTTGGCCTAAAACCAGTCATTCTATTATTATCTCTTAGTTCAGGTGTTCGAGAGGGCTCAGCTGGGTGTTCTGCTTGGGATCTCTGATGAAACTGTGATCATTTGGTGGTTGGGGATGGAGTCCCAGCTGGGGACTGGAACAGTTGCTGTTCCTTAGATATCTCTCTTCGGATTTGATCTTTTTGGTTTCTCTGCCGGGCAGACTCAGGGTAGGTCAGCTTGAAAGATGGCAACTGAAGGCTCCCGCAGTGACCATTCCAAAAGAAATTGTTAGAAGGTGCGTGGCATTTTCTAACCTATCTTGGAAGTCATAAAGGGTCACTTCCACCATATTCTATTTGATGAGCAAATGACAGAAGCCCTCTTGGGATCAAGAGGTTGGGACACAAGCTGCCTCCTCTTGATGGGAGGGTGGCAAAGCATTTTCAGACATGTTTTGAAACTACTGCGTGGTTACATGGGTGTTCTTATAATTTACCCTTGAACTGTTCAATTTTCTTTTGTGGATGTTTCTGAGTGTGTTTACATTTTACAATTTCAAAGTGAAAAAAAATAGTAAGAAGAACAATGTGCTAGTCTAGTAAGGAGGGCCAAGATCTACCAAAGTGGTGAGGGGCATTGTACTTCACAATGTTTTTAGTTCCTCACGACTCTTGTGATGGTTAATTTTGTCTGTCAACTTGGCTGGGTCACAGTGCCCCTGTATTTGGTCAAACATTATTGTGGATGTTTCTGTGAAAGTGTTTTTTTGGATGAGATTCATATTGAAATTGGCAGAGTTTGAGTAAAACATATTACTCTTCATAATATGGGTAGGCCTCATCCAATCAATTGAATACCTGAACAGAACAAAGACTGACCTCTGAGCAGAATGTCTTGGGACTCAGATGGTAAATAATCTCCTCTGGTCTCCGGCCTGCCAGCCCACCCTACAGATTTTGGATTTGCACCTCCACAATCATGTGAGCCAATTAAACAAATTTCTTCTTTTCTTTCTCTCTCTGTCTCACACACACACAGACACACACACACACACACACACACACACAATTTTGTTGGTTCAGTTTCTCTAGAGAACCCTGACTAACAAGCTCTCTAAGGCTTAGTTTTAGTTTCTAACAACTTGGGCTTGGCGTCCAAACTCTTACCTCACAAGAATGCTGAGATCCATCAGAGCTGTGTCCTTGCACATTTTCTTAGATCCCCGTGATAGGCAGAATAATACCCCCTACCAAAAGATGTTCATGTCCTAATCCCTGGAAACTGAATATGTTACCTTACATGGCAAAAGAGACTTTGCAGATAAAATTACATTAGGAATCCTGAGACGGTGAGATTATCCTAAATTGCCCAGATGGACACAGTGTAATCACAAGAGCCCTTCTGAGAGGGAGGCAGGAGGGTCAGAATTTGAGCCAAAGAAGATGTGATGACACACTCAGAGGTCAAAGTGTGCCACTGTGTCGCTGGAAGAGAGCCACAAGCCAAGGAACACAAGCAGCCTCTAGAAATTGAAAAGATTCCAGAACCAGCCCACTAACATTTTCATTTTAATTCCATAAAACCTGTTTTTCAGACTTCTAAATTCCAGAACTGAAAGAAAATTGATATGTACTGTTTAAAGCCACCAGGTGTGTGGTAACTTGTCACAGCAGCAACATATTCAAATTTTAAGAATACTATTTCTTTTTGGTTTTTCTCACTCATAAATTTTCTTATATTGTTGAGACACTTCCCCAGACCACCTCTGTTTAATCCTACTCAGTGTTAAAGGCTCGGCTCAGATGCCCTCTTCTCCTTGAAACTTTATTATTGCATCGGGAATGATTCTTACTCCTCTAAAACTCTAGAGCACTTCACGGCACTGATAGTCCATTTATCACATATTATTTCATTGAAGTTATTTGAAGTCAAG
This sequence comes from Homo sapiens, assembly GCF_000001405.40. NCBI lineage: Eukaryota > Metazoa > Chordata > Mammalia > Primates > Hominidae > Homo > Homo sapiens. The sequence goes on along the minus strand of NC_000012.12, from coordinate 18,567,518 downwards.
GTTCTATACTTGTTTTGCTGCTCCACAATTCTCAGTTCATGTATTTTATACAAATTAGGCATACATATTCATTGAATGAATGAACCCAAAGAATGTTATCATAAAATATTATTATTATTAGAGACAGAATCTGGGTCTGTCACCCAGGCTAGAGTGCAGTGGCACTATCATAGCTCACTGCAGCTTCCAACTCCTGGGCTCAAATGATTCTTCTGCCTCAGCCTCCTGAATAGCTGGGACTACAGGCATGTGTCACTATGCCTGGATAATTTGAAAAATTTTTTGTAGAGATGAGGTCTCGTTTTGTGGCCCAGGATTGACTTAAACTCCTGGCTTTAAGCAATCATCCCACCTTGACCTCCCAAAGTACTGGCATTACAGACATAAACCACCACACTCACGAATAAAATATAAAATAGTTGATGTTTTATGTAAAAATAGAAAAATTAATTATAACATACGTTTGTAACTTCATGTGATACATTTAATATCTGTTCCATGTAATGATTTAGATCTCTGAATCTTCTGTGATCTGAATTTGTAAAAGGTAGGTGCCACCAATGAGGAAACCTGTTTTAAGAGAAAAAAAAGTTATCTTCATTAGTTTGAAAACTGGCCTTTTCATCTTAAGATTGTTCATGTAGTTACAGCTGTATCAGATGGAAGGGCCAATGAAAACATTTGAAAAAGTCATAGTCTACGTGATTAATCCTCAGAATTTTATTAATATGGCTGTGGTCATTCATGCCATATTAATGGTCATTAATATTAATACTAACTTAATTTAATTTGACACATTAAATTCATTTATATGTCCCTTCTTACTATATTTATGGCAGACCACACATTTTGTCTTTTAAATATATGTGGGGTCTTAAAAAAAGACTGTCTGAAGTTAATGGTTCAAAATTTTTAAAAAGGTTCAGATTCTATTGTTTCTTCTGGGTTCACTAGAGACACCATTACACTAACTAAATTAAGCATTTTAGCAAGTGACATATGCGTCCATCTGCTCTTAGCCTTCTAGAAAATAGTAACACTTTCCCCAAGAGTCTGACTATTTGCAGAATTTCCTTTGCACAATCTGATGATTCATCTTGATGGGTTGGACTTCATTAAGACCAATTATTAGGTGGGATGACTGGTAATGGGTAGCATTTGGTAACATATCTTGCTGTCTACGTATACCCTTTTAGGAACTACCTAGCAGCCTCCTCTGACTCCAATCATACTGCTGCCTCATCCACACTTCTGCTTCTTTGGTAGGAACCACGGCTTGGCTACCATGCTTGGAGGGGAAATGAACATGGAGGATAGTAAAGGACAGTCAGCAAAGATAAAGATGTATGTGATAATTTCATGCCACCCCACTGATTACTGTTGGAAATGTCAGGAAAGTCCAAAACTCTATGCTTGTATATTTTAACAATGAACATTTTATTTTTTTAAGTCTCTTGCAGACCCTAAGACTTAAAAGTCTTTAAAATTTTTATCCAAATTTAATCATGAAAATTAGTACCAGTATACAATCAATTGAGCATATAGCATAGAAGATAGATAGATAGGTAGGTAGAGAGATAGATCTATATTCTACATATCCATATATGCATAGTTTTTTTGGGAGAAATGAATTTGATAAATGAGAGATTAGGCTGGTTTTAAGTATTAATTCACATGTCCGTGTGAGTTTTCCTTGTTGATAGAACAAAACAGAAGTCTACGTCAATTCTGCTATTTTGTTAATATTTTTATAGATATATGTACTAAAACATCTTATGTATAAATGAGTACATGAAAGTTGAGGAATGGTTCTATAATACTGTCATTTAATTGAAACTTCTTCGAGTTATATGTCAAATACAGCAGTTATTGAAAATTACTTTTTAATGACCTTTTGTCTGACAGTATCATCATATCCTCCCTCAATTTCATTCACAACAAAGATTAGAAAACATCTGACAAAGATTTGATTTGATATTTCATTATTAGAGTAATTCATTTTCTCAATACCAACACCAATATTTTGATTTGCCCTTTTGTCTTGTCCTCAGAAGTTTCTATAGCCTGATCAGTGTACCAAAATAAAATTTTGGATGGTTGGGAGAAGAAAGTCAACTCTCGCCAAGCATATTACTTTTCTAAAAAAGATTATTAATTTTAAGGAATATTTTCATGTCGTGTACCCCTGGAAGTTACCCAGAAACACAAATAGCTGATTTGAAGTCCACTGTTAGATGGTATGAACTGATTAGAATTTCATTCTTCATGACTCTGACTTTCTGATCATGCCTTCCAGATGACATTTACATAACTCTCGTAGGGCTTCTCTCAGTAATTTTAGAAGTCATAGGGAATCTTCATCTTTCATTTATGTGCATCACTGTAAGCCTGGGCCCCTTTGTGAGTGTCAGCATGCAAACAGTGTTCAGGGAACATAGGACAAAATGTTCCTTGCCTCCACAGGTTGCTTACACAGTTTGAAAATCAATGTAAGAACCTCCAGGCAGCAGTAATGAGCAAAGCAGAATCCTAACAAAAGCTGAAAACTGAAAAGAGGCCAATTGAGATAGATTATTAGAATTTTTAAAGTTTTACAAGTTATACTGATATGTATTGGTGAGGTACAGTGTAGAACAGAGACATTTTTGAAACCAAAAAAGGATAGCCGTTAAACAAAGATTAACATATTCTTCTCAATTATTAATTAGTAGGGTATCATGGCAAACATTGATGTTGAATGTGGTATTTGCAGCCAAACGTTGAGCTTTTTTTTGCCTGTGTCTCTTTTTTTCAGTTATTCTATCAGATTTTGTGATAATTCTAAAACTTGATGTTCCTTCTAAAAGTTGCCAGAATGACTTTGCCTCCCTCTCAGTCTCTTGAGTATGCTCTTAATTTCTGGACTTCCTGATGCTCAAAGCATCTGAATTTCAAAAATCCCTGTTACATATGCCAGTACAGTTTTTTTTTTCATGAATGTGAACTACTCAATTTTTAATATTGTGCAATATCTCCCTATGCACTAACTTTGCTTATATTTATATTTTGGAAGGTGACTAAATCCTGAAAGCCGAGTAAAAATCCACATGTATCAAGTATGCCAGGTAAAGTATAAACAATTACATCATAAAAGGACCATTTACTTTACTTAACAAAAATCTCACTGTAGATAAAACATCTGATTAACCTAAATGCAATATCATGATTTCTGGAAAGCTCACATTTTTAAAATCAAGATACACCTTTTTTATAGACTGAAGTCTATGATCAAAATTTGACTGCTTCTAAGTGATGAATTTTTGAAGGGTTATTTGAACAGCAGTTATTTTAATGATATTTTTAGTTTGCTTATGTTTAACATTTTTCCATTACAACATAAATGAAAATAATGATTTTCAAGATGGCTTCAAAATGAACAAAATAACAAATTCAATTTAGATAATGCAAGTTAATAATTTAAAAGTTAAAAATCAATGGCACAAAATGAGTTAGTAACATATGAATTGATATAAATACATTTACATTTTTTCTGGTATTGAAATTAAATATATAATAAGCATATATAATTATATATAATTAAATATGTATATTAATAAGCCTATGTGTATATATAGGCTTTATATTACAGTTATTTGTTGAAAAAGTAAACATATCCAATTTTCTTCTGCAATTTCAATTTCAATTGTATTTTTATAAAAAATAACTAAGAGGATTAAATTAAAAACAGGCAAATGAGACTATTTTCCCAATAATCGAAGAAAAACGAAGTAGCTTTTGAAATTGTCTGTCTACAAAATCAATGACTGGAAGTAAAAAGAAAATTGCAAATCTTGTTCTGTTTTATGAGACAAAAGATTCTTCACTCTGAGAGCAATTCAGACTCTCTGCTGGGATAGATTCAATGGCATTGGAGTCAGAATACTGTGTTTCTCACAAATAGAAAATCCCATAACCATAATTTTTCTTTTTGCTCAAGGACAAGTACTGAAGGCAAAACAATGTAAAAGGACAGTGCCTTACTCTGGGAGAGTCAGTGATGCAAACTGCTTCTGAAGTTGGCTGTGAAGTTTTGAAAACTGCTCAAATGATTTTTCTGTCAGGCTTGTTTCGTTGTTGCTGTGTGTCACCTGGATCAGATACAGCTGCAGAAAGTAAATAGATAGAAATCAAAAGATGGCAATATCAGCCTGTGATACACTCTAAAACCCGATTTTATGTAAACCAAACAAAGGAAGTACCTTTCTGCAAAACATTATCATAAAAGCTAGGAGATGCATTTTGTAAAGGCAAAATTAAATATAAATAATATCTAAGAGTATCACAATTGTATGTGCTAGGAACAGATTGCCTAATTTTTGCTGTTCTTGTGGACATTTTAATTAGTTCTTGATTTATACTCTACCACAGGGCAGGAATTGTTCTCTTTGATGGTTCTCTACTCATAGTCTTGTTGTTATGATTTTTCCTTGGAACATCCTCTTAATGACACTTCTGCTTAAATTGTAAATTATTTTTCATTTGCTTAGTAAAAAATTATGCTATAAGAAAGGCTGTGTAGCATAGTGAAGAGAAGTCTGAGATAAAGTCAAGTGATACGTAAGTCAAGATGACGGACTTTAAACTTACATTACTGGATTTCTTGCTGAACCCTAAAATTGTTGCTCTTTCAATCGACCTAGTTGTACTCAGCAAACAGGATTCCTGAGGAAAAGTCTGTGAAGTAGATTTGGCAGGGCTTATGGCTGACATTTGTGCAAGTGTGTGGATCAAGTTATTCAATTTAACAGGGAAACACTCCAGACTTTCCTTTATTTTCCTAGAGAAATGTAAAAGAAAAGATAGTGAGTGACACTCCTCTGCATCTACTCATTTCATTTATGATCTGTTTCCTTGTGTTTGTCAGTATGAGGGGAAAAAGCCAAGAACCATGTATGTTTATTTGGAGCCCAACAATTAAACGTTATTTGTATAAACTTCAAGTTTGCATCTGGAGTTGTTAGCAAATAAACATACAAGAAACTCTTGTGATGAAATATAAAACTGTAGTTGCTATATTGTGTGACTACGTTTTAAAAAGATTTTGTTGTGGCCCGGCGCGGTGGCTCACGCCTGTAATCCCAGCACTTTGGAAGGCCGAGGCGGGCGGATCACGAGGTCAGGAGATCGAGACCAGCCTGGCTAACACGGTGAAACCCTGTTTCTACTAAAAATACAAAAAAATTAGCCGGGCGTGGTGGCGGGTGCCTGTAGTCCCAGCTACTCGGGAGCCTGAGGCAGGAGAATGGCGTGAACCCGGGAGGCGGAGCTTGCAATGAGCCGAGATCCTGCGGCTGCACTCCAGCCTGGTGACAGAGCGAGACTCCGTCTCAAAAACAACAACAACAAAAAAAGATTTTGTTGTTTATTTGGGGGAATTTTTAAAAAATTTAATTCCAGCTTATAATTATTAAAAGTATTTACAACATTCCAGAAGTAACGCAAATTCCAAGAAGCCTAGTAGCTATTCCCATACTTTCTACCCTATTCTTTCCCTTTCCTTATATGTAAACAGTTTTAACACTTATGGCTCAACTTTCATTGTTTAATTTTTAATTTAAATTTTATTTTTGTATATTTTTATGTTTTTCTATCTTTAAAAAAGGTAGCATACTTAAATACTATATTTAACAGACACGTATTTTATATTAAATATTTTTCATTCTTTGATTTGTTTTCCTTTGTTTTTGGTGTTTTTATTTTTGTTGTCTCTGCTTTTTAAAGGTTTTTTTTTGTATTTAAGAAAGTTTGCATTCTAATGGTGTAATAATTTATTTCTATATTTTCCTTTACCTCTTCTTTTTTTATTTTTAATTCATTCTCTGTTGAGAGCAATATTGAAATCAGCTAATAGCTTCTTTTTTCATACTGTTCGTTCCCTTTTCTCCAGTATCTGACTTGTGATATTACCCTTTTAAACTCAGTTAATACCATAAAGCAAACAGTATGCTTATTCTACTTTTAATTTGTGCTTCCTAGCCCCTACTTCCTTTTTTTATTTTCAGAGATAGGGTCTTACTCTGTCACCCAGGCTGGAATACAGTGGTGAGATAGTAGCTCACTACAGCCTCTGAATCCTAGGCTCAAAGGATCTTCCCTCCTCAGCTTCCTGAGTAGCTAGGGTTAGAGGCATGTGCCAGTATGCCTGTCTAAACCCACCTCCATTTTTTTATTGACCTACGATTGTATAGTACAATTGAACTGTACCGTATAGTACAATTGAACTCTATCATATAGTATGTATACTAAACACACTTTGCAGTTTCTCTTATAACCTTCACTTAATTTTAAACTCTCTACCAGTCTTTGTGCCCACATCTCTACAGTCACTTTGATTATCTGAAACTCATGTTCCAGTAAATTCTTTAAGAAGTGCTCAAGGAAATAAGTTTCTGAATTCTTGTAAGCTGACAACAGTTGGTCTGTGGCCTTTATACTTGAAAGTTAGTTTGCCTTGATATAACATCATTAGCTCACATTTTCTTTTTGAGTGCCATAAAGCTATTCTATTTTCTTCTGGAATAAAGGATTACTGTTCAAAACTCTGATGACATAGTAAATTGTTTACCATATAAGTGAGTTAGTCTTCCTGCCTACATGCTTAAAGGAAGTTTCTCTTTCTGCAAAGTTCAGTAGTTTTTCTAAAACATGCTTCTGTATTGGTTTTTCTGGGTCATTTTTTTAAATAGTGCCCTTTCAATATGTAATTTCAAATCCTTTCACTTTTGAAATTTTTTTCTTATAGTCTTAGTATTTGTTAAAATACTAAATATGCTATTTAGTTTTGATATAGTTTTATATATTATTTCATTTTCTTTTTCTCAGGGACTACTATTATATGTACATTGGATCTTCAGTGCCTTTATTTCTTTTTTATTTTAAAAGTCCTCTCTGTTTTTACCTTCTCTCTTGAGGCATTGTGTGTTTTGTTGTGTTTGTTTATTCCCATGTCTCTTCTAGCTTATTGTTTGTAAAATCATGTTTTCTTTTATTTCTAATTCTTTCTTGGGTTCAGTCACTTCCTTTCTGAGGTTTCCTAATTGTGGTCTATGTTGTTCCTTCACATATTTATCATTTTCTTCATTTCTTTTATCTCAATTAAATATAAGGATACAGTTTATCTTTTTGGTGGGCATGTCTTTCTGGCCCACTTTTTTTAAGGATATTATTTTGCTTCTTATTTATCTTTTTCTTGTTATAATTCTATATGACTTTCAACCATGGTCACTTTTCTTGTTCATTTTTATATAAAATGAGTATTCCTGAACTTTCAGGAAGGAGTAGAGGATTTTTTACGGTCTGGGGCTTTCCTATCTGTTGCTGTCACATAGTGATTAAAAAAAAATTATTTTGGCCAGGTGCGGTGGCTCATGCCTGTAATCCCAGCACTTTGGGAGGCAGAGGCCGGTGGATCACCTGAGGTCAGGAGTTTGAGACCAGTGAAACCCCATCTCTACTAAAAATACAAAAAATTAGCCAGGCATGGTGGCAGATGCCTGTAATCCCAGTTACTTGTGAGGCTGAGGCAGGAGAATTGCTTGGATCTGGGAGGTGGAGGTTGCAGTGAGCCGAGACTGGGCCACTGCATTCCAGCCTAGGCAACAAGAGCAAAACTGTCTCTCTCTCTCTCTCTCTCTCTCTCTCTCTCTCTCTCTCTCTCTATATATATATATATATATATATATATATATATATATATATATATAATTTCATACAATACATTCTGAGATATTTCTCCTTTGATCTCCTCCCTCCAACTTTTTCTGGACTTTGATTTTCCCTTTGCTAATATTATCTCTTGTCCATGCAATTTGGATTATATGTCCAACAGTTTCTCTTCAGTGTGAGAGAGACCTTTTTTTTTGGAAGAAAGCCCCAGTTGAGAATTCATAGATTGCCTAATATTTTTATATTTGCCACAGAACCCTCACCCTTGCCTGTGAAATAGAGTATGCAAAAAGTACTTCCAATTTCAACTGCTTTTCTCAAATTAGCCTGCTCAGCTTCCAACAAATAACTGTTGACTCTTTTGGAGTACTGCTCTCAGGTCAGCCAGAGTACCTGTGGTTTCCCTTAGCTTCCTTCTGTCCAAATGCTCATACGACACAAATCTTGTAATTTAATGGTTTGCCTCCACCTGCTTTTATTGTATGGTTCTTAGGGTATACCTTGTTGCCTAGTTTTGTCATAAATGTTGTCCAAGCTTTTGGATTTTGCTATCCTGGTTGATTTGCCTGTTGTATGTAAGAGATTTAGGGACATTTAAAAACTTGGCATTTTAGCATATATAATTCAAGCAACACAGGAAAATATAAAGTAAAATGTGGAAGGTTCCCTTTTTCTTTTCTCCACAGGAGGCCAGTGCTCCTCCCCAGAAATAACCACTGTAAGCAGTTTGACATCATTCTTTTTTGAACTTTCTCTATATATTTGTGCAAACACAGAGACATGCAAACATACAGACATGCAAACACATAGACACACACATTGTCCTTATTCCTATTGTATGCCAGGTACTATTCTGGTGATGGGATTTAGCAATGAACAGAAGAGATGGAAGTTTTTCGCCCTTTTAGAGTTTGTATAATCTAAAATTCTGATGGTAATTAATCAAGTAAAAATATAGAATTTGATAAAGTAATATGTATTATAAAAGAAAATAGGAAATAAGGAGAGGAAGTATGGGGGTAGATAATAGCTTTACAGTTTTAAATAGGATGCCCACTGAAAAGTGCTCATCTCACTGAAAGATGAGCTGAATGATTTGACAAAGACCTTAACTTGCCATGAAAGTAGGCCATGGGAATTCTGATGAAATGCATTTTAGGCAGAAGCAACAGCTAGTCCACAAGCTCAGAGGCAGATGAATGACTAGAGTGTTTAATGAGCAGCAGTGTGGCTGACACAAAGTCAGTAGAGAAAGAAGGGAATCAAAGACCTAAAGGGCACAATTGCATAAGAACTTTGACTTTGTGTGAGATGAGAGTTAGAGAAGAATCACAATTGTATGTAATGTTGCAATTTGTTTTTGTTAACTTAATAATATATTTTACAGGGAAAAATTAATAGTAACTGGTACATAGTAAGTGATCCAAAAATATTTGTTGAATGACTGAACAATCTTTCTAATTCAGAACATAGCATTAAATCATATTTTTAAATGGCTATATGGTTTCTCCAAATAGGGATGAACAATGTTTAATGTAACAATTTTTTAACTTGCAAAGACATTTTTTTCTTTACTGTTTAACTTTGTCCAAAACCAAGGGTCTGTATATACACAAGACTGTTTCTGGCCTCCTCGTTTTGTTGCATTTATCTCTTTGTCTATCTCTGTGTCAGTATTATACTATCCTAAATAGCTGGAACTTTATAGTACATCTTGAAATCCAGAAGAATGATTATTTTACCTCATTTTCTTTAGGGGGCTCTTCACTATTCTAGGCCCTTTGGCCTCCTAAATATATTTTAGAATTAGCTTATCAAGTTCACCCACACACAAAACCAATAGGTAAGGATTTTGAATGTACTGTATGTAAATTAGAAATCAATTTGGAGAATATTAACATCTCTGTAGTATTAAGACATTCAGTTCACGAATGTGGTATATCGTTCTATTTAGTTTGGTCTTGCATATTTTTTGTTGGAGTTATTCTTTGGTTTGGCATATTTTGTATGGCATAAATGCTATCTTGTACTAACTTTTAATTCATATTTGATAATATATGAGTAGATCTTTAACTCTTATTAATTCTAACAACATATGCATATTCTTTTGAAATTTGTATGTACACAGTCATGTAACCTGCAAATAATGGTAGTGGCTGTTTTTGTCACTCTGCACTGCTAAGAAACTTCCACTTCAATATTAAATGGAAGTGGTGATAGCAACCATTTTTGGTGTGTTCCTGATTACAAAGGAAAAACTTTCAATGTTTACTGTTAAGCGTAATGTTTTCTGTAGGTTTTTAGCTATACGTTAATGACATTCTTTTCTATTTCTATTTTTTTCCTAAATGAATGGTTCTACATTTTATTAACTACACTTTCTGTATCTATTTAGGTGATCATATATTTTCTTTTTAATTTTTAAAGTACTGAGTCTTAAATGTTTACTTTGTAACCACTTATTTTACTAAATTCTTGTTATTTTGATTTGTTTGTGTGTGTGTGTGTCAATTCTCTGGGATCGTATTAATTATTGTATTATTCACTTGAAAAAATAACTTCATAACAAAGTTTAATTAGAGAGCTTTATTATCAATATAGAAGATACTATCTTTTCCCCACCATTAATAAGAATGCTTATCATTTTTAACTTTTGAAAGTATGATGCTTATCTAAGCTTGGATCTATTCTGAGTGTACTAAAACTTTCCAGGAGGAATGGATGTTGAATGTAATCCAGTATGACTTTTCTGGGTTGGCATCTATCAAAGTGATCATGCAATGCCTTCTTTACAACTAATCTGCCATGTCCTCAATGTTAAAAATGTACTTCAATTATGTTTAATAATTTTCCCTTCAATTTCATAAAGATTCAAGGCCATTTATCTTGTTCTGGTCTTAAACTTTTTTGAATAAATTCCAAATTTTTCCACTATTATACATCAAGTTAGGCCAAAACTTGCTAAGAAAGTTAAAATATGACTCTGATCCCATTATTCATCCCAGTGTTCACCATTTCTAAAGATGTTGTTTGCACTTATGAATTTACAGGTGCACAGTGCAGTACAAAACATTATTTCTTCATCAGCACTTTAAAGACATGAGGATAATAGCAGGAGTATAATATTAATCATGATTTATGGAGACTCTACCATTCATTCATTGAACATCGATCCAACAAACATTTACTGAACACATTTTATTTGCTGGAGTGAAAAGCTTTAGGGTGACAGCATGCACTCACTTCTCATGAAGATATCAGTTTTAAGTTTTGTGAATCATAAATGTTAAGTTTTGATGAACTCACCCTCACAAAAATCTCAACTATGCCCATACCTTATTCTTACATTGCCCAACAGTTAGGATGTAAGAAGTCTGAAGATGAAGGGTGAGACTTTATGGTCAGCCCATGGTTTGGGGGCAGACTTTCACTCAAATCCATCTCCTATCTCTCAGGTGTCAGACTTAACGGGTCAGACAAAACAGTGCTGTTAACTGTAATTGGACTTGGGACTGGGGCTCTGAGTGTAGTCGGTTTCAGGCCTCTGTGAGGATCTAATTTATCCAAGTAATAGCTCCCTGATTTATTTTGTTTAATGGCAGCATTAGCAGGATTATGCTTTGGATTATCCTTATATTACAGGAATAAAGCAGCAGCTGGGAGGATTTTAGCTCTTAAGTTTCCTAAGGGAAGTCTCCAAGCAGTCTTGATAAACACTTTTAACTCTCCCTTGCTAGGCACTATTCTATGTGCTGGGAGGTAAAGAAGAGAAACCAAATTTCTGCCCTGAGGAAGTATATATCCCTTGGCAGGTAGTACACTAAATGCTTCATGTTAATCTTTTCATCCTTAGAGAAGAGCAGTCCAATTATTTCAGCAATAGATAAGAAAATGACCAGGAGAAGTTAAATGCATACCAAAGGTGACATCAACTAAGAAGTAGTAACTGAAGAATTCTACTCATGTTTATCTGATTCCTTAGTCTTTGCTCTCACTGTGGATTTTAAAAAGCAAACAATAATTCAATTTTGTCTTTCAGAGAAAAATAAGCCAATAACTTGTGGAATTCTCAGGTGGATCAAAGGTACTAAGACAATGAACCTTTGATTTTTACATAGAAATAACCCTTAGGTAAAAAAAATGTAACATATTTCTAGCTGCCAAGGAACATAGTCTAAAGGGACCTATAATAAGCATAAAATTTCTTAAGCCTTAGGTCCTATCTTAAAAAATGTGTATACATTGTATTCTACTTCATAATACATGCACTTTTTATACAAACTAAATATTTTAATTGCTTATCATCAGAAACAATTGCTTCTAACAGGTTTCTTAGCACTGTGTGTGTGAATGGGCAATTGAGTCTATCAGTCTCAGAAAACTGAGTTGAATCCAGAGCTCTGATCTTCTGTGTCAGGTTCAGCATCTAGGCAGATTATTTTTTCTCAAATTAAATATAAATTCACATTTATGTTGATATGTGACTACAAATGGCAAACATTTTTCGCTGCTTTATGAGCTACATCAGACTAAGCATTGAGGAGAGATGACTACGATGCCATTGGCAGTTGAACCAAGGTTCTTAGGCAACACCTGATGGAGATTTCTATGACAGCGTATTTCAATTTACAGTTTAAATTGTTCATATATTTGGCAGTTGGATAGAATAACTGTTTCAATGGTCAGTCTCTTTAATAGTCACAGGAAAATATTTCTCATAAGGCTTCTGTGAAGGAATTTGCATGAGAACATTCTTTATTTTACCACTGATACTGTAAGTTCATAATATATAAATACAGGAAGAGTTGCAATTGACTGACTCCCCATGAACAAATTTCTTCATCTAAATCTCAAACTTCATTTCATTGCAGTATTCTGGCATGTGCAAGAAACACATTACTTTGTTTTTTGTATTGAAGTTACTGACTGAGTGTCCAGCTTTACAAGTCACTCTTAATCATTCAAGGGGAACAATGAATTAATAAAACTTTGTCATAGTTTCTTTTATCGCATAAAGAAAATCAGTAGTTCGGCATTGAATTTGTAATCTCTGAAATATATGACCAGTGCTTTCTTTTACTTAAGCTTATGAGTATGCTTTCGGATAATTCCTATTTTACTACAAATTCATACTGCACTAAGTATTCAAACACATATTTTTTAAGCAAAAAAATTTACTATTCCTAAATGAGCTCAGTGACAATCATTGCTAATGTATTCTGGGTACATGATAAAACAATTCATTTCTATGCACTTTTATTCTTAAAAATTCAAAATTGCACACATGGAAAAAGCACATGATGATTTTGGTTGCACATGTATGTAATGTGTAGGTACACATTTGACTCCAAACTTTACAGTTTATATTCTAATCCTTTAAACAAAATAAGATACTAAAAAGGATATGTCACATGAATCCTTGGGGCTTTGATAGCGTGGTATGCCAATTTGAGAAACACAGCTATAAGCATGTAGATGTTTTTCTTATGATGGTCTTTCAACTAATCTGAAGACACTAAAGTTAAAGAACATTTATATTTATCTGACAGTCAGGACATTAAGAGTTCCATATGCAGAACTTTTTTCCACATGATTTGGCATAGTTGTGTCCTGGGAAGAGCGCTCATTATGCAAGAAATAAACCTTGTTCTAATCTGTACTCACTAGGTCTACCCATGATCTCAAGAAAGTAATTGTTGAACAATTTTAGGATATTCAACTGTTGCATCTATAAAATGCAGTTGGTGACTCATGCCAGTGATCTCAAGAAAGTCATTGTTGAATGACTTCAGGAGACTCAATTGCTGTATTTATAAAACATAACTGATTGCTAAGCCATGCCATTTCCCAGGATCATTGATAGGATGAAATTAGATAAAGTAGGAAAAGTCTTTGGAAATTAAATAGTATTAAGCAAATATTATTTCAGAAAATCTACTACCAATGAGTAAAGAAATAAATGCATATGAGTCTAAAAGGTAGCAAACTATACAAAGAGGGATACAAGAGAAAATGAATGTATAAATTTATTGTTCAAAGGAAACTGACTTGTGGTGCTCTCTTGAACTCCTACAAGAGAGATATTAGGTAAGGATAAGAACAAGCAGCATCTTTAGTGTTTATTTTCTTATTTTATTTCTTCTCCCCATCCCCTTTTCCTGCTTTACAGTTTAGATATGGCTTAAAGACTAACAAACTTAAAGGTCTTTGTTGTTTTCCAAGTTGAGGTTTCAAGTCTTCAGAATTCATGCTACAAGTTCAGCTAGTCTTACGTAAATGTCATCACAGGCACCAAACTGCATTCAAACAAGAGTTTTAGGCTCTGTGGACTTGGCTGGGAGTGGATCATTCTTTTACCTTTTTAGATAGATGCCTTATGAAAGTGACCAAATCAGAACAAACTGAATCAAGGAACCAGGGAAGGGTTGATGGGCTAGTCTTACTATGAATAAAGTGATATGCCAGTGAAATGATATTCCAGTTTTCAGTTCCCACTCCCAAAGCCATTTTATTTTATTAATGATATTAAAAGGAAGTTGTATGCAAAGCAAAAAAAATAAATCTTAACATGCAACAGTAAAGAAAAATCAATAGTGATAAATGGTGCTAATAAAAATCTTTAAAATGTGAAAAATATGTTTTAAAATAGTAAACGATTGTAGCCTAATTGCTTGTTAAATCACTGGTATATAGTAATTGTATGCAATGCGTAGGGTCAGAAATATCAATGGGGATTAACAGGTACACAGCGCTGTTGTGCATAAAACAGCTGTTGGGAAACAGCGCCATCTGGACTATTCATCTTTTTTCAGTAATGATTTCTGGTACTCTTGGTGGGTACATTAAACTTTTCAAATGCTTTTAACCTTTAGACTGATAGTCTCCTGAAGAGTTTACGATATCTTTTTTCAAAGCTTAATAGCTAAGGTGTATCCTGACTTGGAATTTAGGCAATTTAGGCAAATTCTCAGTTTAATTCATATAATTCAAAAACAGCATTTCCCCTACTGCAGAAATTAAGAACAGCAAGCACACTATCAAACATCATAATGAATGTGACTGGGCCGTGCAACTTAGGAAGTACAGATATTATAAGTGGTTATATCTGCAGTTAAAAATAGTTTATAAAGCTAATTTAGTTCAGGTTTGTTATTATAACTAAAAATAATGGGAGACTTTCACAATGAGAGGAGAAATTTCTACTTGTTTTAATTTACATTTTCCTTTGAATCTGCTTTCTTATTTAGGAAAAGCTGGACTTCTTGATTGTTATTTTCTCTTGGTTCTGTGTCCCTATCTCCCCTTGGTAGTGTTTATTTCTGTAGGTATCAATTGTTAAGCTAAGACAAAGGAAAACATTGGCTCTTATTTGTGGAATTGTAACCACAGTTCGCATCACAGTAAAAAAAATAAGAAAATTTAATGATAAAAGTATACAAGGATTTGCATTTCCATCTCATGCTATTTCTCAGTTTTGAAGAGAAAAAAGATATAAAATCATTGAACTATGTTTTAAGACATTTGAGCATAAAGAGTCTTGTCTCACACCCTAGCCGTGAGAAATAAATGAGGAATGAGGGGAACAAAGAATTTCTGAAATTGAGTCTGCAAACCCTCAGTGGTGCAGGGATTCTGGCTCCTGTGTCCATGATGTGGAGGCCAGGTGCACTCTCGGGATGCCATCCACATTTCCAACGGCTTCAAAGTTGTACCTGTTGGATGGTCACTGTGCCTATTCTGCCTAATGGCCCCTCCTAAGACTTCCCTCACAGCTCAAAGTTCACAGAAGAAGCTCTAGGCTATTTTTCTGTGAAAGGGTGGCCTATGATAAGAATACGGCTGGGCAACGAAATCCACTGTGGCTTCACATGAAGGAACTTGTCCAATAAGGACAAAGGCAACTAGTTAAGTCAAAGAGTTTGCCTCTCTCTGGAATTTACACTGAGGAATATTGGGCAATGAGCAGGGAACAATAGAATATGCTAAGCAGAGGTAAACAGAGTAGAAGGCCTGTGTGTTTCCACTAGAAACTAGCCAAGCCCTATTGGTTTCTGGGATTTCTTAGCTTACAGTTTGACTCCATGTAGAGCCTTTAATCTAAGGCTACCAGACGGGGTTCTTTTGCTGTCAAAATAGCTCATGATTGCAAACAATTTGTCTTGTTGTTTTGTTTTGGGTTTTGTTTTTTGAAGTGTGGGGTTTTGTTTTGCTTGAAGCTGGCTTCAGTTTTAGCTGACGAGCAGATCATATACTTACTAAATGAGAACTTACATGGCAGGCCAAGTGGAATATCTGAGCATACATGAAAAATGTCCTCTCACTCTCTTGGAGGAGAAAATGGATAGAATGAAAAGCACTATCTCTATGTGGGAGGGGAGGTAGGCAGGGAAGTTTATGCTTAATGATCCCAGTCTGGTCTGTGAAATAGGTTAGCTCTTGATGAGGACAGCTAACCCGAGGTTTGAGAGTGATTGAAATTTCTGAAATAACCCTTTTGGACAACATTTTAATGGATGGCTGCCTTTGTTGCCTAGCAGTGGTCTCTGCAGAGATATTACATGAGAGTATCAATTTGCAGTGGACTGTGTCATGATACTTTCTTGATTCTATTCAACAGCACTCAGCTGTAAGGGGAGTGAAAGAGAGTAAGGGAAACAGAGAGTAGTTGATGATGATGTGAAAAGCATTTGTGGCCAGCAAACCAATTTTACTTTCCATTTTCCCTCTAAATACCATTAATTGTACAGGATTTTAAATTCCACACAGTATGCAGCATCGCCTGAAACTCTTAGGATCAGCTCTTGACCTAGAATGGATATGTCCAAGAGTGAGGAAAAATCTTGGGTTGTTCATAAATAGAGTACATTCTCCAAGAGGCAGGAAAAAGCTGTTTATTTCTTTCAAGTCTCAAATAGGGTCAAGAGGGGCAGCCCTTTAGTGCTAATATTGTAGTTAGGACCAGGGCACTTAAAGTAGCCACATATGTTATGTCTCAGATGGCCTGGTCTTGGCTCGGGATCCCAATCTGTGAGCCTAGTGGAGAAGGGAGAAGGGGTTTTCTTGTCTTACTTTTGTCTGTAACTTAGTAGTTGTATCACAATAAACAGTGGCATAAAATACTTTTAGCCTATCAGAACAAAGAAATAAAAAGAACAAGGAGTTTAAATATAGAGGGGCTCATATTATATGTATATAATATACTTTTATCAATTATCTATCTATGAATTAATGCCACTCATTGAAGCACGAAGACACCAATGATGGATCTATGACAAACCATTTTTTTTTTGGTGAATTATGTGCAACGAGGTCTGCATTTAGTCTCCCTAAGTTTTAAAATCCATGTGATATCAGGGAACACAGCACAAAATAGCAATATTATTTACACAAAGTAAACAAGTCTACATTATTTTTAACAGTTATTTGAGTCATGGGTATCCTGTTATTTAGAGTTCCATTAAAGTTGTTTTTAATTATCCCAGGCTGCTTTCATAAATTCACTCTATTCATTGTTTAAGGATTTCCAAACAACATAATACATAATTTGTTTCAGAAATTTATAATATACAAATGATAGATCTCAGGAAATATTTCTAAATGGTAGTTACAGTTACAATTAATGGAGGCTGCTGGCCCCTCTGTAAGAGATTGTTCATAGTGCTAGATGGGATGTGTGATAGAAAAGATCCTCAGTGCTTGATGTATATATGCTGAGCAAGAAACACAGAGAAATTGAACAGATATGCTACTTGCACATTAAATCATGTCTAAAAATAAAGGTATGTAATTGAGACTTTAAGATTAAAAAATATGACTGAGATGGGCTCTTGGAAGTTAGGGGATAGTGAGCCTCATGGGATATTTCTCTGAGAAGAAAAAAAAAGTAGAGAGAGGCTCATGGCATTGTGGAATGGGCCACAAAAGGAAAAGGAAGGAAGGTGACTTCCAGGAAGTCAGCTGCCAAGTTACCCTTTAGGGGTCTCTCAGGGCAGCAAAGCAGATCTGGAACCAAATATCCAGGGGACTCCTGGTGGTAGCATAGAGATAGCAGTTCCAGAAAGGAACTTCTGTTCTCTGCTGATGCTTGAGGTATTCCGGATAAAAGGATGAGTGCCTGAGAAAGGCTGGAGAATATATCTTTGTTCAACTTCAGCCAACGCAGGCTCTGAAAAACCTTGAGAAGACTGTGGTCTGAATTACAAAGCAGCACATTCCTGAGAGCCCACATATGGAAGAGGTGATTTTGAGCATAGAGAACGTTCTCTGGTAAATTATTTAACTTCCTTGGGGTCTCAATTCACTAGTATAAAAATGTAGATAAAGATATTAATACCTCATAGGATTGTTATGACAGTTAAATACATTACTGTAAGAAAAGCACTTAGAACAGGGCTTGACACACAAGAAGCACTGCATTAAGTTGTAGTTATTATTATATGCTTTTTATATACTTGATATTTGATGTTTAAATTGCATTTTCTGTTAAATAGGGCTTGTTTCATATTCAGATATTCTTAGAATTGGGAATACATTCCCTGCTTTACTTGGGAGAAATTGATGTAACTCATCAATATATTAATTAAACTGATATACAAGACAGTATGTAATTCAGTAATAAATTAAGGACAGCACAAAAGACGGCATGTTCGAGAGAATTATAGAAGAAAAGATTGGGAAGTACTGGAATGATCAGATAAGGTTTCATGGATGAGGTACTAGCTGTCCAGAATATCAAGGGATGGGTGGGATTAAAAGTTAGATCAGAATCTTCCTGTATTCCAGAAATTTTATGATTCCATTGGAGTGTTTCTAGTGAGCTAGCAAAGCGAGTTAAACAGACAATGCAGGAATGAATATACATGGAGAGAATGGCCTATCCAGAAAAGGATTCATGTGGAATAATGGAGACAGGGGGCGGGTAGTTGGATAAATCTTGACAAAGACAATCAGATTATAAGGTCCTAGGAAGTGAGAGACAGGAGATGGCACACCAAGGAAAATTATTGAACTGAGAAATGATGTGTCCTAGTTTCCATAATTTGATGCCTTTTAAGGCTTCAATGGAGAACAAGTTCTTTATTCCAAAGTCATAGAAAGAAGTTTAATTAACAGAACATACCACATAACATTGGTAAGTGGGAAGATTGGCCTGGCAGAGGTATGCAGGCAGGATCACAAGGTCCGCCTCACTGCCATGAGGTTCTAGCTTCAGATCTACTTCCACGTTAGTTCATGTCCTCTTGAATGGGAAGGGGAGATAGGTCACCGTAGGCAAGATCACTGATATCCAAGATTATGCTCTTTACAGATCTCAGTGTGTTGCATGAAGTAGAGGGATAGGGAGAGATGGAATTCTGGCAGATGAATAAAGCCTATTTACATTTCTCTTTTGGCCAGGGCCTGAAAGAACTTTTTTCATCCAAATACATATATGGCATTTCCTTTTTCAGGAGGGACTAATAGTAAGCTACAGCACTATAATTGTTCTGCCCACACAATGACACATCTCGAACACAGGCCTTGCAGTCCAACTTTGCATTCCTTTTTTCTACCTTCCCTAGCTTTCTCCATGCTCCTCCTTTGTCTTCCCACCCAGCCCCACTGACATGTCAATCATTGTGTCTGCCATGCTGCAGCCATTTTAAAGAAAAGAATCCTACTCAGATCCTCTCCTGAAGGGATACCCTCAGGGGGCTATTTTTGCTACCACGTAAACCCACCTGCATGGGATGGAGTTTTGTACTCGGGTTAAACAGTCAGAGGGGAAGGAGTAAGTTCCTGCTGATGTGGTCCCTGGAGCTGCCTTCAATTCTGAAGGACCTTCCAGACTCTGTGACGCTGCCCTTCTGTTCTTCCTGAGGCTTTCCCTGGGTTTTCTCATGCAAGGCACCCATCCCCATTAGTTGAGATAA
Organism: Homo sapiens; assembly: GCF_000001405.40. Lineage (NCBI taxonomy): Eukaryota > Metazoa > Chordata > Mammalia > Primates > Hominidae > Homo > Homo sapiens. The sequence goes on along the minus strand of NC_000012.12, from coordinate 18,547,902 downwards.
CTGTAGAGTTCCTGATCCTTGAAATAAAGGGTCTAAAATACCTCCCCAAGTCTTCAAGCTAATGTCTTTGGCCACAGTCGAACATCAATTACTTGGGATTTTGCTAGTAGATGTAAACAAATGCTTCTTTCAGAGGTCATTGTACTATTAAAGGGCATTTTTCAAGACTAAGACAACCTGCTGGACTCCCTTAAGGGATCTCTAATGAACTAGATAGCAAGAAGGCAGGGTTTTTTTTGTTTTGTTTTGTTTTGTTTTTGCAACAACTCTTCCTGGAGTTCCATAATCATATCATATAATTTCCAATATTGAGTACTGGAAAAACCCAGGACTAGAGGGACCAGACACTGTTTCTTGCTACTTCTACTAATTGTGGGCAAGACAATTCTCTGTATCTCAGTTTTCTCACTTGAATGTCTATTGTCAGAATAAATAAACTATAAAGGCTCTTCCAGCTGTAATATTTTGTGATTCTGTCACATTGTCTCTTTTCAACAACAAGGGCAGCACACCCATTCAAGTTCATGAAACAGAAATCCCTGAGCCAAGTGAAATTCCCCAAGTGTGTACGACATCCCCATGAAGCCGCACTGCCACCATTGGAGTGGGAAGCAATTTCTTGCTGTATATTCTGGAAGGGTGAAAGAAAAAGTAAAACCTGGAAGAGGTTTTATTATAATCATGATTTTCTTTAAAGCATACATTCCACTTAAAAGAATATAATCTCTGTTTATAAATTTTCAGTGGAAAATATTAGAACAATTAAAAATTAGACTCAAGACCACAATTAAGAGGTTACAGGAAAGAAAGAATGCAGTTTTTCTCTCCTGTTTGTAGGAAAATAATTACTGCTAACATTTATTGAGCACCTAAAATTTGCCAGGAATTATATATCCATTTAAAAAGAAAAATTCAAAAAGATCTTATAAAATGTACTGTCCTTTTGACCAGATTTGGGGTCTGATATTCATCATATTCTGCCCAGATTCTTACCTTGATATACATCAGTGTTTTGCTGGACTTGTTTAATAAAAAATAGATTAAAAGTAGAAGAGAGTCACAGGTCTTTGACCAAATATCCCAATATTTGTATTGTCTTACATAGGAAAGTAGTGAGTACATATCTCATCATAAATCTCTTTTTCCAAATTGTTTTTCTGGACATAGTTCAAGTAGAACAACCAATTTATTTATGTCAGCTCTTGCTCTTTTCAATGACCTCTTATTGAGCAATCTGTTAGATGAAGAGGCTGGTTAGCAAACAATGACATGCTGCAGAAACACTGACTAAGGCCTTCTGCTAGACATTCACATTGCTTCCTTTCTGCTCTTTGGGAAAGGGAACACAAGCTTGTTCTAGAAACAACAGCTTCATACCAATGACTGGTCAACCTGAAATCATCTCCACTGTGGAACATGTGTCTGCGTACATTCATGCATGCATGCTCACACATTCATAGGTGATCTTACTTGGTAAAATGACTTGTTGCTTCCAGGTCTGTGTCTTGTGGACGAAGATTATTATACACATATTTCAGGTCTTGAATTCCACTTAGCTCAGGCAGTCCTGCATACAGCATCTTAACCACAACAAGAACAAGCAAAGCAAAAAGAAGACAGAATAAATGCAGATACAATCAAGCTTACTTGATTAATTCTACCCAGAGACATCTAGACCCAAGTTTGCATGGCAATGTCTTTCAGTTTATATACACGAATGCATATAAGTTCGTGCGTTTTTAATCTCTTCTATTAAGTAGTAGAGACAACAGCAATAACAACTATAACAAAAGAACCACTATAATTGGAACATTCTTGTAGATTAATAATTCAGTTTTATTCTCATCATAAACCAGTGAAATAAGCATGATATTATCCCCATGTGAGAATTTGTGGACCCATCATTTAAAATCTATGTGATTTTGAGAAAGTTCCTTAACCTCTGAGTCTTCATTTTCTCGTTTTTAAAATAGATATAAAATAAGAAAGAGGTTTATACATTACAAAATATTACACAAAAATTATATAATAATATGCATTTTAGAGAAGAAAAGTTTAATCTCCACAAAACTGTAAGTGATATGTCCAGGTCAAATGATGTGCAAACATAGAGTATAAAACTCACCGCTCTGGTTCTTAATCCTATGTTCTTTTATGACTCCATGATTCTCACTAGAAGAATACAATTTTCCCTACTTAAATGGTGACTGCATTTACTAAGGCAATAAATAATTAAGGATGAATTGTATAAGATATTTTCCTGCCAATTATCAGGAAGATATTTTGTTTATATTACAGTGTAGACTGAGGGAATTATAATCTCTTTAGACTACTTTTTTTTAAAGAAAATAATAGAACTTTCTAAACTAAATTTGAACTTTGCAAAAAAAAAAATGAAGACTGTTATCAGCACTTCTATGACTAAGATGATAAATTATTTACTGCTCTGGAATAAAGGCCCTCTTACAATAAGATGTTAAGAATGATACTATCGATCCTTAAAACAAAGGGTAAAGTGAGAATATGGTTTTGGAAGATGGGTGAAATTGTGATTAACTTGCTGAAGTTCAAATGAGAAAAAGAATGGTATAAAAACTATTCTTTTTTCCCACCATCCCCACCCAGGCTCAGGAAGCAGCATGTATAGGAAAGCAAGACATACAAAGGAAAGCAAGATGTCTTTAATATGTCTGCAGAAAGAAACCCAGGCTGGCTTTCTGGAACCGAGTATTACATGGGTGAGCAGCAAGAGATGGGGATGAAAGGCAAGTAGGATAAGACATTCTGGCAACATTAAGGATTTTGTACTCTATCCTAAAGTACAAAAAAACAAGAAAGCTCTTTAAGTGTTTTAACATGAGAGTAAGAGATTTAATTGTGTCTTGAAAGATCATTGTGGTTATGTATGGAAAATGGACTAAAATGAGGCCCGTTTAGAGGCTAGATTAGGAGACTGGTTAGGAATGAAGATCAGTCATTGGATTTTAAATAAATGTAGGAAGTAGAATTGAGAAAACTGGGAGATAGATTGGACATATTGAGAGGGTCCAAAGCACATGCTATAATACAGATTTGACTGTCATTAGCATATAAATGATAATTGAAACCAAGGAGATGGATGAGGGAGTCCTGGAGAGTTGTCAACTCTCTATCCTCCTGGATGATCTATTAGCATCTTAAACTCATGACATCTAAATTACAGCAAATTCTCTTCTCACATAAACTTTTCCTTCTTTTTTTTCTGTTTCATTTACACTGCCACCACTGCCCAACTAACAAGAAATTCATATCTTCTTTGATTCTCTCTTTTTCCTGGTTCCTATAATCAATTACTTCATTCTATTAAAAACACTCCTCAGCAGTCTCTTGTATTCATCCCCCTTTTCATTGTAATTATCATTGTCCTAATTCAGCCCCTCATCTTCATTTGCCCAGATATCTTGAATAACTTTTATCTTGTTCTCCAATCCTTATCTCTTTAATTACATAAACTCTGTTATCTGCCTAAGATCCCAGCTAGATAATGGTACTTCTTTATCATAAGCATACAAACTTCTAGTTTGTCAAGTGTCTAGGTACTAAAGTCTAAAATCCTCATTCTGGTCACAAATGTCTTTTATAATCACACTGTAACCTATCACTCCAGCCTCATCTTCTACAGAGATTTCCATCTATAGCACAGACTGGGCACACTTGGTTACCTTCATTTACTACACATCATGCCCATGCTCATTAAACCTCCACACATACATTTTTCTCTCAGCTGGAATTGCCTTTTCTCTCTTTCCTTGTCACTGAAATTCTTTTTCAAGGCTCAGCTTCCTCCTTGAAGCATCACTGATCCTCTTCATGAGATTTAATGACTGCTTTCTTTGTACAATCATATTTTGGTTCTACTTCTTTCATAGTACGTATTGCTTCCTAGCTTTTACTGTGTTTTGTTCATATGTATGTTTGTCATATTAGATCTTAAGTTCTTTGAGAACAGGAACTGGATTTGTATTTAATGTTGAATTGTGTACATTGCACAGCACGGCACTTTGTAAATAGCTAGATTTTAATAAATGTCTGGGATAATGAATGCATGAATAAAAAAACACATGATTCAGGCTAAGGTAACCAAAACAGCATGGTACTGGTACAAAAATAGGCACACAGGCCAATGGAACAAAATAGAGAGGCCAGAAATAAGGCCGCACAATTATGATCATCTGATCTTTTACTAAGCTGACAAAAACAAGCAGTGTGGAAAGGACTCCCTATTCAACAAATGCTGTTGGGATAACTGGCTAGCCATATGCAGAAGATTGAAGCTGGACTCCTTCCTTACACCATATATAAAAATCAACTCAAGATGGATTAAAGACTTAAATATAAAACCCAAAGCTATAAAAATCTGGAAGACAACCTGGGCAACACCATCCTGGACATAGGAATGGGCAAAGATTTCATGATGAAGACACCAAAAGCAATCGCAATGAGAGCAAAAATTGGCAGGTGGGATCTAATTAAACTTAAGAGCTTCTGCACAGCAAAAGAAACTATCAACGGAGTAAACGGGCAACCTACAGAACGAGATAAAATATTTGCAAACTATGTATCTGACAAAGGTCTAATACCCAGCGTCTATAAGAAACTTAAACAAATTTACAAGGAAAAACAAAAAAACCCATTAAAAAGTGGGCAAAGGACATGAACAGACACTTCTCAAAAGAAGGCATACATGTGTCCAACAAGCATATGAAAAAAAGCTCAATGTCACTGATTACTAGAGAAATGCAAATCAAAACCACAATGAGATACCATCTCACACCAGTCAGAATGGCTATTACTAAAAAGTCAGAAAATAACAGATGCTGGCAAGGTTGCAGAGAAACGGGAACACTTACACACTGTTGGTTGGAGTATAAATTAGTTCAACCATTGTGAAAAGCAGTATGGTGATTCCTCAAAGAGCTAAAAGCAGAACTACCATTAGACACAGCAATCTCATTGTGGGTATATCATTCTACCGTAAAGACACATGAACACAAATGTTCACTGCAGCACTATTTACAATAGCAAAGACATGGAATCAACCTAAATGCCCATCAATGACAGATTGGATTAAGAAAATGTGGCACATATACACCATAGAATACTATGAAGCCTTACAAAAAAATGAGATCATGTCTTTTACTGGAACATGGGTGGAGCTGGAGGCTATTATCCTTAGCAAACTAATGCAGGAACAGAAAACCACATACTGCATATTCTCACTTATAAGAGGGAGCTAAATGGTGAGAACTCATGAACACAAAGACAGAAACAACAGGCACTGGGATCTACTTGAGGGGCGAGGGTAGGAGGAGGGTGAGAAGCAGAAAAGATAACTATTGGGTACTGGGCTTAATACCTGGGCGATGAAATAATCTGTACATCAAATCCCTGTGACAGAAGTTTACCTATGTAACCAACCTTCACATGTACCCCTGAATCTAAAATAAAAGTTTAAAATAAGAGAGAAAAAAATACTTGATGCTATTAGGCAATGAAAACCTACAATTAGCAAATTTAATGCTGACTAGTAAACTTAACAAAATCAACCATAGGAAGACACATTCCCGATAGCCACTAGAATCTAGATTAGGTTTTATCTTACTAGTTCTGTACTAAGAGGTTTGGAGACTTCCGTGTGCTCATTGAGGCAGATTTCTTCTTTATCACACCATAACTATCCATTTTCTAAGGATAGGCTTCTTCTGTAAGGTCTGAATTGCATTCCAGTTTCTCTGGATACCCTGAATTCACACCTGCTTGGTTAGAACTCTATCAAACATTTCTCTGGAAAGTGGACCCTATACTTACTCGTTCCCTTGCCAACACCCACACACATAACCCACACATGTCACACACTAGCTGCCAAGTACAGACTGCTTCATACCAGATGAACCTATAATAGTTCTCTCCCCACCATGTATCTGACTAAAGGTAACATGTGCCAAGTTTGCCCTTATTAATGTGTTCTGTTCCTTGGAGAGGAGACTTTGAGTGTTGACTCTGCAAATCACAGAGTAAGGATGGCCTCTTAGCCGGGTACACTTAGCTATGTCTCTTCTCTGACCCCTAGCCACATGGTTCTGGTGCCCCCAACTCTAGACTGCATGGGTAATAACTTTAATTGGGGCAATACCAAGGGAAAGGGAAGCTAGAACAGGAAGTGAACAGATACAGGTAATGAATAGATACGTCCCTTTTTAAAAGTCAGGAACATTTTTGAAGTCTTTACTTCTGTTCTCTTAAGTCCAAATCTATTTTAACAGTTATGCTCAGAAAAGCAGACACTCTTCCCCATCACATAGAGAAGTTAGGAAGATCTCTGATGGGAAATATCTAATATAATAATGGGTGTGATAAACATTTTAAACTGGGCAAATGGTCTCTGTGTTCTCTGGGAGCCTTCCATAATAGCTGATATTGATTTTTTAATGAGAGAAAAGCTGATGAAACACAGGCTTTTATTTTCGGGAACTCAGCCGGCAATACTCTTGGGTCTCCTACAGATGTTACTTTTAAGCAAGATGGGAATTTCATGGATTACTTTTTACCCCGCTTTTCTCAGGAGTAAATAAAAAGCAATATGGATATCTGGAGACATGCTGCTCTTTACTAAGGATGAGCCATTAACTCTGTAGTGGACCCACCAAATGTCTGTGGCCCATAATCCTGGGGACTGATCATTTGCACAAGATAGAATTTATGACCCATGTCAAGTATTTCTCAAGTTGTAACTGGGTCATGGTAAGTAGACTGAATTCTTTTTAAAGAATTTAACATAAAAGAGTCGGGTTGAGACAGAATTAATGAATAGATTACATACATAAGTAGAAAATAGTCTTTCACAAATTTAAACTTGGTTTTATTTTATAAGAAGCTATACCAAAGAAAGGGTGGTCCTGAAACTTTCACTAAATGCTTTGATGATCTACAGTCCCATAAGATAACACAGTTGAGAAGAAGAGAGTTGAGAGGTAAATGAACAGAAACTGAGGTAATAACACAGTGCTGTTTTACATGTATTTATTCATTAGTTTAATTGGTCCACATTGCTTCTGATCTCTATTTCAATTTCTGTGAGAGCCTAAATCTAAGATTATATGTTTACTCTGGATTAGTGCCTTCCACTGCCAAATTTTCTTCCTTAGCCTAAAAGAGCTGAATAATTAGAGCATAGAAGTTTTTTTGGATATACTATATTCCAGAAATTTTCAACAAGTGATTAATGATAAATTATTTTAATACTTATGAATAAAATACCACAGTTACTTCTTTTAAATAAAATACCACTATACATTCTCTTTGGTGATTGTTTAACATATCATGACTCTTATGCTGAATGCTTTGTTAAGGTATGTAGAAAAGTTTATTAAACAAGAGAAAAAAAGCCCACTGATAGCTTTCTGAAAGAGCTGTTCTTTCACATTATTTTAACATGCTCAGTTTTCATCAGCATAATTTTAGTGTCACCTGAGAAACAGCATAACTTATATTTGTGCTTTTCTGTTTTGGGTTTATTTTTGAAATATCTGGAGCAGGTTAAAGCAATTGTTAAAATTGGGTACTATTCCTCACATGTAGTTATTTATATCATTATAGGCATTTAGAAATGCTGGATACCTCGGTCTTTTATGTAAATAAATTTTATCTTCCTCATTAAGTTGAAAATTTTAAGACTCTGGGTCTCTTATGTTAATGTATCCTTGCAATTTCTAGCCTGTGGTAAACACTCAAGAGCTCATGAATTCATGAGCTAGAGCTTGCTAGAGTCCAAGGAGACATAGACTTGATACTACCTGGATATTTATTATTTAAATGGGGTCAGAATCACAGACTTAATCCTTATAGGGTTTTTTTGTTTGTTTGTTTGTGGTACAGACACATTATAAACCGTAGTCATCTCATACTTGCAAAACGGCCTAATAGAATTGGGAGATAGAATGCAAATTTACCAATAAGAATCCTTGGCTATTACTGAAAAGTAATCTTGAAGATTTCGGAGATGGGTAGAACTTTATATATCCACTTTACACAAGAAGAAACCAATATCTTTGCATATGAAGGACATGTTTATAATATTTTTAGAGATACTTATCTTTCAAGGCAAAGTGGAGAGAAGTAAGGTGAATATGTTGTTTGAAAGTTAAAACAAGAATCCAAATCAAATCTTCCTTGCAACAAAGTCAACATTTGTTCTGTACTAACCAATGGAACTTTTCTGTGGTGATGGAAGTTTCCTATCTGTGCTGACCAATATGATGCCACTAGCCAAACGTGGCTACTGAGTACTTGAAATGTGATCAGTGAAATTGAAGACTGGAATTTTAAATTTTGTTTAATAAAAATTAATTTAAATATAAACAAACGTGACTAGAGGATATTACATTGGACAGTGGCCTTATAAATTAACAAGGATCTAGTATAATAACATAAATGAATTGAAGTCTACTAAATGGCAAGTACTGTGCTAAGTGCTTTATGTTAATGATCTGTTAGGGTTGTTATGAATTTTAAATCAATTAATACACACAAAGCACTTAGCACAATGCCTGGGCCATGCAAAGAATTCACTACTAGGTCATTTATTCATTAACTCTACAAGGTAGATGTTGTTATCTTCATTTAACAGATAAGGAAATAGTCTTTTGGGGGTTAACATGTCCTGAAGAATGTAGCCAGTAAAATGCCAAACTAGGATTGAAACCCAGAAAGGTCTGCCTGCCATGTTTGTACCCTTAACAACATCTGGTAGAATTATTGTCATCTGGAAGCTCTAAATCAGTTATTTTTCATAGACTCCAAATCCCATGCTGATAGACCAAATGTATGTTTCCCATGTATAGTTTGCTGCAATCACTAGTGTGTACGTATGTGCCTAGAGGAATCACTATATCCCTCTCCTAGAAGATATTTCTATCAGATTTTTCTTCCCTCATGGTACATATCTGGTCTCCATCTCTTTAAAGTGAACAGTGGAATAAAACCTTAAATTTTCCCCTGTTGGTCACAAGAGAGTGTGTAGGACCATGACTCAGTACACCTAATGCATACCACGAAAAGCTGAGTTGCTAGCAACTCACTTTCCACTTTTGACTCTCAGTTTCTTAATGTGGGAAATTGGCAAGTGATCAAAGGTGGAGTTTGGAATGGACAGCCAGGGAAAATTCTTGCCTGGTCTACACTATTAGGTTGTCATGATATATAAATGAGATAGTATATATAAGGCATTTTTGAAAGATCCTAATGCCTAGTATGACTGAAGGCATTATTTTTAAAATTACTGTCCTTGAACATTAGTCAAAATATAGTGGGATAACCCCTACCTGCATCAATATTGATACGAATAGGAATGTTTGAGACAATAACTATGAACGAACATATTAAATTATTAAGAAATACGTTTATAAGCTGTACAATGGTACTCTTAGTTTTCTCATTCCTTTCTCTTCCGAATAGCTCCTTGGGGAACTCCAAGCCATTAGTAAAAATAGACTACTGAAGCAGAGGCATAAATGAAGCTTATTATTTTTGTTTTTTTTTCCCAAGGGACTTACCATTTCCAGCAGGTTCAAGAGCAGTTGGCTGTGCTTTCTGATAATATTATAAGCACGACAGCAAAGTTCCACAAAATCTTGAAAATGCTGTGGGTTTTTCCCACCCTCTGTAATAAAGTATTCCATCTCTGAAGTAAAAATGAAAGGAGCTCGGTCCCTGTAAACCAAAAACAGTAGCAATCATTCGAAGGAAGAGAAATGGTTTGTCAGGTTAAATCAGCAGTTATAACGACTTATTTTCATTTGAATTTTCTTTTTTTTTTCTCTACTGTAATAGATAAATTTCCTTCATTGTGAGGCAGCTTGAGAAACTGCATAATTGTAGGCTTTGAATAACCATGCTGCAATAGAGAGAAAAGGATAAGATATTTTACAATGTCAACTATATTGTCTGAAATGTTTAATTCTAAATTACATTTGGAGGGGAATATTATTCATTAAAAGTAACATAAAGGCCAATTCATAGTGAAGCTGATATTTATAGAGTCTTTATAAAAAGTACATTTTCTGCTAAATTTTGATATGATCGAACAGATGTGTTTGACCTTATAGTATTAAAAAAAATTTCCTTGTATGATGACCCTTTAGGAAAAAAGTTTCTGGTAAAAGCTAAGAAGCAAGCAGATGTTACCAATTCACTGGCATATGCTTAGTGAAGGAGAAAAAAGGTAGCTATATTTTATTTCACACTGGACCCAGTAAAAACGCTGGTCAGAAAGGAAGATATGAGTAGACCATATCATTATGTAAGTAATACTGACCACTGTAGTCTAAGGATGGAAAAATAAGAAAACAAAAGACCAGAGAGAAGATGGTCCCACGTCCCCCACCTTTGTCAGTTTTTTTATCATGTCATTTAAGATACGGATAGGGCTGAGATGAAATATTAGCAATTCTAACAGAGAATAGCAGAGAGAGGATTGGAAACATCCCTGTTGGAGGAATTACCACTCATTGAATAAGAACACAGAGTTTTGATACCTTAGGCCAATTTGACACTAATTTGGTGAAAGGTTAGACCAAGTAGCAATTTAAAAAGTCATGGATTATTGAGGGAAATTCTTATTTTTGTTTTAAATAATAAAACATAATTGTTTTCTTTTTGTTGCTTATGCTTAGCTATTTCAGTAAAAATACAATGGAGTGAAAAATTTCACTGATCTGACAGTTAATGAGACCTTTCAGTAGTGTGGATATTTATATCAGAAAGCTACAACTTCGTCAATTTGTGGCAGGTTTGGGACAGGGGGGTCTAATTGCAGGCAAAATCTTTAAAATAAAACAAACACTCGAGTTTTTTGGCTATGATTATTTTATTTAGAAACTTTATTTTGTAATCCATGCTACCACAATGCCTGGAGGAAAGGCTGGAATACCAGTACCTTCACTTCTGTTTATATTCATTCATTTCTTCAACAAAATTTATTGAGCACATACATACACTGCGGACTATGTCTAAAGTATCAGGTCTAAATTTTAAAATTTTGGTTCAAAATCCTTTTTTATTTGGCCTTCATTGACTTATCCAACCTATATTCTATGAATTATTTTACAAGTTCTTGACTTTAGCCAAGCTGGGAGAAGAGATGTTGAAAACATGAGATATAGCATAGGTTCTAATTCTGGACCTGCTATGTCTCAATCCTTCATCTCTAAACCACCTAACTCTTAGAATTGCTGTGAGGATTAACTTAGGAAATGTACATGTACATAAATGCCTGACACATAGGGAGGGTGGCACATTTGTGAACTGCTCACATTAGAGAGAGGCTTTTGCAGAGGCACAAACTGTGGGCCTGTGAACCAGGTTTCAAATCATGGCTTCACCACTTAACTATAGTAGTTCTATGACTCTGGGTGACTTAATCTCTCCGTTCTCTAATCTCCTTCTTTGTAAAATGGAGATAAGAGCACTTGACTCTTGGTATGGTTGAGAGAATCAAATGGGTCATAGCATGTGCAAGTGCTTACAACATAGCCTAGCATGTAGTAAGCACTCACCAAATTTTAAATAGTATTGTCTGCAAACAGCCAAGTGTTCTCATAGCTGAACCTTGTTATCACTAAATTTCCTTGTCTCTTCAAAAATCTATCAGAAAAATCTCATCCTTATTCCAAGATTTAATTTACTCTGTTACTCCATGTAACCTCTCTTGCTGCATAAACCCGTAAGTGGATCTTTGAATTTGATAGCATTTTTTTAATTATACTTTAAGTTTTAGGGTACATGTGCACAACATGCAGATTTGTTACATATGTATACATGTGCCATGTTGGTGTGCTGCACCCATTAACTCTTCATTTAACATTAGGTATATCTCCTAATGCTATCCCTACCCCTCTTCCCCCACCCCACAGCAGGCCCTGGTGTGTGATGTTCCCCTTCCTGTGTCCATGTGATCTCATTGTTCAATTCCCACCTGTGAGTGAGAACATGCGGTGTTTGGTTTTTTGTCCTTGCGATAGCTGATAGCATTTTTTATATATTGCTCACTCACTCATCACTATTGCCAATATTTTAGTAGAGTTTTAGCAATATCATAGATTTTCATAATCAGAAAAATATCTTAATTTTATATGTAACAGTTTTCTAATAGTTTTTCCACCCTACTCTCTATGCTGTGTTTACTATATCAAGTAGAACTTCGGAAATAATTTTAGAAGAGTATTAATTTTTTACAACTTCCTGAAACTTTTTCTCCTAATATGATGAATATACTTTTCTCTTTTCAATAAGGAGAATTATGATGGATCAAATTAATTTCTCTTGGGAGGTTTCTGTAGTTATGCTCAAGTTCATGAGATAACACATTTCTTTTGTCCATAGTCACCATTATTAGAAATCAGATGCAGAAACACCATAACAGAAAGTTAAATACACAAAAGAAACATATACAAATTAAATAAAATATAAAGTAATATTAAAGAAACAAATTTTAGTTGTGCTTAAACATTATCATAGTCTAAATTTTCAGTAGATCCAACAAAATAAAATTCTGTATCTTTTCTATATGATTTTCATGGCTCACTTCTGAGCAATTTTTTTAAACCTCAGAATTACCCTAAACTTGTCTATAAATGAAAAGAAACTTCATATGTGAAACAAAATCCCATCTATTCCTGTAAGATGTAGAAATTTCAGTTAGGATAAAATTTATCAGTCCACTGAAATGTAAACCTATTCCTATGTTATAGAATTAATGTGTTGGAGTTTATCTCTGAAATTTAAGCATTACTTATAAATCTGAGGTATAAATTGGTTGTGACAAAAGGGAATATTCTAAATTTGATCTCTCATGGTCTATACTGTGATTATATTTTGAATTATATATTGAAAATCTTATTTATAGCTATAAAAATAAACTATAGATATTTCTTGCTGTGACAATCCTAACTTTTTTTTTCTAGATTAGTGGTTTTACCTTTGCTTACCAAAGTCCCACCTGTTCTTGCTTCTGTACCTTTTATTCATATTGTAACTACTTTTTTTTTTTTTTCATCTCTCTCTTTCTCACCTGATGTTCTAAAACTGATTTAGATATCAGGACCAAAAATCTTGTCTTATTAGTCTTCTCCAATTAACCCAAACCTTGTCAGGATCAGAAGCCTTTCTTTTTTTTTAATCCAAATGACCCGTATGATTTTCAAGAGCAGAGGAAGTAGTCCACCTTCCTTTTATATAGTCTTAACATCAGAAACAATATTTTGATGTTATTCTCTTACATGCGATGAATGCAACAATAAATAAACATAGCTCATATAGTGAAGAGCTTGTAACAATTTGACATTTATTTGGGAAGGCCATAAGTACAAACATATTTGTAACGATTCTGTCATTTTTGTTGTCAAAATTAATATTTTCATTAACTTATGACCATTTTTCCCTGAAGTTATTATTATTTTTAAATGCAGAGAGTGATTATTTTACAGATTTCCAATAGGGGTGAGAAGTGAGTTGGTGGTTTAAAAATGTATATATACTTAGAAATGTAAGAACACTTATATTACGGATAATAATTATTAAGCAGACAAATAAATTCACTTGATGTAAGAAATAGCAAGAGGCTGGGCATGGTGGCTCACACCTGTAATCCCAGCACTTTGGGAGGCTGAGCAGGGTGGATTATCGGAGGCCAGGAGCTTGAGGCCAGTCTGAGCAACATGGTGAAACCCTATCTCTACAAAAAATACAAAAGTTATCCAGGCACAGTGGCACACACCTGTAATCCCAGCTACTCGGGAGGCTGAGGCACAAGAATTGTTTGAACCCTGGAGGGGGAGGTTGCAGTGAGCCAAGATTGTGCCACTGCACTCCAGCCTGGGAGACAGAGCAAGGCTCTGTCTCAGAAAAAAAAAAAAAAAAAAAAAAAAGAAATAGCAGGACAATTAATAGTTTGCTGTTTATTACTTTCACATGTTTTCCTTCTAGCCATACTGTATATATAATCTCCTTGTATAGTCATTAGAATACCAAGATCATTATCATTAAGCATTTGCAGATCACCACTGAACTAAAGATATGTAGAGTTTTAGGGTATATTTCTGTCTGTTAGGTGAATTGAATCTAATCAGGGAGATATACACTGTAGTTATTTATCAACAAATACTGGGCTTCTATAATAGATTTGTGCAAGGCTTGTGAGGTGAAAGATTTTAAAAAATCAATGTTCTAAAAGCATTATAAATTTATTAAATAAGAACAATAGTGTTTTGAAAAGATTACTCCACTAACAATACAGAGAAGGGTTTGGAGCAGGAAGGGTATATATGAGCAGATCAGACAAGAGACTTTTGCAAAACATTTTGACCAGATATGATAGTAGCTTAGATTAGAGTTGTGGCATACAGATAACAGAGAAGTGGGAAGACTTAAAAGCATATTTCAGAGAAAAAAAAATCAATAGGATTTCACGATAATTAGAATGAGAGGGAGAAGAGGTGCCAAGAAGAACTTTAACTTTTTCCCTTGTGTAGCAGGAAGACTGCAGTGCAACATTTGGAGGTAGCTGAGCTTTGAGCTTAAGTTATATTTGAGGTGGCTTTGAGACATACAAATGCAGATTAAAATGAGGGTACTCATTTCTGGACCATGGAGAAAAGATTTAGGTTGGAGGTAAAATTTTGTGAGTGAAACTTCTGATTCTGGGAAGATGAAGTAGGCATATTTTTCCTTGTTCCTCCCACTGAGTATATTAAGAACTCTGGAAATTATATACAAAGCAAACATAAGGTGACTCTGACAGGCATAAAGAAGACAGACTACCTAGGGATGTCAGGACTCAAGTAACAACATGGAGGTGAGTTTTCTGGGTTTTCTTTTTTGCCTCATATATTCTAGGCATGAAATACATGCTGCTAAAGCAGGCAATTCAAAAAGCCCCAAAGAAAAGCCTGCTTTAAAGGGGCAGCTGAAAAAAAAAAAAAAAAAACAGCAAACTTTTAGATTGTAACCACTCTACTCCAGTTAAATATCAGGGAAGACACTGTGACACCACTTCTCCCCTACACCAGCCAAGGGCAAGGTAGGCAGCCAACACTCCCACTCCTACCAGACTGTGATGTGGCACTTCAATCCCCCACAGGGTACTGTCAGAGACAGTTCAGTAAGAAAATTGGTATTGGTGGCAGAATACACATAGGCTAATGGAACAGAATAAATAATATAGAAACAGACCCACACAAATACATGCCCAACTGATTTTGTACAAAGTTGTAAAAGTAATTCAGTGAAGACAGGTTAGCCTCTTGAACCGATGATACTGGAACAATTAGACACCCATATGTAAAAATATAAACGACCCAAACTTCATACCTAATACAAAAATTAACTTACAATGGTTCACAGACTTAAATATAAAATGTAAAGTTATACAACTTTTAGGAAAAAAAAGGAGAAAGTCTTTTACATTTAGGGCTATGCAAAGAATTTTAAAATTTCAACATGTCTGTCTTGTGAAAAATAATAAGGAGATGAAAAGACAAACTATAGACTAGAAGATAATATTTGCCAACACATAGCCAGCAAACTGCCAGTATCTGGAGTGTCTATTTTAAAAATTCTCAAAATTTAACCATAAAAATCAAACAATATAATTAGAAAATGAGCAAAAGAGATAAAGAGATGTTTCACAGAAGATGACTTGCAGATTGTAAATAAACATATAAAAAGATGTTCAACATTATTAACCACTAGGAAAATGCAACTTAAACCCACAATGAGATATCACTACCCACCTATCAAAATGGCTAGATAAAAAATAATAAAACAATACCAAACACTGGCAAAGATGTGTAGAAACTGGATTACTCACACATTGCTGGTGAAAATGTGAAGTGGTATAGTCACTCTGGAAAATCACTTGGCAGTTTCTTAAAAACAACAACAAGATACAACTACCATACAACCCAGAAATTATACTTTTGGACATTTACCTCAGAGAAATACATGTTCACAGAGACTTACAAATGAATTGTTTGCAATAGCTTTATTCTTAATAGCCAGAAAATGCAAACAACTAAGATGTCCTTCAATGGGTGAATGGTTAAACAATACATGGTACATACATATTAAGAAATGTTATTTGTCAATAAAATAACATAATTTTGAAAACACAACAGCTTGAATTAATCTTCAGAGAATTATTTTGTGTGAAAAGAGCCAATCAATAAAAATTGCATACTGCATGGTTCTATTTATATAACATACTTGAAATGACAAAAACATAGGAATTGAGAACAGATTAGTGGTTGTCAGGGGATAAGAATGAAGTGGGGAAGAAGGTGAGAGGGAAGTGAATGTGGCTACAAAAGGGCAACCTGAAGAATCTGGAGGATGAAATTGTTCTGTATTTTGAATGTATTGATATCAGTATCCTGGTTGCAGGAACTGTACTGTAATTCTGTAAGATGTTACCATTGGAGGAAACTAGTAAAGGATTTATGGAATCTCTTTGTATTATTTATTACAACTGCATATGAATCTTCAATTATCTCAAAATAAAAAGTATTATTTAAAATATATTTTTTTATTGTGAGTTATCTGGATATAGATATTGATAGAAACCTTGACATAGATAATATATATAGATGATAACAGTTTGATGGAAACTGTAGAGTGAGATGAGAAAAGCACTAAGACAAATCTTGGGAAATCAATCTTTTGGTAACTTGGTAGAAGGAAATAATTTTGAATTAGATATCAAGAAAGGGAGAAAAACTAGAGGGTGATGATACATTACATAAGGCATGTGAAGAAGATACTTTGAGGAAGGAATAGTTAACATTGTTGAAATTTGCAGGTAAATCAAATAAAATGATGAATAAGTATTTTTAGGTCTAGTATCCCAAAGGTGTATTATTCCATTCTCACACTGCTATAAAGAAATACCCGAGACTGGGAAATTTATGGAGAAAAGAGGTTTAATTGACTCACAGTTCTACCAGCTGTACAGGAGGCATGGATGGGGAGGCCTCAAGAAACTACAATCATGGCATAAGGTGAGGGGAAGCAGGCACCATCTTCACGTGGTGGAGCAGGTGAGGGGGAAGTGCTACACATTTTTAAACAACCAGTTCTCATGAGAATTCACTGCCTATCACAAGAACAGCAAGGGTTAAATCCACCCCCATGATCTAATCACCTCTCTCCAGGTCCCTCCTGTAACATTGGGGATTACAATTCAACGTGAGATTTGGGTGGGCACGCAGAGCCAAGCCATATCAGGTCATTGTTGATCTTATCAAGTAATGAAGAATAAAACCAGATCAAGTGGTTATGGATTGAACAAGAGGTAAGGAATGGAGATCAAGAGTTTATAGACAACTCCTCCAGGAAATTTGTGAAGGCGAGCAAAATGGCATGAAGCCTGGAGATTTTGAGGCAAGGTTATTTAAACTTTGGAGAGACAAGCTTATTTAAAAATATTATTTGAGAGGGAAAGGATAAATATTCAAGAAAAATGAATTATTGATAGTACAATGTTCATCAGAAGGTAGGAGGAGAATGGCTTCAAAGCACAGATGGAAGGACTGACTTCAGAAGGGAAAAACAGGTCTTCTATTATAAGAGAAAGGAAGAAGAGTGTGTGAGATTTTTATTGGGTAGAAAAGTAGACTCTGTTCTGATGATTTTATTTTTCTCAAGAAAGTAAGTATGGTCATCTGCTTAAAGCAGGGAGTTGGTAGGAGTGATCTGAGGTTTATGCTTGAGAGGTTAGGGTGCCAATTGTTGTAGAGAGTGAAATAGTGGGATGGCCACAGACATGTGCCATTGCTGGGCCATGAGGGTGCCTCATTTTAAACTAGTGACATGTTTGCTCTGGCATGTGGTCTTAGAGCCCTTGGCTGCTGTGCATAGAACAGAGACAACAGATGGGTGGGTTGTGGCACTTGGTTATCTTCTGCTTCCACATTTCTGTTCATAATATGTTCTGCTCTAGGCTGTCTTTCCCCCACCTTTCCCACAAATTCAAGTCCAATCCTTTCTTTAAAATCCTGTTCATATTGCACTTCCTCTTGAAATCTTTCCAATAGCACCAGCCCTCACAGTGGAAATGGCCATATTTTAAAACACAATATTAAAGAAATGGACAAGGATGCTAATTGTAATAAATGAACTCTGAAATAGCTGAGGAGCTGTATCCTTAAAGTTATCAGCCTTTTATTTATTGAATTATTCTTTAAACAAATACATACGTACTCAAAAAATGAATGATGTTTGATTTTCAAGTGTTACCTACATAAGCTATTTAAAAACAAAATAATTCACAGAGGCAGTTTCCTCAAATGTGAATTATGCGTCTAGATAATACCACTGGGTTGCTTCCCAACAGTTCAGGGTGGTCTTCAGACATACTAATCTCAATAGGATAGACTCTGGTAGGCTCTGAAATTAGAGTAAAATATCATAAATGTTTAACTTACATGAGCTTAACTGTACCTATTAGATTTTTTTTAAAAAAGTAAGAAAAATCTTAAAACAGAGTAAGCAATTCTGCCTGCCTTTTCACTCAAAGAGAAAATGCCCAATGATGAGAAAGTGATCCTGATACTTTAACACTTGGACTTAGTTTTTGCATGCCTCTTGCAGTGCAACCACCTTTCATGACATTTAATTGTAGTTTTTAAAGGTATGAATTTAATATACATCAGGGTCATAAATGCAAGATGCTAACTAAAGAAACAGTCATCTATCCCAATGCTGGAAAAAGCGTAGGCTGTGTTGGGATTATCGAGAAATGGGAATATCATGGCATCTTCCAAAGATTCTACCATCTACTTATTACCTACAACTTTGAACAAATTTTAACAACTAAGACTTCTCTCTGTCTCAGTTCTTCATTTGTGAAATAGAGAAAATAACAGTATCTACCTCAAAGAGTTTCTGTAAGAATTAATGCAGCTAGTGCATAGCAAGTACATATGAGACTTTAAAGGGTATTTTTGACCATTTCCTTTATAATCTGATCTTCTTCACTTGACGATGCAGCACCATGCTACAGGGCACTTGATTGTGCCAGGCCAGTGACAAGCTGCACCAAATCCAGAGCAATTTGAGAAGAGCTACATGTTTGATATTCATGATAGAGGCAGGGGATATGGAGATATGGAAAGTGGAATGAAAAGATAGAACTCTATCAATAATTCGTGATAGTAGAATTAGTCTGCTGGACTCTGTGAACATAGATATTTCTTCCTCTTATAGTTTAGTTTATCCAGTATTTTATTTGAGCAACTGATAAAGTCAGTAAATAAAAGTATGCAAGCTTAAATCCCAAACTGAAAGACTTGAGTGTTTGAATAATACATTTGTACCCCAAACTAAAACTTAGTGGGACTTAGTAATAAGGCACATTTTGTTTTTATTATTAACATTATTTGTATTAATTCTTTGAATTTCAACTATTTTTATTCCTAGGAAATATAATAATAACATTAATGTATATTGTTTAAAGATTTCTAAAAGTTGTAGACTCCCATAATAGTGAATGGGAATAGAAATAATGACTACAAAGCACATTGGGGAATGTTTAAGCTTATACTGTTCTTGATATCACAAATGACCTACATTTCAGAGAGCACATTTTGCTGTTCAGCAGAAAGAACACAAGTCTCTTGTCTAATATCCATGAGTTAATTGAGAAGGCAAATTTGGAATCTCCATTGGATAGGATAGAACATTAGATAATTAAGCAACACAGAAAACCTCACATGTACAATATGATGAGAACATGAGAGTGCATGTACTATTATAGAAAGAACATTTAACACCCTGTGAGATCTCCAAGCTCTCTGCAATTATTAACTAAGGACAGCCTTAGTTAGTCTTTTAAGTGTAAAACAATTTTTTTTCCTGGTTCAGTCTCTTGTAAATGTAATGTGTGTCCTAAATTAGACCCCTGGAAGTCCCTGATCATCAATAGATTAATAACTTTAGTTACTAACTCTGGTTCCTCTCAGGCTCAAATACAGCATCTCTCTTATTTGATAAGGGTGATTAAAACAACTATTTCTTCAAAATTATCAAGTCTCCTTTCCTAAGTATAATATATTGTGTCTGAATTCATAGTAGATCAGAATTTCATAAGACAAAAAGAGGCTGATTAGATCCTTCAACTGCCCACTTTTTTTTTTTCTTTGAAGTTGAGTTTAGAGGAAAGAGCTCTTTGAGGAAAGAGCACAGCTATGTTTCGCATGGAATTCCAGTCTATACTTGAAACAGAAGTAGTCTAGTCTGGATATGAGGAAAACATTAACAATGCTATAACTCTTGGGTGAAATTGCATTTTAAATACACATTAGTTTCTAAAATCAGGTTGAAGGTGAAAATCAAGAACAGCCTAAGTTAGCTGTAAAAACATTTAAATAACCCATAAAGTTACCATGTGCATAATCAAAATGTATGTATGAGGCATTGAATGTGCATATTATCTCTTAATAAATTGAACCCCATAGTTGTTTCCCCCAGCAACAGAAGTGGGGCACTATTTCTTTAGTTGGATACTACATAAAGTTCTTATACTAAGCTTATGTTTAGGAGACATTTGTATTATTCTACAAATTTAGTCTAAAACTGAATTTAGAGTCAACGCTATGAGATCCTTATATTGGCAAGCACATTGTACCTTAGACCAGCTGAGGAATCAGCATTCATGCCTTCCATCTTATGCTTGCTTTGTTCACAATGGGGCATTGGCTTACTGAGTGTGAGAGGGCAGAATCCTTACACCATGTAAGTGGATCCTTCCTTTGTTCTTTTATTTCATCTCTCTCACAAACATTTTTCCCTTCTCAGTCATCCTTTACTCTTTTCATCTGAAAACCCACAAAGTCTCTCTTTGGAGAAAATTTATTTGTCTTATCAGAGAAACTGTTTTTACTTATAATCAGGGGTTGATATAAGGGAGCTATTCAAAAGAAATCATGCAATAAAACAGTAGAACGATGAGGTAAAGTCAAAAAGGGAGAAGTAATAGTGAGAAGATGAGATCGATAAAACAAACTTTGTTTCTTGAAATGGTCCGTGTGAGTAAGTGAGAGCGCTTTGTAACATCCAAAGCACTATTTAAATGTGAGGTGTAGTTTGCCTAGGAATGGCTCTGTGACTGGCAGAAGACTTCATCCTCACATGAAGAGTAACCATCAGGTTAAAAAACAAAACAAAACCAAAACAAACAAACAACAAACAAAAAACCCTTGGTAAATTTCCAGCTAGGGTTACAGAATATAGCACGTTCTTAATAAATTTATATTTAGAAAAATCGTACCCTCTCAGGTTCTTGGGTCAAGGAAAGTAAACGTGATGACATTTTGGAATGATCCTACAATCAACTGAAATTGAACCTCTGCTCTATGCTTGGTGCTTAGGCTACAAAGATATCCTTAAAACACTCACAGTTGGAGAGATACTGGAAAGTATGTTTCCTTTCTAGAAAACTCAGATGATACAAAGGCCTGCTGTGAGTAAAAAGAAACCACCATGTTTCTGAGAAAGCAATTGTGAATAACAGACCAATGAGAATCACCTAATTTCAAAGAAAACTAAGGTAGTAATTAAAGCATGAAGGAGATTATTATTACCTATCATTTGGATCACTGTGAATATTGTACTGAAGGAGAATGATTGGAGTAAGACACAATTACTCCTTTAATCTGTTAAGGGAGTTTTTTTGTTAAAAGATAGTTTTAAATTGGGAAGATTTAGAATATAAGTACTGTAATACTCAAATTAGAAATTAAATTAACTTTTAAAAAAATCAGTGGTAATTAACTATTGAAAATAATATCAAAATGATTATAAACACAGGGAATTTTTGTGAATAGTATTGGGATGAAAATGCTGAGATTAATTATAGTAGGTAATTTGTTGTCTATTGGGATAAAACTTATAGAGTGTTTAAACAACGTTGTGATAAGACTGATATATGATATTTTGATCATCTGGGTGTAAATATTTCAATAGGAAAAGAACAGAGGTTGATTTTTATTTTGCTGAGTTCTGGAATCATTTTCTATGTCTTTAAAGTGGATTTATGTCCTGTTATGCAGTGATGAATATTTAATAGCTGGCTTACTTTGTTTCCTTAGGAAAAAAGCTCTGATTTGTGGCATTTGCCAATTTTATGTGGTGTAAATACTCCCATTATGGGTGATTTTAGGGTATCAATGTGATGTCATTAAATACAGAATTGAGAAGAAGGACACACAATTGGCTCTCGCAAAACAGTATGGGCCAGGTTCAGCATACCTCTGCTTGTATCTGAAATTGTATTAGAAGTTAGGGATGACTTGATGAAATACCTCCCAATCTAAACCTGACAAAAAGTGTGATCCAGTCTGTCAGTCAACAAGCCTCAAACTCAGAGAACTTAAATGACTAATAGTTCAATTTATGAACTTCGATATACAGATTTTTTTTTTTGAGATGGGGTTTTGCTTTTGTTGCCCAGGTTGGAGTAACAGTGGTGCAATCTTGGTTCACTGCAAACTCTGCCTCCCGGGTTCACGCGATTCTCCTGCCTCAGCCTCTCGAGTAGCTGTGATTACAGTTGCCAGCCACTATGCCCAGCTAATTTTTTGTATTTTTAGTAGGGACGGGGTTTTATCATGTTGGCCCAGCTGGTCTCAAACTTCTGACCTCAGGTGATCCACCTGCCTTGGCCTCCCAAAGTGCTGGGATTATAGGCATGAGCCATCAGGTCTGGCCCAATATACAGATTTTTTAAAAATAGCAAAAATAAACTTAGATAATTTTAAATAAAAGAAAAAACAATTACCCAGAGATGTAACTAATTTCTCATCACTTCATTTGGAACACTTACATTAATTGCAACAAACTTTTATAAAGCCCTCACTTAGTGCTGGACATTCTTCTAAGAATTTTACTGATATCAATTCATTTAATCTTCAAAAAAAAATCTGTTTTTTAAACAAGAAAACTGAGGCACAGGCCGGGTGGGTGGCTCATGCCTGTAATCCTAGCACTTTGGGAGGCCAAGGCAGGTGGATCACCTGAGGTCAGGAGTTTGAGACCAGCCTGGCCAACATGGCAAAATCCTATCTCTACTAAAAATACAAAAAAATTAGCCAGGCGTGGTGGTGGGCACCTGTAATCCCAGCTACTCAGGAGGCTGAGGCAGGAGAATCACTTGAACCTGGGAGGCGGAGGTTGCAGTGAGCCAAGATTGCGATGTTGCACTTCAGCCTGGGCAACAAGGTTGGAACTCCGGCTCAAAAGAAAAAAAAAAAAAAGAAAACTGAGGCACAAAGAAGCCACTAGTTTAAGGTCACACCATTAACATATACTAATACAGGATTAAAATAACACATTGGAAGAGTGACATCAACAAAGTGACAAAGATTTCTGTGGCCTCACTACCCCCATACCCAGAAATTCAATTAGCAACTATCCACAGGCGAGAATACCACCCTGAATATCCTAAAACTTGAGAGTGAAGCTGAGACACCCTTTGGACTGCAGAATCTAGAAGGGCTATGATTACACAGTAAAAGAAATGGTTCTCTTTGATTGTGTCACCGCTCCTTCAAGCTAGCACAGCATCATCCACAGATAATTTCCCTGGACTTGCAGTTTCTACAGAGACAAATGTGAGTTGGAGGCACACATTCAGTCTTCCCACTTTTCTGGGACCCTTTGCAGGAGGCTCACTCCTGTCTTGTCTCAAAGGAAATGCTAGGAGTACCAACAAGGTTAAACCACCTGGGCTCATTTAGAAAAAAAGAAAAGGAGTGGGGCTCTCAGCCACCAGCACACAGATTGTGGGGGTTGCTCTTCATCTGGCCAGTGGAGGTGCCATACCAGAGAGACTAGCAACAACATTATAATGGAGAAAACATAGTTCATGGATATTTCATGGTCCAATCCTTAGACAGCTTCCCCACACAGCCCAGATGCTCTCACAAGTCTTCCCAGGGTTGACAGGCAACTGTAGATCAGTGATTGCCCATGGAGAGAGTATCCGAACTTGCTCAGTCCTACCAGTGGAGAGGTAATCCCCTAAGTTTCGGTACTCAAATTTAAGTTTTCCCCATACTGGGGAGGAACTGCAGATCAGTGATTATCCACAGAGTATCTGGCCCTGCCCAACTCTGGCCATGAAGAGGTGATCCAACTAATTTCAATGCTTGCATTAAGTCTTTCCCAGACTTGAAGGCAACTGCAGATTAGCAGTTACCCATGGAGGGAGCATTTGGCCCTACCCAATCCTAGAAATGAACAGGTAATCCAACTGAGCCCAATGCTCTTGTTGTCTTCCCCATGCTAGGAGGCACCTACAGATCAGTAATTACCTATAAATGAAGTATTTGGTCCTGCACAACTTTAGCTGCAGAGCAGTGATCCTACCAATGTTGCTACCAGCTGGCCCAACCAGAATTCTAGGTTATACTAAATAGTACAGCTCTATCACCATCAAAAAACACAAACAATGACTGGAAGAGGTGATGATGTCCTCACATATGCAGGCACTAATATAAGGACACAAGGATTATAAAAAATCATGGAAATATGACACTGCCAAAGGAAACTAATAAAATGCCAGTAACAGACCATGAAGAAATGGAGTACTATGAAATGTCTGATAAAATATTCAGAATACTCTTAAAGCAGTTCAAGGCACTAAAAGAAAATTCAGATAGAAAATTAAATGAAATATGGAAAACAAAAGAATACATCTTACAAAGAAATATAAAAAATACCAAAAACCCAAGTAAAAATTCTAGAGATAAAGAATACAATAACTGAACTGAAAAAGTTATTAGAAAGCTTCAATAGTAGACATGATCGAGCAAAAGAAAAAAACAGTGAGCACAAAGACAGGACATCTGAAATTATCCAATCAGAGAAACAAAAAGAAAAACATAATGAAAAAGAATGAAGAAAGTTTATGAGAATTAAGAGCCACTGTCAAGTGAACTAACCTTCAAATAGTAGGAGTTCCTAAAGGAGAGGAGAGAGAAAAGGGCCTAGAAAGCATATTTAATAAAATAATGATGAAAAATGTCTCAAATCTGAGGAAAGATGACAATGTTCAGATATAGAAAATTCAGAAGTCATCAATTAAATTCAACTCAAAGAGGAAATCCCCAAGACATCACACTCCAATTATCAAAAATCAAAGGTAAGGAAAGAATAATAAAAGCAACAACATATAAAGAAGATATCACATTCAATGGACTACAAATATGACTTTAAACAGATTTTGCAGCAGAGACCCTGCAAGCCAGGAGAGAATAGGATGATATATTCAAATTGCTGAAGAAAAAAAAAAAAACCTGCCAACAAGAATACTTTACCTGGCAAAGTTGTCCTTCAGAAATGAGGGAAAAAATAAAAGCTAATGGAGTTCATCACCACTAGCCCTGTTTTACAGGAATTGCTAATGGGAGTTATTTAAGCTAAAATAAAAGTCTGCTAATTAATAACAAAAAACAAATGAAAACGAGAAAAAAAGGCTCAATGGTATAAGTGATGCATATCCATACTCAGAATTCTCTAACACTCTAAGGGTGGTGTGTAAAGCAGTTTTAGAGAGTTAGAAGAAAAAGCTATTAAAAACAACTGCTGAAGTAAATTGTTAAGAGATACAAATTAGGGGCAGGGCCAAGATGGCCAACTAGAAGCAGCAGCTATCAGAGGCTTCCATTGAAAAGAACCATAACAGTGTGCAAATCCTGCACTGGCAATTAAGGTATCCAGGTTCTGTCATTAGAACTGAGTAGGCAGCTGGTGTGACCCACAGAGAGGAAGGAAGAGCAGTATGGTGCAGTGGGCCACCTGAGAGCCACATAGGGCAGGGCAGCCCCCACCCCCCAGCCAAGGGAGGCAGTAAGTGAGCGTGCTACCCTGCATAGGAAACCATGCTTTTTCCATGGAACTGTGCAACCCATGATTTGGAAGATCCCACACCACTGGGGCCTAGGGTCCTAACCATGGAGCCGCACAGATTCTCAACAGCCACTCGGCTAAAATCTGCTTAAGCCTGCTGAGCTCCTGGGAGGAGAGGTGGCCAGCACCACAGCTGCAGTTGCCTGCTGTCTAAGCCCTGTGAGGTCCTTGTGGGAAAGGCGGCAGTCGACACTGGGATAGAGCTACCTAACAAACTAAGATCCCAGGGCGGGGGATGGGCGGCAGCCATCTCTATAGCTCCAGGCTGCACTCCCCCTTCCTAACCCCCCACCCCTCCTGGCTGGAGCCAAGGAGGCTGGAAAGCTTGGTCTCAAGAGGTATACCCCACAGCCCAACACACAAGCTATGGCAGACTGTGGCCAGAGTGCCTCTTCATGCCTGACCCTGACCCACTCCTACTCACTGGGCAGGGCCTCCCTGTAGGAACTCCAACAACTCCAGCCAGGGGCTTGGGGACAGAACTCTGATCTCCCTGGGCCTGAGCCCCTAAGAGGACGGGTAGCCACAGATTCGGCAGGCCAGCAGACCTAGTCTTTCCTCCTGCTAGTTCTGAAGAATTGGGCAGCCCATATGAGTGGGTTTTCCCCACAGTGAAGCACAACCCTTCTACCACAGGACAGTCAAAGTGCTTCGTTAAACGAGTCCTGCTCCCCATGCCACCCAACTGGGTGAGACCCTCCAACAGAGGTTGTCAGACACCCAATACAGGAGCATTCCTAATGGCATCAGGTCAGTGCCCCTCAAGGTCAGAAATCCCAGGAGAAGGCACAGGCACCCACCTTTGCTGTTCTCCAGCCTTCTCGAGTGACATCTCCACACATGGGAGTTACCAGATGAATAGAGCCTGAAGTGAACCCCCAGCAAACTGCAGCAGCCCTACAGAAGAGGGACCTGACCATTAAAAGAAAAAAAACAAACAAACAGAATGCAACAACAACAGCATCAACAAAAAAGGTCCCCACAAAAACCCCATCCAAGGGTCAGCAGACTCAAAGATCGAAACTAGACAAACTCACGAAGAATTTGTGAGTTTGTCTCATGAAGATGAGAAAGAATCAGCAAACAAACGCTGAAAATCCAAAAGGCCAGAGTGCCTCATCTCCTACAACTGACTGCAACACCTGTCCAGCAAGGGTGCAGAACTGGACAGAGGATGAGATGGAAAAATTGACAGAAGTAGGCTTCAGAAGGGGGGTAATAGCAAGCTACGCTGCACTAGAGGAGCATATTCTAACCCAATGCAAAGAAGCTAAGAACCTTGATAAAAGGTTACAGGAGGTGCTAACTAGAATAACCAGTTTAGAGAGGAACATAAATGACCTAATGGAGCTGAAAAATACAGCACAAGAACTTCGTGAAGCATAAACAAGTATCAATAGCTTAGTTGACCAAATGGAAGAAAGAATATCAGAGTTTGAAGACTATCTTGCTGAAAGGAAGGCAGACGAGATTAGAGAAAAAGAATGAAAAGGAATGAACAAAACCTCCAAGAAATATGGGACTATGTAAAAAGACCAAAGCTATGACTGATTGGAGTACCTGAAAGAGAATCAGAGAATGGAACTAAGTTGGAAAACACACTTCAGGATATTATCCTGAAGAACTTTCCCAACCTAGCAAGACAGGCCAATATTCAAATTCAGGAAATTCAGAGGACACCACTAAGACAATCTCTGAGAAGATCAATCCCAAGACACATAATCATCAGATTCTCCACGGTTGAAATGAAGGAAAAAATGTTAAGGGCAACCAGAAAGAAATGCCAGGCCACCTACAAAGGTAAGCCCATCAGACTAACAGCAGGCCTCTCAGCAGAAACCCTACAAGACAGAAGAGAGGGGTGGCCGATATTCAACATTCTTTTTTTTTTTTTTTTTTTTTTTTAGTATTTATTGATCATTCTTGGGTGTTTCTTGGAGAGGGGGATGTGGCAGGGTCATAGGATAATAGTGGAGAGAAGGTGAGGGATTTCATCACCACCAGGCTTGGAGGAGCTCCTGAAGGAAGCATTAAATATGGAAAGGAAAAACCGGTACCAGACACTGCAAAAACACACCAAAATATAAAGACTAATGACACTGTGAAGAAACTGCAGCAACTAGTGTGCAAAATAACCAGATAGCATCATGATGACAGGATTAAATTCACACATAACAATATTAATCTTAAATGTAAATGGGCTAAATGTCCCAACTAAAAGACACACACTGACAAATTGGATAAAGAGTCAAGACCAATCGGTGTGCTGAATTCAGGAGACTCATCTCACATACAAAGACACATATGGGCTCAAAATAAAGGGCTGGAGGTAAACTTCCCAAGTAAATGGAAAGCAAAAGAAAGCAGGGGTTGTAATCCTAGTCTCTGACAAAACGGACTTTAAACCAACAAAGATCAAAAAAGACAAAGAAGGGCATTACATAATGGTAAATGGATCAATTCAACAAGAAGAGCTAACTATTCTTATATATGCACCCAGTACAGGAGCACCCAGATTCATAAAACAAGTTCTTAGAGACCAACAAAGAGACTGAGACTCCCACACAATAATAGTGGGATACTTTAACATCCCACTGTCAATACAACGAGACAGAAAATTAACAAGGATATTAAGGACTTGAACTCAGCTCTGGATCAAGTGGACCTAACAGACATCTACAGAACTCTCCACCCCAGATCAACAGGATACACATTCTCAGTGCCACATGGCACTTACTTATAAAATTGACCATATAATTGGAAGTAAAACACTCCTCAGCAAATGCAAAAGAATTGAAATCATAACACGATCTCTCAGACCACAGTGCAATCAAATTAGAACTCAGTATTAAGAAACTCACTCAAAACCACACAATTACATAGAAATTGAACAACCAGCTCCTGAATGACTCCTGGGTAAATAGTGAAATTAAGGCAGAAATCAAGAAGTTCTTTGAAACCAATGAGAACAAAGAGACAACATGTCAGCATCTCTGGGACACAGCTAAAGCAGTGTTAACAGGGAAATTTATAGCACTAAATATCCACATCAGAAAGCTGGAAATATCTCACATCAGCACTCTAACATCACAATTAAATTAAAAGTGCTAGAGAAGCAAGAGCAAACTAATCAAAAAGCTAGAAGACAAGAATTAACTAAGATTAAAGCAGAATTGAAGGTGATAGAGATACAAAAAACCTCCAAAAAAATCAATGAATCCAGGAGCTTGTTTTTTGAAAAAATTAACAAAATAGATAGCTATCTAGAATAATAAAGAAGAAAAGAGAGAAGGATCAAATAGACACAATAAAAAGTGATAAAGGGGGTATCAACACTGACCCCACAGAAATACAAACTACCATCAGAGAATACTATAAACACCTCTACGCAAATAAACTAGAAAATCTAGAAGAAACACATAAATTCCTGGACACATACACCCTCCCAATATTGAACCAAGAGGAAGTCAAATCCCTGAATATACCAAGAACAAGCTCAGAAATTGAGGCAGTAATTAATAGCCTACTAACCAAAAATAGTCCAGGACCAGACAGATTCATAGCCGAATTCTACAGTGGTACAAAGAGGAGCTGATACCATTCCTTCTGAAACTATTCCAAACAATTTAGAAGGTGGGACTTCTCCCTAACTCATTTTCTGAGGTCAGCATCATCCTGATGCCAAAACCTGGCAGAGGCACAACAAAAAAAGAAAACTTCAGGCCAACATCCCTGATGAACATCAATGCGAAAATCCTCAATAAAATATTGGCAAACCGAATCCAGCAGCGTATCAAAAAGCTTATCCACCACAATCAAGTCAGCTTCATCCCTGGGGTGCAAGGCTGGTTCAACATACGCAAATCAATAAATGTAATCCATCGTCATATAAACAGAATCAATGACAAAAACCACATGGTTATCTCAATAGATGCAGAAAAGGCCTTTGATAAAATTCAACATCCCTTCATGTTAAAAACTCTCAGTAAACTTGGTATTGATGGAACATATCTCAAAATAATAAGAGCTATTTATGACAGACCCACACCCAATATCATACTGAATGGGCAAAAGCTGGAAGCATTCCCTTTGAAAACCAGCACAAGATAAGGAAGCCCTCTTTCACCACTCCTATTCAACATAGTATTGGAAGTTCTGGCCAGGGCAATCAGGCAAGAAAAGAAATAAAGAGTATTCAAATAGGAAGAGAGGAAGTCAAATTGTCTCTGTTTGCAGGCAACATGATTCTATATTTAGAAAACCCCATCATCTCAGCCCCAAAACTCCTTAAGCTGATAAGCAACTTCAGCAAAGTCTCAGGATACAAAATCAATGTGCAAAAATCACAGGCACTCCTATACTTCAACAATAGACAAACAGAGACTCAAATCATGAATGAACTCCCATTCACAACTGCTACAAAGAGAATAAAATACCTAGGAATACAGTTAACAAGGGATGTGAAGGACCTCTTCAAGGAAAACTACAAACTACTGCTCAAGGAAATAAAAGAAGACGCAAACAAATGGAAAAACATCCCATCCTCATGGATAGAAAGAATCAATATCGTATTAATTTCTGCTGTGGCTTAAGTTTTGGTGCTCTTTGTAAGCGTTCCCCAGACTGAGAAACAATGGCAGGGCAGCAAGTTAGGTCTTGTGCAGTATTTTAGTTCTGGTACTCACGATAAGTCTTCCCCAGAATGGAAAGTAACAGCAGACAAATGATTATGTTCTAATGTTAAGTACCAAACCACCAAAGATCACCTGCAAAAGCTGGAAGACATGGCCAACTTCTCAAATGTGTGAGCATCAGTGAAAATATGCAAGGATTGTGAAAACTTAGGGATAGTTGACACTGTCAAAAAAAAAAAAAAGGAAAAGCAAAGCAAAGAAAAAAGAAAAACAACATCAACAAAGTTCCAATAATGGACACAGAAAAATTGAAGTTCTATAAAATGTCTGATAAAGAATTCAGAATAATCTTCTTAAAGGAATTCAGTGAATAACAAAGAAAATGTTTAAAAAATATAAATAAAATTTGGAAAACCATCCAGAAATAAAAAATTTGACAAAGACAGAGGAACAATTTAATGAAAAACCAAATAGGAATCCTAGAAAGAAAAAACCACAATAACTGTACTGAAAAACTCATCAGAAAACCCCATTTAGACTTGTTCACACAAAAGTCAGTGAGCTTCAAGACCAGATATGTGAAATTACCCAATCAGAGAAGGAAAAAAGAAAATAGAGTGAAAAAGACCTATGGGAATTATGGGCCACCATCAAGCAAACTAAGCGCCACATAATAATAATTCCCAAAAAGGAGGAGAGAGAAAAAGGTCTAGGAAGCATATTTAAGGATATAATGTCTGAAAATTTTCCAAATCTATGACATTGTTCAGGTAGAGGAAGCCCAGAGGTCACCAATCAAATTTTAAACTAAGGAGAAATTCCCCAAGACACATTATAATCAAATTATCAAAAATTAAAGACAAAGAAAGAATGCTGAAAGCAGCAAGAGAAGAGAAACGTATTTTTAGCCGAGACTCAATCCAGCTTTCAGTGGGTTTCACGGCAGAAACCCTGCAGGGCAGGAGAAAGCAGGATAACATATTCAAAATGCTGAATGAAAAAAAAAAAAAAACCATCAGTCAATAATACAGTACTCAGCAAAGCTATTCTTAAAACATCATGGAGAGACAAAGACTTTTCTAGAAAAATAAAAACTGAAGGAATTCATTTACACCGGATCTGTCTTACATGAAATGCTAAAAGGAGTTGTTTATTCTCAATGAAAAGAATGCTAACATGTAATAAGAAAACACCTGAATGTATTAAAATCACTGGTAAAAGTGAGTACACAGACAAAGTCAGAATAACGTAATACTATAATTATGATGTGCAAGCCATTTATATATTTAGTATAAAGACTAATTTTTAAGGAAAAAGTTAAATAGAAAATTTAAAAAAATTCCTTGAGGCAAGTTCAAATGGAAACACAACCTACTAGAATCTGTGGGATATAGCAAAAGCAGTTCTATGAGGGAAATTTATATTAATAAATGCATACATCAACAAAATAGAAAGATATTTAAAAAACAACCTAAAGTTATACCTCATGGAACTAGAAAAACAGGAACAAACTAAGCCCCAAATTAGTGGAAGGAAAGAAACAACAAAGATCAGAACAGAAATAAATGAGAGATTAAAACAAATACACAAGATCAATGACGAAGATAGTTGGTTCTTTAAAAATAAATAAATAAAATTCACAAACATTTAGCTAGACTAAGAAAAAAAGAGCAAAGACAAGTAAAATCAAAGATTTTTGAAAGGGACATTACGACTGATATGATAGAAATACAAAGGCTCAGAAGAGACTATTATGGGCAATTATATGCCAACAAACTGGAAAATCCAGCAGAAATAGGTAAATTACTGGATACATATAATATACCAAGATTAAATCATGAAGAAATAGAAAACCTGAACAAACTAATCATGTGTAACAAGACAGAAGTAGTAATAAAGACTCTTTCATCAAA
The DNA here is from genome assembly GCF_000001405.40 of Homo sapiens. Classification (NCBI taxonomy): domain Eukaryota; kingdom Metazoa; phylum Chordata; class Mammalia; order Primates; family Hominidae; genus Homo; species Homo sapiens. Next base: position 18,515,360 of record NC_000012.12, on the reverse strand, counting down.
GAAAAGCCCAGAGCCTGATGGTTTTACTGCTGAATTCTATTTGAAAAAGAACTAATACAAATTCTTACCAAACTCTTCCAAAAATAGAAAAAAGCGGAGAATCATTCCAAACTCATCTTATGAGGCCAGCATTACACTAGTTCCAATACCAGAGAAGCACACAACAAAAAAAGAAAACCACAGGTCTGATGAGCATAGATGCAAAAATCCCCAACAAATTACTAGCAAACCAATTCAACAACACATTAAAAAGATCAGTCACCATGATCAAGTGGGATTTATATCAGAGATGCAAGGATGATTCAGCTGCAAATAAATAGGTGTGATACATCACAATAATAGAATCAAGGACACAAATCATATAATTGCTTCAAGAGTTATAGAAAAAGTATTTTATAAAATTTAACATCCTTCATGATAAAAACTCTCAACAAATTAGGTTTAAAAGGAAAATACTCATTATAAAGTCAATATATGACAAACCCACAGCTAACATCATACAAAATGAGGAAAAGTTAAAATTGTTCCTCTAAGATCCGGAACAAGAAGACAAGGATGCCCACTTTAACCACTTTTCTTCAACATAGTGTTGGAAGTCCTACTCAGAGCAATTTGGCAAGAGAAAGAAAAAAAGAACATTCAAATAGGAAAGCAGGAAGTCAAATTTGTCTGTGTTTGCAGATGACATGATCATTTACATAGAAATACTAAAGACTTCACAAAAAATTTGCCATAACAAATAAACAAATTCAATAAAGTTGCAGGATACAAAATCAATACACAAGATTAGTAGCAATTCTATATGCCAGTAGAGAACTACCTGAAAAAGACATCAAAAAGGCACTTCCTTTTACAATGGTCACAAAAAAGTAAAATAGAAATAAGTTTAACCAAGGAGGTAAAAGATCTCTGCGATAAAAACTATTATGCATTAAAGAAAGAATTCAAAGAAAACAATAGAAAGACCCTGTGTTCAGGGATTGAAATAAAATCAATAAAGAAATATTGGACGTAGATTATACTTTAGACCAAATACAAAACATTCCATCCAATAGCAGTAGGATACCCATTCTTCTCAGGTGCACATGAAACATTCTCCAGGATAGATCGTGTAAGGTCACAAAAGAAAACAACAAATTCAAGGTGATTGAAATTATATTAAGTATATTTTTGGATCACAATGCTGTAAAACTAGAAATCAACTACAGGAGAAATGTGGAAAATACTCAACTATGTGGAAATTAAACAACATGCTCATAAACAACCAATGGGTCACAGAAAATATAAAAAGTACATGGAGACAAAAATAAAAACAAAACAGACTAAAGCATATTGCATGCAGCAAAAGCAGTTCCAAGTGGGAAGTTCATAGCAATAAATGTCTATGTCAAAGCAGAAGAAAAATCACAAATAAGCAATGTAACATAACGCCTCAAAAGTCTAGAGACAGAAGAACTACCTTAGTTCAAAGCTGGCAAATGAAAGGAAATAACAAAGACCAGAGCAGAAATTAACGAAATAAGCACTAAAAAACAACAGAAAAAAAATCACACAGTTGTTTTTTGAAAAGATAAACAAAATACAAAATACAAACCGTTTACTAGATGGTTTGCATTTTGTAATAAACTGTTTACAAGATGGTGATACAAACTGCTTACTAGACTAACTAGGAAAAAAAGAAAGACTATTCAAATAAACGAATCAAAAGTGAAAGAGGAGACATTATAACTGATGCCACTGTAATAGAAAGGATCATTAAAAAATGGGATGAGCAATTATATGCCAAAAAATTGGATAACCTTGAAGAATTGGATAAATTCCTAGACACATACAATCTACCAAGACTGAATCAGAAAGCAGCAGAAAATCTGAATAGCCCAATAATGAGTAAGGAGATTGGATCAGTAATAAAAAGTCTCTCATCAAAGAAAAGCCCACAACTGGACAGCTTTACTCCTGAATTCTATCAAACATAAAAAAAAAAGAATACCAATTCTTTTCAAACTCTTCCACAAAAATGAAATAGAAGAAATTCTTTCAAACTCATTTTATAAGACTAGCATTATCTTGATATCAAACCCAGAAAAGCACACTACAAGAAAAGAAAATTACAGGCCAATATTTCTAATTAACGTAGATGCAAAAATACTCAAGAAAATATTATTAGAAAGCTGAATTCCAGAACACATTAAAAGAATCATTCACCATGGTCCAGAGGGATTTACCCTGGGATCCAAGGATGGTTCAACATACCCAGATTAATAAATGTGATACACTAAATTTACAAAATGAAGGATAAAAATAACATCATCATCTCACTGGATGCAGAAAAATCACGTGACAAAATGTAACATACCTTCATGATAAAAACTCTCCACAGATTAAGTATAAAGGATATGTACCTCAGGACAATAAAGGCCATATATGACAAACTCATAGCTAATTTTATTCTCAATGGTGAAAAGTTGAAAGCTTTTCCTCTAAGATCAGAGACAGGACAAGGATGCCCATTCTTACCACTTCTTTTCAGCATAGTACTGGAAGTTGCCAGAGCAGTTAGGCAAGACAAAAAGAAAATTGAAGGCATCCTAATAGGAAAGGAAGAAGTGAAATTGTTTCTATTTGCTGGTGACATGATATATATAGAAAATCCTGAAGACTCCACTAAAGAACTGTTAGAACTGATAAAGGAATTCACTAAAGTTGCAAGACACAAAACAAACATACAAAAATCAGTAGCATTTCTATATACTAATAATGAACTATCTGGAAAAAAATTAAGAAAATCCCATTTATGGGGGCAACAAAAAATCAAATACTTAGGTGCAAATTTAACCAAGGAAGTAAAGGACTTGTATAGTGAACACTGTAAAACACGGATGAAAGAAACTGAAAAAAACTTAAAAGATTTTCTGTGTTCTTGGATTGGAAGAATTAATATTTTTAAAATGTCCGTATTACCCAAAGCAATCTACAGATTCAGTGCAATTCCTATAAAAACCAGATGTCATTTTTTTTTCACACAAATGGACAAACAATCCTTATCATGGAACCACAAAAGATCCCAAGCAGCCAAAACAATCTTGAGCAAAAAGAACAAAGCTAGAGGAATCACACTACCCAACTTCAAGACATATTATAAAGTGATTGTAATCAAAACAGCATGGTCCTGGCATAAAAATAGATACATTGAACAAACGGGAACAAGATAGAAAACCCAGAAATAAACCCATGCATTTATGGTCAACTTGTTTTTGACAAAGGTGCCAAGAACACATGATGGAAAGAAGACAGTCTTTCAATAAATTGTGTTTGATAAACTGGATATTCACATGAAGAATAAAATTAGGAACTTAGCTTACATCAACCACAAAAAATAGCTCAAAATGGAGAAATTACTTAAATATAAGACTTGAAACTATAAAACTGCTAGAAGAAGACATAAGGGGAAATCTCCATGACATTGGTCTCAGCAATTTTTTTTGGATAAGACCCCAAAAGCACATGCAACAAAAGCAAAAATAGACAAATGGAAGGCATCAAACTAAAACACTTCTACTCAGTAAAGGAAACAATTAGCAAACTGAAGAGATGGCCCATAGAATCTGAGAAAATGTTTGCAAACCATTTGTCTGATAATGGGTTAGTATCCAAAATATATAAGAAACTCAAATAACTTAATAGCAAGAAAACAAATAAACATTAAAAAAATAAGCAAAGAACCTAAATAGACATTTCTCAAAAGAAGACATATAAATGGCCAATAAGTACATAAACTGTTAGGCATCACTAATTATCAAGGAAATGCGATTAGAGCCACACTGAGAAACCACCTCACATCTGTTAGAATGGATTTATCAAAAACATGAAAGATTAAGTGTTGGGGAGGGTTTAAAAAAAGGGAAATTATGCAATGTTTGTGGGAACATAAATTAGTACAGCAATTATGGAAAACAGCATCCACTTTCCTCTAGAAACTAAAAATAGAACTACCGTATGACCGAATAATCTCGCTCCTGGGTATTTCTTCAAAAGAATGGAAATCAATATGTTGCAAGAATGTCTTCACTGTCATATTCTTTGCAGTATTGTTCACAATAGCCAAGATATGGAAACAAATAAATGTCCATCAATGGATGAAGAGATTAAGAAAATGTAGTACGTACACACAATGAAATACTATTTAGTTTTAAAAGAGGGGAAATTCTGTCATTTATGACAACATGAATGAATCCAGGGAGCATTATGCTAAGTGAAATAAGCCAACCACAGAAAAAATCACATGATCTCACATACATGTGAAATCTAATAAAGTTTAATTTGTAGGAGTAGAATGGTGATTATCAGAGTCTTAGGGAGTGAGGAGTTGGGGGGAATGGGAGCTATTGATCAAAGAGTATAAAGTTTCAGATAGACAGTAGGAATAGACTTTTAGATCTATTGTCCATCAGTTGACTACAGTCAATAGTAATGTATTATAAATGTAAAAATAATAGAGTAAATTTCAAATGTCTCACCATAAAAAAGTGATAGGTAAGCAAGGTGGTGGCTGTGTTAACGAGTTTGATTTCGTCACATTGTATCCCATAAATGCAAACAACTATGATCTGTCAATCATAAATAACATAAATAATAACTTTTTCAAAAATAAAAATAAAAACAAAACAAAAACACATAGTCTGTCTCCAGTGTACCTGACCTTAAACACTGGTCATATTGCCCTTTAAAATTATCTAGAAAGAAAGCTACAAAAAACACTTAATGCAAGGCTAGCATCAGCAAAGCGAAAGGCCATATAGAATATGAAAACACTGTCTAGTCTAAAAAATAAAAGTATGAAATAAAGAGCTAGGAGAGCAACAAACATCAGTAATAAATGTTTTTCTCAATTTCTCCTGCTTTATGAGAGCATGTAATTATCAAGAAATTATTGAGTTGAAATTTTGAGTTTATTACTACAGTGAAATCTTTTATGTAATGAAAAATCACTCTGTAGAAATCATTGTTACAGTGGAATTGAGTGCAAAATTGTGGATGCACAATTTGTTGGCCACTTTAATTTGTATCGGTGAAAGAAAATTAAAAAATGAAGATAGGTCGGGCACTGTGGCACATGCCTATAATTCCAGCATTTTGGGCCGAGGTCCAAATTGTTTGAGCCTAGGAGTTGAAGACCAGCCTGGGCAACATGGTGAGACCCTATCTCTACAAAACAATAAAAAAGTTAGCTGGGTTTGGTGGTGCATGCCTCTGGTCCCAGCTACTTGGGAGGCTGAGGTGGGAGGATCGCCTGAGTCCAGGGAGGTAAAGGCTGCAGTGAGCCATGATTGTGCCACTGCACTCCAGCCTTGGTGACAGAGTGAGACCATGTCCCCCAAAAAAGAAGATAATAATTAGGCAATAGTTCAAAAGAAAAACCAACTGGTTTCAGAGAGCTGGAGAAATTCCTTATTGTTTCCATTATAAAGATTAGCCAAATTTTCCCCAGAATCATTAAGTAATACCTCAGTTGTTCTTTGATTTAATCTGATGGTATAAATTCTCTTTATCTAGTCTCACAGCTAAAGCCAATAAGAAGGGATCATTTGTTTATATGCAGGATGTGAAATCCTTCATAATCATAACTAAGATTTAATTTTTCTCTCTTAGAAGTTTGAAAGTTTATGGGAGCCTCAGAGTTGGTCTGAGTGTCGAAATAGAATTTCCAGATTCCTGGAGAACTGAATTCAGAGGAATTGTTCAGGGACACCTGAGCATAGATTCCAAATGAGAGAGTGGCTTTGCTGACTCAATTTAATTTAAGAGCCAGGAGAGCTCAATGTCTGTAACATATCCTAAAGAGAGTAACACAGATGCTTAGTGTGAGATGTTCCGGAATGGTGATGTAAGCATGAGTATAAAGGGCAGCAGCCCAGTGAGAAATGTTTTTTTCTCAAGATCCTTCTTATATCACCTCTTTGCTGTGTTAGTTAATACACAATGAATTAGTTAATATATGTTAACAATATTTTGTAACTGGGTGCAGTGGCTCACGCCTGTAATCTCAGCACTTTGAGAGGCCGAGGCGGGCGAATTGCCTGAGGTCGGGAGTTCGAGACCAGTCTGGCCAACAGAGTGAAACCCTGTCTCTACTAAAATACAAAAAAAATTAGCCAGGCGTGGTGGCATGTAATTACAGCTACTCAGGAGGCTGAGGCAGGGGAATTGCTTGAACCAGGGAGGTGGAGATTTCAGTGAGCTGAGATTGTGCCACTGCACTCCAGCCTCGGTGACAGAGCGAGACTCCATCTCAAAAAATAAATAAATAAAAATAAAAAAGCAATAATAATAATAATAATATTGTGTAAACCATAAAAAGTTATACAAATGCTTTTCCCTTCCATGTTTTTAAGAAATAGACAATAGAAGAAACACGTGTATCTGTACATATAAACTCTATGCTTCCAGTGGGTGCAGCATTTTAATTAAAGACTATGACCTAGGGTTATTGTTGTTTGGTATTGGAGCATTTTATGATCTTGTCAGACTATGAGACATTATGACAGTCCTAGGGCATGATTTATAAATCTGGTTTTGTATATTATGGGGGGTGTTATTAAACTCATTTATGTCTAGTGTTCCATTACTGGAACGCTAAGCTTGTAGGAGTTATTTATATCCTACTGCTCAAGGTCATTGCTAAGGTCTGATTTTTCACAAAAAAAATTTGCAACCTCCAGCATAAGTGGGTTAATACATCTGAGTATGTGTACAGAAACTAGGTGTGGGCTAGGTTTCTCTCTACAAAGGGGGTCCATAACATAATAAATGTGGGACAAATAAGCACTTTCATTTATCCTAGGGGAATACAAAGGTCCTACTTATAGGACCTATAAGACTTGTAAAAGGACTTTTGTGTACCTAAAAAACAATAAGAACAAACAATGAACCTAGTATGGAAGAAGTTAGCTGTCCTAGAAAACAACGTTCTGTGAATTCCAGAAACTGAAAGAGCTTAGGAGGAGAAATATTAGATGCTTCCTACAATTCAAAAGATAGTGTAATAGGTATGGTTCAGTTTTACCATTAAACAAACTTAGAGCAAATGTATCAGCATTGAGAAAGTAATCCAAGGAGACACTGCCAATGAGCCTTATGGGAGCCACCAGCGGACATAAAATCTTAGAAACAATAATCCATATGGCTCATGGAGCTGCAGTTGGCCTCCTTAGCTGGTGGTTAATAACTAATATTCTCAAAGGAAGACAGTGGCAACTTCATTTTCATTCATCCTATCAATAATTATTGAATGGTTGATGATTGGTTTATTGGCTGCTTAATTCAGCAGAAAATATTAAGAACCGATTATGAGTGTGGCTGTATGCTGGGCACATTTTTAATTGACCTATGATACTGCTTAAGAAAGGTTTAAAATTGCCAAACTCTAGAAGTAGCAGTAGCTGCTGTAGCATCAACAAGCAGCTAAACTGGAGCTTGATATTCTCTACAGACCGTGGTATATGAACTTACCATACTGTTTTAATAATCTTTTCTTTACTTTTTTATGTCTGCCAACTGGAACTTTTTCTGTAGAGCTGAAATATCTTTTTTCATTTTAAACCACTCACATGAACAATACAGAAGCCAGTGCAATAAATGAATAAGGGTACTCCAAATTGCCAGTGTACAAAACATCAAAATTAAAAAAAAAGATGTCCAAACTGAATCTTTGAATTTTTAGAAAAAGGTAGATAGAGTTCAGGAAAAAACTGTTACATGAATAAATTTTATATACACTCAAGTATGTTAATTGACATTTGTCCCTCATAAGCTAGGTATCCCTCCTCTATGACATTCTCATGGTCTGTACATTTCTCTATCTCTGCCCTTATAACATTTTATAATAATCATTTATGTGTCTGTATTCACAGTACTTGAAAGAGTATCCCTAACTTTCATGGTAAATGCATATTAATTATCTTTGTATCTCCAATGTTTATCACAGTCCTTGGCACACAGACCATTCCCAGTGGACATTTAAGAAGCGAATGAAGGCCAGGCACGGTGGCTCACACCTCTAATCCCCGCACTTTGGGAGGCCGAGGCAGGAGATCACTTGAGGCCAGGAGTTCGAGACCAGCCTGGCCAACATGGCGAAACCCCACCTCTACTAAAAATACAAATATTAGCCAGGCATGGTGGCACACTCCTGTAGTCCCAGCTACTCCGGAGGCTGAGGCAGGAGAATCGCTTGAACCCAGGAGGTAGAGGTTGCAGTCATCCAAGATCATGCCACTGCACTCTAGCCTGGGCGACAGAATGAGACTCCATCTCAAAAAAAAAAAAGTAAAAGAAAAAGAAGTGAATGAATATGTGGTAAATTTTTCGAGGCTGTTTATTAAAGAAAGCAATGTATTGAGAGTAACAGAAAGTAAAATAATCCATTTGTATATATCATGTAGTTTATGTTGGCATTTTAATGCCAGGTTATGGCCATCTGGTATAAATTCGATCACATTATCTTGTAAGAAATATTATTATTTCTTATATTGAGGGGCTGTTCTCAGGCGAAAGTGACTAATTAGTCTTTGGAATGGCTTGATCCTATTTCTACCTTCATATAAAATATATTTTTAAAGACTTTTAGTGTTCAACTTCTGATTTCCTTACTTTCGGCTTAAAGAAAATGAAACAAAACCTATTCATCTATCAGTATTCCTTATTTCAGTAAATAATATAATTATTCAGTCATTTGCTAAGATAAAACAATCTAGGCATCATCCTTGAATGTTTTCTTCTCTGACCTTCTGTGCCCCTCCTCCAGTTCATTAATCACAGCCAACGTCCAATCAATTAGCAGATCCTGTGGCTCTGTCTTCAAAATATATTCTGAATCTGTCGGTTTTTACTACTTCTACCTTTACTGGTCTCACTTTATTGCAGTAGTCTCTTCACTGGTCTCCATTACACAAGGTATCAAAGAAAGCTTTTGAAAACCACTAAAATTGAAAAGTTTCTCCTGAACTTAAAAAATAAAAGCCACACTCTATATGCCCTCTGTGCCCTACCTGATTGGGCCTCCACCAAACTCTTCACCCTTACCTCCTACTGCCCGCCCCTCTCCATCCCATCTCCAGACTCCAGGTCTTCTTGTCACTGGAACATGCCATGCTCATTTCTGTGCTCACTGCTATTGTATGTGCTGTTGTTTCTTCCTGGAATTCTCTTCTCATGGATCTCCATGAGGTGGTCATAAGGACACAGCTCTTTGTCATGTCTTCCGAGATGCCTCTTTAAAATAGTATCCCCACTCCAGTTACTTTCTATTCCATTTCTCTGCCTTAGTTTTCTAAAATAACTTCTCATTTTCTCAAGTCATTTCTTAGCTTGTAAACTTGTTTAATGTCTGTCACCCCTACTAGAAAGAGATCAGGGTTTGTGTCTGTCTTGTTTACTGTTATATCCTTGAATAGTAGGTATTCCCTAAATATCTGTGGAATGATGTATGGCTAGTTCAGTGTGGGAAGTAAGCTAGTATTAATATGTGTAGACCAGTGATGATTTGCTATGAGCAATATAGCAGATGTTTTGAGATCATCAATTCATACCTCATTGTCCATTCAAGGTTCATAAGGAAACAAACAATATTACTTCAAATGACAGACTAAAACAGGATTAGCTGCTTCTCATGGGGGAAGACCAGTTTAGTCTACTACCAATTTGAGGAAATCAAATTTGTTGCATTAAAAATCTACTTTAAAACTTTTCTTCAATCTTATTAGATATATTATCATGTTTATATTACCTGGGGGGATTTGAGAGATGGGAGCAAGTCATCAGCAGGGTTTCTATGCAATTACATGTTATACATATTGCTTAGGACACTGCTTAATTACTGTAATAAACATTTGTGCACTGACCTTTTTATCCCTCCAAATGTTTGTGCATGACCTAAGAATTTTCCAAAGTCAATATGAAACATGTGGCCCGACTTTGTCAGCATGATATTATCATTGTGACGGTCACATACTCCCAGGATGAATGTTACCACACACCAGCCAGCACAGGAGTAGAAAAAGTTCCTCAAGGCCTAATTCATTGAAAAACAATCATGCAAAAATAACAACAAAAAATGAGCAAATGCATTAGCATCAGAGGTAATCATAAAAAGTAAATGATAAGCAAAATTACATAATCAGGAAAAATTTCTACATCTCAGTGGACAGGAGGGTACAGTTAAGCAGCTGATTCTTGATCTGCTACAGAAGAATATGAAACAACTGTTCTTTAGCCTAATAGATGAATGTTTTCACTGAAACTGCGGAAAATATTTCTTTCATTCAGATGGAGCTAATTTTCATTGGTTCACTAGAGAGGTTTCCTAGTGTCATTTTTTGATACCTCAAATATACAATATTGAATGATTTTTTTTCAAAGTAAAAGGAGGAACAATACGCCCCAATATTGCCTATTCCCAGAGGAATTTTAAAATATCAATGGTTGAATATTTGAAATTTTGGAATACAGAGAAAGCTATACTGAGAAATCTGTAACATTTTATGTGTATTTTTACAAATAGGTCATCAATGTAGTTGATGTCTGAAGCTGTTTGGTATAGTACATATATATCAGTGAATGCCTGTGTGGGTGGAAGCAGATTATCATTAAGTCAATTTGTGTTTATGTTTCTCTAATGAGCAGATGTTTCTTTCCAAAAATACACTTTGCGTCCAAAATGATCTCCTGGGTATACATCATTTCATCAACTTGGTGGTGTAACCAGGAATGACTGGTTGGGATAAGGTTATGGGTCTCCTAGCATGGAGGGGCTGCCTTGATGTAGTGAAGGCTAGGTCACCAGGCTACATGCTAGGGTGCCTTAGTTCTAGGTTTCCTACATGCCTAAGCAAGTCACTTAATTTGTCAATCCAAATGTTCTTCACTTAGAAAGTGAAAATAATAAAACATATCCTTCAAATGGTGGTTGTGAAGAGCGATGTATTTGGAAATAACGTAACCACAAGGATTAATGCAAAACTGAAGTTATAATTTTGGGAACAGCTAAAAAGTAGACTTCAAGGTAATTTTATCTAATTATTTATTATTTGGCCTGTAAAGCTTGTATTTTGCTCCAACACAATGTTATGGAAGTGTGGAATAGATGAACTCTGGGGTCTATTTTATCATGGCCTTTTTATCATAGGTAGGGTGACCAATCATCCCAGTTTACCCAGGTTTGAGGAATTTCTCAAAATAAGGGGATTTCAGTGCACAGGATAGTACCAAGCAAATCTAATGGTGCATTTTTTGCATGAATTAGCATTTAGGTGCTCCTTCCTCTGGGTGGACCCAGCTGTACTAGATCATAGCTTGGCAAGTGGACCAAGGACTGGTTCTAGCCACACTCATCTCCTTAGCCAAGATCCCTAATACAGGGCAGAACCTGCACAACTGTACACTGCAAGCCAGATACCAGAATGAAGTAAACATTGAGAAAAAGTGTTTGCAGTCAAATAAAACAGTACATTTGGTAAAATTATGACATACATAAACTCTGTTTTGCATTTTGCAAACCATTAAGAAAATGGGAGACGAAAAAGTGGGGAATGGCAGAAGAAATGTATTGCAAAGAAAAGAAGGGATATTTATAGAAGTTGTAGATTACTTAAATGAGGTAATTTCAAGGGTTATTGTTTCTGGTGTAAGATTGATGTCAGGATGGCAGCTGAGCAAAAAAAAATCTTTATTGATAACCAGGAATTTCACCCAGAAACTAAATAAAATGCAGAAACTTTTATGTAGTTAATATATCATTTAAACTGGGCTGATTAATTAATTACTGGGCTGATTGAATTAGAACTCAAAGTGCACTTAATTTACTTTTCTACAAATCAGAATATCTAATGAACCAGAGCATATTCTTATTTAAGTACATTATTTAAAATGATCTGCAACAGGACAAACCTTTTCATAATCTGCCTTTAAGTGGTTGTGCTGACTGAACCACTTTTTAATTGTATTTTCTTTCAATGGTCCTATCAGTCCAGAATGGCGATGAATCTTTGCTAGGGTCACAGCATCAGGTACCATCTGCACCAATCCTGGTAGAGAAAAAAAAGATTACAGAGACAATTCCTTCATCACAAGATGAGGGAGCCTTAGGAAATATAACAACAATAGCTTCCAGCACTACTGGATTACCCCTTTCCTTTTCAAATCTTCTTTTCTGGAGGAGGCTTATCTAGATGCATCTCTTTCTAATTCTTCCCAAAATCCTGGAGAACAATGAGGCTACTTGTGTTTGGATCGGATTAATCAGAAGCAGCTTTAATATTTTTTCTAGAGCTATGGTAGCAAGCCAATGTTGATGATGAACAGAGACCCCACTGAGTAGTGAATTAATTATCACATGGCTGGTGCACTCATTTACAGTTTAAGGGAGGACATTTAAGCTTGGATAACAAATATATTTACAATTTAAGGGAGCCAAATACACTCTCCATAACAAACATTGCACATATATTATAAAAATCAATGTTCGGGTTAAAAAAAGCTTCACAGTTAAATGTTACATTTGCGGGAGTGAACAGAATAACTCAGCAGTGAACATCTAGAGAGCCACCTGCTCCTTCCTTCTCAGTCAACATTAAAGAGAAACTACAATAGTAATTTTTTTTAAAGGGAGCATATATTGATTGAACTTCAATAGGAACTTTGCTCCGCTGGCCATATATCCATCAAGGCTTTCTTTTATTGTGCTCGTAAGGTTATTGGAATGTAAATATTTGCAAACCTTCTGATTTTCATACTGTACAGAACAGCAATTTAGATCCAGTACTTAAAGCTCTCTCAGGGATAATGTCTACAAAACAACCCGCAAAGTACAGTATTATAAATAAAGTCGTTAAAATAAATTAAAGTCTAGAGTTTCTGATTTCCATAGTCTCGACAATTGCAGGAGTTGCAAACTCAAATTCCCAGAGAGACCAGGGACACAAATATAACTATATGAACAGAGAGATGGTTGAGTTTTTTAAATTGACCATTTAATGATCTACCTAAAAAGCATTCAAATTAAACAACATTAAAGTAGATTATGGTGGTGATAAACAAAAGGCTTATCTGTGCTGAATTTGGTCAGTTACAGCTAGTTTGCAGCCTTAATTTCTCTTAATATCTGATAGTCCTGTTATGATCATTGGGCATCTACATTTGTGGATCAGAAGGAAATTTCACATCCCAGAGACAGGTCCTGGGAATATCCATAGTATCAAGACACTTCTCCCTTCTCTCCTAATAGTATTTGGCTGTTGCCCAGGTTTTCTCATGTGTGTTAAGGGAGATAGCAGATTTAAAACATTTTATGTCAGTAGGTGATGCTTTTTAATCCTGAAAATTTCCCTCCTCATTTTTTCAGTTCCTCTATTTAATACTTCCTGAAGAAAGTCACTTTCTACATGGTTGCTGAGTGTTTCAATGCCATCTTACCTTTGACCATGCCCAAAATTAGGACTTAGATGATTCCACCTTTTTGGATACTTTGCTGCAGCAATGTCAATTGCTTTTCCAACTACGTTGATCTAGGGAGTTAATGTTTGCTAAATCCCAAGACACTGATCACAAGCCTTGAATTGCTGACTATCCAGAAAACCTTGTATCTAATTTATAGTAATCATGGTGGCTAAATTCTGCTCATTAATTGAAATCATAAATTACATTTTATACATTTTAAGCTAGTATATATCATACACTATTTAAATTCTTCGAACATAATTCTGTGTACATAGAGTAATATGTGTGGTTTCACTCTTATAGTCCTTTAATGCAATATTTCTCAAATTTTAATGCAACAAATAACTCTGTTGTATGGTTTAGCTGTGTCCCCAGTCAAATCTCATCTCAATTTATAATCCCCATAATCCCCACGTGTGGAAGGAGGGACCTGGTGGGAGGTGATCAGATCATGTGGACAGTTTTCCCCCATGCTGTTCTCATGATAGTGAGTGAGTTCTCACAAGATTTGATGGTTTTATTAATGTTTAGCAGGTACCCCATTCTCCCCCTTTTTTTCCTGCCACCTTGTGAAAAAGGCCCTTGCTTCCGCTTCACCTTCCGCCATGAATATAAGTTTCCTGAGGCCTCCCCAGCCATGTGGAACTGTGAGCCATTTAACCTCTTTCCTTTATTAATTACCCAGTCCAGGTGCGTCCGGAATTGCTGGGTTCCTGGTCTCACTGACTTCAAGAATGAAGCCGCGGACCTTCGCGGTGAGTGTTACAGCTCTTAAGGTGGCGCGTCTGGAGTTTGTTCTTTCTGATGTTCGGATGTGTTCGGAGTTTCTTCCTTCTGGTGGGTTCGTGGTCTCGCTGGCTCAGGAGTGAAGCTGCGGACCTACGCGGTGAGTGTTACAGCTCTTAAGGCGGTGTGTCTGGAGTTGTTCGTTCCTCCCGGTGGGTTCGTGGTCCCGCTGGTTTCAGGAGTGAAGCTACAGACCTTCGCGGTGAGGGTTGCAGCTCATAAAGGCAGTGTGGACCCAAAGAGTGAGCAGCAGCAGGATTTATTGCAAAGAGCGAGAGAACAAAGCTTCCACAGTGTGGAAGGGGACCTGAGTGGGTTGCCACTGCTGGCTTGGGCAGCCTGCTTTTATTCTTTTATCTGGCTCCACCCACATCCTGCTGATTGGTAGAGCCGAGTGGTCTGTTTTGACACGGCGCTGATTGGTGCATTTACAATCCCTGAGGTAGAGGTAAAGGTTCACGTCCCTACCAGACTCAGGAGCCCAGCTGGCGTCACCCAGTGGATCTCGCATTGGGGCTGCAGGTGGAGCTGCCTGCCAGTCCTGCGCCGTGCGCCCACACTCCTCAGCCCTTAGGTGGTCGATGGGACTGGGCGCCGTGGAGCAGGGGGCCGCGCTCGTAGGGGAGGCTCGGCTGCACAGGAGCACATGGAGGCTTGGGGAGGCTCAGGCATGGCTGGCTGCAGGTCCCGAGCCTTGCCCCGCGGGAAGGCAGCTAAGGCCCGGCGAGAAATCCAGCGCAGCGCTGGTGGGCCGGCACTGCTGGGGGACCCAGCACACCCTCCGCCGCCGCTGGCCAAGGTGCTAAGCTCCTCATTGCCCGGGCCGGCAGGGCCGGCCGGCCGCTCCGAGTGCGGGGCCCGCCAAGCCCACGCCCACCTGGAACTCCAGCCGGCCGGCAAGCACTGGGCGCAGCCCGGTTCCCGGCCGCGCCTCTCCCTCCATAACTCCCCGCAAGCTGAGGGAGCCAGCTCCGGCCTTGGCCAGCCCAGAAAGGGGCTCCCACACAGCAGCGGCCGGCTGAAGGGCTCCTCAAGTGCCGCCAAAGTGGGAGCCCAGGCAGAGGAGGCGCCGAGAGCGAGCGAGGGCTGTGAGGACTGCCAGCACGCTGTCACCTCTCACAGGTATTTATAGCAGTGTGAAAACGCACTAATATGTTTGGAGATTTTGTTAAAATGTTCTAATTGAGTATGGCAGGCGTGCGGCCTGAGATTCTGCATTTCTAACAAGTTCCTAGGTGATGTCAGTGCTGTGGGTCTGTGGTTCACACTTTAAGTAGCAAGGCTCTTAGGGATAAAATTACCCAAGGTGGTGTTGTATGAGGCGGTGTCTTTCAGACAAGGGTGCATAAGAAACACCTGAGCAGCGTTTTGCAATCAACCTTTGAGCCTCTCCTCCACCTCCGGGGAAGTCTGATTTAGTGCGCTTGGGTTGGGGGTAGGTTGTATCTACTCTTTCCATCCCCCTATGTAATTTTTATGTTCATCAAAGTTGGGGGACCAATGATAAAATAAATCCTGAAGAATTTTTATTTGCCCTGAAAATTTCTCTCAGAACTCCTAGGACATTACATACAAAGTGACCATGAGAATGATACTCAGCAATAATGTTGATAAAGTCATGGAAACTTCGTGGAAACTGGAGTTTACTCTCCTCAAGGGCACAACTCTATTTAGCTCATTTTAGCATGCATTTCCCATCTCACGTTGTGACATTTCTTGAGAAAAGTAGGTATTCAGTAAGCCTTGGAACCTGATTAAAAATGCAACCTAATCTTCTAAAAATGATATTTGTTTTAATGATCTCTATTTTTCTTGAAGAATTATTTTGTCAGTATAATGCCCTCTGAAATCTTACAGCTATTGAAGGTTGTTGTTGGTAGACAGAGAAGAAAAATAACTTTTGTCTTGCGACATCTACAACTTTGGATAAGTCTATAGTTATTTCTGCTGAATTATTTTATTAACTAAAAGATTCAGCCTTGGTTACATTCCATGATTATAAATAGAAATGAGATGAAATTTAAAAATTCCACTGGGATCAGTAATTTATTCAATATCTGGAGAAAAGGTGATTCATGTAACATCAAAGATCTCAGCTTGGATTATGTAGCATTATTCTATTTCAGCATTTTAGGATAGGAAAGCATTAGGTCACTTACGTGAGAAAAAGTAGGGTAAGATGCAAGGAATAACAATCTCATGGTAGCAAGGATAAATGACTGTTGTAGGAACTAGAGATTTAGAAAGTATTTAGAGTGGGACACTTGGCATGGAAGTAGGAGCCCTGTTATCAGAATCAAATCAATTGGCTAGTACGACTGTAATGCAGTCATTGTAAGGTATTAAGTGGCGAGTGAATTTGGAGGTGTTTTCATACTTAGCATCTAAAATCTCAACTGTTGACTGGGGTATTGAGCCTGCTGGTGGGACCTCAGGCAGTGAGGATCCATGGCATGACAGTTCTCTTGTGATGACAGGTTTAAATTGTAGCTCTGCTTGAATTAAAAAAAAAAAAATGACTACATGGTCTAGATCCCCTCTCCAGTTCTATGATTTCATCCCTTTGTTTATGCACATGTATGTGCTATAATTCATACCAATTAATTTAATAAAATTCTAAGTGGCAATGGTTATATGTAAAAAAATTTATAAGATATCTTAGATATTGTTGTCTCTTTAATTTGGCATTATTGTAATTAAGTGCAATTCTACCTCTGATGTTTTAGTAATAATTTGGGTGGTCTATTGACATTACTTTCACTGAAAATGTGCATAAGTATAATTATGTTTTCATATTGATTTCTTGGCTTTTATAAAGGAAAAGAAATGCTGACATATGTTCAATATTTACATGTGTGGCCAACATTGACTGTTGATATTTTATCTACTCAAAAGTATTTTAGAAATTAAATTAAGGTTTATAATGTGTTTAGGATTTCCAGAACTCCTTTCAGCACTTGAAAATGTGTAGATTTTGTGTTAATAAGTAACAATTGTATTCTTTTAAAAATGAGTAGGCTTTATATAAGAAAATGAGAAAAATAACAGTAAGTTATTAATGAAACTCACTCTTAAAGACACATAAAATAAAATCACAGTTAACATTTGTAATGTGAAGGTCCTAATTAATACCTAAAAGCATATTATGCTTTATATAAATTCTGTTGGCTTATCATTTTTGAAAATAATTCTTTAAAAAAAGAAGAATGTGTATAGTTCTTTGGATTTTCAAACTTGTAGTTTAAAACGAAAGCTGGAGAAAGTTTCGTAGCCTATTACTAGTGAATGTGTGAAATAAATAATGTGAGCCAGCGCACTTTCTAATCTATACTGACCTTGGTCTTTTCCTGTGGATAGACATCTATAAATGATCATTTGCATATCCAAGCCTTCCTGCAGCCAAATATTGTCCATCACTTGAATAAGCTGCAGAACAAGCATATCCTGACGAAGATCATCTCCAGCCTGTTAAAAACAAAATTATAGACCCTGGGTTTTTCCTTGAATTTGTTAATTAAAAGCAGTCAAATACAGTACATGTCACTTTTCTCCTTGGATACATTTCTAGCCTGACTTAGAGTGGTTTTAATGGTTTTGTTAGCACTAAAATTACCTTGTGTTTCTGATAAAAAAAATTTTTAAATGAGAACTTCCTTTTAAATAATTACAGAAGCTTCAACCATCAAATTAGAGGTGCTGCTTGGAATGTTGTTCCTTGATAATAATTTTCAATTTATTATCCACGTGTGATTTCTCAGATTCAAAGTCTGGCAAAGACAGGCTGGATGAATGTTTATTCAAATTTCAAACTTAGCCAAGAGAGATCTCTTTCTAAGTGAAACATTATTTGGTATGTCATAAATTTATGCACCGATATGCAGTTAGAATACCAAGAGCTTCTTGACTGGGAGTATAAATAGCATCCATATGATTGATTAGACTTTAAATCAGTGATTTCTCAAATTATTTTGAAGATAGTTAAAAGGTTTTCAGAGAAAATGATTTTTGATAATAAGAAATGATAAAGTGGTGATAGTCATGTATTGGTTAAGGAGATTGCATATGTCCAAAGGGGAAGGATAGTTCTATCCTTTTAAACAAATAAGAAATTTCGTTTTGAAAACACTTTCTAAATTATACACGGAAAATCCTGCCAAGATAAGATTTTGTGTTTTCTTTTTTCCCCTTCATGAAAAGTACAGCATTGTGGGACCACTAACTCTTGAGGTGACATGACAAAGCAAAAGTCTGGGCACACTACTCATTATCCTCCAAAATAGACAGTGAGAATTCACCAAAGATTCACTCTGAGACCTTGTTGCACGGGCTTGGCTGAATAATTGGCCAAATAAACTGGAAGACGGGCATATTCTTACTTTTTACCCTAATCTCCCTCTCTGTTCCCTCTTTCCTACGTGCTTATAAACCTGTTACTACCTTTTCTCTGTTTTTCCAGTGGGATTAATGATGAAGACTGAAATGACCCATATTTACTTTTTTATTAAAAAAAACTCAAATTACTAAAATGAACAAGTGCTAGCAGGCAAGAATTTAATGTTAAATTAACTTATGTCATTTCAGTTCCAGTTAATTTTGATCCCAATTTAGTATCTAGACCAAAATAAAACTTTCCTCACATTCAACTTTATCTGCCACTTAAAAGCAATCATATCACTTCATTTACTGAATTATATTCTCTTAGGTTTTGCACTGAAGGCTCCCTGGCTTTGAGCCAGTAATGTTTGATTTATTGCCAATTGGAGTTTGGCACATACTATATATAATCCTGTAAAAAGGCAGACTCTAAAATAACTGAAAAACCTATGTGTTGTTGCTGGAGGAAAATAGCCACAACAATTTCTTTTTGTGAGTAATAAATCGATAGTTCTGTGTATGGAATCAATTCATGTTTTAAGAGCGCTACCATACCTTAAAAATAATGCTGATGTTTTTGCCCATCGGATTAGCATTGATGAAAGTAATCTTCAATGGCAAAGCATTAGATGTAAAATATGAACATGCCTATAGGAAAAGAAAAAGGGAAAACTAGTGAGCAAAATAAATCAGACCCCAATCCCCAAAAAGCAAACCTTTTCCCCAAAATCATAGCCCCTTGCAGACTTTGTTGTATGAACAAATGTAACACATATGAATAATTTTTATACTTTGGAACACAGAAACATACAAATTTTAAAAAATTTAGTCCATCAACTGGAGCCTTTACTTTGAAACCAAGAAGCCAGCTTTTTGACAGATTACAGATCTTCAACCACGTTTTTTCCTCAGTGAACAGTAGTGATATGTTTGAGGTTTAAATGAACTAAGCAGTGTATGAATATTGGCTTATGCTAGCTGGTTAGTAGATAAAAGTTAAAATTTTATTTTAAAAACTTTATTTCCCTTCCATTATTTCTACCTTGCAGAATACTTTAAGGAAAAATAGATAGAAAGTTAAGAAAGGCTTGAGTTCAAATCTAAGCTTTATAACTAATTTGCTGTAAAGTGGAGAAAGTAACCTCTCCCTCATACATCTTTGTGATAGATTCAGGAACTAACGGATATAAGATACCTTTTACAATGCCTGACACTAATCAGGTACTTTGAAAAATCCTTACATTTTTCTTTATCTTTTAGTTAATGAACATTTTCTTGTTTTTTATAAATAGCAGTACAACATATATTTTGTCTTCTCATTTCCAGTAATTACACCTTCCATTTGCATTTTCAGCTTTGTGATGTTGACTACTTTTCACTCTACTTTCCTAGTTGCCTGTTTTCCTCTTATTTTCTTACAATTAAGCATTGAAAAGCTGTATGTCTTTAGGCTATTAGAGAGTTCATGATGGCATTGAAGACTTCATTCAATATAAAGAAAGGAAAAAGACTCTATGCTTTCAATTTATCAACTTAGTAAAATATGACATCAATGCATGTTGAAAGATCAGCTTGAACAACGTTATCTACAAGAAGTCTGAAATTAGAAGTTGAGAGAAAATATCTATTTCTTAACTGACCTATCAACACAAATCTAACCCAATATCTTAACTAAACACAAACCCTTGCTTACTGAATCATAAGCAAGAGTTTAAGAGATGGAAAATAGATATTTTCTACTTTCAATTTGAAAAATCAAATTGATTCAGTAAGCAAGGGATTGTTTAGTTAGAAATTGGGTTAGATTTGTGTTGATAGGTCAGTTAAGAAATAGATATTTTATAGATGTAGATGTTTTATCTAGAAACAAAAATAGATGTTTTATAGTTTTATGGGTGAGGATGCTTGTTAAGCAATGAAATTCTGTTGCAAAAGTCAGCTAATTAGGGATCACATGACCATATATCATGGTATTGAATTAGCAAATTCTGTATGAGGCAAGAAATGAGTGTAGATCAGTGGTTTTTAAATTCTGCTCATTGAATATGTGGGGAATCTCTTTGAGTTATCCCAAGTTCAGGGAGGCTGAAGGCAAGGCTTAGCCTATCTTTTTAACTACCACCCAGAGACATTCTGCTTTTATTGTTTCACATCTTGGTTTTCATGTGCGGTATATATTTGAGTGATTGTCAAAAATATGTATTCAACAACTAGTATGCACATTATATGCTAAAAAAAGAAACACTACATCTCCCCTCACAAAGCCTATTAAATTTGGTGGTACACACACAGACACACACCCACACCCACCCACACACACACATATTAAGTTGAAAATAATTCACAGGATAGTTTATCATCATTGAATGAAGCCACATTTTAAGAAAAAAATTTTCAGAGTTTTACTAGATCTTGAAGATTTTGAGGGCCATAGATTAGCAAATAGACAGAAGCAAGGGTTTTCTAGATAGAAAGAGGCAAATGATAAGATATTAGATTAGAGTGATAGTTATAAAGTAGATTGGAATGCCCATGGATGGAAGAATTAATCAGAGTCTTAGAGGAGGATTTTATGGAGATGGTATAATAAGATAGAAAAGCTGGAAGAAAGGAAGATAGGATCTCTGTCCTTGAGAAGCACACATTAATGACAGATATCTAAAAATTAGTTGAAAAAGAAACCAGTAAGTAAATGAAATACCTGGTGCTTGTTTTCCCTAAGTAGTGGGGAAGAATTGCATTCAGTTCCTCCCACTCTCCCACTTGGTCCATCCTTTAGTGATTTAAAAGGAAATAGGGAATGGTTCATTGTGATTAATGGTTTGTGGGTAGGGGTGGGAGGCAAAGGTTGAGAATTTGTCTTATAAAGACAGTTTAGCTCAGACCTGAGCCCCTTGCTCTTTGCCTTTGAGAGCCACGCTTTAAGAAACGAATTGAGCCATACCTGAGTGCTTCTCCCCAGTATAGTTGACTGATAGTGATAGAATGCTGATTAAAGGCTTTCCCATGCTCACTGCATTCACAGGGCTCCTTTCCAGTGTGAACCCTCTGGTGCACAATCACTTGTGAACTATAATGGCTCACACAATCATATAACAGCTTTCACACTATCATTGCATTTATAAGATTTCTCCCCACAATGGGTTGTCTGATGTACCACAAGACTGGCACTATAACTGAATATCTTCCCATACCCATTATATTTGTAGGGTTTCTTAACAGTGTGAATTCTCTGGTGTATAATGAGGCATGAGTTCTGACTACACATTTCCATGCTTATCATATTTATAGGGCTTTTGGCAGGTGTGAACTCTCTGACACAGAATAAGACATTTACTCAGACCAAATGCCTTGTCACACTGCATTCAAAAGGTATGAATTTTCTCATAGTCAACAAGTTAAGAGCTCTCATAGATGGTTTCTCCAAACTGCTTCCATTTAAATAAGGTTTTTATATGAACCTCAGTGTGTAGGCTCTGATGTCAAATAAGACATTTAGTTTGAATGAAGGCCTTGCCACATTCATCATGCTTATAAGGATTCTCCCCAGTGTGGATTCTCCAGTAGTTGATAAGGTTTCTGTTGAAACAGAGAGCTTTTCCATACTCATTTCAACTGTAAGGTTTCTCACTTCTTTGTTCAATGGGACTGGAGGATAGATTCAAATGTTTCCCAAGATGGTGTCACCTGGCCATGTCTGTCCTGTTCATTGTTGTACCCATAGGTGCCCAACCCTGTGCCAGGCATAGCTAGTCAGAGCAAATGGAACCAGACAGTGGTTCTACTTGGGACAGCTTCTGCAGGAAAAGTACTGCTAACCGTAGGGTGCTATATAGGGAAGGAGTGTGGTCCCACCTGCAGCACTAGGGGTGGTGACTCCTGGGCAGCTGACCCCTGGCCCAGCCGGTGCACCTGCACATGCCAAACTTATATGTAATTTTAAGTGAAAAAAAACAAAAACAAAAACACTCTTCTCCTTTAAAACAAGCAGCCAATAAAGCAAAAGCAAAAACAAACAAACAAAAAATACATGGACTCAGTGATCCCTGTTGTTCTTTCTACATTAAGGTACAGTGTCTTTGAAATGCTGAGTTCCTACATATGTGCAGCATTAGACAAGAATACTGCTGATGATGAAAAAGTTGGGCAATTTTTTGAAAATTAGTAATGATTTGGATTTCAGCCCAGACAGACATATCTCAGTTTAAGGAATTTGAAGCCTTATTTTGTTATGTTTCAAAATATATTTATGAAGCATATCAAAAAATTTTCAGGGAGTCTTACTTGTGGCAAAGTGATAAAGATGATGGTATCAAGTTTTTAGCAAAACATTTTACATTCACAGTAATAATGGTCTAATTTTTCACCTAATTATTGGGTTTGTTTTCTTGACTGTCTTATGACTTCAGTTAGGTAACATTTATTGTCCGTGCATGATAGCTTAACCTCTTCACTTTTAAATCTAACATATTCATAATTTTCTCTGTTAGTGTCTTTGTACTCTTGGGCTTTTGAGAAGGAAGATAATAAAGCTTATCAGGAACAAGGGAGAAAGAATGATTCTAAGTCAGAGAAGTGTGACTGAAGAGGTACCATATGACAGAGGATTAGGAAGAGAAGGCTTAGGAAGTTGTGAGTCTGACAATGCCAAGATGGGCTTTCTAGGCGTGAGTAAAATCACAAACTATATGACACACTGACATATTAGAATCAATAAATTTTAAATCGAATCAAAATAGAAATGTTGTAGCTAATGACTAATGTTCGTGTACTAGGTATGGTTATGCACATAGTCTAAATAAACCATGAAATTATACCCAGCCTGCATGGGGTCACCAAATCAATCATTTTTAATGAGTCAAGAAATTAACCCAGCGATATGTTCCTCTATGTTCCTCTATTTTTTTTTTTTTCACTGAACTGATGGATAGTTTGTTTCCAAATAAACAAATCATATGATAAGGCCAATGTGATCCCAACTGGTCTTAGTGTATCAAAGGGAAAACACAATGTAAATGGATTCAGTTACTTTTTCGTTAAAATAATTGCAGTGTCAACTTACGAATTCTTTTTGCCATTTCAAACATATACAATGAACTAAACTATACAAAACAGAAATATTCCATTAATCTGAGGAATAAGTTGACTTACATCGTGATCAATCCCTTTTATACATAGGGCAGGGTTCAGAGGAAGATGACAAGTATTTACATCTTGAAAGAACTCTTCTAGTCTGCCAATTTCTTTCTTCAGTACCTCCTGTGAAAAATCATTAGAAAAAGGATTTAAGAAAATGTAAAGAACTTGACTTTTCCTTCAGGTTATAATTTTCTTCTATTGATTAAATGAATTCTTGAATTCAGGGTTACACACTTGGATGACTTTGGGGTCAGGCAGGTGATGTATTCAGGCATGAGAAGACAGTGGGCTAAAGACAATAGGGCATGTTGGAGAAATGGGAAACTAAGGCATGCATGCCCTTTCTAAAGGACCTCAAATTCAACTAAAAATAAAAACCAAACAAAGCACTGTACTGTTCAAACAAAACATAAAAGGGTTGGACTTGACCTGCGTGGCCGCCAATTTGGAAACCCTGCTTTATGTAATTATTAACATGATCCTTTTCTGATAATTTTCTGAAATCTGAGTTTGTGACTCTCAAAATTACACTCAATAGTATAGTGCATTTTACAAAAAAAAATTACGTACAGTAGTAACAACAATGACAAAAATCCAATTGCATAATGCTGTCAGAAATGATAATATGTAGGAACAAATAGTTTACTGGACATCAATGAGTATATTTCTGTTATTTACTCATTCCTACACTCCACTATACTCATGGCAGCTCAGATATCACAAACAACACCTTTAAATTGTGCATCCTATGACAAAAGAGATAGGAAATAATTACAATTCATCACAAAACAAACAAAGCTTCTTTTAGTCCACTTTCACATATGCATGATGGAGTACTATCCAACCATAAAAAGGAATGAGATCCTGTCATTTGCAACAACATGGATGGAACTGGAGGTCATTATGTTATGTGAAATAAGCCAGACACAGGAAGACAAATATCACATGTTCTCACTTATCTGTGACAGTTAAAATTTAAAACAATTGAACTAATGGAGACCGAGAGTAGGAGGATGGTTACTAGAGGCTGAGAAGGGTCGTCAGTGCAGCAGGGGGCAGGGGGAATAGTTAATGGATACAAAAAAAGTGTTAGAGTAAATTAGAAAGACTTACTATTTGCTAGCACGAGGTAACTATGGTAGAAAAATTTTTTTGTGCATTTTAAAATTGAAAATTAAAAAAGAAACTTTTTGAGCCCAATTCAGAAGACAAGGATATCATATTAATAATGTTCACTCAGCTCTCAAGAGTTTCTTACCTTTTACTCCTGGCTTATTGGCAAATAATAGAATCCACAGCTCCCAGAATCCAGAAGAGCAAAGTGTAGAGAGAAAAGTTGCATTACAGCCCTCTGTGTGTGTTGTTCTCCTTTGCCTCATCTATACTTGGATTTGCCTGGCAGATATCATGGAGAGGAATCTCTGCTCCCTTCATTTAAGTAAAGTATCTTCCCAGTTCATATAGTTATGCTTAATTAGTGCTTTTTTAAGTACAAAAGTAGCCATTAGGAACTTAAATTTTTGTGAGAAATTATTATTTCTTAAATTGTGAGAAATTATAAATGCCTCTTCCACCTCTTCCTTTTCCTCTTCCTATTTTCCTATGTGAAGAGATGTTATCACAAAAGCAGCCACTCAAGGCAAGATAAATATATTTACCTGAGTGAATAATGTCAATATCACTCTGGTACTTGAAGCGAATGATCAAAAAAAGCACCAGAATTATTTAAGTATAATGTACATCTTAAACATGTGAGGGATTTTAAAACATAGGAGATAAAGACCAAACCGTCACACAAACTTCTGTAAATTTTAAATCAATTTATTTAACTTGCCATCAACTTTTTGTCTACCATTACAAAATAATTAATGAACTTGTAGTAACGTTTAAAAAATCATAGAACTTTTTTTTGCATTGCTTATCCTATTATATGCCTTAAGGATCCTCTGTGTACTGGAGTCTATATATCTCCCATTTAAAAATTAATTCCAAACTTTTGCTTTTTTATTTTCCATTTTCTCCCAGGAAGGTGAAGTAGCATAGTTTCTGGCACTTCTACTAAATGAAGTGAGTTCCAGCAAGAAAAATCCTGGGCTGAGAAAGAATTCTGGGACACTTTGCCTACTACTATTTTTATATCATTTTGTTGAAAATTCTTGTTGATTTTAGATTATAAGTGGAGAGAAACTGAGTTCCCTTGAGGACAAAACTCATGTTTTGGTCATCTTTCTATCCTTAACCCCTAGTCTATAGTAGGTAGTTAATTATTATTGAATAATATTCTTAATACAATGAAAGAATGTCCCCTTTCTCCCTGCATCTAGAGTGTTGAACTTGAGAGAAACTACTTAATGGTGTATATCAGTATAGGGAACTAGTGATGGAGATAATTAAAAAGAGCAAATATTCTTCCAAGAAAAATAATAGCCAGGTCCATTATTATAAACACTGAGAAAGAGGCACATATTTTGACTAGTATCCATAGATCTTAGTATAAAAAGTATTACTGTTCTTAAGGCCATTGATTTATTTCATTTAATTCATCTTATTTGTTACGTGAAAAATGTCCTTTGCTGAGCAACGACAAAAACGTGCCCTAAAACTTCTCATGTATTTCTCCATGAGTCTGAATTGTGCCTCCATATTGACGCGATTAGTTTATCAGGCTTGTTTAGTCCAACTGCCTATACGTTGGTCTTTTCTTTTCAGGTTCTCTCTGTGTGTCACATGGCTATTTAGGTCAAAAAACCATGTCCTGGTGATAGACATTATCATTAACTTAAGAACAGTAGGTGGGGAAAAAAACTTGACTAAAGTAATTGATTTAAGTATCTTCTATTTAAGTGTAATCAAGGAATTTGCTTTGCAAACAATGAAATTAAAACTTAATTTAAGCCAAAGTTAAAAACATTACTACCTGAATATTAATATTTCAACAAACCTGTCTTTGATGGTCACTGGCAGACTTGACTCTTTCCCCAATATCTCCCAGAATTTTGATAAGTTTCTGCTCCTTGGAAAACTCATCATTCAAGGCTTTACCTGCACAGAATTGGAGAGCAGCTAGTAGCTTCTGATACCAGCTTTTAAAATAAGCTTCATTTTCTGCATTTTTTAGCAGCCTGAAGGAAAGAGAGAGAAAAAAATTCTTGTATGTAAAGCTAATTTTTTAAACCACATCCAGCCGGAACAGTAAGTGCATTTCAAACTAATCTGTATTTGGTGGCTTTGGGCAGTTTAACAACCTAGAATGGGGAAAATGTTGTTTATTCATTGACAGTCATCAAGTTCCATCTGATAGTTAATGAGATTCCAAGAGTGAAGAATCAATAAGAGATCTGCCTTTCTTCATTTCAATTCATAACACATCTTTTCTCCTTTCAGTCCTCTTAATTCTGTAACACACACTTTTCTCAAGAACATGCTTTTGACTTCTTAAAATATGCACAAATACCTTTAGAAATAGTTTTTATAAGTGACTGTACTATATGGAGACTCAAACATCAAGCCTAACTTTTTCTTGTTTCCTTCAAATGATAATATCCCCGCACTGTCACAAACCACAAAAGGTGCTGTCTTTTTCCGAGCACCTCCCCTGGACTACCTGGAGGAAGGTATTGTAAAGGCAAGAGCATGGTTTTTTGTTTTCAGGCATATCTGGACTCAAATCCCAGCTCTCAAACTTACAAATTACTTAATTAGGCTGAGTTTTTATTTATTTATCTTAAAATAAGGTAATTCTATAAAGCTATAGAGCTGTATAGAACACAGAATGAGGCAATGCATTTGAAAGTGCTTAGCACAAAAACATTAGTTCATCCACGTCTCATAGCCTTCCCAAGTCAGCTTCTGTCTCTGCCTGGAAGTCTGCTCCTATCATGAACATGGGAAGCATAAATCACGACGAAGTGAGAAAACATTGCAAGATAATGGAGCAACAACAAATGTTTGACAATTTTACTTTCTATTATACCCTTAAAACACTGAAATGGAATTAAAAAAGACTAATTTATTTGCACATTAACTTCTCTCTAATTGATTCTTTTAATCTTAACTGGTCTTTAGTTTTTGCCTTCTCTGAAAAATGATTAGCATTCAAGGAACTAAAAGATAATTCTGAGAACTAAATACTTAAAAAAAAAGGATTTTTAAATATATAGATGTGTTTTATTCTGCATGCCTAATTTTGCATCTCTGTCCAATGTGTATTATGTTAGAGATACTCTAACAAACAAATTATTTTTATTCAATGTTTTCTGTTGCTACACATTAAAGTTAAAAATTAGTTGAATGAGTTTGCAGTTTTTTAAGGTAAGGGCCTGTTCCTTTGTCATTATTAGAAGCCAACTTGTCTTCTAGTACCTCTTTTATTTTCTCAAAGGAAATACAAATTTTGTGTGAAATAATGGCTCTTATTTACTTCTGGAAAGCATTTACACACACACACACACACACACACACACACACACACACAAAATACCTCAAGGGACTAAAGATGTATCACTGGTAAAATATTCTCTATTGATACTTGGTTCTTTTCATTTTAAGAAGAGTAGCAGTGAAAAATTTTCCTACTCATCCCTATGATGAGATTTTGAAATGTCAAACAAGTAATAAATGGACCACATAATTAATTAACTGGAAGCTCTAAGCAAATGCATGTTGCATGCATGTGAATGCAAAGCTGCAGATGCAGGCATGCACTTGTAAAGCTTGAAGATGTTTTTTGCAGAATTGTGTACTGCTCAGATTCTCACAGTGCTTTGAGCACAGTGGTAATGTACCATTTTATAGTCTACATGGGATTCATCGGAATAGGGAGTGGATCGATGGAGTATTTCTATGTTGAATATCAATGTTTGTCAGCACTTTCATACACTTTGAATATTGGGCTACTTGTTTTTTTTTTAAGTATTTTTAACCTGATCTAGTACATAAATATAACTCTATGACTACCCAACTGCTACATACGTGATAGAAAGAAAAGTTAATTTACACAGACAAAATCAACAATTTTTTACCAAAATAATTAAAGAAATAATATATTTTAGGGTTGGGGTTATAGGGACTGTCAGAATTGTTCAGTTAATTTGTACGTATAATACTCTTATTCCTTATTCTATTGAAATGAACTTGTTCACTCATGAGCAATGTATTTGCTTCTCTCTGGTTCAAGGAGGAAAAACTCAGTTTGATTCCTTGCTCAAAATAAAACCGAGCAGGGGAGAGTCACAGAGATAACATGTGACTATATCCTAAAAAACATAAAAGCTAAGAAAACTCAGTGTATTCTGTTGGGATTATTTTCCTTGGAGAATATACCTCATTCAAACCCTGCATCCCTGCCAAGATTACATGTTCTCCTGGTGAGATCTGGTTCAAGATCCATGGCTTTTTACTCAATGTGTAGAGAGTTTGTTTTTGTACACTGCAGAATTGAAATCATAGAGTGCTGGAGATGAACACGAGAGGTCAATTATTCTATTCCTGTATTTTCAGGCACAGACACTTTAAATGACAAGAGAAATTAACATGCCCCTTAACTTTAAACAACTACGGAAAAGGCTGAACTACAAAGTTTTGGGTGGAAGGTTACTCAGTTCTGTGTCAGTGACCTTCTCTATAAGGAAGCAGTAAATCCTAAATATTGTAGTTTTTATCCATTGCCTCTGTCTATAAGATTGTAGAAAATAGCTGGCCACTCTCTTTTAAGGTTTACAGAAATTCTTTTCAAAAGATGCCGTAACCTGGGAGAGGCAATATTGCTTATGGCAAAAATGTTTAAAAATAAAAAGTTTAAGGTCAAGGGACTGAGAAGTATCAAGTAAGACTTGCTATTAAAAGACTGGGCTTTTAAGATGCAGGCAATGTGATTTTGCACAAACTGTGAGGTAAATCTTAAAATGCCAGAGACCTGTTTACCCTAATGTCTGCAATATCCAGCTGTGATTCAATTTGGTATTATTTTGTACACATGCCTTAATGCTTTATAAAGTGTAAGTTATGACAACATTAAAATGAGGATGAATGCATAAAATCTAGATGATTAAAGAAGATTTTGACAGTATTAAGTTTGGTAGGCGGTAAGGAAGAGGGAAAGAAACATAATCCAGGTGACTGAGCAAATTTTTTATAGGATGTCATGGAGGTATTTAAGTTAAGTGAATTATAGTGGACTCAGAGATACAGAGATAGTCACCAACCTCAGCTAGCATAGAATGGAGATTTTTCTTGAAAATTAGAACTTTTCTACATTTCTTCATGCATGTCGCTGCTTCTGGTCACATGATGAGGGACTTGCTAGAGCCACAGGAAAAGTACAGATAGTTCATATTCCATCAGTCTACCAGCAGGACAGAACAGAGTAATCACATCATCCCAGCCCTCTTTGCCTCATAAACTCATTCAATCCAGGCCGTAATTTTAGTTTTCAACAGCAGGATATTGCACATCTCAGGGACTGTCCTAGAATTTTACTCACGTGTGTATTTTCTGTGGGTCAAGAGAGGAAACAACATCCAGTAACAGAAAAGAATTGAGCTACACAATAGAGATGAGTGATTTCAGATCACTCCAGGGCTTCCCCTTCCCACTTCATCTTGTATATTTTGCTACTTTGTTTGGGCTGAGGTACGTGGATCAGGAGACCAATTTTTAGTGAGCACAGGTGGATTCCAGAATATGACTTTTTCAAGTGTATTTAGAACTCTGGGACAAATAAAGAATACAATTCAATAACTAAAATATAATTGTTAATTTTAAGATTTTAGTAGTGTGGCTAGGAAATGAAAAGCATGCCTATTTAGCGTTAGCAACTTTATTTTACCTCTAAGTGGCTAAGAGATTTATTTAGTATTTTCCTCAACTGAGGAACTTGATACGTTATACAATCCTTGCAAAGATAATTGTTTTTTCTGACTAGCCCATTTTTAGAATATTGATTTGCTCTTTCAGAAATAGCAGCACTAACTGTTGAATTTTGCATATAAAGAGCATTATATGGGGCAAGTCTGCAGATAATGCAAATTCCAATCAGTATTCTGCAATATGTGTTTATCAATAAATTACTTCGTAACAACTCAAGTATAAAACTATTCACAAAGGAAACAAGTTCGGAAAATGATTAAATCCATACCCTAGATGTTGTATATATTTTTAGAACACTTAAATATATGAGAGGAGCC
Organism: Homo sapiens; assembly: GCF_000001405.40. Classification (NCBI taxonomy): domain Eukaryota; kingdom Metazoa; phylum Chordata; class Mammalia; order Primates; family Hominidae; genus Homo; species Homo sapiens. Next base: position 18,484,386 of record NC_000012.12, on the reverse strand, counting down.
TATAAGGCATGAAACTGACTTGGTTTATACCCCTACCATAATTTATGAGGCTAATCATTCTGATAATTTCCAAAGTAATCTCTTTGGAATGTTATATATTCATGATGTTCCCACTGTTCCCACACTGTGTGGTAGATTTCATTATTGTTCCCAGCTCCATGTTTTCTCCTTTGTAGAAGATTATACCTCTAGACTCTTTGTCATGTGACTTCCAGTACCTTCCTGTAGGTAGAATTTACTTCTTTATCCCTTGTCAGATTGGTCATGTGATTTGCTTTGGTCAACAGAATGTGACTGGATGAAACCTATACTCATGTCCATGGAGACGCTTTAAATGGGCTATTGTGATTTGGTTTGGCCTCCGGTTTGGTTTAATTTTGCCTCTCCTTTCTTCCTGGAGAACAGCATGTCCCAGTAGGAGGCTGTTCCTTTAGTCCTGGAATGAGAAGACAATGTGGAGCCAAGCTGAGCATTGATGCACAGTCAGGTGGAGCCAAGCAGGACGACAGCAAGTCTGCAGCCTGAGTCCTACATGAATGAGAAATAAATCTTTGTTGCCATAAGCTACTGAAACTGTGGGGCTATTTGTTGCTATGGTAAAAACTAATGAATATGCCAACTTTCTTTGTTTTTCTTTTCTTTTTCCACTTGTTTGTTTGAGTTGCCTTTAGAATGGAAAGCACATTTTTTTAAACATTCTCGGGGGGTATCCCTGAGGATATTTTGGGGCAAATCTAATTACTGAAAATAAACAAAAGTCATCTGGAGCCAAGTCTGGTGAATTAGATGAATAGTCAATTTGAGTATAATATTTCAGATAAAAAAAACTATAAAAGTAATTAACATGTCTTTTTTCGTGGATCATAAAAAGTCCCAAAAGATATTCCAAAAATGATTTGATCCAGCTTACTTGGACATGTATATTCTGTGCCACTGCTAAAATTCTGTTGTTATTTTATTACTACTAACATACTTCTTGACTCATTTAAAAGTGTGAATAGGCCTATGTACCATCTGTTGCTTTGTCTAGCCAAGTGTCTGAGTATCTGATAGGAGATGCTCTCTGAGTAAAAATGTTACAGTACTAAGTGCAACAGGGCAAAGGCAAACTTTTTTAGGGTTTACATAACACAGGGCTAAACAAAGGGTCTGATGGCTGAGGGCAGTGAAGGAGATGGTACATGTGGCTGTTCTTAGGAACTAAAAACTTCGGCTCTACCCTAATGGTAATATTTGAGGACTGAAGTGGCTGAAAAGGGGCCAATGGCTTTGGATGAGGAAGCATCTGTATTAGCATATTGAGTGTTACTTTCCCTTGTTGCTCTGGAGTTGGCTACCAAGACCTAAGACTGAAGAAAAGAGATAATAGTTATCCTATATTTCAAGAGTGTTGCAAACATTGACAACAAGAAGACAACAACAAGTAAACGAAAAACCAACTGGGGGTCAGATAACTCTTCAAGGGTTATCAGGAAATGGATAAAATGGCTATGTGCATTATCTCCTCTACATATTTGCAGGTGGGGGTGTTTGAGAGTCATGAGTCATTAGCCCAGTGAGGAATAGAGTGAGTCCACGATGTCCACTTATCCTTTCAAAGTCCAGTGGGGAAGGAAGCTCAATCTGAGCCATTTATAGTGATTTGAGTGTATGCAATAAGAGACTGTTACCCCAGTTTAGACTTCTGCTCTGAAAGAGAGTTTGTTGATTTTCCCTAGGCTTCTGTGAACATGAAGAAAAAGCAAGGCCAGGATGGAGAAAAGGGGGGGCAAAGAAGCAACCTGCATTCTTGCACCCCTGCAGTTTGACAAAACAAGGGTTTGTAGGGTGGATGTTACTCAAGGTTTAAATAAACTCATAAAAGGTAATTATATGTGCTCCACTCTTTTTATAGGTAGAGGTTGAGCCAGAGCCAAATCTCCTGGTGGGGAGGTTCTCCAAGGCTTCCCAAAGAACTCACCCATGGTAACCCCAAGGTAGCCAGCTTTGACCGTGAACCCACAGTGGGCCTTGGTGGAGAATCTGCGCTCACAGAGAGGGGATTGCAATTCCTGCCCTATCAAGTATGAGGGTCACTTTTCTCTTTCTCTTTTCTTCCCACTCTTAGCTAAGAAAAGTTACAGCCAAAAAAGAAAGAGAAGAAGAGTGAAATAACAGATCATATCTTCTATTCCTAAGCTAGATCTTGGCTAGTATTGGAGTCTAGGGGTGCGAGGGTGGCGGGGGGCGGGTGGATGGGGTGGGTGAGGTATCTGTCAAATTAGAGAAGAAAACGAAGTTTTAAATTGGACAAGATGGGTTGAAGTTTTTTGTTGTCCAAAAGTATATACGATGAAACTATAGAATCTAGCCTGGTTTTAATTAGGGAATGTGAAAGGGAAAAGGTAGTATTTTTTAAATCGTTAAAAGTTTTGAGACCTACTATGCTCAATTAGTTTAATAAAAACTAGCCAAGACAGTTAAAAATCTAAGAGTCAGAAAGAAATGTGCAGCTTCAGGAAGTGTCCTGATTGCATTGCAGGTGAGAAAAGCCCTAAGATGCCGAATAAGGGGGATCTTATTCTGGGGCAGTAGAATTTTGGGGAACCTTGACCCAAAACTCTTGAGAGTTAGGCTGAAATCATTCTCTTTGCCTCTCTTTATTCCCTCTCCACCACTTACTCTTCCAGATCTGGGCTTATTTTGTTTGATTTCATTTGTGGATGAGCATGGCTAAGCAATGAATTGTATTTAAAAAAAAACTTGTTTCTTTTGCAATAGGTTATTAACACTGCATATATATGAGTATATACATACTATCACAATTAGTTGTCATGATAATTAAGTAAAATCCTTAACAGTTATGGTCAGTCACATATTTAATGATAAGCTTAAAATTAGCTATAGATGGTATCTGTTTGTGTAAACAACCTACAATGAAGAGTTCTATTACACAACAGTGTTGCACTCAGGGTCAGCTGGTAGCTATGGAGGGAAAAAACTATGTTGAGCAGATAAGTTTCCCTGAAGTTTCCTGCACCTGTAATAAGAAATCAGAGCTCCTTACATTCATCTCACAGAAAAACGTGGTCAACCCGGGAGCCTGATGCAGGATAGGTGAGCCCCCAAATTGGTGATTAATCTGGGAGGGATCTTCACCCAGGGAAGAATTCAAGCCAGGTGCAGTGGCTCATGCCTATAATCCTAGCATTTTGGGAGGCCTAGGTGGGCTGATCACGAGGTCAAGACATCGAGACCATCCTGGCCAACATGGTGAAACCCTGTCTCTACTAAAAATACAAAAAAAATTAGCTGGATGTGGTGGCATGTGCCTGTAGTCCAAGCTACTCAGGAGGCTGAGGCAGGAGAATTGCTTGAGCCTGGGAAGCAGAGGTTGCAGTGAGCCGAGATTGCGCCACTGCACTCCAGCCTGGAGACAGAGTGAGACTCCGTCTCAAAAAAATAAAAAATAAAAAAATAAAAAAATAAAAAACTCAAGGGTGAACCAGAGGTGTTAGCAACTTTTATTGAAGCAGCAATGTAGAGCAGCAGCAGAGGTATTTCTCCTTGCAGAGCAGGGCTACCCATAGGCAGTGTGCCCAGACTAGCAGCTCAGAGGCAGTTTTGCAGTCATATTTATATCCACCTTTAATTATACGCAAATTCAGGGGTGAATTATGCAGAAATTTTTAGAAATGGTATGGTCACTTTCAGGTCATTCGGTTGCTGCCATGGAAAGGAGCAGTAGCATTTGGGTGTTGTCATGGCAATGGCAAACTTGACTTGGCACACACACTTACAGAAAGCTTCTTCTGCCCCATTCTTGTTTTAACTAGTCCTCAATTTGGTCCAATGTCTGAGCCCCACATCTGGAGTTAAGTCTTGCCTCCTACCTCAAGGCTACATGTAAATACATAAAACTCCTTCCAGCCTACTCATATGTTAACACGTAACATATGTTCACATGTTCCAGCCTACTCACACGTTAACATGTAACATGTTCACATGTTAAATTTATCAAATAATGGGGTTTAAGAGAAGGGACTGTCCTGTTTACATTACAAAACACACTTACTGCTTTAGTGTAAGTTATTTTATTTATCATTTTTCTAAATTAAGCACTCTGCTGTGAATAGCTTATAGTGACCCCTCTCTCCCTCCCCCACTACACTCCGTATATGCTTGTTAATTATATAAGCAAAAGAAACAGGTGGAATTTTAGCCCTGGGCACACTTTGGAAGACACAGGTATCTATGAGGCCCTCCTGTATCCCACCTCCCTTTTCGCTCATTTTGGTTTTCTCCTTTCCTGATCCCCAAGAAAGCCTTGGCTCCAGCCACTTCTCCTTTGTCAAAAACTCCACCTTGTTCTGCTCTCTTCTGTGGTGTCCTGGGCTTCCAAATAGTCCTTGTCCTTCCCACTCCAGCTGAACACATTCCCTGAGTATAATTATACTCATATTCTCAGTGGGATAATATTACAAGAGCATGGAGCTGAACAATACTTTGAGGAAATTTCTCCCACCCTTACATTTGTTAGGTGAGGACACTGAGTGATCGAGAAATTTGGCCAACGACCTATGACAAGAGCCCAGCTTTCTGGACAACAACTCAGGGCTCCTTGCAAAGCACCATATTCTGTGTTCTAAAATCCACTGAAACGTGATTTGAAAGACTGTTTTCTACTTTCACCAACTCTGGCAAGAACCTGCATGCTTTGGTTCTTCACTTTCCTTCTCTGTCAAATGTTGGCATTGGTGAGGTTTAGTAAGCTGCCTTCCAGTTCCGGGGCTCTATAATTTTATTCTTTTATGAAATTATCAAGCATTTACTCTGTGCCAGGTGTTTCCGAGCATTTTGCATAGCTGTGTTAGGCAATCCTTACCTCAGCTCCAGGTCATATGATTTCTTCCTTCTCACAGATGAGGGAGGATATTGTGATTCATGCAGGTGGAGTAAATTGCCCAAAGTCATCCACCCAGTGGACTGGGGATTCAGATCCAAGTGTGTCTGACTCCCCAGCCCTTGCTCTTTAGCCTTATGCTGTGCCACCTCCTGATGTCTTAACATGGATACCAGCTGAGGGGTTAGCCCGAGACTCTTATGCAATCTAGGAATTATCTTCTGCCACCTTCCTGCCCTGTTTTCCTTTAATCTTTTTCTCTTGCTTCCTGGTTCCTAACACTCTGAAGTCTCATGTTCTCCAGGTTGCCTTCTTTCTTTCCAAAGGCTTCCAACTTTCTATGTATGTATGTGTGTGTATATGTATGTATGTATATGTACTTTATATGTATTTATGTGTGTATACATATGTATATTTTATACATACATAGATATATTTTATATATGTATACGTATATATGTATAATGTATATATGTGTGTGTGTATATAAAAATATATATATACATATATATATATATTTTTTTTTTTTTGAGACAGGATCTCACTCTGTTACCCAGACTGGAGTGCAGTGGTGTGATCATGGCTAACTGTAGCCTTTACTTCACAGGCTCCACTGAACCTCCCACCTCACCCTCCTGAGTAACTGGGACCACAGGCTTGCGCCGCCACGTCTGGGTAATTTTTAAATTTTTTGTAGAGGTGGGGTCTCCTTGTGTTGCCCAGGCTGGTCTGGAACTCTTGGGCTCAAGCGATCTGGCCTTGGCCTCCCAAAGTGTTGGGATTACAGGCATGAGCCACCATGCCCAGCCTTAAATATAACTTTGTGTGAAATATTGATAAACAGGGATATTTTTCTCTCCCTTACACAGCCCACTAAAATAATAGAATTGTGGGATCTATTCTGATGATGCAAATCATACACCTGACTCACTTCTCCTCCACCCCTTCTTCACTTGAGAAAGTGGGACCAACATCACAGTTTCAAAGGGTCTGGCCTCCTTGGTTTATTTAGACAAATGGCAGTGGGTGGCATTGGGGGAGTAGATGGGAGAAGAGGCCACATTGAAAGCAATACACTGATTGCATTTGCGAACCTAAGAATCTTGATGAACTGTGCACATGCAACAGATGTGCTTGAACTACCCATTTTAACTGGGCCTGGGGTTCAAAATAACTCAAAATGTAGCAGAAAAGAAATGGGAAGTCTCTAACATCAGCACATGTGCTGTAATAAAATAAATTTTGCTTGATATATAATTAATGCTGGAATCCATGCTCATGGAATTTTAAGTTAGTTCAATAGGTGTCTACAGTTTCCCTTACTCTTTGAAAATGTGGTTCTGAACTGAGTGCCCAGCTCAGTCCTTTTTTTAAAAAATTTCTCTTTTTTCTTCTAAATACCCATATAGTTACTTTAAAGGCAATGTAAGCATCTTTTTCATAAAGTTTCCTTAACAAAATTTCTTTTAACAGCAAGGCAATTCCTTTGCTATATGAATGTTTCATAAGAATAGCAAACTAATAATAAAATTCCCCTTTACCCCTCAGCCTTTTGTTCTTGCACAGCCCTCTGGTGAAAGCTGGATAATCATCATATTGCGCAGTGAACAATTCATGTGTTTGAACACAGCTGGAGAGGCAGGTTTATAGGTGCAAGGCGAAGCTGGCTTTGAAATACCTAGTTTCCCTGGAACCTCAGCTTCAAATCACAGCTGGGGCAGGTGCTTCTCCCTTCATTCTTCAGAGTCACAAACAGTGAGATTCATTCTGTAAAGGTATTAAAGGTTCTCTGGGACATTATCCATAAGATCTGGAGTTGTGTTTGATGTCCTGAGAAAACTTCTGCAGCATTCTCGTTCGTTGTCATAAAAGAACTTGTCCCCTAAAGTTGGCTGGGACCATTTAATCCCATTCATTTTGGAAACTCAGTAAGAAACTGGTGTTGTTCTATGAGGCCTCCACAACCTACCTGGCTAATTTCCTGTTGACTTATGTTATGTAATTTACCTATCCTTGTGCTAATTTTCTGTTGACTTATGTTATGCTGTTGTTGCTATTGTTGTTCAGGTTGTACCTTATAGGCAGGTATAATTGTCCTTTTCACTCTATCAGTTCGTTTCAAATGCTCTCTCTGTAACTGTACAAGCAGTTTAACAGTTCCAACCTCAGCCTTTCCATTTGTAAAATGATGATAATCATGTCTGTCCTGTCGTTTAATCTACGTTTTTGTTTTGAATTGTGTCCTCTCCCAAAACTCATATGCCAAAGCCCTAACTCCCAAGGTGACTGAATGTAGAGACAGGGCCTTTAGGAAGGTAATTAAGGTTAAATGAGGTCATAAGACTGGGGACTTAATCCCATAGGGCTGGCGTCCTTATGAGCAGTGGGAGAGAGCAGGAGAGCACACGCACACAGAGAAAGGCCATGTGAGGACGCAGGGAGAAGGTGTCTGTCTTCAAGCCAGGAAGAGAGGCCTCACCAGAAAGCAAGCTTGCTGGCACCTCGATCTTGAAATTCCAGCTTCCAGAACTGTGAGAAAATAAATTTCTGTTGTTTAAATCACCCAATCTGTGGTATTCTAGGAAGCCCTAGCAGACTGATACAGTTTCCAACTTAGAACTCTTTTTTTTTTTCAATCCAGACCATGTTCATCTATTTATAAGATAGCACACTTAAATTTTCCTAAGGCATTTTAACCTTAACATGTCTGATTTCATCATCATTCTCCCCAATACCTGCTTCTTCACCTGAATTACTTATCTCCATGAATAGGATGGCTAGACTTCCATCACCCTAACTAAAAATGAGGCTGTTATCCTTGGCCCTTCTCTCACCTTCATCCCCAACATCAAGTTTTCTACCATGTCCTATTAGGTTTACCTTCAAAATAGCTCTCAAATCTAGTTTCTTCTTTCTGTCATTGCTGACAGAGTTTAACTGGGGCCTTCATTTCTGGTACTCAGTTTTCCCATTACCTGTGAATTTTTTCCCGCCCTCTCTTCCTTTTTTACTTAGTCTAATGAAATCTAATTCTAGGGATTAAAATCACCTAGCCTTCCCCGGGATAAAATAGAAAATCCTTAGTATAACAAACAGAGCACTTCATGATTTGTTTCTCTCGGGTCTTTAAGTCTTATCTCATATTTCCAATCATGTTCTTCCACCCCAAACATAAAGTACTACCCTTGGTAACTTGAATCTTCTCAGCTTTCTCAAGCTGTAATGCTTTTGCCTTGCCCTGTCCTCTGTATCTGAAATGATGCTTCTATACAACATCTGTGTATCTTTTAATGTTTAACTTAGCACATTTTCTAAAAAAAGCTTCCTTGGATTTCAGGCTTGGGCAGGTATGCATTATCCACCCGTGTAAGGATGAAGTACTTTCCTCTATTCGTTGTTCTTATTGACAGTTATTTTTTGCTTTTTAAAAATCGTGTTTTAGTTTTTTTAAAACGTCTTTCTCCTACTAGATTTTAAATTCTTTCGGGACAGAACTGTAACTTTACACCCTTGTGGTTCAACAGTTTCTCCTTGTGACAGAGTAGGCAGTTAATATTTCTTGAATAAATGAATTAAATACTACTAAATAAATAAATCCCATCTTCCTAAAATTTATTTATTGATTAAAATTTTGGAATATGAGCCCAAACTAACCTAGTAATAGCTTGGGAATTATAGAATCCTAAGTAATTACATTTTCACATGGTATTTCCTTTAGTCGCCTAAGAGTTTGCATATTATACATATACATGCATATACTTAAAATATATTTATTAATGTAGACATTAATTACAAACTGATTAAACTTAATTTATATTTGAGAATTTTGAAAGACTCCAAGAGAATACCAGAGTTTCTCTATCATATTGTGATTTGAGGATTCAGATCATGGGGAAAAATTTGGTGGAATTGTTACTGTTTAAAAATAATTGCATAACTAAATGAACTTAGTTGTTGAACCCCCATCGTTGGTAAAGTTACATTAGCTAAGAATCATCCCACAGAGTACTTTTCTATCAGATAAGCCATGTCATTTTAGAATTGGACATTTTTCATCTCGGGGGAAAAATTAATTACAAATGTAAGAAAAAAATGGTGTGTGTGTGTGTGTGTGTGTGTGTGTGTGTGTGTTGGGGTGGTGGGTGAGATTGAGAGAGAGATTCTATTTAGTTAAGTAATCTAAGCATTTATCTCTAAAGAATTTTCAAAAGCCTGTTGTAAGAAGTTTAGATTGGCTGCTACTAACAATGTTGGTGCAAAAAAAAAGTCAGACTCTAAAACCCAGTCTTATTTAAGATATAAGCAATTATAGCAATAACCAAAAAAGGTGGCAATATCTACCAAAGTTAAATTAGCCTATAATAATCTATCGGTGGCTTTTATTCTTATTGTTATTTTCATTTTTGCTCCTCTTTAGAAAAGTCTTTTCACACCGGACCATTCGGTTCTTGTGTTCTTATGAGATTCTCCCATCATAATTATCCTTTAAGAAAAGTTTTAAGAGCCTTGCCTTAATGAGACTCTTCTCTGTCTCTGAAATCATCAGTAGAGGTTGGATGATAGTGCTTAAAGGGCAGATAACTGAAATTGCTTTGGAATTAATTGGTTAGCAATTTTCTTTTTTTCTGATCGGAAAAAAGGACAAATAGTTACTGTTCACATTTCTTAGAAAATGGCATTAACTCAACCAGAATTTAAAAATCATTTATTTGAATTATGAATCAAATATTTACATGCTCTATCTTTAGAAGGATTCTATAATACTGTTCCTAAAATAGTATTTTCCTCTATGTTAGTATTTTATGTTGGACAAACTCAATAATGCTTAACTCATCTTCTTATTTGTATGCTTTACTTTAACTTTTTTTCTTGTTTTCTTGATTTCAATTAGCAACAGAAGAAATTAACTGGCTTATTGTAGTGCTTTTCTAATTACTTTGTAATGATTTTTTATTTTCACAAATTGGGAAAATAGAGTAATGAGATGGTAAATTTTTGATGAATTTCACTTGTTTTCTTTCCCAAGAATTCTGGAAAGGTATAAATAGGGAATTCAGCAAGAGAAAGTCTCCTGTTTTTACATGGTAAATTCTGCTTCAGGACGTCTCATTACCAGTTCCGTTTCTGTTTCTTGGACTGGCAATGCCTGTGTCAATTAAAAAATTCTAGTATCAGTTTTAAGGCCTTGAAATATAGGCAAAGAACAGGCTAAGGAGTTGGCTATATCTGAGTTGGAAACATGGTTGGACGATTTAAAGGCTGTGTGACTTTTGGCCCCTGACTTAACTTCTCTGAATCTCAATAGTAGCTAATGATACTCAATTGACAAGGTTGCTGTGATAATTAAATGATATAATTTAGAACAGTACCTAGTGAATGTGTGATATTAATATCTGCTCAATAATAATAGTAGTTGTTGTTCTTGGTATTCACAAAAATAGGCAGTTTGAATACTAGCTCAGATTGTTCCAGATTTCATAAATATTTTTGCTGTGTGGCTCATTTTACCAAAAATGTTTTGCCAAATATGACCCAATGAAAAACTTAAACTTTCCTCCATCAAAATACCTGCTAAATTAAAAGTATTACTTATTTTATACTGTTTTTGCCAAAAACAATTAAGAAAAATGGCAGAGTGCTTTCTCAACTGTTTAAGACAAAACTGGTTTCAAGGATATTCAAGTTCTGTACCTTCAGTTAGTTTCATGTCATTGTCAAAAGCATCAGTGAAACAACTACTGTAATAAAAATTAGAATAAATATATAATAATCATAACAACAATAGCAGTAATTGAAGTCAAGTCACCGCTGTAAGAACAGTAACAGAATCAATTCAGCAGGCACTCTACTGCAACATTACTCTTACTAACATCAAAGATAGCTGAGCATTTTTCTTAGTTTCTCAACAAGTACTGAATGGCTGCTCTAGATACATTATTTCTACTTGATCCTTATCACTGGGATGGTTGTTTCAATATTTGATCTGAACTGAGCAAGCAGGCAAAGAAGTAGCAGACATGAGCACCAGCCGGAAATCAATACTGGGGACTTCAGTACCATATAAAAAGGTCTACAGACTGGTCCAGATACACAGGGCATTTTGTCTTTTGATAAGACACATGTGCTATCACTTCTAGATTAAAGTTTGCACAGTATCAGAGAGGATAATTATTTTTCAGTGTTTTTCCAAGCATGTGAAATTAAACAACAACAATAACAAAAACAAACCTACAAACATAATCTGTAAATCAGACCTGGACTCTGGAAAGATCTATGGAAATAATCTAGTTTAGAAGTTTCTTTAAAACATTGTAAAAGCAAAATCTTACTTAGAACCATCTTCCTTCCTCAACATGCACCCCCAGGATAAAAAACGATTTGCCCTACTGAGAGGGCAGTAGGCAGCCTAGACCACTGCTTGTTTTGGTTTCCCCTTTCACACTCTGAGAGAGCTCTAATGAACCTTGTGATTTGGAGAAACACATTTTTAAAAAACATCAAAATAGGCCATGCGCGACGGCTCACGCCTGTAATCCTAGTACTTTTGGAAGGTGAGGTGGGTGGATTACCAGAGGTCAGGAGTTTGTGACCAGCCTGGCCAACATGGTGAAACCGCCTCTCTACTAAAAATACAAAAATTAGCTGGGCGTGGTGGCGGGTGCCTGTCATCCCAGCTACTCGGGAAGCTTAGGTGGGAGAATTGCTTGAACCCAGGAGGTGGAAGTTGCGGTGAGCCAAGATCACACCACTGTACTCCAGCCTGGGTGACAGAGTGAGACTTTGTCTCCAAATAATAATAATAAAAATATTGGAATAGATAAACTTTTCTATTTTTAGAGGGGCAACAATTGAAGCCAAGAGAGAAAAAATTATTTGCTGTAGTTCAGGCAAGTATTTTATTTATTCAATGAATGTATATAATACTAAATGCCTACACAAACCCTGACAATACAGCGAAGTGACTAAGACTTTACTGATCATGAGGGTGATCGTGATGACCAGAGTTCATGTGGTCACAGAGCTTACATTATAGTTGGGAGTAGGGAGAGGGAGACAGTAAACATACAAAAATGAATAAGCAGACAAGTTAAAAATGTGATATAACATGATTGGGACAGGACTTTTAGGTAGCTGATAAGTACAGCTAGTTAAAGAACGTCTTTGGACACAAATCCAGAGTCCAAAAAATACTAATAAAATATTTATAGATGTTTTCTTTCTAAGATGTGATGATTTTAACATAAAGATATGTTAAGCAAAAGTGAAAGAATTATAAATGTATCATTATGATCACTTCTTGAATTAATTGAATTTCTGCTTAATCTGTTTCTTCTTTTCCTGTTTTTATACATTTGAACATATTTTTGAATCAAGAAAAGTAGAAAGTCCTTTCAAATTTGAAGATACAAAGAAATTGAATTTAGTTTCCATTTTGGATAATTTAGGTGACTGAGAAAGTTCAGTGTAGTAGTTTAAAATAATAGAACCAAATTTCTCACAGCCTACTAAGAGTATTCCATTCTGATTTTTGTAATGCAGTATCTAATTTGATATAAATGGAATCTATTATGAATCTACAGATCTTTCATTATTAATTAATATCCAAAGTTTAATAAATATTGATTATTGACTATGGGTAACATGTTACTAAGCATTATGAGAAAGCCATTGAAGCATAAAAATTTCTAGCCCCAGAGGCACTCACACAACTTAATTGGAAGAAATAAAACATACTTAAATACACAAGATCTTACATTATAAGGATCAAATAATAGTATAAATTTTTTTGGTACAGAAAATCAGTTAGGAAGAAATTACCATTGTTCAGAATAATTGTAGAAAGTTCACAGGGGAATGTGCTCTGTGAATTGAATCCTAAAAAAATAAGATATGGATGGGTAGGTGTTGGAAAAGAAATAAGTAGTAAGGAAGTTTCCAGAGATAAGACTGTCATAAGCCAAGGCTTTGTGATGAGAACAAGCAAGAATTATTCAGGCAACAGTTACCTGAAAAATTGGACAAGAGCAGAAAGTTAATGGTGAGGATTAGTGAAAAGGTTACAAAGATAGATTTGTAATAGATTTGGAAGGTCTTAAATACCTAAGCCAAAAGGTAGATTTGTTCTATAGGTAGCACCGGGGAGAGCAGTATATATACATTCAAGATTTTTGAGTAGAGAGGAGATGTTGAATTCATGTAGGTTGAGATTCCTCTAATCCCGAATGCCCATTTTGTACATGAGAAGACTAAGGTCCCTAGCAGTAATTGTCTTGTCTGAGGTAAGGCAACTGGTCCTTCTGGAGCATCGCTTTCCTTCCCCTGGCATCTTTATGGCATACCAGAAAGTCTGTCAAAATGAGTACAAGTTTTTTCATTTGTTTCTTTTCAGATAATTGCATTGCTGAGGGTGACTCTGGTACATTGGAGGGAAGAAAAATAGTTTAGAGTAAGTCTGATTCGATGCTTAGGGCATCATAAAGGTCTAAGTTAACGTTTCTTAACTTTTTAAAATTGAATCTGTCTTTGGATATATAAAATTAATCTCATTCCCTTTAATTCTTTTGGAAACTTTGAAATAAAGTAAATTAGTTTGATGATAAATAAAACATTATAATAAAACATTATAATAAAACGTTATAATATTTAATTTTGATTTTTGAAACTACACATTCTCCTGTTGATGTGAACTATCTCCATCTTTCCTCCCTTCTGTTGACATTGAGAACCACTGACATGAACATGGGTGGTGGCTGGAAGGAAGGAAGAGTTGCAAGGGATTTTTTGAGGAATGAACCGTGTGGCTTACAGAACTTGGGGACCAGTTATGAAGCTGAGAGACGAGGTGGCAAGGATACATCCTAGGCTCTAGTTTCCAAAGAGTATTCCTTCAAAGACAGTCAATAGGTCAAATAGGTTTGAGAAAAGCTACAAAAATTGAATTGTTCTAAAGCACAGGAGTTTTCAGCATCTTCACATTTTAAAGTGCACAACTTTCTATGGTTGGAACAAAGCATTCAGCCCTTTGCAGATTTATTTGACCACTAAGCCCTAACCGCATGGGGCTGTGGTTTCATGGAAGAAATGTTTGGGATATGCATCTCTAAGTTATTAGCAAGTCTCTACTTGAAAGCTCTCTGACCAAGTATTAGAGACCCTGGACCCTGCGTCTTCCTACCTTGAACTGGTATCCTGGCTTGAAGACTTTTTCTGCTAACGGGCAGCCTTGAAAAATATTCTGGTTGGCCTTGACTAACTCAACCCAAATGCTGGTCTAGATCTAGATCAGTTATAATCTTAACTGCTTCTTTGCCAGCCACATACCTTCACTCATGATACTATTATTATAAATAATATCTCCCAAATTGTTTACTATATTATGCCTTAAATTGGCAGTCTATCACCCACTGTGGTCAGAAGCAGAAGGATGTGTGGAGTAAAAGAGGAGATATAATAGCAAAATGTGATAAAGAAATAAAGTATACTGAAGTTTAACTCTCAGGTAAACTTTAGATATGACTCTAAAGCCTATGACAAAGTTGGTAATACCAGTCTCAGAAAGCCATAAAACCCAAATGAAAAAAAAAAAAAAGAGTAGCAGGTGGCTGCATTTTGTTTTACCACACTTGACAAGCTTTAAACAATTAGTGAAGATAGCTAGGTAATAAGAGGGTGCTGATATCTGGTATTAGAGTAACCAGTGTGTGTAATAAGCTTTTTTTTTTTTTTAAAGAGAGACTTCACAGGTGAATTAAGCATACATTCATCTTTTGTGGAGAAAAATAAAATGTAATATCAAAAGATAATATAAGAAACCAAATGTGGAGGGAAGAGAAGTGGAGGGGAGAGAGAAAGAATAATTTGAGGAGTGGAAGAAATTTGGGGAAATTAGTTGTAAGAAAATATTCAGAGGGGCTAAGATAAGCATCCGTAGGACAAAAGTCAGAGTAGTATATTTAATAGTTTAAATAAACTTCAACTACAATTTGAAAAATGATTACAAGTATAGGATAATTTGAGCATATTCAGCATGTCTTTGAAAAGGTCATAGTTTTAAATAAGCAATTTTACTGCCATTAATTACCAAGTTTATAAAAGTATTTCCAAGAAAACATTTTCCCCCCAGCAGGGGTTCACTCGTTTCTTTCCTGTAAGAAATAATCATTTCCATTTTAAGCAGAGTCGAAAGCTTTGTTGCACTGAAATCAAAGAAGCTATAAACTGCTTTGTAGGTAAAAGCCTCCTTTTCAGAAATGGGTCTCTCAGGCAACTCCAAATTAGAAGCAATAGTTTAGAGATTGAGGGTGACAGAGGAGCTGCCAGTCACACTGACGTAGGAAGCAAATTTAACTCTGATTTGGAAATAAAGATTGAAAATACTATACAATGGCTTTGTCTAATTAGCTGATTGAAGCAATCTGGGTATATGATCAAGGAATGTGTGTAATAATTTCTAGAGACCCTTTTGCTGCAAAGATGGATTATGATGTTATAATTTCAGAGGAATAAAATCATGTTGGTCTTTTTCTTCTCCCTAAGATATATTTTAGTCATTGGCTTGTTTTGTGCATTACTCACCATTAACCAACAAAATTAAGCTGCTCAGTTTCACATCAATGGTTTGACTCATTTTCTGGTCATTAAGCACATGCTTCTTCCTGTAGTCTCTTCTTCACAGCAATAAGGATAGGATTAAAATATTTTTTTAAAAAAGTAATTCACAGAGGCACTTACAGTCATTATTTTTTATGAAATTCATTCCTTGAGCAACCAATTTTGAATCATAAATGGCTGGAAATTATTTTTTAATCACAGAATATTACTGCTTAAAAATCATGAGCTACAACAATGAATCACAATGTGGTATTTAGAGTCAATAAAGGGAGAAGTCACAGTAACTAGTTATTCCCTGTAGCTTTATAAATAATGATCTTAAACTGAGTTTAAGAAACTGTGTCAGTCAGATCAACTGAATAATAGAATATAAGGATATTCAAGAATATCCTCTTAAGCATTTAAAGTATCTGACCATGAATTTGAAGATGATTCCGTAGGCAAGAATGCTGAAGGCAAGAAGGAAGAATACTTAGCAGTTGTGAGGTGGTGAATAGAGTATGTCAGGAGTAGTTAAAAGAAAAGTCCTTGCAAGAGGGTGGCCACCAGAACATTTGATCCTGTGATGTGTCAGTGGGAATTCTGCATTGGAATGGATTCTTTAACCAAGGAGATGAACAGAGTTGGAGCTCTGGACCAGCAATCTCAGTTCTTGTGAGAGTAAACAAAAAAATTGCAGACTAACTCCAGAATGCAAGCTTAAAGCAAAGTTAATTGAAGCATAGAAATATACTCTCAGAGGGAGAGCAGACTTATTTTTGTGAAGTGAGATCAGCACCTCTTTACAAAACTTGAGGTCCTTTTATGGGTTTCTGGGGAGCAGTTGAGGTTTGGGCTGTGTTTGAGTGACAGGATGATGTCATTTGATTGGCAGTTTATGTTTATGTAGCTAAAATTAAACTGTGCATATTTTTACCTATAATTTGTTTTAAAACAATGCCCACTCAGGGGAGCAAAAACCACATGTAAATTTTATTATAATAATGGTATCATGAGCCTAGGGTCAATTCCAAGATAGAGCTTTAGGTTATTGGGCATGTGCTACTTTGGGGGATTTCCACTTGTGCTCTAGTTTCTCTTTCTATAAGATGTGCTGGATACAGTCTCCACCAAAAACTCCATCTGTTAGGGTGGAGTTAGGGTGGTTCCAGAGCTGAACTTAGGTGGGCCAGATGCAGTTTTAGAGATGGCTTTTCTGCTCTCTTCTCTTACCCCTTCCCAGCTGCTAATGTCTATCTCACTACCTAACATGAGGAGCATATTTCTGTGGATTCCCAGGGAAGGACCAAATTTATCAAAAGTGAAATGTTAATCAAGATCCTTGTCAGGTAAATCTTGTCTTACATTGGTTCTTGATTCAGGTCTACTTTGCTTTACATAGTTGAAAAGTGTCTGAAAAAAAAAAAACCTGTAAATAAAATTTTGTAAAACAAACTCTTTTAAATGTTCTGGCTGAGGAGAGCATTCCAAGTACCAAGAGGGAAACCAATTGTAGATAAAAATTTGAAAAAAGAAATATTACCCTTTGCATGCTTGCTTTGTGGTTTTGGAGGTTAACATTTTGTGTGTTGGGTTTCTTTCCAGAATAATACACCTATACCTGGAATGATTCTAAGAGTAGGAGGAGTAGAATCAATTCTCTGAAGCTGTGTCTGTATATTTAATATTGATTTGTCAGCTTTGAGCAAACTGAGATAGTTCTAACTTGTTTGATTGAATTAATGAGGCTGTTCCATTAACAGTATCAAATTATTTGTGCATGGCTTCCTATCATTGAGCGTTTCAAGCCTAATACACTATGAATGACAATAGTAAAGTTATTTAGAATTTATTCTTCTAAAAAATGGTAAATTCCAAAAGTGAACTCAATAAAAATAGCAATTAAAGCTGAAAATTAAGAGTCCTGTTGATTATGTTTTGTTTTTAAGAAATGCACTATTGCATTTTCATATTAGTTCTACTAAATTAGAAACATTCCAAGTGAAAAAAGAAGTTATTAATTCTGTTTGTGTCAAATGTTATTACTTTGTTTGTGTGTGATTGAATTAGTTATTAGCAACAGATGAAGGTTAGAGAAGGGTAATGGTGATTATCTGACCTTAGAGTCATCTTAAGAGGACTTTCTCCTGTTTGTGCTAAAGTAAAGTGGTTTGCTATTGACTTTTTCCCTATGTGCTATTTATTGAACCTTTCGAGCTTCTCTAAATAAATCATCCATCCAACTAGTCATTATGCCATCTGACAAATGTTTAAGCTTTTTGAAGGCACTCACTAAAAATATTCCTTAGAATAGACTTATCTGATTAAATGTGTAACAAATGTTTTAAACTTATGTAAAGCAATTATATGAATAAAATTAACTTTAAAATGTATATATTATTGTGTGGTGTAAAACTTCCTTTTAAAAAGGGTTCTACAAATAAGGAAGTTTGAAAATCAATACTTTAATACAAAGTCTGAAGATGTTCTGAGTTGAAAGCAGAAATTAGAGTATTTCAATATAGAATGTGATAATGTTGAGAACATTATTCCAGTTTGCTCTATAAATCAGAGTCAGTAGCAACAAAATAAGAAAGAATTAGATCCGTAAAAACTTGAGCAGTTGTAATTATCAGACATACACAGAAAATAGTGATACCTAATACATTTAAACAACTTTTTAAAGAAGTAAGGGGGAATAAAAAAGATGAATAAGAGCAAGACACTATACTAACAGAATAAATAATAAAAATAACTTTCAGTAATAAAAATACATAATTAAAATAAATTTAGAACTATCTCTTGTTCTATGTATAATATATACACACATGCAAATACACACACACGCACATAAATACACATATACACACAGTAGAATATTAAAAATAGCTGAGGAGAGAACAGGAATAAAATTTTTAAAAAATTATCTAGAATCTAGTGTAGGAAGATAAAAAAAGAAGTATGTAGAATAACAATAAAAAAGACAGGTAAAATAGAGCGAGTAGATCTAATATATGGGATTCCAGAAGCAGAACAGGGAAATAATGAAAGAGACAGTATCCCAAGCAATAAAAGTTGAGAAATTTTCAGAACTTTAGAATGTTAATGAAAAACACTTATCTTCAAAGTCCAAAAGCCCAACTTCCATGCAGAATAAATAAAAACAAGTTGACATTCAAACACATCTAGACACAAAGAAGTCTTAAAAATGGCCAGAAGAAAAGACTATCCAAAAAGAAACAAGTAGAATGATGAATGATTTCTCAACAGCAACAGTTGAAGTCAAAAGATCATAGAATATCTCCAAATTACTGAAAGGAAACAACAGCCAACCTAGAGTTGTATATTCACTAAACATATCTTTCAAAAATGAATATGAACTAAAGTTGTTTTAGAAAATAAAAAGGGCCAGAGTTTGCAACAACACCCTTCCACTAAGAAGCCTTTTCAGGTAGAAAGAAAGTGATTCTAGATGAAAAGACTAAAATGCAAGAAGAAATGATGGACAAAGAAAGCAAAACCTATAAATATTTACTAAATAAACAGCTACTAATGACATATTGTAAAGCTAAATATACAGTAAAATAGAACTCTGATACCTAACACCAATAACATATAAAGTAGGAAACAAGTTGTTTGGGTTGTACTAAATGTCACTAAGATGGAAACACACATAAAGTACGCTAAATTCATTAAGAAGGAAGTTTTCACAGAGTGTAGTTCCAATAAGAACTTCCAAAAGGTTTTTGTATGTTTTTTGACTGAGGTATTCAAAGGGCTGTAACAATTCTTTGAATGAATGACTAGGTGAAGAAAGTTTCTTATTTTTCAGTATTAGATTCTGATAAATTAAGTGTAGATGTTACAATTTCTAATACAGCTTTGGTAGATTAGAGAGTTTACAAATGTCAAACTAGTCAAGGAGGAAATGGAATAAAAAATCCTTTAAAATAAGATAACAAAGGAAAGGGTAAAGAAACAGAAAATGAAGGCAATTAGAAAAAACAAAATACAATGATAGAAATAAATCCAAAAATATCAGTACTCACAATAAATATTCATGGCATCCAAAGTAGAAGAGATAAATTGTGATGCATTTATACTACAGAGTACAATAAACTAGTGAAAACTAACAAACTAGAATTTACAAACAAAAACATGCGTGAATGTCAAGATAATTTTGCCCACACAAAATTTGCAGAAGACACATACAATTCTATTTATGCAGGGTTAAAAACACATAAAACTAAATAATATATTTTTGTAAGGGTGTAAACATTAGTGATAAGGTCATACAAAAAAAGTGAATTGGAATAATTAAAGTCATTTCTTCTTCTGATGAGAAAGATTAAATGAATATGATTGGCATAGGTCATATAGGAGTTGTCAAAGTTCCTATTTTGATGCCTCTTAAACTTGGTAGTGAATTCATGGCAGTTTGTTGTATTGTCATTTACAATTTAGACCTATTGCTACAGTCTGAATATTGTATTTCCCCCAAATGCATATGCTGAAACCTAATGTTTAATGCAATTGTGTTGAGAGTAGGGACTTTGGGAAGTGATTAGGTCATGAGGCCTCCTAACTCATGAATGGGATTCATGCCCTTATAAAAGAGATTTGAGGGAGCCTGTTTTCTCTTTCCACCACGTGAGGACACATACAAGGTACCATCTATGAGGAAAAGGTGCTCACCAGACACTAAATCTGCTAGCGTTGATCTTGGACTTTTAAAATAACAGTACTTTAGGGCATATGAGGCCAGCTTTACACTTGAGGCAGCCCCTTTTCAAATTTCTTTCATTCACTAAAGTCAGACAATTTTTCACTCCACAAATCCACAATTTATGATTTGTTAGTACAGATCATTCTGGGGAAGGTAATAATAGAATTCAGTACACAGCGAAGTGTAATGATCTGAGATCAGGGCTTTGATAGGCTGGGATGTGAAGAAGAGGAAAGGACACTGAATATCTGGGAGGAAGTGAGACCAAGTAAAGAGCAGAGCGGAGGAGTGAAGGGCCTGTTTGATCTTCATAGATCTGGCTATTACCAGCTCTAAGGCCGTCAACAAACTCATTTATGGATAATATAAAGGGATTTGGAGGAGGGATTTGGAGGCTCTTCAAGTCTCTCTGGCCTCCAGTTTCCTCAATTGTAAAATGTGAGTCTAGGTCATGAAGACATTTGATGTCTCTCCCATTTCTTACATTCTATGCTGTGTGATTACATGAACACAAAGCTGTCTTAATTGCCTTGGTTTGCACCAGAGAATAAATGCAGATAAACTACCCGTGCTCATTAAATTCCATTCAAATTATGAACACCTGCATTAGAAACACGACCATCATATAATCGCTGATGCAGTCCACTGGTGATTAATTAGGAAGTATTATTCCTCTTGTGTAAATGTTTAACAGGGATCCTCATGTTGCTTATGCTGCGTTTATCTATGGGAGGGAAAACCTGGATTGAGGCATTAAAGGTGAAAGATTTCTTTATGGCAGAGAGGAGTCTAACAATTTATATTTTCAGAATTTTACTCAGCTGCTGAGCTACTCATTGTCAAAGGGAGGTAATGCTTCAGTTTCTTGCTGCCTTATATAATTTCCATTAGATATGTTACTAAAATTGGTAAGCTCTACTATAAGTATGCATGAAAATCAAATAGTGAAATAGCCCATTCTATATGTTATAAAATTTTGGTACGTAGGATATACCATGACAATGAATAACTAAAGCAAATCTGATGACTCTGAAACAATAACAGAAGTCAGAATCAGATCACAGTAATTAATGCTGATGATAGTGACTATTAACAATGGAGATAAAATCAAATATATCCTTATTAATTACTGAATTATCCCATGATTTATAGAAAAACTCTATTTTTAAGTGTATCCAATAAAGGCTATAGTATTCTTTTCAAAGAATGATGCTATGTGAAAAGAGCATTTTATAAATTATAGCACTTATTTTTTTTAAAATGTTTGTTTGCAAACCATTGAAAAGAATGCAATGCTGGATAATGTAATTTTACTACTAATAAAGAGAGTAGATTATATTGTTGGTAAGCAAGTTAATCTTTAGGAAGCAGCCAATATTATGTGTTGAAATGAGGCCAATTTAATCAGCGAGCAGAAATTCCTGAGTCAGAAACCCAACTTGCCAAAAAACTGACATTACTTGGAATAAAACCAGCGAGTCCACATTTAAAACTTCCTCTCTTTTAAACTTGGCCCTAACTTTTAGATTCTCTTGCAGCCTAACAACAACAACAAAAATGCAGTTGTTTCATTTAGCTTTCCCATGGGCACTGGCCCAGATTTCAGAGTCATCCATGCTTTTTGAGTTACCTTCTGTCAATAGTCTACAAAAAAGGGCCTGAACTAAGATAGTCGAGATAATGCAAACAGAAGGGAATAAGAGAGAAATGGACTGCTTACTTGATTTCACTCTGGTTTATCATAATGTCAGATATAATGTGCATGTAATACCCTTAAGGGAAAACCACATTTTTTTTTGTATGGTGCTCTGAAGTGCATTAGCTATATCTTTTATAAAAGGGTTGTTTTTTATTCTGCGTAGTATCTGTGAATAGCCAATATTTTGTAGACCCTTTATACTTTAATATTGGAATTAAATTTCTTCAGCCGTTTGTAAGGATTAGCTAACAGACTGTGGATTAAAGTAAAGGCTACCCAAGGAAGAAATGAAAGTAACTTGCTATGGTAAACTGAATAATGCGCCCACTCCTCCACTCATAATGTCTGCATTCTAATTCTTGGACCTGTCCGTATGTTACTTACACGATAAAGGAGACTTGTAGATGTGACTAAGTAAGGATTTTGAGATGGGGAGATTTTCCTGGGTGGACCCAATGTCATCACAAGCATCCTTATAAGAGGGAGGCAGATGGGTCAGAGGGAAGAGAAGATGTGACAACAGAAGCAGAGGTCAGAGTGATGCTATTGCTGGAAGGACATGAGCCAAGGAATGTGGGCAGTCTCTTGAAGCTGGAAGAGGCAAGTGCCTTAGTTCACTCAGTCTGCTATAACAAAATACCATGCACTGGGTAGCTTATAAACAACAGAAATTTGTTTTTCACAGTTCTGAGTCTGTGGAGTCCAAGGTCAAGGTGCCAGCAGATTCTGTGTCTGGCCTGCTTCTGGTTCACAGATGGCATCTTTTAGCTGTGGCCTCACATAGTGGAAAGGGCTATTTAGCTTTCTGGAGCTTCTTTTATAAAGCAACTAATTTCAATTATCTCAACAATTAGACACTATTAACAAACCAAGTTAGAATACAGATGTTGGTGGAGATGCAGGAAACAGCTGGTCTTATTTATTGCTAATGGAAGTGTAAATCCTTACAACCTTAATAAAAGGCAATTTGGCAATGTAGATCAAAGTAAGTAGAATATTCTCATGTGTATTCTCTGTTCTATCAATTCCACCCTATGTAAATAGTCCAAAGAAATAACTAAGGACATATGCAAGTGTTTAACTACAAAGAAGTTCATCTCAATGGGAATATACAGTCACAGGAAAATACTGGAAACAATATTTTTGTCCAACTTTTGTTTGAATGTCCAACAACAGGGGTTTGGTTAACTATAACATAATAAATTATAATGTAATAAGTCAATAAATGATGTTAACTAACTATATAGTACTGGTAAGTTGCAAAAATGACGTTATGAAAATATGCTACTTACTTTTTAGAAAGATGCTGAAGGTAGGCTGTATTTTTTAAATAAAGTGAGGTATATCACAATATCTATAATGCACCTTTTTCACTATATATATAAAATACCACGCAGATTATATACATACATACACATAAACATACAGTTTTGAAGAATATTTACCACTGAGGTACACTAAAGGCTAACACTTCTATATCACAACTAGGTTCCGGAATTTGTTTTGAGCATTTTACGTGTATTAACTCATTTGATCCTTACAGTAAACTAGAAAAGTAAGTATTAATATTAGCATTCATTTTACAGCTGAGGAAAGCAGACCCCAGAAAGTGTAAGGTGATGTAAATAATGAGTGAGAGATCTGGGATTTTACCCTAATACGGTGTCCAGGATCTGCATGCCTAATCCCTAGGCAATACTACTGCCTCTCTCAACAGGGCCTATCAAATATTTTATTTGATATGTATGCTAATCTGCGTTTTCTAATTTTCATATAGCAACAATAAAAAATAGCTAAGATGTACTGAGTGATTTAATTATTCTAGGCAGTGTGCTAAGTGCTATATATATATATATATATATATATGAATATGATGTCAATCTTTTTATTTATATTTATTTATTTATTTATTTTTTGAGACGGAGTCTTGCTCTGTCACCCAGGCTGGAGTGCAGTGGCGCCATCTCAGCTCACTGCAACCTCTGCCTCCCGGGTTCAAGCGACTCTCCTGTCTCAGCCTCCTGAGTAGCTGGGATTACAGGCGCGTGCCACCACACCTGGCTAATTTTTTTGTATTTTTAGTAGAGCCGGTGTTTCACCATATTGGCCAGGCTGTTCTCAAACTCCTGACCTCGTGATCCGTCCTCCTTGGCCTTCCAAAGTACTGAGATTACAGGAGTGAGCCACCGCACCTGGACAATTAGTTTTAATTAAAACCTACAAAACAATGCTTTTAAACATACTTTTTTGCATATTAAGTAACTGAGTCTCAGAGAGGTTTAGAAACATTTTCATAATCATACAATTATTAAGTGTCAGATTCAAATTTGTATTTACCTCAGTCCAGGGTCATTATTCTTAAACACGATATCACTCTGCCTTAATAAGTATAACATGTAGAAAAAAGTAATTAAGAAAAAAGAAGGGCTGGGTGCGATGGCTCACGCCTGTAATCCCAGCACTTTGGGAGGCCGAGGCGGGCATCTTACTTGAGGTCAGGAGTTTGAGACCAGCCTGGTCAACATAGTGAAACCCCGTCTCTACTAAAAATATACAAAAATTAGACAGACGTGGTGGCAGGTGCCTGTAGTCTCAGCTACTTGGGAGGCTGAGGCAGGAGAATCACTTGAACCCCGTGAGGCAGAGGTTGCAGTGAGCCGAGATTGGGCCACTGCACTCCAGTTTGGATGACACAGCTAGACTCTAGTCTTAGTTTCAGAGGGCTTTAGTATAGCATTTGATGTAGTATAATAACAGTGATTCTCTGTACATCACAGACTTGGTTAATATTGAGTCTGTTTCATTAAAGTGTCCATTCAATTTAGGCATAGGTTAAGCATGCAACAGATTCAATATAAATTTCACTGTAACTAGTGTATTTCCAATATATAATCCAAATAGTGGAATTTGAATTTAATTGTTCCTAACAGGAAAGATGCCAACTACATAACATAAAGTTGTCTACACATTCACAGGGATTGATGTATAAGCAGTAGAAAGAATCTTTCACCCTTTCCCATGAACATTTATTTGAGAAATCTGTTGTAGTGAGGGAAGTTTACAACCAAAATAATTAATTGCTTCCTAACATAGGCTAGTTTATTAACTGGTTTTTCATGTAGGTTAGTCTCTTTTACTTTTTCTAAATGCCTTAGACTTAGGTTAAATGGCTAAAAACAACTTGGAGTGGACTGACTTCTGCCAAATGCTTGCTCTTCTATATGCAATTATTTATGAATTTGTAAATTATAATATTTGGGGGTTGCCTGAGGAACAGTTACACACTTAAAAAATTTTAACTTATGATTTCCAGTGATAAACTTCTTAAATCTCTCTTTCCTCGGGCTTCTTTTAGATTTTAATAAGAGTCAGTGCTGACAGTCTTCATTAGTGGCTTAAAACCATGGCTACTTATTGGCTCACAGTTCTGTAAGTCAGAAGTCCAGGAATGGTGTGGCTGGTGCTCTACTCAGGGTATCATAAGGCTAAAATCCAAGTATTGTCCAGACTCATATTTATCTGAAGGCTCTGGGAAAATACTCACTTCTATGCTTGTTGAGATGGTTGGGAGAATTCAGTTCCTGGTGGTTGTAAGGAGAGTCCAGCCCCTCCCCGCTTCCTTTTTTTTTTTTTTTTAAACTGGCTGTCAGCCAGGGGCCACTTTCAGCAACTAGAAGCCATCGTCATGCTTGCTGCATGACCCTTACCATCTTCAAAGTCAGCCACAGAGCATCCCCTTGCATTAAATTCTGCTTGCACTTTGAATCTCTCACTTTGTTTTTTGCCAGCTGGAGGCAAATCTTTGCTTATAAGGGCTCAAGGGCTCTAGTGATTAGTTGGGCCCACTCTGTATAATCTGTCCTTTGCCATATAATGTAACACAATCACAAGAGTGATACTCATCATATTCAGCTTCTTCCCACATTGTAGGGCAGGGGATCTGGCTAGGAGGAGAGTCACTAGAGGCCATCTTAGAATTCTTCCCACTACCTCTACTTAGCATTTAGGACACTGAATTATTTGAAAACTTCATCCAACATTCATATAATATATACAACGAGCATCTGCAAGTTACTAGGCATGGTGCTAAGCAAGACTAACCATGCAATCT
The DNA here is from genome assembly GCF_000001405.40 of Homo sapiens. Taxonomy (NCBI): domain Eukaryota; kingdom Metazoa; phylum Chordata; class Mammalia; order Primates; family Hominidae; genus Homo; species Homo sapiens. The sequence continues at coordinate 18,458,378 of NC_000012.12, read as the reverse complement.
ACTTTTTCTTCATGTTTTAATCCATGACTTGTCATAGAAGCAAGTTCTTTGGGATATGGGAATATCTTTTGCTCTAAATAACACAGTATGCCCAGAAAATTATTGCTTCACACTAACATTTCTTTCTTCCCTTAGAATGCATAATATATTAAAATGTTTAATCCACTTTTGGAAATGAAAAGCAATTGGAAGACCTAACTGGCCTATCCCTATCATTTCTTCATTCCTTTCTGTCTATAAAACTAACCTAGCTTATGGTGGATAAGATGAAGGTAGTAAATAAGAACAGGAAGGATTACTCCATAAAACTTAAGAAGTTTAAATTTCATTTTTGAACATTGATGTAAAATAAATTGTTATCATTAATAAATTAATGTTAATTAGTTTCTTTAATGTTAAAGAAAGAAGGTTATAAAAGAAGTAGATAATGTAGAATTTTCTATATCTTGACTTAAAAAAAACTATTGTCACCTATTTACATATTTAGATTCTAATTAAATAATACCAAGTGTCTGATTAGGTTTTGGTTATTATAAATGATTACCCCCACTCTAGATTCATGCACAGTCCATATTATCTTTGTTCACATTGACTTTAAAAAGTCTAAGAATAGGCAGTTTACTCTACTATGGCTATCACTGGATTCATTCTGATTGAAAGAGAGTCTAGAATAAAAGATGTGGCCTTTCATTAAAAAAAAATCAGTGCACCTCATTCTTATTTTATAGAGATTGAAGAGTTTCAGAATCAGCACAGATGATTACAGACAGAGAGAGTGGGGAGTGTGTACTTGCTGGAAAATTGCAACACAAAGCCCAAGGGAAATTTTTGGAGTGGTATGAACATACACACATATTCCAAAATCATGATGTGGTTAGGACAGGCAGAAAAGGGCTCACACGGAACTGAGGCCAGTGCAGGTGGCACTAAGAATGGGCTATATTTTTGGTTGTCTACAAGACAATATAATTTTCTGATGGCCAAAAGACACTAAAGAGTGATTGTTAAATTATTAGTACACTGGATGTGTATTTATTTCTTACTTCCTCAATTGCCATCCAAAAGGAAATTCAGAAAGAAAGAGAGGGGTAATATATGACTTTGCAGAATCAAAGGAAAGCACTTAACTATTCTCTGCGAACATCAATTTTATATTTATATGTATTCAGTAATTTCCTATGCACAAACTACACAATACAGTATAATCTGTGTATCTTCCTTCTATCCATTATCCATGGCTCCAGTTTGGTCTTGTCTCCTCCCAGCCAGTTTCTCTATCCCAGTCTACCCTTATTGTTCCTTTTTCTATGTTTCCATTGTACTTGTATTTCACATTACAATGCTTTGAAAGTCACCATTTTTTTTGATGGTTTCAAGATCATTGGTTTTGTCCCTCAAGATTACAAAGTTCTCAAAAATGGAAAACTTTTATATAAAAAGAATGGACTGTCAATCCAGCTCTGCCATTTACTAGTAGTATAAATGATACAGGAGCTAAAAAGAAATTATTTCAGCCGTTGGTGAGAGTAAAAGAGTCCTTGGTAAGGCTTCTCTTTTAACAAAAAGCAGCCCCCAAATTATTTCTTTTCTAACAAAGAGCAGCTTGTAAAATCAAGCTGCAGACATAGATAAGCAAGCTGGAAGCTTGCACAGGTGAATGCCAACAACTGTGCCAATAGGAAAAGGTTACCTGGGGGCCAGGTATGTTCAACCTGGAGGCTCCATCTTCCCTTTTCTTTGTCAACCAAGTGTACAGTAAAGGAACAGGTAACATAGTGCTGGCCAGGTAGGGGACCCATCTGCATAATAAAAGATTAGGTTGGGGCGGCTAGCTTCTTTGCACTATGTAAACGACACACCTGGTCCAACCAATCTCTTGTGCCCTATGTAAATTAGACATGGCCTCCTCAAGCTCATCTATAAAACCCCCTGTGTATTTCACCATGAAACTGGAAGACCCACTTGGGAGCCCCTCTCTTTCTGCAGGAGAGAGAGCTTTTCTCTTTCTCTTGACTAATAAGCCTCCACTCTTAAACTCCAGGAAAGAGAGCTTTTCTCTTTTCTCTCACCTATTAAACCTCCCCTCTTAAACTCCCTTGTGTGTCCGCATCCTTAATTTCCTTGTCATGAGACAGCAAACCTCAGGTATTTACCCCAGACAAACGATGTTGCTTCATGACCTTGGACATTTGTCCAAAATATTTAACATTTTAAAAACTTTATTTATTCCTAAACTTTAAATAGGTCAGTAAACTAACAGATAAACAATTGCCTTTGCTGAGCTCTTCTTGAGAACAAGGACTTGTGTCTTTGTTCTGTAAGGCAACAAGGGGCACATTTGAATGCTTAACAAACATTGCTGGGACTGAATAACTTCTGGGAACTCCAGAATGGTAAAGAAAACAAGTAGAACTGGCATAAGGCGAATGTCATTGACAGATTATGAGTGGAGGCAGACAGTCTATTTTTTTCTTTAAAGGATATAATGAATGCGTGAATGCTATCAACTGAATGTTTGTGTTCCTCCAAAATTCGTATGCTGAAATCCTAACCACTAATGTGATGATATTAAGAGGTGAAGCCTTTGGGATGTGATTAGGTCATGAAGGTGGAGATCTCATGACTGGGATTTGTGCCCTTATAAAAGAGATCCCAGAGAGCTTCTGTATCCCTTTGGCCATGTGAGAAAACAGTGAGAAGACAGCTGTCGGTGAAGCAGGAAGCAAGTCTTCACCAGACACTGAATCTGCTGGTACCTTGATCTTGGACTCTGTAGCCTTCAGAACTGATAGGAATAAATTCCTATCATTTATAAGCCACTTGGTTTATGGTATTTTTGTTATAGCAGCTCAAATGATCTAAGACAAAGATTTTGAACTTAAAATTTATAGCAATTAAAATTCTGCAATTCAAGGGAGAAAATAAAATTTTAAACACCAAAAGAGGCTTTATCAAGTAAAATAATCCTATGTATGTTATTTACATGAGAGTCATTCTTGACTCTTCTCCACCAACCGCCACCCCCCTCCCCTTCCCAACCTCCTGGCATACCTTAGGTGGGAGGCATCTTCTGATGTAGCTCCCAATGATCCCACCTACTGGTGTTCATGTCTTTGTGTAAAACTCTTGCCTAAGTGTAGGCTGGACCTAGCGATTTCTTCCTAGCCAATAGATTATGACAAAGCTGATATAGTGATCTTCTGTGATTAGGTTGTAAAAGGCTCTGACTTTGGTCTTGCTGGTATATTCTTTAGCTATCCTTGTATGTTTGCTTTGATGAAGTGGGCCTCCTGGCAAGGAATTAAATGCTGCCAGCAATCACTTGAGTGAGCTTGGAAGCAAATCTTTCTCCAGTTGAATCTTGAGATGAGGGTAGATCCCAGGTTGACACCTTGATTACAGCCTCTTGAGAGAAAAACCCTGGAGGAGAGAACCCAGCTAAGGGGTACCTGAATTCCTGACCTACAGAAATAGTGAGATAACAAATATGTGTTTCTTAAGTGAATAAAACTTAGTTATGCAGCACTAGATGATGAATATATCTCACATCCAATTCATCAGTAAATTCTGTCAGTTCTATCTTCAAATTAAGAAGAGAAATTTCTAAAATTTTCTGAATTCTAAAATTCAGAAGTAGAATAGAATCTGACTACATCTGGTACCACCTTCAGCTAATGCAATAAAATTTCTCAGCTGATTATTGCAATAACTCTTAGGAATGTGTGACTTTTCTGCTTTTGCCTTTGTCTCCTTAATTCTATTCTCAAAACAGCAGGCAAAGTGATCCTGCTAATGGATTCCATTCTCATTCAGATACTCAGCCACCTTACAAAAACCACAAGACCCTGCATGATCTTTTTCCTTTCCCTGTGTATACCTCACGTGACTACACTGGCTTTTCACACTTCCCTACATTGCTAAGCACACTCTAATACCTTTGAACTCACTGTTTTCTCAGCAGAGAAAGCACCTCACCCAATATCTTCATGGCTGATTCCCTCAAATATCTTTACTCCAGTGCTTTTCAAATAGTTCCTCCCCAGGTGATTTATCTAAAATTGCACTGCCTCCTCCCAACATAGGTCCTTGTTTTGATTTCTCATGAGAGAATATTTTATGCCCCTTATTTATTTATCTTGCTTATTATTTGTTTCCTCCACTAGGATGTAAACTCCATCAGGGTGTTGAGATTTTTATTTTGTTTACTGTTGTATCTCCAATGCATGGGACAAAGCTTAACATATAGTAGGCATTCATTAAATAACTGCTGAATTAACTAAAGAAGCAGATGAATGAATATGACTAATTTCTACTTGGTAAAAAAAACTAGTAGAAAAACTCTGTTTTGAAAAGAAGACGTGTATCAGATAGGTGTACAAAGGCATTTATGTGGCACTTAAAACTACAAGAAGCTTTACATTAATAAAATGCTAAGCAGAGGGGTGGAATTAAGCCAACTTTTGGCTCTTCCTAACAAATGAGTAAATTTTGGCATGGAATAGTCTAAACCATAGATAACTGACAACATTCAAATTAGACAGTGAGTCAGAACACTAATTAAAATTCACGTTTAAAAGCTAATTGAGCTGTGTTCACTTGCATACTTTTTTTTTGATAGCAAATTACTTTCTCTCTCTCTTTTAATTGAAAAGAATAAAACAAAACTGACAGAGGGTCTCTTTTTGTTGTTTAAAAATTACTATTCAGAACACCTGTGAAAGAATTCCTAAGGTGCTTTACAATGTGTTTAGTATTGGCAGTAACCTCAAGATATGAGTGTTCCATTTAACTTGTATGTTGAACCTGAAGCCTAACCCCTCCCCTCAAGATCTACAAGTCAATTATTAAAAGCACAGGTCACCAAAACTTTTCATCACATACTCCTAAGAGGAAAAATTGTTGAACACCTCTCAGATATTTACATTCATTAAAGAGTTGTATGCATACAAAATAAAGGGAGGGAGGAATATTTACCAAGCAAATGAAAAGCAAAAAAAAGCAGGAGTTGCAATCCTAGTCTCTGATAAACAGACTTTAAACCAACAAAGGTCAAAAACGACAAAGAAGAGCATTACATAATGGTAAAGGAAATAATGCAATAAGAAGAGCTAACTATCCTAAATATATATGCACCCAATACAGGAGCACCCAGAATAATAAAACAAGTTCTTAGAGATCTACAAAGAGACTTAGACTCTAATAGTGGGAGACTTTAACACCCCACTGTCAATATTAGATAAATGAGGCAGAAAATTAGTAAGAATATTCAGGATTTGAGCTCAGCTCTGGACCAAGCAAACCTAATAGACATCTACAGAACTCTCCAACTCAAATGAACAGAATGTACATTCTTCTCAGCACCACATAGGACTTATTCTAAAATAGACCACATAATTGGAAGTAAAACACTCCTCAGCAAATGCAAAATAATGGAAATCATAACAAACAGTCTCTCGGACCACAGTGCAACCAAAATAGAATTCAGGATTAAGAAATTCAATCAAAACTGGACAACTACATGGAAACTGAACAACCTGCTCCTGAATGACTCCTGGGTAAATAACGAAATTAAAGTAGAAATAACAAAGTTCTTTGAAACCAATGAGAAAAAGGCACAATGTACCAGAATCTCTGAGACACAGCTAAAGCAGTGTTTAGAGGGAAATTTGTAGCACTGAATGCCCACATCAGAAAGTGGGAAAGATCTAAAATCGACACCTTAATATCAAATCAAAGGAACTAGAGAAGCAAGAGCAAACAAATTCAAAAGCTAGCAGAAGACAAGAATTAACTAAGATTAGATCAGAACTGAAGGAGATAGAGACACAAGAAACCCTCCAAAAAAATCAATGAATCTAGAAGCTGTTTTTTTTTAAAAAAAGATTAATAAAAAAGACAGCTAGCCAGATTAATAAAGAAGATAGAAGAATCAAATAGGCACAATAAAAAATGATAAAGGGGATATCACCACTGATCCCACAGAAGTATAAACTACCACCAGAGAATACTATAAACACCTCTATGCAAATAAACTAGAAAATCTAGAAGAAATGGATAAATTCCTGGACATATACACCCTCCCAAGACTAAACCAGGAAGAAGTAGAATTTCTGAATAGACCAATAACAAATTTAAAACTGAGGCAGTAATTAATAGCCTACCAACCAGAAAAAGCCCAGGACCAGACAGATTGACAGCCGAATTCTACCAGAGGTACAAAGAGGAGCTGGTACCATTCCTTCTGAAACTATTCCAAACAATAGAAAAAGAGGGACTCCTCCCTAACTCATTTTATGAGGCCAGCATCATGCTGATACCAAAACCTGGCAGAGACACAACAAAAAAAGAAAATTTCAGGCCAATATCCCTGATGAACGTCAATGTGAAAATCCTCAGTAGAATACTGGCAAACCAAATCCAGCAGCACATCAAAAAGCTTATCCACTACGATCAAGTTGGCTTCATCCCTGGGATGCAAGGCTGGTTCAACATACGCAAATCAATCAACATAATCCATCACATAAACAGAGCCAATGACAAAAAACCACATGATTATCTCAATAGGTGCAGAAAAGGCCTTCGATAAAATTCAACACCCCTTCATGCTAAAAACTCTCAATAAACTAGGTATTGATGAAACATAAACTAATAAGAGCTATTTATGACAAACCCATAGCCAATATCATACTGAATGGGCAAAAGCTGGAAGTATTTCCTTTGAAAACCAGCACAAGATAAGGATGCCCTCTCTCACCACTCCTATTCAACATAGTATTGGAAGTTCTGGCTAGGGCAATCAGGCAAGAGAAAGAAATAAACAATATTCAAATAGGAAGAGAGGAAGTCAAATTGTCTCTGTTTGCAGATGACATGATTATATTTAGAAAACCCCATTGTGTGAGCCCAAAAACTTCTTAAGCTGATAAGCAACTTCAGCAAAGTCTCAGGATTCAAAATGAATTTGCAAAAATCGCAAGCACTCCTACACAGCAATAATAGACAAGCATAGAGCCAAATCATGAGTGAACTCCCACTCGCAATTGCTACAAAGAAAATAAAATACCTAGGAATATAACTTACAAGGGATGTGAAGGACCTCTTCAAGGAGAACTACAAACCACCGCTCAGGGAAATAAGAGAGGACACAAACAAATGGAATGAAATTCCATGCTCATGGATAGGAAAAATCAATATCGTGAAAATGGCCATACTGCACAAAGTAATTTGTAGATTCAATGTTATTCCCATCAAGCTACCATTGACTTTCTTAACAGAATTAGAAAAACTATTTTAAATTTCATATGGAACCAAAAAGGAGCCTGCATAACCAAGACAATCCTAAGCAAAAAGAACAAAGCTGGAGGCATCGTGCTACCTGACTTCAAACTATACTACAAGGCTACAGTAACCAAAAGAGCATGGTACTGGTATCAAAACAGATATATAGACCAATGGAACAGAACAGTGGCCTCAGAAATAACACCACACGTCTACTACCATCTGATCTTTGACAAACCTGACAAAAACAAGCAATGGTGAAAGGATTCCCTATTTAATAAATGGTGTTGGGAAAACTGGCTAACCATATGCAGAAAACTGAAACTGGGACCCCTTCCTTACACCTTATACAAAAATTAACTCAAGATGGATTAAAGACTTAAAATCTAAAACCATAAAAACCCTAGAAGAAAACCTAAGCAATACCACTCAGGAACATAGGCACGAGCAAAGACTTCATGACTAAAACACCAAAAGCAATTGCAACAAAAGCCAACATTGACAAATTGGATCCAATTAAACTAAAGATTCTGCACAGCAAAAGAAACTGTCATCAGAGTGAACAGGAAATGTACAGAAGGAGGGAACATTTTTGCAATCTACCCATCTGATGAAGGTCTAATATCCAGAATCTACAAGGAACTTAAACAAATTTACAAGAAAAAAGCAAACAACAGGCAGGACTGGTGGCTCACACCTGTGATCCCAGCCCTTTGGGAGGCTGAGGCGGGTGGATCACCTGAGGTTGGGAGTTCGAGACCAGCCTGGCCAACATGGTGAAACCTCATCTCTACTAAAAATACAAAATTAGCCAGGCGTGGTGGCACATGCCTGTAATCCCAGCTACTTGGGATGCTGAGGCAGGAGAATCACCTGAACCCAGGAGGTGGAGGTTGCGGTGAGCTGAGATTGTGCCATTGCACTGCAGTCCGGGCAATAATAGCAAAACTCCATCTCAAAAATAAAAATAAAAAACAACGCTATTAAAAAGTGAGCAAAGGATATGAACAGACACTTCTCAACAGAAGACACTTATGTGGCCAAAAAACGTGAAAAAAAGCTCATCACTGGTTATTAGAGAAATGCAAATCAAAACCATATGAGAAACCATCTCATGCCAGTCAGAATGGCGATCATTAAAAAGTCAGAAAACAGCAGATGCTGTCGAGGATGTGGAGAAATAGGAATGCTTTTACACTGTTGGTGGAGTGTAAATTAGTTCAACCATTATGGAAGACAGTGTGGCAATTCCTCAAGGATATAGGACCAGAAATACCATTAGTGGGTATATACCCAAAGGAATACAAATCACTCTGCTATAAAGACACATGCACACGTATATTTATTGCAGCACTATTTATAATAGCAAAAACTTGGAACCAACCCAAATGCCCATCAATGATAGACTGGATAAAGACAATGTGGCATACATACACACCATAGAATACTATGCAGCCATAAAAAAGAATGAATTCATGTCCTTTGCAGGAACATGGACGAAGCTGGAAACCATCATTCTCAGCAAACTAACTCAGGAACAGGAGACCAAATACCACGTCTTCACTCATAAGTGGGAGTTGAACAATGAGAACACATGGACACAGGGAGGGGAACATCACACATTGGGGCCTGTTGTGGGGTGCAAGGCAAGGGGAGGGAGAGCATTAGGACAGATACCTAATGCATGTGGAGCTTAAAACCTAGATGACGTGTTGATAGGTGCAGCAAACTACCATGGCACATGTATACCTACGTAACAAACCTGCATGTTCAGCACATGTATCCCAGAACTTAAAGTAAAATAAAAAAAATAATAAATAATAAAAATAAAAAAGAGTTATATGCAAACAAAGCTATAATGATCAAAGCAGTATGGTACTGGCATGAAAGCAGAGACATAGACCAATGGAACAGAATAGTGAGCCTAGAGATAAATGCAAGCATATATGGTCAAACTAACTTTAAACAATGGCACCAAGAGGACTCAATACACTGTTGGTGCAAATGTAAATTGGTACAACTATTATGGAAAACAGTATGGAAGTTTCTCAAAAAATTAAAAATAGAACTACCATATGATCCAGCAATCCCTCTTCTAGGTATGAACCCAGAAATAAATAAAGTCAACCCCTCGTAGAGATATCTGCAGTCTCACATTCATTGCAGCCTTATTCATAATAGCCAAGAAATAAAAACAACTTAAGTGTCCATCAGTGGTTGGGGAGGATGGATAAATTAATTGTGGTGGAGATATATCTCCACCACAATTATATATATATGTGTGTGTATAATATATACATATAATTTGTTTCAATATAAGATGTTTTCAATTTGTAACAATATTTCATTATATATATAATGATACAAAATATTATTCAGCCTTAAAAAAGGAAATCTTGCCATTTTCTACAACATGGATAAACTTAAAGGACATTACATGAAATAAGCCAGACACAGAAAGAAAAATACTGTACAATTTTACTTTTATGTGGGATCTAAAAGAAAGTCCAACACATAGCATGGTGGTTGTGGGATGTGGACAGGGAGAGGAAATGGGGCAATGTAGGTAAAGGGAACAGAGATGCAGTTGTATATGCTGCATAAGTCTAGAGATCTAACGTACAACATGAGGACTATAGTTAATAACACTGTATTGTATATTGATCATTTTAAACACGTAGATTTTAAGTGCTCTTATCCCAAAATGGACCATAACTATGTGAGATGATTAATATGTTAATTTGCTTGGCTATAGTAACCATTTCACTATGTACATCAAAACATCATTGTGTGTATATTAAACATATAAAATAAAAACAAACAGAAATGAATTATAGGTATATTCTTTCATACTAATATATTCCATTACAAAACATACACAAACTGAAATCAAATTAAAAAGAGTAAGAGAGAGGAAATACTATTCAAAAATAATTTTATTGTATGTTTTAATCAAAAAAGCACTTTTTGCTCTAACAATTATTATTAATTAATACTACTTAGTGAGAGTTATGTTATTGAATATTCTTCGTTACATTTTAGGACCTTAGTTTACATTTTACACTACTGAGGTCTCATTCCAATATTTGATTTCCTTAGCTTCATTGCCAGGAAGAATCTATCACAAAGATGCAGAGACCCAAGTGGAGGAAATCCCCCATAATCTGCATTAATGTTATTGATGTATTCTCAATGATAATACTTTTAAATAATACCATCCAACAGTTAAGCAAACATTTTTAACAATTTTGCTTAACATTTTCAATATTACTCAATAGCTATCAGTTGTTCTTTCATACTAGTGGAAGCTGTTGCACCTTTATACTTTTAAATTCATTATTTGAAAGATTCTACGACAGAATAGAAAATTTTGTCTCCAAGGTTTAAAAGTACACGATAAAAGATTTTTTTCAGGTAATATTTTTACATATTTTTAATTAACAAATCCAGGTAGTTATGAAAACATATCCAAACAAACATAACATTTTCAGAATACTCCCTCGTAACATATTCAGAACAAATAATATTTGCTTTTCCATTACCGTGAAAAATTACCTTTATCTTGAAGGGGCACCTGACATGAAGTGCGTGTATCTGTGTGTTAATAGGATATATGCCAGGTGGCAACCCACTAGACATCACAAGAAAGGCTGCAAATTTGAAACTTTTATTTTAAAAAGAAAATGCAAAAATCATTCTTAAGTTTGACAACTTGTTTGAGTGTTCTGTCACAAGATAACCACTGAACATCTGTCTGGACAAAAATCTGTCATGGTTACTTTCTATTTATTAAAAAGTCTTGTAGTGTTCCTGCCATTCAGAATAACACAAATCTACCTAACTGGGCACAAGCAAAAAGGGCCACTGTCAATTGCTGCATATTGTGGAACTGCCACTCGTGGTTCATAATATCACGTGGCCCTGAGTAAAAAGTGATCATCTAACACACGAACCAAATAGGGGTAACATGACTATTCTTATATTAATCATGAGGAAGTTATTACAATATTTAGTTCAATATCTGTATTCAACCTTTGAACAAAGGTGAAGTAGCTTGGAGCAGTGGGAAGAAACAGAAGTATAAGATCACCACCTATAAGGAAATATCAATATATTTTCATCTCTTCTAAATAAAAGAATTTCATCGGACTCTTTCTACTCTCTATTTTATAGCGTGTGTGGCATTAAATAGCGAGATGCCTAGCAATCAAATTTAAAAGAAGAAAAAAGTGAAGGAAAAAGGCCTTTGAAACCAGTAGACTGTATATATACAGAAGTAGACAAAACAGAGTGCCCTTCATTTTGAATAAAGACTCTATTTTGACATACATATTCTCTTGAAGTTAATATAAAACTTCTAACTATGCTTTTGTGCATGGTTCATGCCAATGATTAAATATTCACTTTTAATCATTCCTATGTTAATTATAGCAAAACAACAACAACAATAGCTGCTTCCTCCACTGTAACAGGGTCTAAACAGAAAATGCACCATTCAAACAACTTGAGGAAGGTTTAATGGGACTGTTAAAAAAGGTTGCAGGGAGAAAAATCACACGGTATGGGTGGTACATTGGGGCCAGTGACAGTGATACTGTTAGCACTGAGGCCTGAGGTGTGGGACTTCAGGAATGAGTCAGCGGCCATGAAGGGAACAGTGAAGACACAGCCAAATGAAGGAGAGTCCCACAGTTAGGGAGGCAGAGAATACATACCATGAACTCTCTTTTTTTCCCTGTAATCTCCTGCTGAGACTGCCAATTGGCTTATCCAACCAAAAGCCAGGGGCAAGAGAGACTCTGAATGTTGTCCACGGAGGTGAACCTCCAGGGCAGGGGCAGGGAAATGGTGGAGTGGGTCTTAAGAGGCAAACAGAAGACATCTGGCAAGATCATCTTCAAGTTCATTCCCTTCCATATGATTAAAATAATTAAGTGGCAGATTGGCAGGGTCTAAATTCTGTGTTTATATAAAAAGATATGGGGAGATTATACAGTCTGTTGCTGTTGCTCTCAAAACATGGCTAATTATAGGGTTTTCAAAAATTATCTACTTTTCTTACTCTTTTAAATAGGCAATGTATCTAGGTTACAAAATCCGAAAGATGCAAATGAGACTACAATGAAAATTAAGTCTCCAGTCCTCCTCTCTCTGTGCCCATTTTCCCCTCGTTAAAAAGATTGCACCTAGTTTCTTTTGTATCCATTCAGAGATGTTCTATGCAATTGCACTCAAGGTAAGTAAATAAATATTTCTTTTACGTGAATAGTAGAATATTATACACACAGACTGCATATTGCTTTTGAAATGTAATAATACATCTTGGGATGGTTTACAGTTAGCATGTAGAGTGCTTTCTAAAGTAAATAAGATTTTATTTGGATGAGTATAACAAAATCTTTTTACCAATTCTACATTGATGAGTATTTGTTTTCATTTTTTTTACCACCAAAACTACCATGAATATTATCATACATGCATCATTTTGCACATATCTTAGTAGATCTGTAATTAGCATTTAAAAGCAAAATTGCTTTGTGAAAATACATGTATTTTAAAATGTAAAAGATAACTGATAAACAAACCTCCACAACATTTTAACAATTAAACTTCCATCTTCAATTTGCGATTCTGTTTCCCCACATTTTCACTAGTAGGCTGCCACCAATTTTTTTTTTTAATTTTTGCCAATCTGATAGGTGAAAGCAGTATATGATTATATTTTATAATTCAAGTTGAATACCAATTCTTGTGTTTAAGAACCATACACAGTATATATTTTTAATGGAATTACTTGCTTATATTCTTAAACCACTTTTATGGGTTTGTAGGGGTTCTGTGTTAATTAAAGAAATTAATTCTTCACCACTGAAAAGATGATATACAACACCTATTTATTAAAAAGTATTTTCCTAATATAAAAAAGTCTCTGAATTTTTCTTTTGGTATTTTCATTGTTTCTCTCTTCTAATTTTTTAAATATCTGGCTTGTACTAGCTTTGGATCCATTTTTTTCCCCTCAGCTGGCCATCCAAACACCATTCATTAAATAATCGATCTTTCCTCCACTGATTTAAAATTTTTTGAAAAACTATAAATTCTTGAAGATAATCAAGTATATTTCTGGTCTTTTCTGCTTCATTGATCTTATTTGGCAGTGTTCTTTTTTGGCAAGTATCATATAGTTTTAATTATGGGTAAGGACAAAAACTGAACATAATTGTACTAAAATTATACAAAAGCATCCACTGTGATAGAGAATGTGTATGAACATATCAAACTTAGGACATAACCTGAATGGATTCTTTGGGTTTGGCTGAAACGAAGGGACTCAGAAATATTTTTAATACAAAGAATAATTAAAAGTATCCAGTTTATGTTAGATAAAACGTCAAATCAGTTCAATCCCACTGAAGGAAAAGAATGAAAGAAAAAAATAGTCATTGTTGATATTGTTGTTATTTGTCATCATCATCAGCAGCAACAGCACCACCACCATTTATTGACTAATTGTTATATTCAGGATATAATTACTATTATCCGCATTCTACAGTATGGAAACTGAACTTCAGGGAATTTAAGATTATTCAGCAAGGAAAGGTCAAAACCACCATTAAGTTTGTGGTCTGCCTGATTTTGCAGCTCCAATTCAATAAAAATACTGATAAGTATTTACTAAATATATTAGGCTAAGTGTGAGAATTCGTAAGATGCAGACATACATGTAAGACTAAAAACATAAATACCAAACAATTGATAAAGACAAAATATGATACAGGATTTCAGCAGAGTTGGAAATTCTCAAGATTGGAGTTGTTCAGGTGAGACTTCATACTACTGATAAGACTACTAAAGGCCCAGGAGGTAAAGACAGGGGTGGCCGTTCCAGGAAAGGGCACTGAATGCCAAACATAACATTATAGAGGGAAGATGGCTTATAGTGTGTTTGGAGGAGAATGGGTGTATAGATTTTACTGGAATGGGAACTTTAATATTCATTGATTTGTTTACATATTTATTTTGTAATAGAATAGTGCCTTGGCACTCTCTGATTGACAAGAAGAAAGCCAATATTTGTTTCTTGCCAGATAAAATACACTCAATACACGAGAGCATGAGTCAGGCCTGGAGTATTTGCATAGTTATATAATGCTTTATGAATTGGGAATGTTGAAGTGGCAACTGTGTGAATAATTCTTGGGCGTCAAGGAGAAGGGTCGTTACACTCTAAGATGCTTTCTATAAATATTTTGGCAATCCAATTTTTAGAGAATCTTTCTAATGTCTAAATGATTAGAGATGGCATATACAACAATTATTAAAGTTAGTGAATGGTAACAGATCAGAGATAGACTTTAGTATTTACTCATTTTGATTTAGCAATTGTCCATTTTCTTATTATCATGGTATCACTTTTCCGTGAAAGAATTTTCTGTTCATTAGGTCCCATTCAGTTGTTCTCTTTGTTTTTTTAACCAAAATTTTAACTTTTTAATAACATTTCTTCTGATACATATAGAAGGAGTTTTTCGGTGATTACAGAAATAAAAGGGTACACATTTTACTTTTCAGAAATTCCTGTAAACAAAGATATAACAAAAGAAGTGGTTTTTCATTTCCTGTGTGCTGTAAAATGAAAAAAAAACTTTAAAGCCATAATAGGGTATGAAATAAAAGTACAATACATTCACATCACATTGAATGAAAGTCTCAAATTAAATAAATATACTGATATTTTTTATTACTTGTGAAAAATTATATATACATAAACATACACACATACATACATACACTCACAAACACACACACACAGACAGCACCATGTACAGAGTAGGTACTCTTATGCTTTCTGAATGCTAATTCTATTTCTTAATTTGTAAGATCAGTTTAGGTTCCAGGTAATCATTCTGGAATAAAAAGTCGGATATTAGGCTGGGCATGGTGGCTCATGCCTGTAATCCCAGCCCTTTGGGAGGCCAAGGCAGGTGGATCACCTGAGGTCAGGAGTTCGAGACCAAACTGGCCAAAATGGGGAAACTGTCTCTACTAAAAATACAAAAAATTAGCTGGGCATGGTGGCGGGTGCCTGTAATCCCAGCTACGTGGGAGGCTGAGGCAGGAGAATCTCTTGAACCCGGGAGGTGGAGTTTGCAGTGAGCCGAGATTGCACCATTGCACTCCAGCCTGGGCCACAAGAGTGAGAATCTGTCTCAAAAAAAAAAAAAATGTAGGATATTGACCATACAGAGGAACTTGTAGACCGAATGATTCAGATCTAACTCAAGTCTATATAAAAATGTATGCATAAAAAGATGCATAATTTTCTAATCATTTTAAAAGGTATACTCTTAAATATTTTAATCAATTGTAAATGTTGTTAATATCTGAAGAATTATAATGTTATAACTTGGAACTCTTTTTCACATTCATCCTTACAATGAGTCCTGTTTTAGAAACATAATATGGCTACTCCTCTCTCCTTTTAGCCTCTCTATATTTGTATGAGTTCGTTCTTGGAATCTTTTCAGTTTACTCTTATCTGTCATCTCCTCAAAATACTGTTTCAAAACCCCTCTTCTAAGAATTCACCTCAACTAATCTCCTCCAAATCGAAAGATATTTTTATTTTTCTTTCCTTGAGGGCTATTGTAATTATCATGCCATTATTGCAATATTACTTTATAAATGTTCTTTTCAGATTTGATTGCTTATTTATATTTTTCTTATTCTTCTAAGGAAGATGTAAACTTTTTGAGGACAGACAATAATATTCATGTTTGTGAAATTGGTCCAGTGCATATTTTACAGTATTCCACACTCAGTGAGTACATTCATTGTCTGGGTGAGGTTAATAGAGTTATTTCTCATAGTTTTGGGGTTAATACTGTCAGTTAGAGAAAAGCTATAGTGATTATTCATATCAATATATCTTTCATTTAAATATCATTGATGCAAAAACATATTGTATATTAAATTCTAATTGCATATTCCTATATTACTATAGTGCAGATCATAAATGCTGCTAATATTGGTCAATGTTTTCATCCCCTTAATAGAAATACTAATTTCTATTCTAAGTTTAATTCAGCCTCACTACTGAATTAAACTTTTATTTTTAAAGTTTCATATTTTTATATCTTCATTTGAATAAGAAAAATACACAGATAGACGTAGGAAATTAAAAGAAAACAAAGCTTCAAGAACAGTTAAATCAGAAGTTTAAATAGAATGATTCACAATGCTGCATTTGACACTTGAGACTCCAGGATGCACTTCTGTCTATAGCACATTGTACCCCTACTTTTATCTTGTTTTTGTCATCTGCTTTGCTGGTTTGTCCTTTGTTGTCTCATTGGGAAATCTTAGACTTCTCTATTACTATAAGTGATTCTGAGTTTGTTGCATACAGAAAACAAAGAGGCCCAGACACAGTCATGAGAAGATGACTTTGCTTCCTTCACTCTACAGGCAACTACCACCACATGCACCCACCCGCCTGTTCCAGTCCACTCTTCATTTTCTCCTCTTACTATGTATGGACTTTGTGTACCAATCTTCCTGTGCTACAGATATCACACCCTATCATTACTCAAGGATTTTGCACCAGAAATTCTTTCTTCCGTCTCATCAATGTTGCCCTCTCTATTTGATTTTTCCCACCAGTATATTTAAAAAGCAATTTTTCCTATTGTAAAAGCAAAGAAGCAACACTCTTTTCATAGACCATGTCCCTCTTCAACCATTACCACATTTCTCTCTTCCCTTTCCTAGCAAAACTCCTAAAATAATTGTTTTTAATAGCTCTCCTTTTCACTCTTCAATATATTCCCATCAGGTTTTACCTCTACTCGATTGAAAGTGCTTTTTTGATGACCTCCAATGACCTCTATGGTGCTAATCAGATCTCAATTTTACTTGACCTACCAGTAGCATTTGACACAGGTGATCACATCTCTCTTTTGATGCTTTATATAGTGTTACAGAATTCCATGCTCACTTGGTTTATATTTTATATCCCTGACTGCTTCTCTTCAGTTTTCTTTTTTGGTTCTACTTTATCTCTTTGATTTTTAAAATGTTGGCGTTACCACTAAATATTTGGACTTCTTTTCCTTTCTATTTGTATTCATTCTCCTATGACCTTCTCTGTTAATGTGGCTTTGAACCTTACGTATATGTTGATAATTTTCTCATTTTTAGTTCTAGCCCAGATGAAAATGTTCAATAGTTACTTCACACTTCAATAGATCAAAACTGATCTCTTGATAATATAAGCCAAATTGTGCCTTTCATCTTCTCAGAGCCCTCTAATCATTTGGATTAAAGCTAATATTCTAATAATGCCTAGGAATTTTTATATAACCTGCCCTTACCCCTACTCTTTCCCCCTGTAACCTCATCTACTACTAGTCTTCCCCTCATTCAAGTTAACCCAGCCACCTTAGCCCCATTGTTGTCCTCCCAACACCCCAAATAGACACCTTAATGCCTTTGCACACGCTATTACTTCTTCCTGGCATCCTCTTCCTTCAGATACATAGGCGGTTCACTCTCTTACTTCACTGAGGTCTTTTTCAAATGTCACCTTTTTAATAAGGCCTTTTCTTGCTTCCCCAGCTTAAAATTGCAACTACCTGACCCTTGTACTTTTTATGTTTCCTACTTGTTTTATTTTTCTCCCTAGTACTTATCAATGCCTTACAAGTATGGATTTTATTTCTCTTAAAAGCTACATAAGGAAGGACTGGGTTTTTTGTCTCTTTTATTCATTGCTATATCCCTGAAGACTACAATGTGGCTTAACTCATGGAAGGTGCTCAATAAATATTTTTTTTTTGGTGAACAAGCTCTTCCTATGGGACAGGATTATAACTCTTATAACTCTTACAGATATAAGCCTGCATGACTCCTGGTTGAATTCACACGGCTATCCAACACCGTGGCCCCATACTGCATTAGTTCTTACTATAACCTTCTGAAAGTAAATATTATTATTCTAATTTTTAGTGCCTGAGAAAAATGAGTCCTGTAAAAATTAAGTATCTTGCTTAAAGTGAGACACCTAATAAATAGTAGAAACAGGTTTGCATCCAGGTACAGTGAGGTAGATCCTAAACTATTAACTACTACTTTATGAATTAAAGAGGATAACAATATTTTCATATGTGAAACACAAACTGGTTGCTTTGGAACCAGTTGATAATAAAATAAACGTATTTTACAAATGTATCCTGTGATTCATTATACATGGTGTGTGATTAATAAATTTGATCTTTATGCTATAGACATTGCAAAATCATTGTTTAGTTTTAAAGCAATATGGAGAATGACGTGGTATGGATAGAATCTTGAATGAGGCAGACAGAGTAAAAAAACATAGCACTAGCAGTAAGGAAATGATGTCATACTGAGTTAAAGGTTTAGTGGAGATAAAGAAAGGGTATTGATTCATGAGACATTTTGCAAGTGACTTGTTATATACACGGAGTGCTAAAAGAAATTACCCCAGATACATACATGAGTGGCTCAGAAAGTTGGTGGGAAAGCAAGTCAAATTATGGAGTGGTCTGATGAACTTGAAGAAGTCAGAGGTGGAGTTTCTAACACTCAACTCTATTTCAGTGTGAATAGTAACGTCAATGTAATAAGGTTAATACATTAAATAACGCTTTAAAAGAACTAAGAAATTGATGAAGAATTTTACTTGTACTTTCTTGATCTGTATTATACTAGCAGGCAGATGAGGGATGTGAGTGAAATATGTGTTGGCTATTGAAATGCAAAAACATGTATCAACTGGCGATCTGTGACTTTTGTTAGATTTCTCTGTATGTTAAATTTCACTGACACTAAATGACACACATATTTCCAACTTGTTCTGACACTTAGCATGTTTCAGAAACTTTTCTTAACAGGCCCATAAACTGGTTTGTTTATACAGTGATTTTTCTACTACTCCTTTTACTCATTTCAAACTCTGTTATTAAACTTAAATTTTAAATTTGCAATTAGGATAAGACAAGAAGAGCAATGCAATGGTAGGAGTCAGGAGTCAAATGTCAGGAATCTGAGATCCAAATTCCATGTCATTAGTAATCTGTGATATAACCTTGGGAACTGAAACTTTGGTGATACTTCTTATCCTTTCTAAATGACTCCAAAAACATATTCTTGAAGGTATAAATACGTATTATATATATTATGCAATATATATGTTTAATAAAAACTGTGTTAAGCCCAATTGTATTTCTTGTATAGGTAATAAAATTGATGATCAGGGAGGTCGAATAATTTTTCAAGGGCTACCCAGCTTAGGAGAGGCCTGAGTTGAAATTTTTCTTCAAGTATGTTTTTCTCCAAATCTTGTTCTCCCTCTATTACATTATTCTATCTTTTATTGTTATTTTTATAGCTTTCATAATATGTAAGTAGAGTGATGGGTACTAATGTATGAGGCACAGGATCAAATGTTGGCTCTTCTTCTTTATAGCTCTGTATACCTAGCATCTCTGAGTATTAATATTTTTCAGAGAAATGGAGACTAAAGAATTGTTGTCAGTTAATGAAGTAATATTTGAAATGACTACCATAGTGTCTAGCATTAACTATACTACGTGTACCATAAGACAATCTTGTCAAGACAAGAAGGAGTAGTCAAAGCAGAAAAGTTAGATGATTAGAATTCTTAGCAACACTCTCTCAGTCAGAGCCACACTGGAGTCTACTGTTTAACCTTAAACCTTAGTATTCCTTTCTTTATAGCAGAGAAAGAACAGCAAAATTTTCCAGAAGATTATCCAAGTCACCGTCTGATCACCAATTCAGTTCTTGAAATTTCTTGATCCTGGAAAGGGGTCTGTAGACACTTGACACAATTATGTCTAAGAATAAATAATTGTTAATAAATACATTGAATTCAGGTTTACAATCCAGTCAAGGAAGACTTGAAAATCACTAAATAAAATGTTTAAAATTAATTTATTGAGACAAAAGGGTTGGAAAAATGACTCTAGTGTTTGTGGTAGCTGCCTGAAATAGCTAGAATACTTTAAAAAAACACATATTGCTTAATCCATGTTTATTATAACTTGTTTATATTTTCTATTTCCTCTGCAAGCGTTATCTATTATGTGCATAGCAGGCAGTCAACAAAAACTGGGAGAATAGATATTTGAATTAAAGAATGAATGACTAACATAAAACTCTCTTTCCTCAATACGCTTCCTAGGCAGTTTCTTGCTTCTGTTCACTGACGTCTACCAGTCTACTTATGCAGCTGTCCCTATAATATCTAGTAATTGATTATCTAGACTGTCTTGTGTAATTTTCAGCATCATCAATCAATTTATGTCAACATTTTATTGAGCAGCAGCCTCTTTAAAAATAATCATAAATTTTAGTTGGAAGAAAACAGAAGTTCCACCATTTTGGTAAATTAATGACATTTACAGAACTCTCAGGAACATATGGGCCTAGTGCCCAATTTAAAAAGGAAAGTGACACATACATTAGGGTTCTTCCCTTTAACAACTTCAGATAACTAAACCCAAGCAAGATAACCCAATTATCTGACATTCTGTCAAGAGTGGTTAGTGTATCAGGTAGACTGTCAAGTCTAAAGAGTCACTATTTGTGGAAGCTGTTCATTTTTCATTGGTCAAAAATAAATCATACATACCAAAGCAAGTACAAGAATTCTAAGTTATTAAATGTAACAAGTGTTTGATTGTAATATCCAAGTCTTGGTTTTGTTACACTAAAAGCAACACATCTGAAGTTCTTTAGACAATAAACAAGAAAGTAACTGTCATTTTCTTATAAATATTAATTGTATACAAATGAAGTATAAAATTGAATTAGAAGAAAAGCAAGAAAAATCCCCATTCAACATTTTCAAGGAGCAATCTTTTCATGAACAAAGATACAAAAAATTAAGATGGAGCCTGAAAGTAAAAGCCTTATCCATTAACTAATACAAAATACAGAGAACTCTGAGTCTTCACAGCCCTGGGAAACAAAATAGAAGTGGAGAATAGAGAAGCCAGAAAAAATCAGAAACTGTTTAGTAATTCCCCAATGCTCATAGAGAATCTCAATGCAGAAAATTGTATTTTAAAAGATGGTAAGTGGTTGCTTAACAAGGCCTCCCCAGAAAACACTTTTTTGCCAGATAACTAGATGCAGCCTTACATTTTCAATCAGGGTTAAAATAAACATCGTTTTTAAATCAGTACAAAACAACTCACACTATGAACGGGATCAATGTAACACTTGATACTGTTTCAAAAACCCTTATTCAGAACGTCAGATTATTCTGTAAGTCATTTAACTCAACTTCACCCAATTCCAGAGAGCTAGAGAGTCCATTTTTTTAAAAGAGAAAAATACATCTTTTGTAATATGACTTGTTCTGATTACCTGCTGTTCTAAGGATAGTAGTCAAGGTAAATTAACCTGTAGGCAATACACATGTATGTGGTGTGATTATTTTTATTCATTCAATAGGTATTGAATGAATTGTATACTGTGTGCAATGTTCTATGTTAAGGATAGATGGTTAAGTTTTGTCCTCACAGTGCAGAAGAGAAACATAGGGTTTGTCTATACCAAATCTACTCTCCCCTTAATGTCTGCAAAAAGAATCTGCTTTTATTCAGATATCAAAAACCTTAGAGGAAGATGACCAGTTTAGAGATAAATTCTGAATATGCTAAACCAATCATGTAAGCTGAGTCATCAGATTGCCATCTGGTCATATGATGGGTTCATGATAAGGGACCCAATTCTGGCAAATAATATGAGAAGTTAACTCAGCTTTGGGGTTTATGGAAAAATTTTCTAACTGAGGAAGAGACATTCTCTTTACTCTTGCTGCATGGAATCATGTATGGATGTGAGACCCATTGTGTCAATCTTCTTGTAACAATGATGTGAAGTAGACTAAGGACAAGTCAACATGGTGAGGATGGCACAGCAGAAAGGTGGAAAGAAATTAGGTTATGACATCATCAGTGAGCTGCTGCAATAATAAACTTTGGAACCACACTACTGAAGAGCTTCTTGTTATGTGAGATAAAATAATTAATTCTTCATATAATTGTAAACCAGTTGAATCAGGGTTTTTTTTTTTTTTTGTTACTTGTAGCTCTAAGTATCTTGAAGTGAAGAAGTATCTTCAAGTGAAGGAAGGGAAATGGTCAAGTAAAGTATGAAATATGTTAAGAACTGTATTGTAGATGTGTACAAGGGAGCCAAGGTCAGAGACATCTTCAAAGAGGATAAAATCTTGAGCTGAGTCCTAAAGGATTCTATATAGACAGACAAGGGAACAACTGCATTTCAAGAAGTTGGAAAACTGTGTGCAAAGTCATCAGGGCATGAAAGATTTGAGAATTTGAGTAACTACTTGAGAATAATAAAAAGAAAGATTATATTTGGATGTAGAAAGGCTTACAAGATGAGGTGGGAGATAGGCAGAGTGGAAACTATGAAGCTCCATTGCCAAGTCATGTTAAGAGAGAATGGATTTTCTCTCTTAACATGGATCTCATACCCTAATTCTAAACTCTGTCATAAGAAAAGAGGAAACTGGAATTAAGAAATTATGCTAACCAGCTGGAGGTTACCCATGACCTGGAGCTGACTTTATGAGTTTGGGATCAAGTTGTTACATGTGTAGATTATTCTGAGAGCAGTGTGGAGGATGGATGGACTGGGGATAGGTAAGAATGAAAGTGAAGGAAAACAGCCTGGAAGCGGTAGTGATAGTCCAAGTAGATGATACCAAAGGTGCTAGCTATAAAGTAGAAAGGAAAGGACAACTTAAAGACAAATTTATGAGAAAAGAGAATCAAGACTTAAGAAATAAGTAAATAAAGATTATTGGGTAAGAATAATGTCTTCTAGATTTTCTGTGTTGGATATCTTAGTAATGGCTGTAAACTAGGGCATTGTGTATTTTTAAAAGTTTGGGAATGGTGGGTGAAAGAATTGAAATGGTAGAGGGTAGGAATATTGAATTCAGTTTTGAATTTCTTGAGCTGAGATGCCAGTCGTATACCATGGCTACATAAATATCTTAATAATGAGCCCTCCAGAAAAAAAAAAAAACCTGGTTACAAAATGTACCCATAGGTTAAATCTCTTGGAATTATTTGTAAAATTTTTGGACAAAAGTCAAAGACATTTTTAGAGGATGTCTATTAAAATGATGATTCTTACTGGAGTAGTTAGCTAGTAATCTTTTTTTGTCTGTTAAGACTAATTTTGGTTTTTGAAAAGAAAGCCAATTAATATGTGGAAAGGTGGATATTGGCTTTTCTTTCATGCCCTCTTCCTCTACCACTTTATGGAGAGGTTTCTTGAATAATCTATGCTGTTGTACTTGTATGGCAGAAACTGCTACAGGTTTACCAAATTAAACTGCATTTTGCTTCTGTATATATACATACATGGACCACTTTCCTTTGCCACCTTGCAGTTAGGTGGGGGCATTATTACTGACTTCTGGCCTACGGAATATAGACAAAAGTGATGTCTGCTATTAGCATCTAAAAGCATCTCCAACATCATGCTATGATTCTCTTGCTATGATTCTACAATTATATGCTATGATTCTCTTTCTATGATTCTATGCTATGATTCTCTTTCTATGATTCTATGATTATATGCTATGATTCTATCTTATTTGGGTCCAGGTTCAGGGAATACATTTGAGAGTTCCAAATTTAGGGGATGTAATGGTTTCAATGTGTTCCCTTTAAAAATTCATGAGCTGGAAATTTAATCCCCATTGCAACAGTATTGACAGGTGGGGGTCTAATGGAAGATGTTCAGGATCTATTCACTCATGAATGGGTTCATGCCCTTATAAAAAAGTCTCCCAAAAGTCAGTTTGCTTTTCTTCACTATTCTACAACATGAGGAACAACAGTCCTTTCCTCTGGAAGATGCAGTGTTCAAGGTGCAATCTCGGAAGCAGAGACTGGGCCCTTACCAGACACCAAACCTGCTAGCATCTTGATCTTGGATTTTTCAGCCTCCAGAACTTAGAGAAATAATTTCTGTTGTTTATTTCTCAGATATTCTGTTACTGCAGCACCAATGGATGAGGATAGGGAATGACTGAGCCATAAGATGAAAGGATTCTGGGTAAGTCCCATCAATGAGCTGATGACATTCAATTTTCTGTCACCATCCCAGATCTTTTCCCTGTCCTTCAGGCCTGTACCCTACTGCTTACTGTGTATTTTTAGTTGGAAGGAAACCAAACACTCATTTGCCTACATTTTATTATTGTCATGTTCTTTCCCATCCTAGAGGGATTTATTTTCTAACTCATTTAACTTGATGAAATGGGTGACTTAATTGTATTAGCATAATTGGTAGTTGCTTAATTGAACAGTGTTTTTGAGAAAACTGAGAAAGTCTTGGTTTTATGAAATAGGTGCTGAAAAATAAGTACAAAGTGAGTCTACTAAGTAGATTACTCAGTTATTGTTATCATAACTCATGGTTTAATAGTAAAACTAAAAGAGCACACTTAATGTTTTATTTTTATTTATTTATTTTTTTCGAGATGGAGTCTAGCTCTTTCACCCAGGCTGGAGTGCAATGGCGTGATCTCGGCTCACTGTAACCTCCGCCTCCTGGGTTCAAGTGATTCTCCTGCCTCAGCCTCCTGCCTCAGCCTCCCAAGTAGCTAGGATTACAGGCACCTGCCACCACGCCCAGCTAATTTTTGTATTTTTAGTAGAAATGGGGTTTCACCATGTTGGGCAGGCTGGTCTGAAACTCCTGATCTCATGACCTACCCTCCTCGGCCTCCCAAAGTACTGGGATCATAGGCATGAGCCACCACGCCGGGACACATTTAATGTTTTAAATATCAATTAGACACTATAAAAGAAAGATTCTGGAAACAATCTGCTATCTACTTCAAAGCTCCTTCAAGGATACAATTTTAGTGGGCTTATTGTATATACCTACTTATTAACATTTACAACTGACAGCACTTGTGAGTCATGCCAACAACTAGGGGCAACAATTTTGAGCTTTTAAATATCTCAATTTTCAATATGGTTTTCATTTCAGTTTTGCTCTTAAGTTAAAAAAAAAAAGTCACATCTTCAGTACTTGAATGAGTTCCTAATTGATAGAAAAAACAAACATTTCCTGAATTCTTCAAATTACCCTTTTTTGAAAGTAGATGTTGAATTAGAAAGAAATCTGAATTGGGCATGAGATATCATAAACGTATTTTAATTTCAATTCTTCAGTCAGCTTAGATGATTGTCATTGGAAAAATCACTTAACATGTTGAGATCCCTTTCTGGGATAGCAGATGATCCTTCAAGTCCCATTTGGCTTCAAAATACTGTAACTCTATGAATATCTGTTAGTGTATTCCTTTTGGATGCCAAATTCAAATATTATTAGAAGACAAGAATAATTTCTAAACAGAATGCCTTTTTGCCAACCATATTTTTTGTTGGCTAGAGCAAAGTCAGTCTGATTGAGAAACAATAAATAATTAAACACTATAATACTGCTTTTCAGGGACTTAACCCAAATCTCTAGTATAAACTATGACAGTGGGGGACTAACATTATTATAGGGAAACCAGATTACTATCTAAGGAAGCAGTGATGTAATTGGATGTGGTTATTATAATGAAAAATTGCTGGACAGTGGATTAGGAAGCTCAGTTCCCAAAGGCCTGGGTGGGTCCAAGTTTCAACATTTGAGTTCATTATGTATATACATAATGTTCATTTCCATAACTCTTCACTTTTTCTTAACAAAATAGAAGATTTTGAGGGAAAAATGATTTAAACCAGTGATACATTGATGCTGGAGCTCTTTTCTTGGCTTTTGACTTGATTTGTGGTAGAAGTTTGTATAAGATTCTATTTTCATAGATATTTATTAGCAGTAATAAGGCTTAAATGACACCAAATTTATTTAAAGATTGTATGGTATTTTAAAAATCTTTTTATTAAAGGAACTACATAAAATCTCTATTGCATAAAATAGAAACAAAACAGACAAAAACAACTGTTCCTGTATTATGCCTTCACTGGAAAACTATGCTAATGGATTTTACAGATTATTGTGTACAAAGGAAACCTTGTTACCACTATCTGCCTCTTTTCCTTCAGGTTGGTTGGGATAGAGAACAGTTGCTTTTGGTTTAAGCAAGTTGCTGAAGGTAGGGATTCTATCCTGTGTATACATTTCTGAGGACAACAAAGTGGAAAGATGATTACAGCAGATCAATATTAAAAGTCAGTGAGACATATCTTTCCCTAACAAAAGATGAAGCAATAATTCATCATTTATTACATTGTAAAGGTAAAAAAATAAATTAGTTGCAAAATAATGATTCTCAAAGGTAAAGGGCTGAGGCTTTAAAGCCCCCTATGGATTCTGTATCATGTGTGCTGTATTGCTCTGCAAGACCTCCCTGAAGTACAGCTCTTTCCCCTTGCTTCAGGGAGTGTTCCAGACATCAAAACAAAAAGAGAGAGCATTTACCTCCTTTGTGTATTCATTTGTAAGCCTTTATCAGTATTTAAAACTGACAGAATGGGAGCACACAGACTTTTTTACTCACTGGATGTCTGGCCTTGCCTCTCTGCTTTTATTTGGAAAAGGTCATAGGCAAAACTGTAAAGTGGACAAAATTTGTTGAGTTCCCTCTCTCTACTCTGTCCCTGCCACGTGGCCAGTGGGCTCTTTCCTCCTGCCTGGATGCTAATGTTAGCCCCTGAGCTTCTTTAAGGCAAGGATCATCCTTTGTTTTATTGTTAATCATTCAACAGTGTCCATCATCTCTATGTTTGTCACATTAATGAAAAAATGATAAACTAATTCCCATAATCATTAGGTTCAGAATATATATATTTTCATATTAGAAGAGAACTGCTGGAAGAGAGCAATACTTAACCTCAAGGAGTGACTTGCAAATGAGAGAATTTCAGGCATTAGGGGATACGTATTGTGGAGAGGCGGGTGAGAGAGACAACTGTGACTTTGAATCTCATGATGCCAAATTTCCACATCTTTTTGCTTTATTTAAAGTCATCTGTGACTTGAGAACTTGCCCCCAAAATTTTAGATAAAAGAGTTGAGGGAAGATTATTTAAAAAAAAAATGGACAGATTTTTGGATCATCTCAGTTTTATGGATAGCATATTAAAGTCACAGGATATGGTCATTTAATACCCTGTACCAGAGACAACATTGGCTTAATTCATTTCGTGGTTTTCTCAACTGGTACAGAAGATGCTGCTCCATCAACTTGTTCTTAGGCCCTAACTCCTGTCTTGGTTTGTCCTGGACTTCTGCTCACATTCTCCCTCTTCTCCAGTTTTGGTTTCACTAGTGATATCCATTGCCTCGTTTCTGATCAGGTCAATCTCCTGGAATTGCTTTAGCCAGGCCAGCTCTTAGTTGACCTCTGAAGCAGCTCTCCTCCACCCCCTATCGACATAAGTCTGCATGTGCACAGCTGAGTCCAGGAAACTTAATCCTATTCATACATTGAATAGTAAATTATTGAATGTCTATAAAGTGCCAAGTACTGTTCTAGGTACTTGTGATATATCAGTGAATAAAGCAGAAAAAAGATCCTTACATTGATAGAGCTTGCAAATGGGAGCCTCACTTCAGGTTATCCCCATACTTTGAAAGGAACATTTTGAAGAGATTTTTGCATTAGGTGCCTTAAGTGACACCTTATAAAAGGAGCTGTGTTATAATATGGTTTCCTACCAGACAGTTTTTCATTCCAATTGGTTCTCTCTTGGAGTTTGTTCAATCAGACTTGGTAGGAGGAGTGGGAAAGACTGCAATACTGTTGTTCTACCTACGATGTATCCCATAGCATACTGATGCTCCAGTTTCTAAAAACACATATTTAAATTTTTATCTTCCATAAGAAATACTTATTGTAGGTCAGGTTCTCTAGAACAGGACATGAGGCAGAATTTCACTGTTTGTGATTTACTGAAGAAGTGCTCTTCAGGAAAAATCTTATGAGGGAGTAAGAGCAGAATTATAGGGAAGGGAAAGGAATTAACAAGGATGAGATCTCGGGTCAAGTCTAACCTTGATCTGATTTATGGGGAGGCTCTGGAATGTAAATTATATCTTAGAGATTTTCCCACTTCGTAGGCCAGGGGGCTGTGGAATCAGAGGCTAATTCTCCAGAGAAGGGGCCGTATTTTGTTAGCAGTCACTGCAGCAGATGGGAGTGGGTGCAGCAGCCAGGTAGAGGCGCACAGCAGTGCCTTTGACAGTGCCCAATTTCATATTCCCTGAGTACCATGGAATTTCCAGTACTGTGTGTGAAAATATTGATGGCCTTACAGACATTTCTGTGGATTCATAATTTTTAAAACATTTTTTGAGTATCTACTGAGTTTCAGATACTGTGCTGGATTGGTACATGGAAGAGTGTGACATGATTGCTGTCTTGAGCTACTCTGTGGACTAAGAGGGGGAAGGGACAGGGCAGCAGTGGTGTCAAGGGAGTGTGATATGATGTCTGGCAGAGTCATGAACAGTATGCTGTTTGACATGATGTGGAAGCAATACTCAATCCCAGATGGTGGCTGGGAGAGGGTCAGGGAAAGCTTCCTGATGATGTGACATCCTAGGCAATTGACTCAGAGCCTTCATAAAGTCTGTTATATTATTTTCCTGTGGCTGCCGTAACAAGTTAACACAAACTAGTGATAACAGAAATGTATTCTCACAGTTCTGGAGGCCAGAAGTCCAAAATCAGGGTGTAAGCAGGGCTGTGCTCTCTCCCAAGGCTCCGGGGAGAACCTTCCTTGCCTCTTCCAGCTTATGGTAGCTCTAGGCATTCCTTGGCTTGAGGCTGCAATCAATGCCTCCCTTTTCATGACCTTCTCTCTGTGTGTGTCTTCTCCTCTTCTGCCTCTCTTTAGGTCACTTGGCATTGGATTCAGGGCTCACCCTGATAATCCAGGGGGAACTAATCTCAAGATCTTTAATTAAATTCTATCGTCAAAGACCCTTTTTCTCCATAAGGTCACATTCACAAATCACAGGTTTCTGAGGTTAGGCTGTGGACATATCTTCTTTGGGGCCACCACTCAACTCAATACTTGACTAGTGGTTAAAGTGTTTCCTATTCCAAATGGAAAGGGGCACTACATTTAAGCTTTTGTAATTAATTGTTACATAATGGGGGAGGGGCCTCCTGGGCATAAGCTCCAAATGTTATGGTTCCCATTTATAGCCACCTTTTAGGATGCAAACTGTGAGGTAAAGCTTTTAAATTCAAACACAAAGCTTCTAGTTAACTCACTTGCCTTGGAAAATAGGGGCTATTCATCCTACATTCACTCTTCCAGTGGAAGAGACTCACGTGAGCCTAAGTCAATTTCACCTCTCAGAAAGGCTACCCACAGTGATGCCAAGTAGTCAAGATGGTTTTCATTCCAATCTTACTTATTCATAGCTCAGTATCTGGTGAGGCAACTTTCTGATCACTGATAGTGACAGGTGGAAGTTGTGGAGCAGGGAGCGCTGTTGAGGATATATAGAGTTATAGGGCTTGGTGAATAATTGGTCATGTTAGTGAGAAACAAGGAAGACCTCAAGACCTGTGTGAGCAAGACAGGATATTTAGTTCAGTTTTGAATATGGTGAATCTGAGGAAGCAGTAATTCATCCACGTGAAAAAAAATCTCATAAACTCATGACTGATGGGTTTCTAGTTTTTTTTTTTTTTAAATAAGACTTTTTTTTAAGGAAAGATATTTTGAGTATTTTTTTTTCATGAATCGTGAGATGGGAGCTGCATCTTTAAAGTTTTAACACAAACATTTTGCACAGAAGCAGTCACTCCCTAAATATGATGCTTGGCTTGAGCTATATTTTTTAACTCTGATATATTTTAAATATAATTAATATTATTTTATGCTTAGTGCATGTTGCCTGATTCTTAATTTTTATTTGTTTTAAGGGGATGTAGGCACTTTTGAATCTCCCCCCTTAGAGGATCAGGAACAATAACTAATAGGTCATAGGCTTAATACCTGGGTGATGAAATAATCTGCACAATAAATCCCCATGACACATGTTTACCTATGTAACAAACCTACACGTGTGACCCTGGACTTAAAAGTTAAAGAAAACTCCTTCCTGTTTTATTTCTCTTTTTTCATATTCTTACAAACAAAGCTCTCAAAACAAACAGTCCATTTATAATTTATATTCTTTTCTATTCCTTCTTAGTTTCTCCTTGAATCACTGAAAGGAAAAATGGGCTTGATTTTTTTTTTCGAAAGGATGAGAATTATACACAAAAAAGCTTCCCTTCCAACCTTTTTGGAAACAGTGACGTAATTGTGTTTACATGAATTTGCAAGTATGACATTGATTTACCACTTTGTGTGCACCCATTGTTGCCTTTCAAATGACTCCACTTTTCATACAACTTTAGCAAATGAAGAACTTACTGAGGTGGTCCAAGTATTTTAACAATCGTTAGTCAATTAGAATAAGTCTTTAATATTTTATTATATTTTTAATATACTTTTAAAACTTTTTTTTTTTTTTTTTTTAATGGAGTCTCGCTGTTGTCAGCCCAGGCTGGAGTGCAATGGCGCGATCTCGGCTCACTGCAACCTCCCGGGTTCCAGCAATTCTCCTGCCTCAGCCTCCTGAGTAGCTGAGATTACAGGCGCCCGCCACCAGGCCCGGCTAATTTTTGTATTTTTAGTAGAAATGGGGGTTTCACCGTGTTGGCCTGGCTGATCTCGGACTCCTGACCTCAGGTGATCCACCAGCCTTGGCCTCCCAAAGTGCTGGGATTACAGACGTGAGCCACCACGCCCGCCTAAAACATTGTCTTTTATATATTTTATACTTTATATATTTTTATATTTTTGTTCAAATATTAAAATAAAAATTGTTATCTGGCTATGTTACTTTTTTAATATGTGTGCATTTTAATAATGCATGCAAAAAACAGTAAAGTTTTAAGGGAATTAAACATTGAGTTTAATGGAGTCTTACATTTAATATGACAGCAGAACACCACAAAGTGTATCCACTTAACTTTCCTTTGCCCCAAAGTAGCTTTCTGAAAAACT
Organism: Homo sapiens; assembly: GCF_000001405.40. Classification (NCBI taxonomy): domain Eukaryota; kingdom Metazoa; phylum Chordata; class Mammalia; order Primates; family Hominidae; genus Homo; species Homo sapiens. The sequence goes on along the minus strand of NC_000012.12, from coordinate 18,426,969 downwards.
GAAGAAAATAAGACTTCATTCAGAGCTTTAATAAGAGTCTATTCATGGAAGGGCCTCATGCCAGTCAATGTATCTTATGTTTTATTATAATAACATGCTAGAGGAATTGTTCTGCTTTTTAAATTAGGCATTTAAAATGAAAATAAGCATCAAATCAAACAGTCTCCGACCAAGTTCCTGTGTATCTTCTTTGCTACATCTTCTTGAGTGATTTTCATGAGAAGAGTGATCTCATTATGAGTAACATTTCTTGAAGCAGAAAAATATGACACTCCAAAATGATATTGACTTGCTGTTTTCCTGTTATTTAGTGGTCTTAACTATCAATCAAAGCAACTAAATGATGCCTGTCATACATTCAGGAGAGTAAAACATAGATCTAATTTTATCCTTAGGTCATTGAAACTTATAATTGTTAAAACTTTGTCCTATGAAATTAAAATTGAATCAACAAGGTTAACAATACAAAGGAAAGTAGGAAGAACAGTATGCAAAGAATATTATGTTCAATAGAATCAAGTGTAGGTGATAATAGGATAAATCGTTTTTTGAAAACAGGATTGGAACCAAAATTTGTTTTTAATAAGTGAGTTTTTAACATTAGAAGGATTTTATTCTTAACTCTCAATTATATAATCACAAAAAAAAATCAATGTTTCAGGAAAACACACTTAATCCTAACATAAAATTCATGTCACTTATCACAAAGTTAGATAGTCAAGTGTATAAAGGAGAAACAAAACAGAAATAGTAATTTTAAACCACATGAGACATCGCAAAGAATTTTTTTTGTTAATAAACAACCCATAAATACTTTTACATACTACATTTCAAAAATGATGCATCTATGAATAATATGATAAAGGTCATAGTGTTGAAGACTTTAAATTCAAGGTCATCATGTTGAAGACTTGAAATTAAATTCAAGGTTGTAGTGATGAAAAATTCAAAGTCAAGGTCTTGATGACAAAGACTTTAAATCCAAGGATATATTGTGTAAGAAAGGACAAACCACTAGCATTCAAGTTATTTATCCAATTAGTTCTCTGTGAGTACAAAATATAAGAAATCACTACATGGATTGGCCTAATTAGAAATTTTATTTCATTTATAAATAACTCTTAACTTCAGGAAATCTTTTCACAGAATCATTCAGTCACATGGTATTTATCTACCCTTGTGTAGGTATTTCTGCTACACTTTAAATCCTTATTCAAAACAATTCTCTCTCCATTTCTCTATGTTTTTAAGTATAAAATATTTTAAAAGGAAGAAATGTCAGCTGGGCTTGGTGTCTCACACCTGTAATCCCAGCACTTTGGGAGGCCAAGGCAGGCAGATCATGAGGTCAAGAGATGAAGACAATCCTGGCCAATGTGGTGAAACCCTGTCTCTACCAAAAATACAAAAATTAGCCAGGCGTGGTGGTGTGTGCCTGTAGTCCCAGCTACTCGGGAGGCTGAGGCAGAAGAATCGCTTGAACCAGAGAGTTGGAGGTTGCAGTGAGCTGAGATTGCACCACTGCACTCCAGCCTGGTGACAAAGTGAGACTCCGACTCAAAAAAAAAAAAAAAAAAAAAAAAGAAATGTCTGTCCTTTAGCTAGAGAAAAAAAGCAACCCATTTCCTTCTTTACTTCAAAAACACAAAACAAACCAAAACAATCCAATTCCTAATGTAATGTCATACAGAACACAGGGCCTGGAACAATATTTCATTCTGGTTTTCCTGCTATATGCTGAGAATAATTTAGTTATTTACATTATTGAGAAATCTATTTAGCAGACTAGAATCATCCCAATGCTTCCATCAGCAGAAGGCTTGCTAAAAAAGGCACGAGCAGTGGCATCTACAAATGGGAACATCAAAGACTCTACTCTCTCTTTCTCCTCATCTTCTTCTGATTCATCCATATCTGCTGAATCATCATCAGCATCATCATTATCATTTTTTCTCCTCCCCCTCATCTTTCTCTTCCATCTCTTCATATTCATCAGGACCCATTTCCAATCATACTATAGACACCCTGAACGTTGGACATGCCATATGGAATTGGAGAATGGCAACATTAAAGATATTTAAAGTACAGGAAATGGTAGGTATAATACCCTTCCATATATCGTGGTGTTGTAGAGAATGTGGTACAGCTGCTCCAGTCATATACCCAGCCTGGGCTGATGACTGGAAATTCACAAGCTAATCCAGGTCCTTGAACTTCTTCTACTTCACCTTTAGCATTCGTTAGTCTCCACTAGCAACTGTCCAACTGACAAGCCTTCTCAGGAATAGCATCTTTTGACAATCTTAATTCGGTGTGTGAAGGAATAGTGGGGTTGATGTACAGAAGCTAAGTTCTGGCAGAAACTATGGGGAAACTGAAATGCTAATATCCTCAGGTGTTGCTATAGACATTCTGGCATCTTATGAATCAGTCTTATTTCTTCACTAATAATATTTCAAATTTATGCTTTGGGAAAAGTTTAGTGCTCTAGAAATTTTCAACAGAATGAGTATACATTAGCCTTTGAATTTTATGGTTTATAACTAATATTGCACAGAAAGTATTTTTATACCACATATTCTTCCAAAAACATTCAGTCTCATAACTAGATTTTACATTAAAATCTTCAAGGAGTAGATATACAAATTGCACTTGTCATTTAAAGCTACAAGAAAGGCATCATTCAGATTTGAAATTCTGTTTGGATTTAACTTCCTGATTAACAGTAGCAACTGTCCAACTGGTAGATTTTGAAAATGATGACACATTATCCTCTTAAATAAAAATGACATTGACAAAGACTCAAAACTGCCTGAATTTTATGGTCTGTATCAATTATAAGGTAAAGAAATATTCTGCTTCCTCTAAAGCTGCCCCATAGAGAAGGTGGCAATTAAAAAGGCATCCTTGCCTGATTTAGTTAATCTTACCAGTAAAGACGATGGGCAACCTGGATGCTCTGCAAGGAGCGGTGGAGTAGAAGTTGCACTAAAGGACTCTCAAGGTTCCATTCAAACTTGACAGCCTGAAGTAAGAGACACAATTACTTTACTTCTCAGTAACAAAATTATAGCAGAATACAGAGGGACTTCAGAGGCTTGAGAAAAGACTAGAGAAAACAGCATGCATATTTTAACAAAATGCTAATAACACATTCGATGATTTTATGAGTCGGTATATGACTAATAACAAAACACATATACATTACACCATTTGGATTTGTATAGTTTTGCTTCCTTTCCTTGTATATGGATAAGAAATAAGGGCAGGTGGTTGGTGGAGTTCAACCATGTACCAGGGGAGAATACTGACACAAAAAGTCCTGGATTATTAAATACAATATTATTAAGCCACAGATATTTTTTCCTATTTGGAGATGAAATTAATGCACATTCAAAGCCTTAACAGAAATCATCATCAACTGGTGTATCATTATCAACCTCCAGGCCTTGAGGTTTTGCTTAAAATTTCAAAACTGACTGTTACTACCGTAACTCAGTCCCAAATCCTTTCTTTCATCTCCACTGTGAACAACTCTTAAGTTTTTTAGGATACTCAACTGGGTAGAAAACAGAGATAACAGTGGCAGCCCCCACTATCCTTAGGGACCTAATTTAGGGCTTCATCTGTCCTCTGCAGGGACTTCACTGACAGGAATCTGTAGCTGAGCTGCTATCATCATCCCAGGAATCTGTATATATGAAAATGAAAACCCAGTTCTCATAAAAATGCCCATTCCTGCTTGAGAGACAAAGCTTATATCTTTAGTTGTTTGATAAACCATTTAAGTCTCTCTCTCTTACACACACACACACACACACACTCTCTCTCTCTCTCTCAAAGCTTCAGAGTCTAAGCCAGGCTTTATACCACAGTACAGACAGCAGGAAAAAATGAGTACAATATCCAGTCATACATACACTTGAAGAAACACCTCAATATGCTAGCCATCCTCAAGAATGGGAAAGTTTATAAATTCCTAAGATGTGAGGGTGCTGAAGATGAGTTCAGCAAATTTGCATAAACTCCTGATGCTGTCTGACTATAGAAGGACAATAATGTGTGCTGTCTTAAACTGTAGCCATGGCACTCTATCATTCACGTGCTACTGCTGGACTGACTAGGTCATGGGTTTTATTTATGCCCTAATAGTGAGCATATTATATGAGCATATGAGCAGGAGGTATGTTTCAGAATTACCTACATGCTTGCCTTTTTAGATGTCTGCCCATTATTTCTTCTTGAACCCAGTATCTATGTGTTACCCCTCGCTTCCAAGCTTCCTGCTTTACTCTGTCCACTGTTACAATTTCCCCCTAAATCCCGCCTGACCATCTAGAATGTAGACAATTTTTCTGGTGAACACCACATTATCTGAAGTGGTTTGCAGTAACCCCTGGGTCTGGGTCTTATTTGACTCTTAGCTATGAACTGCATCTTCTGTTTTGTTACAGCCTTAGGGTCTTTTCTTACAGCTTTAATATAGACTGCATAATTCTAACATGATAATACGTAACAAAATAGCATGATTCAAGAGAACAACCAACAGGTTAGGATTTTTTTATGTGTTGGAATGTTTGAAATTCAAGGTAGAGTATAGAAGTCTAAGGACAATGAGTGTTTTGAAATTCTTCCAGTGTTTTTTTTTTAAATTTTTCTAGTCACATTATCTATTTCTTTCCATCTCAGGACATTTTATAACTTTCCTTTTTAATCATGACATAGTTGAAACTTTAATTTTGCCTTCTGTGTATTTGCTGTGTTAGATTGTGTGCACACTGTCTTATACATTTGGATTTGTGGCAATATGGGTCTCAATGACATTCCTGATGCCAAGTGTACTTACTCAGATAGAGACTTTCAAATGAGTTTAATGTCTACAGACTTTTGTGAAAACGTATTCTCCTGAATTGGGCTCGAAATAGCATGTTGCCATACCCATGAGTCATGAGATGAACGGTAAACTTGTAAGTTAGATTAACCCTTATTTTCAAGAAAGACTGGATTGTACTCTCTGGTACAGCTATTTCTAAACCAGCTCTCTTTTTTAAGGAGAACTTCAGAGAAATTCATAATCTCTGTGCAGTCATACTCTACTAAAGTTTATTAATATAGGCTCCTTCTACCAGTTTCCAGTCACTTTTCAAAACCTGAGGCAACTGACATTCAAACTAGCTGTAACAACCTGACCTTTCAGATAAAAAAAAAAAGCTGGATTAAAAACAAAACAAAGCATAAAAACCACAAGTTTAGATCTATTTAGCTGTCAGCATACAGTCATCCTGGAAAAAACAAAAACAACTTACCTTCTATTCTATATCTATTAGATACTCTGTTATTTACATGGTCATGTGTGGCATGTTTAATTTACTTGTTTATATTTCATCGTATTCAGACTAAATCAGTCTTTGCTTACATTTCTAGATAACTTTATATTATTTTCTAAAATTACTCCAACATTGTGATATTTGATGATACTAAAATGTACTATTTGGTGGCAAAATTTGGCTATTAGAAATTACTGTGATAAAATTTATTATCAATATTATAAGCCTCTAAAGAAGTGCAAGAAACTCATAAATTATGAAAACCTGCCTAGCAAATGATTATTTTCTACATAACATTTATTTGGTAATTTTTATCATTTTATATATACATATTTATAAATTTGTATCATGAGCATGTCTATTTTTTCATATTCTAATTAATAAATGAAATCATTTTTAAAAAATTTTCCTTTTTGGAATTAATGTATTTTGTAATTGTAACAATTTCAGCTAGAGAATGTCTTCATTACCCATGTTGACATCATTTAGTCCCTTGGGTGGCCAAATTGCAATGTCACTTCTAGATAGACTATTGTTGATTCATTAGGAACCTTTTAGAGATAATTAGTTAAAACCCTGGGTTTCCTTAGCAACTCTTCTATTCTTACCTGAACTAGCTGTGGGAGATATTCCAGTAGTTCATCATTCAAGAGGTTGTCTAATTGTTGAACTGCCACTTTACGAATTTCTTGATCTGGAAAACTAATACACAGTAAATATATCCACTAAGCTGTTAATGGTAAGGAATAATGCATAAGACATGTCAGGGAGAACAGAGAATGAATTCTACCCCCAGTGCATAAGGTAAAACAATTATCCCACAATCGATTAAGGTAATATTAGCACCAAATAATTCTTATTTTTTCATATTCTATACTCTCGTGTGGACTACAGTAGAAAATCCTTTCAACTAGACTTTGGAAATGTGGTTTTAAGTCTGATTCCTGCCGGCTTTCTTATCTATAAAATGTGGATTATGGATAATCTAAAATCTTTTCTAAAGTAGTATGAAAATCTTTGCTTCTTATTTAGCCAAGCATTTGATAAATAAGTTATTACCAACTGGAAATCTGATTATATGATTCAAAATGTGATCTAATATTTTTAACCAGTCTTAGCCAGATCTTACCACAAACCAGAAATCTAAAGTTCTTTAGAATAAATAAACAAAAATAATTTAATACAGCTAAATCTTACTAGTAGACTGTGAAGTTCTTGAAAGAAACTGTGCCTTATTCATTTTTGGATGGCATTTGCCTGTTGTAAGATTTAGCACCCATTAGGCACTTAATAAATGTTTTTTATTTAAATAAATTTGTGAGGTATTTAGCATTTGAAGTCCTGTTCCAAAGACAATTTATCCTGAAATGGATTCCTCAAATTGTCATCTTGCTCCATCAGAAGAAATAGATTCAATTATCTCAAAGTTCCTGGGAAGTGCTTGGAGATAATTTTGGCTCCATATTGCTTTGACATTGATTAGATATTACTAGGGCTTTGGTAAGAAGAATTAATTTTAAAGAAACAATTTTTTAGAAAAAAATTAACAAGCATAATTTAAAACGTGAAGGAACTGCTTATAGTAATTTATTTACAAATAAAAACAAACAAACCAGAAATTAATTTTGTAGACAACTAACTGAATGCTTTTCAACCAGTCAGGTGAGGGCTCTAAAGATTGGCTTCCAGTAGGAGGTTAGAAAACTGTAAAGTCTTTAATGGTCAGTGTTTTCTCAGCATATCAGGTTACTGAAGGGTTAAATGGGAACTATGCCGCCATCGAGTCAAGTAAACAGTGGTATCACATAACTCAATTGTCCTTGATGGCAGCTTCAAATGGAATGCTAAGCAAGTTACATATTTTTTCTTCATTAAACTGAGCATTTTAATTGCAACAAGAATTTTACCTATAAGGTTAGTCAGTCAAAACTCTTATTTCTGACCTGCAAGTACATTTCCAGTATTTTTCTCCTGTTGAACATTCTAGCAACGAGACCTACTGAGAACTGCGGTCCAGACACATTTGGTGAAGTATTGCAAAGGTCAGAAGATCTCAGCATAACGTCATGCACAGGTGGAGGGCAGAAAGAGTGCAATTAAAATGCAAAGCTAGAAGCAGTTCAGCTTGTTTTAGTACATTAAGACTTTAGATTCTCCTAACTAAATGTGATTGACTCTAATTTATTGCTCTCAATTACTAAACCATTTGTCTGAAACTTGTAGACATCAAGGTCAGTGTGAGGACAGTTTGAAGTCTTGGAGGGAATAGTTACTAGGTAAGTTTTGTTGCCTAAGTGATGACTTGTTAAGTTAGCTATCAGTCGCCCATGCTTCCCTGTGTGACTATTTTACCTTATTGATAGAAATGACAAAAGAGGAGTATAAAAGGAACATCACAACAAAACAATGCTCTTTGGTGAATGCTATATCTTTAACTATGTGTTTATTTCCACTAGAATGCAAACTCCAGAAAGGCAGTAAATTTTTGTCTGTTTTGTTCATAGATGTGTCCCCAATGCCTTCAGATTTGTAGGCACTCTCTACATATTTCTTAGAAGACTGTTCAACCTGAACTCATTGTCGTTACACGTAAACATCTTTACTACCAGCCTTCCTCACTGTAGTCTGTGTTATCACCTTTCTCCAATTACATAGACTTAAAATGTTAAAGGTAATATTTTGCCCCTCTTTATTACTTTTTTCACCTTTCCCATCTGATGGAATTCTATTCATCCATGAACTCCAAGCTCAAGCATCAATTTACCTGTGAAGCTGTTCCAGCAATATTTTAACACCCTGTGGAGTTGATAACTCCCTTCTCTATAAAATTCTATATTATATACATCATTGAGGGCAGGCTCATTTAGTTATGGTTCCCTAGCCCAAGCGCAGTTGAATAAAAGTTTTTGGAATTCCTAGTATTCTCTTATCTTTACATCTAATCAGTTGCCGAGTTCTGTTGATTTTTCTATCCTAATGGCTCTAGCCTTTAATGCTTGCTTTTAATTTCTTCTGCTGCTGTCTACTCTAGGCCATAATTACCTCATGCTAATACTAACATTTTTAATAGTAATACCTTATCAAATCCCTTAAACTATTTTATTTGTCATAAAACATTAAATGGTTTTCTATATCTAATAAACCTCCCTTTAGTACACACTGCAATCTAAATATTCAAGGCTAGCAAAACACTCTAGATTTTTCTTCTACCATTAATATTCACTGAACCAGTCTGGCTCATTGATATATTCTACTCTGAAAATGCATGTGCATTTTCACCTTTGTGCACACTGTAACTTCTGCTGGAAAACCCTCCCTTAGTTCTTTAAGTTCTAGTCCTCCTTCAAAATGTAGATCAAATTCCCTTGAAGGTGCCTCTGTTAGTCCTTAGTAATCACTTCTCTGAAAGCCAAGGATATTGACTGGTTGACTCCCACTTAAGATATGACAGTGTGTATTAGAATTTATCTTTTTACATATGTGTCCTTATTCCTCAACTACTGACTAATTCAACTGAAGATGAGGATTGTTCAATGTTTTCTTTTTTATTGCTAGGATTTAGCAACTTCATATATGGTTGCAATGAATAAAAATGCATTGATCATGATGATAATAATTACAAAAATACTACTATAAAGTCAATTTTATTTCCTTCTGTGTTTTGAGATAGTTTCCATTGGTTGCAATAGGTTTAATTTTATAAATACCACTCATATAAATTCCAGATCTTTTTTTCTCTCCGTCAAAAGCATAGGAGAAAAACAAATCTGAAGGCAATGAAAGAGAGGGATGTACAGGCATACCTCAGAGATATTGCAGGTTTGGTTCCAGACCACCACAATAAAGTAAAAATATCACAATAAAGCCAGTCGCACATTTTTTTTTTGTTTTTTTTAATGTATGTAAAAGTTCTGCTTATACCATACTGTAGTCTACTAAATGTGTAATAGCATTATGTCAAACAAATCATTAAATTAAAAACTTTTATTAAAAATACTTTGTTGCTAAGAAATGCTAACAATAAACTAAGCCTTCAGCAAGTTCTAATCTTTTTGCTGGTGGAGGGTGTTCGGTCCATGTTGATGCCTGTGGACTGATCAGGATGGTGGTTGCTGAAGGTTGGGGTGGTTGTGGTAATTTCTTAAAATAAAGGCAACAATGAAGCTTGAATCGATTGACTCTTTTTCATGAAAGATTTTTCTGTAGTATGTGATGCTGTTTGATAGCATTTTATTAACAGTAGAACTTCTTTCAAAATTGAAGTCAATTCTTTCAAGCCCTGCCACTGCTTTCTCAATCATGTTTATATAGGATTCTAAATCCTTTGTTATCATGTCAACAATGTTCGCAGCATCTTCACCAGGAGTAAATTCTATCTCAAGAAACCACTCTTTTTTGCTCATCCATAAGAAGCAACTCCTCATCCCTTCAAATTTGTCATGAGATTGCAGCAATTCTGTCACATCTTCAGGCTCCACTTCTAATTCTAGTTCACTTATAAGTTCTACCACATCTACAGTTCCTTCCTCCACTGAAGACCTGAACCCCTTACTGTCATCTATGAGGATTAGGATCTACTTCTTGAAACTCCTGTTAATGTTGATGTTTTGACCTCTTCCCATGAATCACCAATGTTCTTAATTATATCTAGAATGGTGAATCCTTTCCAGAAGGTTTCCAATTTACCCAGATCCATCCAAGGAATCACTGTCTATGGCAGCTGTAGGCTTATGAAACATATTTCTTAAATAATAAGACTTAAAAGTCAAAATGACTCCTTGATCCAAGGCTTCAGAATGGATGTTTTGTTAGCAGGCATGAAAACAACATTAACCTCCCTATACATCGCCATCAGAGCTCTTGAGTGACTGGGTGCATTGTCAATGAGTAGTAATATTTTGAAAAGAATCTTTTTTTCTGAGCAGTAAGTTTCAACAGTGGGCTTAACATATTCAGTAAACCATGCTGTAAACAGATGTGCTGTCATCCAGGCTTTGTTATTCTATTTATAGAGTACAGGCAGAGTCATTTTAGCAGAATTCTGAAGCACCCCAGGATTTTTGAAATAGTAAATGAGCATTGGCTTCAATTTAAAATCGCCAGCTGCATAGTCCTAACAAGAGAGTCAGCTTGTCTTCTGAAGCCTTGAAGCCCAGCATTGACTTATCTTCCCTAGCTATGAAAATCCTAGATAGCATCTTTTTCCAATAGAAGGTTGTTTCATCTATATTGAAAATCTGTTGCTTAGTGTAGCCACAGTCTTCAATGACCTTAGCTGGATCTTATGGATAACTTGCTGCAGCTTCTACATCAGCACTTTCTGGTTCACCTTTAGGTTACAAATACGGCTTGCTTGCTTTCTTCCTTCCTTCTTTTCTTTTCTTTTCTTTTTCTTTTTGAGATGGAGTCTTGCTCCATTGCCCAGGCTAGAGTGCAGTGGTGCAATCTCAGCCCACTGCAACCTCTGCTTCCCAGATTCAAGTGATTCTCCTGCCTCAGCCTCCTGAGTAGCTGGGATTTTAGGCACCCGCCACCACACCCAGCTAATTTTTGTATTTTCAGTAGAGACGGGGTTTCACCATCTTGGCCATCTGGCCTTGAACTCCTGACCTCATGATCCACCCGCCTCGGCCTCCTAAAGTGCTGGGATTACAGGCATAAGCCACTGCGCCCGCCCGGCTTTTTTCTTAAACCTTATGAACCAACTCTGCTAGCTTCAAACTTTTCTTCTGCAGTTTCCTCATCTCTCTTAACTTTCATGAAATTGAAGAGAGTTAGGGCCTTGCTCTGGATTAGGCTTTGGCTTCAGAGAATGTTGTGAGATTTGATCTTATATCCAAATCACTCCGACTTTGTCCCTTGCAGCAATAAGACTGTTTCACTTTCTTATCAGTCTGTCTTCACTGGAATAGCACTTCTAATTTCCTCCAAGAACTTTTCCTTTGCATTCACAATTTGGTTAACTGTTTGGCACAAGAAGCCTAGCTTTTAGCCTATCTAAGCTTTCAACATGCCTTTCACGTTATGCTTAATCGTTTTAGGCTTTTGATTTAAAGTGGAAGACATATAACTCTTCCTTTCACGTGACTACTTAGAGGCCATTGTAGGGTTATTAACTGGCCTAGTTTCAATATTGTAGGGTCTCAGGGAACAGGGAGGCCCAAGGAAAGGGAGAGAGACAGGGAGCAGCCAGCAGGTGGAAGAGTCAGAACACACACAACATTAATGGACTAAGTTCACTCTGTACTGTGGGTGCACCTTGTGGTGCCTCAAAACAATTGCAATAGTAACATCAGCAATCGCTGATCACAGATCACCATAACAGATATAATAATAACAATGATACTTGAAATATTGTGAGAATTTCCAAATGGGACATAGTTACACAAAGTAAGCACATGCTGCTGGAAAAACCTCACCGATAGATTTTCTTGACTCAAGGAAGCCACAAATCTTCAGTTGTAAAAACACACTATCTGTGAATTACAGTAAAGTAGAGCACAATAAAGTAAGGTATGCCTGCATTTTTCTTTCAAAAACAGGAGAACAAAAAATTAGTAATACAGTACCTATATAGTCAAAAAGGAAAATTGTGTATTTGTATCAATATATGCAAATGCTGGGAATAATTTTTTGCACTTTAATGGAAAGGGATGTCTCTGTTTATTTATTACTATTGCTTGAAGTTCCAGAAGAAGCTGAAAGAGAAATAGCTATAAAACTAACCACATGACATTCTGAGATGTGACTAAGGCCTAACTTGACATTAAAGCATGTCCGAACATAGCTTGCATTTGACTATTTTAGGAAGTGTTGGCCGCATTAAAAATGATGCCAGCAGTACTGCTGAAGTTCCTGCAACATGGGCTCTTTCATACTTGTTGGCAATATAGGTCAACATGTATTAAAACAAAACCAAAAACAAAATTTAAGTGTGCTTATTTTTTTTGATCTATCTATTTACCTTTTGGGAATTTATTTTAAGAATATGATGAGTGACGTGTGTGAAGATATGTATGTGTATGCAAACAAAATTGGGAATAATATAAATGTCTAAAAATTAATAGTTAAATTAAATATGATATAACTATGTGATGGAATATATGCATTCCTTAAAAATAGTAAAAAAGTTTAATGAAATAAAAATACTAAGAGCCATTTTTTGTAGTATAATGCCATTTTTAAAATATGTATATGTCTCTCAATATGATTAACAAAAAGATGAGAAGGATGAAAACATTAATACCAAATATCTGAATGGAGGTGTCATAGATTACTTTAATTTTCTTTTTTAAGCTAAGTTTTAAAAAGTTTTTCAAATTTTCTATACGAAAGTTTTATTAATTGCTAAGAAAACGAATAATACTTTTTAAAAGTAAAGCTTGTCCAACTAGTTAATGAATATATATGAATAATTACGAACTCATGACTAACACTAGAAAAAAGCTTCAAATCATATGCCCTTTTAAGAGTATACATTGTTGCGTGAAAGAGCAAGCATTCTACTTTTTAGTTGCCTTAAAATTTTCTTCTAACATAGAATACCTCTGGAGAATTTATGCTTAACTTGATACCTTTTCAAAAAGGGCTCCTGAACTCAGGTATAGATCGATGGACAAATATGTTCCACAAATCCTGGCATTTCTTTTCTGTGATATTATCTGAAATTATTTAAACACTCTTTTGGGATATAGTTGTTGGCATTTCATTCTCAGTAACTTGATCCTCAATGAGGTGAGGGCTACGCATTATTTCTCTGACTTTGGTGTGATATTTACAGACTGAAATGTCATATGTAACAGAAAAACTACAACCTATTTTGAATTTTCCACAAGCCAGGTTATCCTGCTTTATTAGATTTGCTTGAAAAATGCACATATAATTCCTTTATATCATACCAGGAGACACTCTTTAGCAATTCTGCTAACCTTGGAACTACTAATTACTATTGAAGTGAATATTACACTTTGAGTATGGGACTTAAACAAAGTACTGCTAGGAGATTCATGAGGCTGATGTCAACTAGGACCTTAATTACATTTATAAGAAACTTCCTTATAATCAATCATAAAATGGATTATTACAATGTAACAAATGGACATCTGGCTTGAGATATAAAAAAGATAAAGGTCAATAAAATTTCATTATTTCTTGGGAAGCAGATCATGTAAAGCAAAAGAAATTCTCATTTATTATGAAAAAAATACTTCTTAAAATTAGGCTTGACAAGAATTCATGTACAATAATCAATTCTTTAAGGTAGTTCATTATTCTCTAAGTGTTCACCTAAGCACTTTATGTTACTTAATTTATTTTCCCAAATGTGTCTTAACAGGGAGGAAACACAAATCACTCTGTCTCTCTGTTTCAGGATTTAATTGGCCTCCAAGTTGAGCTAACAATTGAGTCTCTGGAATCTGTTAAAGGACAAGATCTCATCGCTAAGATAAATATAACTCTGTACATTAACCATTAAGAAATTATCTACACTTGAACATGGGCCATTGTCCAATGAAGACACTGAGAGACAAAGAAAAAAATACTCTATGAAGGCTAAGATTGTAAGGGTTAATAAAAAGAATCAAAGACACATGGCTAAAAACTCAGAAGGTGGAAAAGGTATAATTAAAGCAACTTCATGATTATTTTCAAAGGAACTTCAATGAAATAGCAACTCTATATCTTGCCAACAATGTAGGGTAAAACACAAAATGGAGGGCCAAGCAAAGGATTAAGTTGAAATGGTAATGCTTACACGTGCAGGGAAGGAAGAGCACCAAGTGTTTAGGTAACTCTCCAGCTCAAGGTGGAGGTAATAAGTGACCAATGGTTAGGATTTGTTGTACAACAGTGGCCTTTTCTAATGCTGGGTATCAGGACATTTTTACATTCTTAAAAATTATTGAAGACTTCAAAGAGTTTTGGTTTATGTGAATGATATCTATCAATAATTATATTAGAAATAAATTCAGGACATTTAAGAAATATTTATCAATTCATTTGCAATCACATTAATAAACCCATTTTATGTTAACATAAATAATATATTTCTGAAAAGAATATTTCCAAAACAAAGACTATTTGGTGAGATTAGTAATATTGTTTTACATTTTTGCGAGTCTCTTTAATATGTGGCTTAATGAAAGAGAGCTGGATTCTCTTACTGCTTCCACGTTAAATCTGTTGCCTTATTTTAAATCATGTGGCCCCTGGAAAACCCCACCCTACAGTCATGAGCAAATGAGTGTGACAAAGGCAAATAGCATCTTAGAATTATTATGGAAATAATTTTAGCCTTGTAACACCCCTGTAAGCATTTGGGGGATTTCAGGCCTCACTTTTAGAACCTCTGATGTACACAGCACAGTTTGGCATGGATCATTGTTATGTGGCCATAAGTTAAGGAATTAGCACTTGTGGACTGTTTCTCAGCCTGTGTTTTCTCTGGGCTCAAATTATCTGTGAAGTCATCTGACCAACATTCAGACTTGGGAATCGTCATTACTCTTCTCTTTTCTCAAACATTTACAGTCCCTCTCATCTCAGAGCACTGTAGGAATATCCAGAGGATTTAGGCAAATGTCAATAGGGCCGGTGGAGTCATGAAATAAAATTTCAACAGAAAAATATATTTTTCAAGTTCTTCCATTTGACAGTAAAAAAAACACTTCTATTCCTTTTTTAGATTTTCTCCCCTTATTGTTTTTTTCACTTGTTCCTCTTTTCTAGTTTGAAAAGGGTATAGGGAAAATATCTTACTCAAAGAACTTTTGAAGTGATGGGTGAAAGCCAAATGCGATGTAACAAATGTCAACCTTTTAAAAAAGCAACTTTGAGTAAACTGAAAAGCAAAGAAATCTGAGATCAAATTTAAGTGTAATGGAAATGTCAGACTTCAGAATACACAGCAAGAATTCATGCAGAATATGCCATGAGGCTATTCACAGCTAAAAGCCCCAATGTCAGGTTAGAATTAGAAAATCATCAGAAGTGCAGAACTGTTTCTCCAACAGATTTTGAGTCTGATGACACACTCAGCATCAGCTTGGAAGAAAAATGTCAATATGAATATCTTTGCTATTTTTCTAGTACTAAAAATGATCAGATGTGACAAGAATTTTTTTTTCTAGCAAAGTGGTGAATAGGATTTTTTTAAGATGATTGTAAATGTCTATCTACTGAATAATTCATGTTCTTTCAAGGATTTTTATATGGTTACAGAATATTAGAACCCAAAGAAACTTGAGACCTAGTTTAATCTCCTTATACAGATGAAAAAACTCAAACTCGGAGTATAAGCAGTTTTCCCAACACCATTTGTTTGTGTCACTGAAACTATCATCCAGATATCCAAAACACTAGGCCATTAGGCTTTCTACAGCACCCCTAGCAAGGACTTTTCATTTTTTTGACTGGATATTTTTATATTTACTTATACAAAAATCACAAGATTATCTTGGGTATATTATTTATTTTATTGCATTCTAAATGGATCAGTAAAGATATTTAATAGTAAGCAATGTAATCTGTCTAACTGGACTGGGACATTGACCCAGTCATGATATAACAGGAATAATAATGAATCTCAGACCGAAGGAGACATGGAAGCCATACAGAGATATTTCCTGATGGATAGTATATGGACTTGCATATAGAAATTGGGAATTAACTAGATGGTCATTGTATTAGTGAATTAAAATTGCTATTTACAATTAAAAAGCAGTTCTTGATTTCGCTCCTCTTATATAATTACACGTTGATTTTACATGTAGCTAATCTTAAAAAGTCACTGTCATAAAGCCAGTAGTGTACTGAAAGCACCATGTAGATATTATGTTTGGATGCACTAAACATAAACATTATATGTAAAAGTAACATGATGCACTGAAAAGGATAGAAATTTTGAGTTTAAACATCGAGACTGTTCTTTTATTGCCTTATGTTCCCTCTCTCTAAGCAAATTCATCTATATCTTTCACTTAATTCACATCCTTCTGTGGATGATTACAAAACAAATTGGAGTCTCTAGCTTAGACTTTTTGAACAACCAAATCTGTAAATGCAACTATTTCATGACACCTCAAAGCCAATGGATCCTAATCTGAAAAATAATCTTTTTTTTTTTTTTTTTTCTTTCTGAGATGGAGTCTCACTCTGTTGCCCATGCTGGAGTGCAGTAGCGCAATCTTGGCTCACTGCAACCTCCACCTCCTAGGTCCAAGTGATTCTCCTGCCTCAGCCTCTTGAGTAGCTGGGACTACAGGCCTGTGCCACCATGCCTGGCTAATTTTTGTATTTTCAGTAGAGACAGGGTTTCACCATGTTGGCCAGGCTGGTCTCAAACTCCTGACCTCAGATGATCTGCCAACCTCACCTCGGCCTCCCAAAGTGTTGGGATTATAGGCGTGAGCCACTATGCCTGGCCTGAACAATAAGGCTCTTCTAAAATTTGCTAGTCAGCTAGTGTGCCCCATGTTGGTGAATGTTTCTATTATGACCTACTTACATAAGACAGAAACATAGAACTGAGCCTTGATATGGTTTGGATTTGTGTCCCCACCCAAATCTCATGTTGAATTGTAATCCCCAGTGTGCTGGAGGTAGGGCCTTGTGGGAGGTGATTCACTCATGGGGGCAGATTTCCCCCTTTAGTGCTGTTCTAGTGATAGAGTTCTAATGATATCCGGTTGTTTAAAGTGTGTGGTACCTCTCCCCATCTCTTCCTCCTGCCCAGCCATGTGAAGGTGTGCCTGCTTCCCCTTTGTCTTCCACCATGGTTGTAAGTTTCCTGAGGCCTCCCCAACCATGCTTCCTGTATAGCCTACAAAACCATGAGACAAACCCCTTTTCTTTATAGATTACTCAGTCTCAGGCATTTCTTTATAGCAATGTGAGAACAGACTAATACATCCTTGACACATCTCTTTTTCACAGACCCTCTCCATTCAATTCTGCCATTTTCACTCCCATTTTCTCATTCTGTTCATTTAATTACATCATTGCTGCCACCTTCCGAGGATGACTGCCATTCTCTGACACCTAAACTACTTCCATTGCTTCCTAACAGGAAGCTTATTTTTATTTTTTATTTTTTAAATTATACTTTAAGTTCTGGGGTACATGTTCAGAACAGGCAGGTTTGTTACATAGGTATACACATGCCATGGTGGTTTGCTGCATCCATCAACCCATCATCTACATTAGGTATTTCTCCTAATGCTATCCCTCCCCTAGCCCCACACTCCCCAACAGGTCCTGGTGTGTGATGTTCCCCTCCCTGTGTCCATGTGTTCTCATTATTCAACCCCCACTTACAAGCGAGAACAGTTGGGGTTTAGTTTTCTGTTCTCATGTTAGTTTGCTGAGAATGATGGTTTCCAGCTTCATCCATGTCCCTGCAAAGGACATGAACTCATCCTTTTTTATGGCTGCATAGTATTCCATGGTGTATATGTGCCTCATTTTCTTTATCTAATCTATCATTGATGGGCCTTTGGGTTGGTTCCAAGTCTTTACTATTGTGAACAGTGCTGCAATAAACATACATGTGCATGTGTCTTTATAGTAGAATGATTTATAATCCTTTGGGTATATACCCAGTAAATGATTGCTGGGTCAAATGGTATTTCTAGTTCTAGATCCTTGAGGAATTGCCACATTGTCTTCCACAAAGGTTGAACTAATTTACACTCCCACCAACAGTATAAAAGCGTTCCTATTTCCCCACATCCTCTCCAGCATCTGTTGTTTCCTGACTTTTTAATGATCGCCATTCTAACTGTCCTGAGATGGTATCTCATTATGGTTTTTATTTGCATTTCTCTAACGACAAGTTATGATAAGCTTTTTTTCATATGTTTGTTGGCTGAATAAATGTCTTCTTTTGAGAAGTCCTTCACCTACTTTTTGATGGGGTTGTTTGCTTTTTTCTTTAAATTTGTTTAAGTTCTTCGTAGATTCTGAATATTAGCCCTTTGTCAGATGGCTAGATTACAAAAATTTTCTCCCATTCTGTAGGTTGCTTTTTCACTCTGATAATAGTTTCTTTTGCTGTGCAGAAGCTCTTTAGTTTAATTAGATCCCATTTGTCTGTTTTGGCTTTTGTTAAAGACAATCCTAAGCAAAAAGAACAAAGCTGGAAGCATCATGCTACCTGACTTCAAACTATACTACAAGGCTTCCATAATAAAAACAGCATGGTACTGGTACCAAAACAGATATAAAGACCAATGGAACAGAACAGAGGCCTCAGAAATAATGCCAGACATCTACAACCATCTGATCTTTGACAAACCTGACACAAACAAGCAATGGGAAAGGATTCCCTATTTAATAAATGGTGTTGGGAAAACTGGTTAGCCATATCCAGAAAGCTAAAACTGGATCCCTTCTTTACACCTTATACAAAAATTGACTCAACATAGATTAAAGACTTAAACATAAGACCTAAAACCATAAAAACCCTAGAAGAAAACCTAGGCAATACCATTCAGAACATAGTCATGGGCAAAGACTTAATGGAAGCTCATTTATTTTTGCTTTCCTCACCAAATCTATGCTTCACTCAGAAACCAGAGTGATCTTTAAGAGATGCAAATCTGTTCAAAATATTCTGTTACTTAGAATCATTTATGCCTTACTGTTGCTACTAGCATAAAGGCCAATTTGCCCAACTTGGTCCTGCTTTAGAAGTCCTCAACATGGTCTTCTAGTTTGACCTTCAAATGTCAGTTCATCTTAAATCATGTACTCCTCCCCTGGACTTCAGCTACACTGTCTCTCTTCCAGTTTCCTATGTGCAGTTCCTGTCTCAAGACTTAGTCATATTTAAGTTCTTTCTTCCCGGAAAATCCTTCTCTTAATCTTTCCCTTTTGTCAATTCATTCCCACTTATCCTTTAGATTTGAGCTCGAATATAACTTACTTAAGGAAGACTTTTCTCCTTTGAAGAAAGGTTTGGTTCTTTTGTTGTATGTTATCATAGGATTATGTAGCTTTTATTCAGAGTTGTGATAACAACTGTTGTTTTACACTCATAATTTGGTAATGGCCTATTATCTACCTCCAGAAGATTGCAAGACCATGAATAAAGATCATGTTTCTTTTTGCTAGTTTCAGGGCCTAGCAAAGTGTCTAAGGTGAGTAGGCCATCAATATACACGTATTGAATAAATGAATAAACAAATGGGTTTCAATGTCTTCATCTGTAAAATGGAGATCAGTAAAATGGAGGAAATAGATGTTGGGACTAATATTAAGGAGGTTTTTCTGTATTTCAAGTCATATATTGTGAAATGCTTTGTAAATTATGTCCTTCAATTATAAAATATTATTAAGATGCTAACTCTTTATCATGTAAGTTTTAACAAGTGTGTTTAAGTCATTTATGTTTAATAGAAATTAAATATTTCTCATGAATTTATTTATATTTAACATTTGGCAATGAAAGAATCTGAAAGCTGAAAATTCTCTTTAAAATGTAATTATAATGAAGGATTCATGATAAGAATGTTTGGTAGCATTTATTGAATGCTCTCATATGTACCTTACCTTATTTGTTCCAGACAAGAACCCTAGGAGGTATATAATATTACTCTTTGTTTTAAAGTTAAATAAACTTGTCCAAGGTCATTCAAGGAATAACTGGTAGAACCAGATAAGTCTGATTTCAAAGCTTATGTTATCAACTGTGAAATCTGGAAATAACTCAAGAAACTCCAAAAGCATACAAGGACAAAATATGTATCTTTGTGTTTATATAACTCCACCTTCTTCATTCTCACCTTCACTCTTCCTCGATAGGGAATACTGAAATTTCCACATTTTTCTCTTCTGTATCCACACTTATCTATAATTGTATTCATATTTTTCCTTCCCTCTCACCTGAGAGGAAGAAGTTACACTCTTTTCCCTGGATAAAATGCTTGCTTGCACTTGTGTTCCAGGCTGTTGGCTGTTAGTACCATCCCATTTTGCTACTTCACCTATCTATCTCTTTTCTGATCTTCCCTTCAAATATCCTTCCTTTCACCTTGTAAGCACGCTGGAAGCTCTTTTATTTAAAAAGGGATACAAACCCCAAACATCAAACATGTTTTTCTGACCACTTCCAACTTTAGCTATCTTTTTGCCTTTATCATCAATTCTTTTCCAAGAGGCACCATTTATATCTCCCTATTCCTTTTTAGGAACTTGAAGTATGGAATCTAACTTCACTATTAAAATACGACCCAGTAATCTCATTTCTGGATATATATCCAAATGAATTAAAATTAGTATGTCAAAGAGATATCTGTACCCCCATGTTCATGAAAGCATTATTTACAATAGCCAAGATATAGAAGCAACCTTAGTGTCCATTAAAGGATGAATGGATAACGACACTGTGGTATGTACACACAATGTAATACTGTTCATCCTTAAAAAGAAGGAAGTTCTGTTATTTATGATAGCACGAATGAACTTGGAGGACATTATGCTAAGTATAATAAGCCAGGCACAGAAACACAAATATTTTAATAATCTCACTTAAATGTGGAATCTGAAAAAGTCAGTGTCATAAAAACGGAATGGAAAGGTGGTTACCAGAGGCTTTGGGGAGAGGAGAAATGGAAAAAGAGGAGATTGTTGTCAAAGGGTACAACATTTCAGTAGCTTGGAGGAGTAAATTTCTGTGATCTATTGCACTGCGTGGAGATCAGAGTTAATAACAATGTATCATATATTTTGAAATTGCTAAAAATAAATTTTTAACATTCTAAACACAAAAATAAGTTTGTGAGATGATGACTTTGTTAATTAGCTTTATTTAATCTTTCTACAATGTATATATAGATCAAAAGATTATATTGTACCACATAAATATATACAATTATTATGTCAATTAAAACTAAATTTAAAAAACTGCTCTCATTGATATCATCAGTGACTACCTGATTTCCAAATTCATTAATCTGTTTTTAGACCTAATTCTATTTAATACTTCTTTAAAGCCTTTGAAAATCTTTTTCAAGAGTTCTAAGATACCACCCTTTTCTGGATCTCCTGCAACCTTTTGGTCACTTTTTTTTCAGTTTATTTTCCTGGTTTTTCTTGCTTTGCACTGTTCTTAAAATGTTGCTGTTCTCCCGGGGAGGCGGAGGTTGCTGTGAACCGAGATCGCACCACTGCACTCTAACCTGGGAGACAGAGCAAGACTCCATCTCAACAACAACAACAACAACAACAACAACAACAACAACAACACAAATGTTGCTGTTCTCCAGAGTTCCATCTCTGGCCTCTTTCTATACTTCCTCTCTATAGCTACACACAGTACTTGTCACACATCCTCTACTTCCGTAGCTTCAACTACTGCCTGAAAGCCAACAACTCCCACATTGTTTTTCAAGTTTTGATTTATCTGCTAAAATTCAGACCTGTATACACAACTGCATACCAGGCATCTTCTTCTATGTGTCTCATGGGTTTTTAAAAATGTGACATATCCAGAATAGAACTTTTCAACGTTCACTACGTAAATTTGCTCTTTCATCTAAAACTTTTATCTTGGTGAATGATGCAATTATCTATCAAGTTTCCCAGGTCTGAAAGCTTAAAGTCTTCCTTATTTCTTCTCTCTTTTTTACTTTCCTCTGAAACTTCTCTCAAATCTGCTTTGTGCGTTCCTACTGCTTAGACTTCTTAGTTCAGTCCCAGACCATTTTTCAAATGGATTATTTCAATATCTATTATCTATCTAATATTCTTTCTCTCATTTTCTTCTTTTTTCAATCTGTTCTTTATACTGATGCCAGATTTGTGCACATATAACACAAATCTGATTTTATGACTCCTGTTCTTAACAAAATTCCATGGTATGCCATAACAAGTTCATAGTACCTACCTGGCTCAGCAGGCCCAAAACAATCTAAATTGAACCACCATTTTCAACTTTGTTTCCTGATACAATTCTCTTCTAATGTTATATAAAATGATTCACTATTTTCTGAACCTGTATAACCATGCACACACTAGTCTTCCTTCTTGGAATGTCATTTCCCCGCTTCTCCACTCAGAAAATTCCTATGAATATTTCAAGTCAGAATCCAATTTCTTTGTGAACTTTTCCTTACTTTCCTTGAAAGAATTTTCCTCTCTCTCCTTTGGGCTCGTAGAGTACTTAATACTTATTTTGGTGATGGTACAGAGCACATTGCCTGGTAACCTCTAGCTTGAGTCTCTCCCTATAAATTGTACCTTGTTTAGAGACAGTCACTATGGCTTATTCATCTACCTCTTTGATTCAGTGCCTACCAATTTGTCTGTACACATATTTTTGTTCAATAAATAAATGGAAAAGATACACCATCATTCATAATTTAATCAGTCAAATGTGAGAGTTTTAACTGCCTCCCTATGCCATATTCCATTCTTTCTATTTACAATGTTAGTAAACAATGGCATCAGTATAAATTAAATGTACAATAAAGAATACAATGGTTTGGAGAAAAAAAATATTTTGGAAATATTTTTCCAAGGAACCTAATTTTGGAAGCTAAGGCACTGTTCTGTTAAATATTGCTTTTCTTCTTGCAAAACAATAATTTTACATCATGTGGGATGGCAAGTTCTCATACCTTGTCAAATTTTTATTTAAGCTTCTGATGTAATCCTCTGATGCCAATTCAAAGTTGCTATTTTTAAATGAATACTTTCCTTGAACTGACTTTTAATTCCTTGGGTAATTTTTGCTTGTTATTAGCAGTTGAATAGTTGTGCCTGGGAATGAGGGTTCAGGAAAATAGCAACCATCTGCCAGGAACCACAGACCTTAGCCCTTGGTCTCTGTTTTCCTGACAGCACCCCCTTCTCTAATGGAAGTTATCAGTACCCAGGGAGCTCTCTGCTGGCACTCAGTAGTAGAAATATTAACACTGTATGGCCCATCCTAGGTAAATTAAATTTCATCATGCCTCTTGCTAAAATTAAAGTAAAAGGAGATGGTGAACCTTTGGACAGATTAAGTAAATAGCAATATTAAAAACTCCCCAAGCTGGAAATGGAGCACACCAGTTGTCAAGAGGTTAAACCATTTAAAAAAATAGATTGTTCAAAGGAGGAAAAATATAGATCTCTCAAGTACTCACTCTGACAACTCACTTAATAAGCACATACTGTTTGTTCTCAGAAAAGTCAGCTTTTTAATTTAGAGGAGTTGAAAGGTTCATTTCTGGAAACAGCTTGTCCTCAAGTTTTTTAATAGTTCAGTAAAACTGAGAGTGGGAGTCAGAGGATGAGTACAATGGAAATACTCCAACATTTGCAGTGACCTTATTTGGTGCATGATAAGAAACTTTCCAGTGTGTAAATAAATCAGGATTCTACTAAGTTCCCTGAATGAAGTTTAATAAACACCTTCTACTTTAAAATCAGTCCCCATAACCTCTAAAAATCTGATTATTCAGAAAAAAAGAAATTACACAGTGAAGTAGAAACATCTGAGCATGACCGAGATCGCTAAGTGCTCCTATTTACAATTTTAAAAAACCGTTTAGGATAGCCAAGATATTTCATATGTAAATAGCCTAGCATGTTTATGCAGGAAGGCTTTAAACAGAATGGTTCAGATTATAAGCTCTCATGAATGCCTGGATTTGATTCCCAGGTTTTCAACTTACAGGGCACTTGAGGCAACATAACCTCTATAGGCCTCAGTTTCCTCATATGTAAAATAGGAATAATAATAGTATTTCCATCATAAGGTTGTTATGGATGTTAATATGAGATAGTACTAAGGGGCACTAAGTAAAAATTTTATCTGGACACATAAAACATTGAATGAGCCAAACAGATTTTGAAGATCTGTTTAGATAAAGAAGACTCACGAAGCATAATTCTGCTTAGTTATCAGGGATCAGAGGATATTGAAGTTCATCCAGCTAATCCTCTTATTTAATAAGTGAGTAAACAGAGCAGTATTACAATCTCATTCTATTAAAGATTTTTCTAAAAAATATTCCATGAACTTTAAACTTTGGAAAGTTATCTTGTTAGAAAATTATTCTTTAAAGATATTAGAGAGATTCATAGATATTACCTTCACAATTATTTTCTCAAAAATTTTAAACACCTTTACCACGATATTGAAATACCATACAATCCACCCCATTTAAAGTGCACAATTCAATGTTTTTAGCATGTTTCCAGATTTGTGCAACAATTATATCAATTATAACCACAAAAGGAAACCTCATACCCATTAGCAGTCAATCTCCATTTTCTCCCAACTTGCCCTCGCTCTGGGTTACTGCTAATTTACTTTCTGTCTGTAGAGCTTTGCCTATTCTGCACATTTCATACAAGTGGAATCATACCATATGTGGTCTTCTGTAACTGGCTTCTTTCACTTAGCATAATGCTGTCAAGGTCCTTCCATGTTGTAGCATATATCAGTATTCATTCCTTTTTATTATCAAATAATATTATGTTGTATGGATAGATCACATTTTACATATCTATTGATTAGTTGGTGGATATTTGGATTGTTTCTACTTTTTGGCTATTGTGAATAATGTTGTTACAAACATGCGTGCATGAGTTTTTGAGTGGGCATATTTTTAAATTTATCTTGAGTATATACTTCATAGTAAGATTGTTGGGTCATATAGTAACTCTGGGTTTAACACTTAAGAAACTGTCACACTGTTTTCCAATTGGCTACACAATTTTGCATTCCCACCAGAGGTAAATGAGGTTTCCAATTTCTCCATATCCTCATCAACACTTTTTATTTTTTGTCCTTTTTGTATCTTTTGATTATAGCCAGACCTAGTGAGTATGGTATCTTAGGTGTTAGGTGATTTTCATTTTTATTTCCTTAATGGCTAATGATATTGAGCATATTTTCATGTAAATGTTCGGCATTTGTGTATTTTCTTTGGAGAAATGCCCATGCAGAGCCTTTGTCCATTTTACAGTTGGGTTATTTATCTTTCTATTGTTGAGTTTTAAGAGTCTTTATATGTTTTGAATAAAATTTCCTTGTCAGATATTTATTTTCTCTTATTCTGTCAGTTGTGACTGTCACATTTTGAATGAATTCTCTATTAGTTAATCAACTCAAGAATGACAAAATAATAATTGTGCTAATAGCCCAAGTCTAACTTCAGCAAAAACCGGCTAGAATTTAGCATAACAATTTTACAGATTTTAGCTGTTCTTACATCTAAACCAGAAAAAGGGGTAGGATCATGTTGGGAATGAGACCTTTTTTCCAAAAGGATCTTTAAACACTAGCATGATGAATTGTGAATATCCCAATGAAACCAATCAATTGTTAATTACCACATGACTATTTTATTAACTAATGCAACTGCACAAAGTCATGTAGGAAATAAATAATAATGATAATATCCTCAAATTGCTTATAATTTAAAGTTAAACTACTGTAAAAATAATAATAATGCATCTTAGAAAGTGATTGGTTCAATACTGAGGAATTACTACGTCCTAGGTAATACTAAGCCTTCAGGAAACAGAAACATTGAGATGATCTGTTTTGCCTTGAGTAGCTCTGAGTCAGATGTGAGTGAAAATATACACATTTTACCTGTTGCATATAAACACATTACCATAAAATGCAATGTGTAAAGTAACAGAGCACTGTACTAGTCCAGGAGTGATCAATTCTACATGGCAAGGTCAGAGAAGACCCCACACAAGAAGGCTTACAAAAGAAAAAAGTTGCAAGCTCAAATAGAAACAAATATAAATATATATATTCCATTATATATATAAAGAAAGAGGTAGGCATCCGAGCACACATCAGTTAATGGAAGAAGCCATAAAACTAATAAAATCTTCAAAGTGAGGAGTACAAAAATAGTATGTAAATTTCGAGCTTGGGTGACTGAGAAGCTAGTAACTCTTACAAATAATAAGAAAAACCCACTCTCCCCTTTACCCACCCCAGAAGTTTTCTGAAGGACACTCATTGGTAAATAAATCTTTAAAAGTCAGTTTAGGTTACATGAAGAAAGTTCTTCATGTAACTCCCTTTCCCACCTTTCTTCTCCTCTTGGGTTCTTGAGAATGGATTCAGAATAGAGCGGGGTTTCACAATTTTTTGCCTGGCTCAAGAGATTGCAGACTTTCTTCATGGCATCAGTGAGCTGATGCTATCAGGACAAACTTAAAATATCTTTTCTTGGCTTTGAATATAAAAGGAAAACCAAGGAAGACTTGTTTCTCCTGGACCAGAGCCAGCTACCACAGTTGTTCCTACAAGCTTCTCCTTAACAGGAAGACATCATTAGCCCTTTCCTGGTGCTCCATGCATTTGATTCTGAGTGAAGATCTCAAGGACATGCAAGGAATAGATTTTTTTCTTTTATTCCTATCATCATCATTATCATATTAATTGTACAACTACTTTACACAGGGCATTTTGCTAAACTTTGCATATTTTAATAGTACAAAAATGATCCTAATTTTTAAAGACATTTTTAGTTTGAGAGAAGAAGTAGGGATTTTTATTTTTCCCTGCTTAATTAAATTATTTCTGTAAGAACTAGAATCCTCATTTAAGAAACTTCTACAATTTATTATACTACAAGCTTAGGGCAGCAGACATGATTATAGCTTAGATTTGTTTAAAATTTATATTCATAGCTTACATTTATCTAAAATTAATATCCATAACTATCAAAATTGAGAACAAACAGAATAGCTATTGAATTAATTATATGGTTCTATAGTTCTCTTCAAGCAAGTTCTTCTCAGTCAGTAATATCATGCTTGTTATGCAATTCTTACCTGGAAGTCAAAAGCCCAAGAGCCTCTAAAGGTTGAGAAAATGTCCATCTTCTCAAAATGGTATGCATTTCTGAAACAGTCCTTTCATCCCATCCAGGGGCACTACCCAGGACTAAAGGAAGGGAGCAGTTTTCATTATTGCAGTAGAAGCGATAAAACCATAAATATCTTTTCTTTTCTTCAGAGAGTCTGAAAAACCAGATTGGAAACTGTAATTTACTGGAGTTTGCTGCACTAACAAATGTTGCTATAAATATGCAGTAGAAAACCTTACTGTAGTTCTTTGAATTTTATTTTAGTTTACTTTCAAAAACATCTTTTACCTTCTTCGGATATTTTCATAGGTTATTTCATCAGTTTATTTTCCACTAACTTTATTCTTTTGTATTATTATTTTGAAAAAAATAACATCAATTCAGATAACTCACATTTATTTTTGTTCACTCTTATTCGTGTTTTTTTTTTTTAATATGTCATTTTGGTTGGCAAAATCTCTCTCCTCTAGGGAAAACCAAGTTTTTCTGAATCCTGCGACACATCCTATTTAGAACAGAGGTAATCAACCGTTTACTTTCTTATTTTTTTTATTTTTTATAAATTAACTGAGATCCAAGTGGGCCTGTGAAAAAATGGCATATTTTTTTTTTTTTTTTGAGACGGAGTCTCGCTCTGTCACCCAGGCTGGAGTGCAGTGGCGGGATCTCGGCTCACTGCAAGCTCCGCCTCCCGGGTTCACGCCATTCTCCTGCCTCAGCCTCCCAAGTAGCTGGGACTACAGGCGCCCGCCACTACGCCCGGCTAATTTTTTGTATTTTTAGTAGAGACGGGGTTTCACCGTTTTAGCCGGGATGGTCTCGATCTCCTGACCTCGTGATCCGCCCGCCTCGGCCTCCCAAAGTGCTGGGATTACAGGCGTGAGCCACTGCGCCCGGCCAAAATGGCATATTTTAGTAATGATATTTCTTC
This sequence comes from Homo sapiens, assembly GCF_000001405.40. Classification (NCBI taxonomy): domain Eukaryota; kingdom Metazoa; phylum Chordata; class Mammalia; order Primates; family Hominidae; genus Homo; species Homo sapiens. The sequence goes on along the minus strand of NC_000012.12, from coordinate 18,398,881 downwards.
ATCTTAAAGCAAGTTTTATCGGAGTTAAGAAATCTTTGCTGTTGTTAACTTCAAAAACAAAGATCTCAATTCATCCCTGGATTATGTCTTTAAATGTTCAGAGTTCATGGGAAGTTTGGCGTGAAAATGTCATTGATGCTAGTTTCTTAGATGCTCAAGTATTTGCCCCTGGAGAGTAGTCTGAAATAAAAGATCTAAATCTAGGACTAGGGCCTTGACTTGCTGACAATTTATCATGTTTTGCTCACACTCCAGTAGAAGTATTCAGAACCACAGTTCAATTGGAGGACAGCTTCCCTCACACGACAATGGCTTTTGCGCACTCTCCTCCAAAGTGACACTGAGCTTGAATCTGCTGAAACTCCCAAGAAAGCTAATGAAACATAAAAAAATCTTTTAAAGGTCTATCTTTCTCTATAATTCATTTTAAAGTTTTCCTCATCTGTAAAAAGAAAAGACTGGATTATAGGTGATTTTGAAGGTGTGGTTAGGTTCCTTTTTTTATATTTTGCTACCACCTTTTCCTCTGAAAAGCCCACAGAAGAAAAAAAATCCATAGTAAAATTACTAAAACATATTTGCTCAGATTAAATTTTTTTCCCCAATACTGAACAATGCTTTCTTTCTTTTTTTTAGCTCTTTTTGTTAAAGCAAATTCACATTCAAGGACATTCCGCAGCTTCAGTTCAATAAATTTTTACAAATGCATGTACCAGATAACAACCACACTCCTATCAAGATATAAAATAGTTTTGTTGATGTCATCAGAGGCAAGCACTGGTATCATTTTTTTCTCTCTTGATAAATATTAACCTTTTAGAACCTCATATAAATGGAATCATAGAGTAAATATGTTTTTATTTATGGCTTCTTTCACTCCATCATATAATGTTTTTGAAATTATCCATATTGGTTGAGTTTGTCAATAGTTAATTCCTTTTAATTAATGAATATTATTCCTTTGTATAACTATGCCATAATTTACTTATTCACTCTCCTATTTGATGGACATTTGGGTTGCTTCCTTTTGGGGGGGTATTATGAATAAAGGTGCTGTGATCATTTGTGCACAAGTTTTTATATGAATGTATTTTTCATTTCTCCTAGGAAATATCTATGAGAGGAAGGACATGGTTATATGTTAGGTATTTATCTTTACAAGAAATTGTGAAACTGTTTTCTGAAGTAATTGTAAAATTTTACACTATTGCCTGCAGAGTATGATAGTTCCATTTGTACCACATTCTTGCCAACTCTTGATTTTGTCTGTCTTTACAATGTTATCCATTCCAATGGGTGTATAGTGGTATCTCATTGTGCTTCTAATTTATATTTACTTGGGGTCTAGGCAATTCTTCATATACTATCTTCTTATATATTTTGTTTGAACTCTCTGCTCATGTATTTTCCCAATTTTTTTGTTTGTTTAGATTCATTTGCATGATTTCTTTATATACTCTGAATACAAAAATTTTGCCATATAAATGTTTTGCACATATTTTTCTCAGAATGTGGCTTGCCTATAGATTTCTTTAATGGGGTCTTTTCATGAATAGTTTTAAATTTTGATAATGTCCAATTCAGAAACTTTTAAATAGTTATTACTTTCTTTATTTGTTTAAGAAAACATTGCCTATCTTAACATTGATTCTTGTGATTTTTTCTGAAGTATTCTGAAAGCAGTATTTTACTTGCTGAAAGTACATTTTTCATTTATTGCATGGGTGGCCTTGTCAAAAATAAATTGAACATACAAATAGGTCTCTGGCTTTCTATTCTATCTACATTGAATTGTATTCTGTTGATCTATTTGCCTGTCCTTAAGCAATATCACATTATCTTAATTGCTGTAAATTTATAGTACATGAATCCATACAAGTTATGAAGTGAGACTTTGTTCTTTTTTCATGATTGCTTTGACTATTCTAGGCTCTTTTGCATTCCACATAAATATTGGAGTCAGCTTTTTAATTTCTACAAAAACCTGCTGGGATTTTCATTGGGATTATATTTTATTTATAGATGAGTTTGGAGAGAATTATCATCTTAACCACAGGAATCTTTCAATCAATAAATGTAGTATATTTTTTCATTTATTTAGATTTTCTTTAATTTTCCTTAGGAAAGTTTTGCACTTTTCTGTAAATAAAATTTTATTAAATAATTTACTAAATTTTAGTAAATAAAATTTTGTTACAGTAAGTAACATTTCAAAACAGAATTTATTTTATATATATTTTTACTGGAACACAATTAGATCTTGTACATTGATCTCAAATGCTGTGACCTTTACATAATCATGCTATGTAAAAATAGTCAGTTTTATTTCTTTCTTTTTAATTTTTACCTTAATTTTTTTTTCACATTGTGTGCTGGCTAGGATTTCCAATACAACATTAAAGAAATGTTTGAAGCAGACATCGTGGCTTTGTTTCTAACCTTAGGAGAAAGCATTCATTCTTGCATGATTTAACATGATACTAACTATAAACTTTTCATAGATCACTTTTCAAGGTTGAGAAAGTTTCATTCTATGTCTAGTTTTGTGAGTTTTTATCATGAATGGGTGCTGAACTTTACCACTTTTTTTCCTAGATCTAGCAAGGTGATAGGATTTTCCTGGAAAGTATTATTCTTTTACTTTTAATCTAATTGCTTATATATAAAATGTTTAATCTAATTGCTTATATATAAATGCTTATATATAAAATCTAATTGCTTATATACATGTTCCTGTAAACAGAATAAAATTATATATTGCTTTTTTGATGTAGGCTGACAATTTCTGCTTTTTAATTTGAGTTCTTAGTGCATTTACATTTAATGTCTTATTGATATGATTACCTAACCATACCAAAGGCTCACTGTACTGCTATTAGTTTCTATGGCGTGTTTTTTTCTTTGTTTGTCTAAACCATTTCTTGGTCCCCTTTTTTCTTTTTTATGTTTCCTTTCATATTTTTTTCCTGTTATATTTCATTTTTATCTTCTCCTTGGTTTTTAAATATACTCTTAAAATTTAAGGGGTGTGGTTTTCCTAGAGATTAAAATATCCTTTGTTTAAGCATATTACAGCCAACCATGAATTAACATTATGCATCCTTACATATAATATGAAAAACTTGGAACAGTTTACTTCCATTTTCCATTTTCATTCTTATTGAAGTTATTATAAATTTTATTTTTTATACATTATAAACCAGAGTACATTGTGATTCATTTTTCTTCAATCACTTTTTAAATAAATTAATAAATGTGTAAATGAAACTGTTTTTATTTATTTACATATTTTGGGGTATTTTTCATTTCTTCTTACCAATTTGAGTTTCCATCTAGTATGATTTTCTTCCAGCTTGATGTACTTCTTTTACTATTTTGTATAGTACGGATGAACTTATACTAAACTAACTCAGCTGGATTTGGTTGAAAATATCTTCATTTGGCCTTAATTTTTGCAACATAATTTTACTGTGTATAGAGTTCTAATTTGAAAAAGTTGTTTTCATCTTTAACACAAAGATAGTATTCAACCTCCTTTTGTCTTGATTTTTTTTTTGATGAGAGGCCTGTATTTAGTGTTTTATATAGAACATCATAATATTAATATTATAGTTGTTTCTCTATATGGAATTTGTTTATTTTATCTGATGTTTCAAAATTTTTAAATTTATCTTATTTTTCAGCAATTTCTCTATAAGGTACCTGGGGGTGTTTGTTGTGTGTGCGTGTGTGTGAGAGAGAGAGAGAAAGAAAGAAGGGAAAGAGAGAAAGAAAGAATGAAAGAAAGAAAGAAAGAAGGAATGAAAGAGGCAGGGAAAGAAGGAAGGAAAGAGAAAATGAAAGAAACAAAGAAAGAAAGAAAGAAAAAGAAGAAAGAAAGAGAAAGAAAAGAAAGAAAGAAAGGGAGAGTATGTATTTGCTTAGGGATTACTAAGCCTTTTACTTCTTATATTTGTAGGTTAATTTTTTTTAAATCAAATTTGTAAAATTTGGCCATCTCCTTAATTATTTTTTGCCTCACTATCTTTCTCCTTTTTGGTGTGTCCAATACACACATATTGTTTGATATTGTCCCTCAGGTTACAAGGCGCTCTCATTATTTTCAAGGTTTATTTTCTTTTTGTACCTCAACATGGGGGATAATTCCTATTGCCCTGTCTTCAAGCTCACCGTTCTTTTTTTCTTGCATTTCACAATCTATTAAGCCCATTTGCTGATTTTTTAAACAAATATTTTAGGTATTGTGTTTTCAGTTCTTAAATTTCCATTTTTAATAAGATTCTTCATTTGTTCATTCATATACATCTTTTTAAAAAATCAATAAATATCTTTATAATAGCTGTATTGGAATAATTATTTGCTAATTTAAAACTCTTTGGATCTGTTTCTATTAACCACTTCCTCTCCCCAGGCTATGTTTATATTTTCCTGATTCTTTCCAATTATTTTCCTAGTTACTGACTGTATGCTAGACATTTTCCAATAGTTTTCTCAATTATTGATCATATGCTAGACATTTAGAAAAGTACATTATTGAGAGTCAGCATTCTGCTATTTTTCAGGGGTCAGATCTCATTTTTTTTAGTAGACAGTTCAATTACTGGAAGATCAGCCTAATTTTTTTGAGACTGGTTTTTATGATTTGTTAGGTTGAGTCTACTACAGTCTTTAATCTAGGGCTAGAGTGGACTTAATCCTAATGTGCATCTTTTTGGTTTCTTTATTAAATGTAAGGGACAGCCTGTGAGCTTTCTCCATTCTTATTGGTCAGAATTTCTATGTCTCCCAGCATTGTGTGGCTTCTCAAATCACATTTATTTTACATCTCCCTGAAGCAGTTCTCTTGTAGGCCCTGGAAAGTTTCCACCTGGAAAGTTGAGTAGTTTAGCACTCAACCAAATATTTAAGAAGACTCCAATACAGATTTCTGTAGCTCTCATCCTGCTCTCCAGTATGATGCTCTGAAGATGCCAGCTGCCTCAGCATCACTGAACTCTAAATTCTGCCTTTTTAAAAATATCTCAGCAGGAGCTGCATTCTCTTCTTATATTCTACCTTCGCAAGTCATGTGGGAGGACCCAGGTATAGAAAGTGACTCCAGGCTGAAAGCCACTTTAATCCCAAGGCTTACCTCAAGTCCTGTCTGTTTAATTTATGAAAACAGTTGCTTCGTATCTATTTTTCTCTTGTCATAATTCTGTCAGTCATGGGGGTTAGTCTTGCACTAGGTATTCTTCATGGTAGAAGTAGAAGTACTAATCTATTTTAGAACATATATTGTTATATATTTCATTCTGGGGTCTTTAGATTTGGAAGCATTTTTTGGTTGACATCAAGAAGTTTTTTTTTCAATTTTTATTTTTTACAAATATCACAGGCATATTTTCACTGAGTTTCATTGAGTCTGAACTTCCTCACTCTGATTACTTTTGGTCAGTTTGAAAGAAGGAATAATTAAGTCATCAACTAAATGATAAAATGTGGTACTGGGAAACTGAGGTTAATCTGATTCTAACACAAGTTTCACCACATTGAAGGCTGTTCTCCATCTATTTTCACAGTCCAGAATAAAACTGCACCACACTGATCATTAATAATTTTATTTGAGTGGGTGAAACAGAGGAAAATGTTGCTTATTTTATGAGTGTTATTAGCTTAAATAGAAACTGAAATATAAAACAATTAGAAATCACCAGGGTTAATTTAAAAACACAAACCTCTGATATTTAAAGGGAGTTACCATGATTATTATTTGTTGGTTTTGACCTCTTTTTGCTTGAATATATTTAAAATTTCAAGGCATCTTTTTCATATTAAAAACCTCTAAGTGTAAATATGCTAGCCTCTTATTTGTGGCACACTTGTTGAACACACGGTTTTACATTTTCAAGTAAGACAGAAAAAGATGCTTCATCTAGTTAAGATGACAATAGTCTAGTATGACAATGGATTGTCAATATATGTGTCATGAAGACTATGAGAATTTTCTGTCATCTTCAGTTCTTAAGGCAACTTTTTATACCAGAAACTATGCAAGGTCAATTCAGTCCTTATAATCTATTTATTCACACACATTGTTATCAGTGTATAGCATTAGAAATATAGTGATAAACAAGAAAGATAGGTTCCTTACTTTTTCCAGTTCTTGCAAATTAATGAGGGGGACAAGAGCTAAACACATGAGTGGGCAGGATAATAGCTTGTGTTAAGTGTTATAACATAAAAGGTAATATGATAGAGAGTGAGGGAAAAAAGGCTTCATCACATAGAGTGGCCAAAGAAGGACTTTTTGAGGTGACATTTAAGTGAAAGCCTAAAGGATGAGATAATTTAGTAATGTGAAGAACTTAGGAAACAGTTTTTCAGGCAGAGGGAATATCAAATAAAAAGGCCTTGAGATGGGAGCAGGACTAGCACATTTGAAGTTTAAAAAGGAGTTTGATGTTACTGGCTTGAAGTGAATGAGAAAAACAGTAATAAATATTGAAATTAGAGAGTAGGAAAGTAGCAAGATTACTCAAAAGAAAACTCCTGATCGCACTCAGTGCCCTAGTATGGGAGGGCCCAAACTAATTCCTCCTCCAGAAAATGACTACCATCTGCCCAGTTGATTTGGACTCTCTATTGACTTAACCTTGATTCTTTAATTTCTTAAGGGACTTACTCCAAAATTCTAATTAATCATCAAGTTATGTCTTCTCAACTGCCAAAATATGTCTCCCAAATCTAGCCACTTCTATGAATATCCACTGCTATCATCTTAGTTCTAGCCATCATGGCCTCTTGCCTAAACTGTTACATTCACCTCCTTGCTGCACTGCTTGCTTCTACTGTCACGTCCACTCCAATCCATTCTTCAACTTGTCGTCAAAGGTATCACTCAAGATTTTTCTGGTCACATGATTCCCTTGTTTAAAACCTTTACATTAATTTTCACTCTTGGAGTAAAGTCTGTTATCATGTTACATATCTTAATCTCTCTCTCTCTCTCTCACACACACACACATACACGCACAAAGAGATAGAGAGAGAGAGACACTTTCTCAGTTTGATGCCCTTGGCTTGTTATTAATGAGCATGATCAGCTGTGACATGCATTTTGCCAAGTATCAACTACAAATGCCACTAATTCCCTACTAGTTCTTCCTGGGATTTTGGTTCTATTCAAAGAATTATTATTTTACAAAGTACTCCTTAGTCACTAATTTGTGCTGTTAAAACAAGACTTATTTCTTTTCTGCTCTTTTTAAAAATCTGCCTTAATTAAATGTTGCTTTTCCCTGTTGACTAAAACAACTTTCTACCTCCTGGAAGGAAGGTTGAGAGATGGTTTATCACTGCTATGTGCTGATGTATATATGATCACTCTCTGCTTTGTTATTTTGAACTGAATAACTTCCAAACTTTTTACTTTTCCTTAAGACCACAGGAAATAAATCGTTAAAAGCAGACAAAATTACTTATTTACGTCCTAAACATTAATTAACCATCCAAGAAGCATGACATCAGGAAATGAAACCAGTTATGTAGGAAGGAACACTCACTCTTTGAAGCTATCATGCTTCAAGAATGATTGAGGAAATCATAAACAGCAGGCAAAAATTCATTCACAAGACCTAGGTCACTTACAGTAGGGGAGTCTGTTTCTGTGAAAGTCTGGCAATATGTTTTATACACTCCTTTAGTGGCTCTTCAAGATTACTTCTATTCTCTTCAGAATCAGGTTTCATATACTCCCACCCAGTAGCTGGAAAATCAATCTGAAAGAAAAAAAATGATTTGCCATGTGTTGAAGGTGTCTCAAAATACATTATTGATTTAATATTCCTATCTTAGATTTATAGAAACTAAAGAACAGAATAAATTCTATTTTTTCTGTGCTATTTATAATTTTAAAATAATTTCTAAAATAATTATTAGAGGTTGGACTTAGGATTTAAATATACAAGTTATTTAGCCAATTATGTATACAAATGGTATAGATGGGTCACCGGTAATGTTGTCTGAGGGAAAATGAGAGAAATAATAATATATGGTCTCTCCATAAAGATTAATATGTTACATTTTTGGTTAATGCTAACATTATATCCTTTTTACATTTCGGTGTTAAAATGTCTCCTTACGAAATGATGAAATTTAACATTGGTAATTATGCTTTTTTCATGTAACCCGCCTGAAAAAATAGAGTTAATCTATATTGATCTCTAGTTCATGAAATTTGCAAGTCTGAGAATCATTATGTACACATGAGTGAGCTCTTCTTTGGTAAAGAACTGTTGTGTTAGTAAAAAATCAAATAGAATATTTCTGCTTTGGTTCTGTAGTTCAGATTTATAGACAGTTCTAGAATCCAGCCTCCTTTTTTTTCTGGCTCAGTCTACTTTCTGTTAAACCATGTTTCAGTGATTCAGAATCTGATTAGTAAATAAAATTACAGTTAACAAAAAGACAGTTCCAGGCTATGTAAATAAGCTGGATATTCTAGGGCTCCATAGGTTTGCTTAAGGTTATCACACATACTGGGTTTTTTTCATTTTAATATTAGAGATCCCACAGACATTATTTTTCTCTGCTGAGTTATGTTAGGTTGGAATCTCAGAAAAAATTGAGGAACCTTACAAAGTAGATGGTGTGAGTTTCAGTTTGAAATACAGTTTAATATATTTGAGCGCTTATTTATTTGAAAAAGTTTTAGTAATTTCATTCTATAACCTCTAACGTTTGTTATAAGTTTTGTTTTTGATATAATCTGTGTTACAATATATCAATTACTACTCCAACATGATAAAATAAACAAGTACGAGATCAGCTTAACTGAAACATTACAACAAAGTTTGCCTCTTGACAAAGATTAATCTTGAAAGATGAACTTTGGTACCTTAGAGGGGAAGGGCATCCAGTACGAGCAAGTTACATGCTACTCTTTATATGGACAAATATTTTTAAATAGCTCTTAATGAGTTAGTATAATTTTATGTTGATACTAAGTAAATGGCATGGTAGATGAGAAAACTGAGAAAGGTAGATGAGCATACAAAAGAATTCCTGTGTACAAACCTATAATAAATTATTTGTGTATATTTCACTTAGGAAACAATTTTCATTTCTGATACGTGAGATCTTTTATCAAATTGCATTTTTTCATGAATTATGAGGCTAAATAGCTACTGATTCTTGAGTTACTATAGAAAATATTGGAATTTTTCCTAGTTGCCTTTTCTACTTTTTATAAGAGAAAACTTCCCCAAAACTATGCTTTAATGCATTTGCTTTAGAACACTTTTAAGCACCATACATAATGAAAGATATAAGTAATATCTATTATTTTCTGATAACTTAAAGTTTAATTGAGGAGAAAAGGCGCACACATTAACAATTAAAATAGGGAATAATAAATACATAGCACCCCAAAGCTGCGCTTCATTGTTGTGCTTTCAGTACTGACAAACACTCAGCTCTGTTCTTTCTCCTTCTATGGCTGTGGCTGACCAAGCCTGGCTTTGGTCTCAAATTTCTTTTTTTTTTTTTTGAGATGGAGTCTCACTCTGTTGCCCAGGCTGGAGTGCAGTGGCACCATTTCGGCTCACTGCAAGCTCCACCTGCCGGGTTCACGCCATTCTCCTGCCTCAGCCTCCCCAGTAGCTGGGACTACAGGTGCCCACCACCACACCCAGCTAATTTTTTTGTATTTTTAGTAGAGACGGGGTTTCACCATGTTAGCCAGGATGGACTCGATCTCCTGACCTTGTGATCCACCCGCCTCGGCCTCCCAAAGTGCTTGGATTACAGGCGTGAGCCACCGCACCTGGCTTCAAATTTCTTTTGAAAGGAACGCTTCAGGAGATCTATTCAAATGTCAACATTGCATGCGCCATGACATCTATTTCTCACATTCCTGGCTAAGCCTTGAGGATGCACTCCTTATTTTAACAACAGCAACAACAACAACAGCAACAAAAATATGTTTTTTTGGGGGGGATAGAGGAACATATTCAAACCTGGTTATCCTCCCTTCTAATTCACAGCTCCTTACACATTTGGATATCAACTTCTTGTGTTCCATTTATCCATCTTGCTTCACTTCTTCTGCTCATCCTTTGTCATTCACAGTTGGCCACCATGATTTCTACTATGGCTTCATTACTTGGCACTGCTCACGGGAGCTGTTGTGAATGTCCCTAGCGTCCATGCCCCACAACCATACCCATAAGGTGCCCCTGGGCCAATTTTGGGTTCCCATGATTCTGTCAGATTATTCAAAGAACTTCCACTTGGACTGTGCGTAGGTTGGTATTATAAGACACACGTGCTGGGCATGGTGTCTCATGCCTGTAATCTCAGGACTTTGGGAGACTGAGGCAGACAGATCACTTGAGGTTAGGAGTTCAAGACCAGCCTGGCCAACATGGTGAAACCGTGTGTCTACTAAAAATACAAAAATAAGCTGGGCATGGTGGCATGCACCTGTAATTCCAGCTACTTGGGAGGCTGAGGCACAAGAGAGAATCGCTTGAACCATGGAGGTGGAGGTTGCAGTGAGCTGAGGTCACGCCACTGCCCTCCAGCTTGGGTGATGGAGTGAGACACTGTCTCATAAAAAAGAAAAAAAGAAAAGAAAAGACATACGTATGTTAGACCATGAGTTCTATTGCAGTTCAGAGGAAGGAAAGATAACTGCTAACTGGGTGGCAATTGTGGTGAGTCTGAAAAAAGGAGTTGTAAAAGAGGGATCCATATGGTGGTTTTGGAGTGAGAAAAAAAAAAGGATCTCCGTTACATTAGAAATAAAAATACAATGTGTTCTAAAAACTTTGTATCAATGATAAGACTGGTGCTTCTTCCTAACGCTGACGATAATGGAATATAAGCATGTACTAAAATGTTAGAAAAAGTAAAATACTTCGAATGAGTGAGTAAGGTCTGTGGTTTAAGGAGACGTCTTGCTTAGATAAAAGGAAGAGCCAAACATTTTGGTATTCAGGTTCAGATAAGTGGACCAAAGGGCTAAATTGAGACATACGTGTGGGCAGTGTTTTTGTAGTCATCAGAAATATGGATACATATCATTAATTTAACAAAAACATTATTCCAACTACTGTGCTAGATGTTTGTGATATAATACCTTCAATGCCATCAGAGATCACTCAGTCAGTGGGAAGGAATACGAAGTGATAAATGTGTTGATAAAAATGCTATTGGGTATTACGTGAACATAGAAGAAGGGCACTTAACTTTGCTTGGTGTGAGAAGAGTGGAGGGGGTAAGGGAGAGATTTCTAGAGGGTCCGTGGGTGGAAAAAGATGAATCTCATTTACACAGAGTCAGAGGAGGGGTGGACAGTGGAGGGTGAAGGGGCGAGGGCACATTATAGACAGGGAACAGTATTCATAAATTCACATAAGGTGAAAGCAAGACAGTGCATGTCAGAAACGACAGCATTTTCAAAGTTATTGAAGCTTGAAGTGTCAAACAGGGACTGGCAAGAGAAGCGATGGGACAGGGGTCATGCTACAGAGGTTGGCCTTAATCCTCTGGGTAGTGCTGAGTTATTGAAGAGTCTAAGCAGGGAACTGGCAGGTTCAGATTTAAGTTTTAGAAGAATCACCCTTGTGACTGTATAAATTTTGGATTAGAGAATGACAAAACTAAAGCCAAGGAAACCAGCAGATGAGGTGAGGAATTGAGAGGATAGACAATAAAAATATAGAATATAAATTGGCAGGATATAGTATGGACCGGATATGAGTAGAGAGAAAGAAGGAAGGAGACAAGAAAATCAGGTAGGTGTATGTGGGGCATGAACAGACATAAAGAATTCAGAGGGTGAAAGTAATTTTGGAGAGGAAGTGGGCTCCGTTTGGGGCATGTTTCGTTTGAAGCTGCCAATAGAATATCCAGGTGGGGGTTTCAGCAAGTATGTGGCTATATTTGTCTGAAGCTTGATGTGTGAAGAAGTCTGAACTAGAGATACAGACTCAGAAGTGCACTTACACAGATATTGAGACAAGAACCTTAGAAATGTATGAGACCCAGTAATTCCATGGCTAAGTACATATTCAAGAAAGATGAAAACATATGTTCACACAAAAACATGTCCATACATGTTCATAACAGCAATATTCTTAATAGCTAAATAGTGGAAAGAATCCAAATGTACATTGACGGATAAATTAATAAATAAAATAGGGTATATTCATATGTGCATATTACAATAATGTAATATTATTGTATAAAAATGTATCTGTAATATAGAAAAAGGAATGAATCCCAATCGGGGCTACCACCTGGATGCACTTTGAAAATATTATGCTAAGTGACAGAAGCTGGCCACAAATAAGATCACACATTGTATGATTCCATTTAAATGAAATGCCCCAAACAGTCAAATTGACAGAGATAGAAAGAAGATTAGTGGTTGCTTAGGATTGGGGGAATAGGAGGTGAGAGCTAAGGGGTATGGGATTTCTTTTTTGATGTGATGGAAATGATCTGAAATTGACTGCAGTGATAGTCGCACATATCTGTGAAAATACTAAAAACTACTGAATCGCACACTTTAAATGGGAGGATAGTATGGTATGTGAATTACATCTCAAGAAAGCTGTTTTTTAAAAGAAACTAAATGAATGAGAGCATCCAGGGAGAATATGTCCACTGTGCACGGCAGCGGGCTGCAGACTGGAACCTTTGAGAATTGTCTTTGGTGAGAGCCTGGGAAGGAGACAAAGGATGATCAGAGAGCAGTGGAAGGAGATAACCGAGGGCAGTAACACCAAAGCCAGAGGAGGAGGGGGTTTGGTTCTGTGGAAGGAGGAGGGAGAAAGTTCAGTCTCTTTGAAGAAGAGGAGGGAGTTCAGTTATGGGGAAGAGACAGACAGTGCCAAGAAGAGCAGAGGGAGGGCTAGCCTGATGAGGACTGAAAACCATCACTGGGTTTGGCACCTAGGAACTAGCAGGTACCTAACCACAGTTAAGAGTGGTGGCAAGCCAGAATACAGTGATTGTAGATACAAACGGGGAGGTGAGGAAGTAGAGAAACATAGATCCCAGCACTTTGGGGGTCCGAGATAGGTGGATTACCTGAGGTCAGGAGTTCGAAACCAACTTGGCCATCATGGTGAAACCGTATCTACTAAGATACAAAAATTAGCTGGGCATGGTGGCGCACACCTGTAATCCCAGCTACTTGGGAGGCTGAGGCAGGAGAATTGCTTGAGCCTGGGAGGAGGAGGTTGCAGTGAGCCGAGATCGCGCCACTGCACTCCAGCCTGGGCGACAGAGTGAGAATTCATCTCCAAATAATAATAATAATAAAGAAACATAGACTAGAACAAGAACCGCATGAATTCTATGAAACAGCTCTGCATTTCGTGCTTAAATATGTGACAGAGCTGTTCCACTAGATTGCATTCGGGGAGAGGCAGGAAGTTGAAGGAGACCCAGGCTAAGTGAGTCAAGCAGTAACTTATGTATTATCTGCCTCCACTTCTGAACTAAAATCTATTTCACTCTGTCGACTGCTTCCGGTCGGCACATCAATCAACCATAGGACCTGAAAAAAGTATTGCCTGGAAGTGATCACATCTGTGTCATATTACATCCCTTGTCATACTGGAGTGGCTGCAGTGTGGCAGTAACCACCATCTAATGAGGACAATCGGAAAAGTGAAGTCAGGTAGGCTTAGTATAATCTTTTCATTATGCAGAGGATAAAATAGGTTAGGTGACTTGTTCAAGGTCATAAAGTTTTCTGTAAAAGGAAGACTAGAATCCAGATTTTCTAACTCAGCCAGATGTCTTTCCCCGAGACTCATACTAACTCCCTAACGAAACACTGGATGCAGAACTTGGTTGTAATTTCACCATCTCATAATCTTTAGGTTGAAAGATTCTGCTCTAAATTTAGCTGACTATTTAATTAAACTGATACTATTAAAGGTTTTGCCTTTACTACCTTAATAACTCTTATTTTATATATTGCATCACCAATTAAAATCATGCTGAGAGGCTTTTCATGTGTCTATACAATTTGAAATTATTTTGTAAAAATGGGATGGTTTAACTTTCGCATACTGTGGAATGATTTACATGCCCCTCTTCCACTTATTTCTAAGATGAATTCTATTATGGATCCAGATCTTTACGTGGAAATCGGTGCCACTATTGAATATTTGAAGTTTTCCTTCAAATTCCACTTGCTAAAATCTATGTTGATAAAGGAACTATTTACCTCATCTGAGAAGAATCAAGGATAGTCTCATCTGATAGACCTTCTTCTCCTTCTTCTACCACCATCACTCTTCTCTGCCCCATAGAACCTTAAAATCATGAATTTATATCCACAAAACTCTGACAATGGTCATACTTGAAAATTTTCATTAAGCTAAGGTGGTTTGGACCTGTCAAGAAATAGTTTGATAGAAAATACATTTGTCTTCTTAAAGAAAGATCACTTATATCTACACTTACACACCCCACAGGCCTATATAAAATGCAAGGTATCTCAAACTGAGTTCTTCATATTACTCTGTTGAAGACTGTCTATCTTTTCTCTGTGTTCATTCTTAAAACTGAAGATATTGCTATGAACTCAGGAACTCAAGTTTCTGTCTCTGTTTCCCTATATATTTCCTTCATATGGTTGCACCCCTTTCTGTTTAAAAAAAGTTTCTAAAATCTACCACTTAATTGTTTTTTCTTAGTTTTTGGCCCTATGATCCTTAACTTAGATCACTAAAATATTCTTCTAATAAATGTCCAGGCTGGGTGCAGTGGCTCACGCCTGTAATCCCAGCTCGTTGGGATGCTGGGGCAGGAGGATTGCTTGAGGTCAGGAGTTCAAGACCAGCATGAGCAACATAGTGAGACTCCCATCTCTACAAAAAAAAAAAAAATAATAATAATAATAAAAATAACAGGGCAAGGTGGCATGCACTTGTGGTTCCAGCTACTTGGGAGGCTAAGATGACAGGATCATTGGACCCCAGAAGGTGGAGGCTGCAGTGAGCTATGTTTATTCCATTACACTCCAGCCTCGGTGACAGAGTGAGCCTCTGTCTCAAAAAAAAAACACCCAAACCCAAACCAAAACAAGTGTTCACATATCCGATCTTCCTGTTTTTTTAAGGCATTTTCTACAACATTGCTGGAACTACTTTTTATGACTTACTGCCCAGATAATCATGTCCAAACCTGGTACACAATCTAGTGCCCTAAAGATTTTCCACTTTTTACCACTGTTCCTCACATAATTTATTCTTTAATCTTAACTAACTTGCCATATTTTGAAACTGCCAACTCTTTTCTGAATCTGTGTGTTTGCATTGTGCATTCCTTTATGACTGGATAATCCTTCCCACTTAAACTCGTTAGTGAGAATTTACTCATTCTAGAAAGGGCATTCAAATGTCATGTCCTCTGGGTGTCTGTCCCCAGACTTTTTACATTTCTTTACTTTCCCTCAGAAATATTCATTGCTATTCTCGCTGTGTTAGTGTCCCTACAATGGCTATAGTATCTGTCACATTACATCAGAGTGAGTTGCGAAAGTCTGTCTCTCCAGCTGGATTTTGCATTCCTTGAATTCCTGGCTTAGTATTACATATTCGCTCATTTTTGTAAGAGTGTTTACCATAATGTTTGGAGCATAGTAGTCATATGTAAAACATGAATCAAATGTGATTGAATTGAACCTCTGGCATTTTGCTATTTTTCTTCATTAGTAGAATATGTTTACCGGGTTTGTGATGAGTCTCTCCTCTTTATTCATGGATATATTTATCTTTTTGTTCTTTTAAAACAGAACAAGTGCTAATTGATAAGATATCGTGTGTGGAGTGTCTATGATATTGTGCCAAGATCTAATCTGAATAAGCATTCTTTTTTAACATGTCCACAGATTAGAAGTGGACCTTTAGGTGTCACGTGGTCGAATCTTCCTCTGCAAGAGTGTGATGCCATATTTTAGTAGCATTAATTTTTCCTTTCCAT
The DNA here is from genome assembly GCF_000001405.40 of Homo sapiens. Taxonomy (NCBI): domain Eukaryota; kingdom Metazoa; phylum Chordata; class Mammalia; order Primates; family Hominidae; genus Homo; species Homo sapiens. Next base: position 18,382,891 of record NC_000012.12, on the reverse strand, counting down.
GTTAAATATTTTTCTGCGCATCTTTCTCAACTCTATGTCCCAAACCCCTCACCACAAGCCTGGAAACTTAAGAGCCTGGAGACTCTACTGACTTCTTCTAGAGCAGTGATGTCAGCTGAGGAAATCCTTTTCTCAAATCACATTTGACAATATCTGGAGACATTCTTTGATTTTCAGAATGAGAAAGTGCCTCAGGCATCTAGTGGAAAGAAGCCGGGGATGTTGCTAAACATCCTGAAATACACAGAGCAGCCCCCACCACAAAGCATTCTCTTGTCCAGAATGTCAACACTGGTAAAGCTGAAAAACTCTGTTCTAGAGGGTGCTGCCCAGAGAGCATTTTCTAATTTTTCCTATAGAGATGAAAAGTTCATATTCCATGAATTTCCGTGTATGAGACTGTGCATGCCTCACGTTTCCAACCAACCTGACAAACTACAATCAGGAACCCATAAGGAGCTGTCAGCAGTAAGGACCAAAGGCTGAAGTCATTTACCACCTTTCTTTTATGATCACTAATCACACAGAGTAGAGAGACTTTAAGAAAAAAAGAAGGATAATTACTTTGCAGTTTTTTTTCTACTACTCAGTTAATTGCTAGTCATTTTAAGAAACATATAACAGAAGAGATTTTAAAGAAATATGACACAAAGCAGAGGCAGGTGTGAGTAGGATACCAAGTTAATAATACATACCAATGACTGTTTTTAGACAATAGAAAGAAAATGAATGCCCATAATGAGTATACTAATGGCAACACTCCATAGTTCTCCAACATGACCTTGTAGGATGGAGAATGGTTTGAAATTGCCATTATATAAGCTGGGAGAAAAGTGCTTTGAGAGTACTGTACATAAAAGCAGTAGAGGTTTCACAAATCCCAGAAGGCTGGAGGCAGAGAAGGCTATTAAAATGTGTGATCCTGGAAGAAATTGTTTCTATAATTGACAACAAACTACGTATCAACCAATACTTGCCATGTGTACTTTAATCTTTTAGCCTGGCACTTACCTGCAGGGTCACCGGGGATGGCTGACTTACATCCCACACTCCTGGAGTTATCATTTCTACGGGAGGCTCACTCTGTAATGTCATGCTGAACAGCATAGACCCGAGAATGGATTTTCTGCAAAAGACAACACACACACACACAGACAGGAGTCACTTCATGAGGGAAGTTATAATTATCTGTAAATGTTTTCTTTTGGAATATAAACATAATCCGCTCTTACAGGGGCTTTATTCAGTTGCTAGAAAAGAAATGAGATAGTCCACCAGCCTAGACACTGATTAACAGTTCGTTTCTAATATACCACATGCTTGGCTATTTTCATAAATGCCTACATTTATTTTGCACATGAGAAAATTATTTGCCCACAGTGGTTTCTAATGGGTAGCATTTATTTTTAATTGCCATCAATGGTGATTATAAAGTGGGACTAAGAATTTCAGATTTATATTATTGGAGTTACAACTGCCTTAAATCAATAAAGATGTCAACTCTTCAGAACATATTTTGCTCCATGGAGTGACTAAATCCCCTGGGAAACTTTAAAGATACAAGTTCTAAATTTATTAAAAAAAAAAAGATTTAAATTAGCATAGCATATGATCTGCAGAATAAAAATAGTTGTGGGGCTTCACGGAGGAAACGCTTCCTTATGCATAAATAGAAAGATTATTCATATTCTAAATGTTTAAAAATCGGTGGTAAATTACCATAGTAAATGAGAGTGCATACAGGAAAGGCTTTAAACAGGGAAGAGTTTGTGGATGGTTTTAACAGCTTCAGTAACATCCAAATCCACAGATCCTTATGTGAATTAAAAAAGAAGTTGTACCTGGCTAGGTATATGAGTCAGAATATCAGTAAAATGTTCCAGTGATCACAGAAAACAGTGTTGGATTTTAATATGCCAACTTGAAAGTGCAAAACTGAAAGTCAACAAAATTAAATTTAAGTTTATAAAGAACTTTAATGCATCCAGTGAGCTTTTCTAAAAGCAATATACAATTCCATCTTGCCATTTAACAGATCTTATGCAAAGCATGAGGAAAAAATTCAACAAATAAAGCTTTCTTTAGACCTTTAGCTTTCTGAAGACTGCCTCTTTTATCATTTTCTCTATTTAAAGATATTGTCAGCACATATCTGCCTAGAGGAGTATAATGTGCTTTATTAAAATATAGGCAGATGTTTTATATGACTCAAGAATATTCTTGTAGCAGGATGAATTTTGGGTCTTCTTTGTTTCTTTGTTCCATCCCTCCCTTATCTAGAGAAAATCTGTCTTGGTATAACAATATCAGGGGTCCAGTATTAGTAAGGTATGAATTAGTTTAATAGAGGTAAAGATTAGAAAATTTTTATTGTAATTTTCCCCTTTGCCTGTCAGAGCATAGGAGCTTCACCCCAAATGGCCAAATCCCCATCTGCCTGAGAAAAGTTTTGGATTAGTGTTAGGCAGAATGCAAGAGGAGGAAGAAACATGTCCAATGCCAAACTTGGAGGTCATATTGTTCTCCACAGCATTTAGAGAAAATGTTTCTGTGCATGGGACAGAGTCAACAGAGGTGAGGAGGGAGGAGGATGTGCCATATTGGATAGGAGAACATGACGACAGAAAAGCCCATCACTTCCTGGGAATTTGGGAGGGTGAGAAGTAGAAGGCAGAGAAAGAAGGACCTGAGTAAGCACGGCGGACATAGGCGTCCCAGTTTGCCTCTCCTCTGCTTTGGCAAGCAGATGGGGAGAAGTGTGAGATCAGTGAGCAAAACATAATGTTGAAGGCAGAGGCGCTCCTCTTCTCACTCCCCGTTTCAGATCCTGGAAGGAAATCACCTCTTGAGAGGTTCTGCACTGCTTGTGGCATGGCCATTAAACTTGGCGTCATGTGATTAACAGGCAGGAGGAACTCGTGAGTTTAGCTTTTGTGGGCCTTCTTTGGTTTCTCTGTAGGTGAGATGGGATCTGGAAATATCTAAAGATTTTCGAGAGGGAGAGTTTCCAGAGTTTCCCTGGTGGGGATAAGGGCTTCTGTAACAAGGGCATGTGATAGGACCATCCAACCTGGGGCCAACTGGGAGTCGTTGGCAAACCTCAAGAGGGTCTATGGTGCCTGTGAGAGCCTGAGTCACCCAGGGCTTGCCAGGAAACCCTGGCCAAGCTGGGGGAGCCCCAGTCATGAGCTGCAGACTTCAGCTGTAACAAGCATCCGTCAGCTTAAAAAGGGGCTTTCATTTGGATATCAGAAGTCACCAGGGCAAAGGATCTGCTTTTATGATTTTGTTTTCTCCTTTTCTTATATATCCTTTTCCCCTCTTAGGAAGAGAGCCAGGGTGTGAGAAATTTATCTGAGTGACCCAGCATTTTTTTAAATTATACTTTAAGTTCTAAGGTACCTGTGCACAACGTGCAGGCTTGTTACTTATGTATACATGTGCCATGTTGGTGTGCTGCACCCATTAACTTGTCATTTACATTAGGTATATCTGCTAATGCTATCCCTCCCCCCTCCCCCCACCCCATGACAGGCCCCAGTGTGTGATGTTCTCCTTCCTGTGTCCAAGTGTTCTCATTGTTCAATTCCCACCTATGAGTGAGAACATGTGGTGTTTGGTTTTTTGTGCCTGTGATAGTTTGCTGAGAATGATGGTTTCCAGCTTCATCCATGTCCCTACAAAGGACATGAACTCATCCTTTTTTATGGCTGCATAGTATTCCATGGTGTATATGTGTCACATTTTCTTAATCCAGTCTATCACTGATGGACATTTGGGTTGGTTCCAAGTCTTTGCTATTGTGAATAGTGCCGCAATAATCATACATGTGCATGTGTCTTTATAGTATCATGATTTATAATCCTTTGGGTATATACCCAGTAATGGGATGGCTGGATCAAATGGTATTTCTAGTTCTAGATCCTTGAGGAATCGCCATACTGTCTTCCACAATGGTTGAACCAGTTTACAGTCCCACCAACAGTGTAAAAGTGTTCCTATTTCTCCACTTCCTCTCCAGCACCTGTTGTTTCCTGCCTTTTTAATGATCGCCATTCTAACTGGTGTGAGATGGTATCTCATTGTGGTTTTGATTTGCATTTCTGTGATGGCCAGCAATGATGAGCATTTTTTCATGTGTGTTTTGGCTGCATAAATGCCTTCTTTTGAGAAGTGTCTGTTCATATCCTTTGCCCACTTTTTGATGGGGTTGTTTGTTTTTTTCTTGTAAATTTGAGTTCTTTGTAGATTCTGGATATTAGCCCTTTGTCAGATGAGAAGATTGCAAAAATTTTCTCCCATTCTGTAGGTTGCCTGTTCACTCTGATGGTAGTTTCTTTTGCTGTGCCGAAGCTCTTTAGTTTAATTAGATCCCATTTGTCAATTTTGGCTTTTGTTGCCATTGCTTTTGGTGTTTTAGACATGAAGTCCTTGCCCATGCCTATGTCCTGAATGGTATTGCTTAGGTTTTTTATCCAAAAGAGACTGCATATTTCTAAAAGGACTATTTAAAGTTACTGAACTAATACTTTATCATAGATGAAACTTTATTTCTTCTCATTAGTTACGGGGGGGGGAACTCATGAGGAAGAGTGTGATACATGAGTTGCATTATTTATTCACACCTAAGTTGTGGAATGTGTTATATTTGTGTCCTTACCATATTTTTATGTCTTGGCTATGCTTTACTCCAGAAATCTGAGTGGTCTAAGCTGGTCTTGACAGAAGATGAGGGGACTCAAGAATTTGATGGTAATTACTGTCCTTTGATGGAGTCTTGGATGTATTAACAGTCACCATGGCTTTAACCCTGAGGCACATGTGGCAGAGTGAAGTCATCTGACATAGATGTGTGTATGGGGCAATGTATCAACAAATGGTGATGCATGCCTGTTATATCCCAGCTACTTGGGAGGCTGAGGCAGGAGAATCACTTAAACCCGAGAGGTGGAGGTTGCGGTAAGCTGAGATCACACCATTGCACTCCAGCCTGGGCAACGAGAGTGAAACTCCATCTCAAAAAGGCTAATATAATATTTAACTTAAAGCCATATATATATGTAATATTTATAACTTAAAGCCATATATAAGACCAGGCAAATGGGGACCACTGGTCATTTTTTAAAGTATTACTCCTGTGAAAACATTTATTATGTTAGTTAAAATTAAACATTTTGAAGGCAGGAGACACAAAAAAAGACTTTCATATAATGGAAAGAACACCAGAGTTTATGTCAGGACATCTGGAGCCTGCCTTTATTACCTTCCCTTTATTAACTTAACTTTTTTGAGCTTTTTGGACAAAATCAATGGTCTTCAGAGTTTACATATAGCTTTGAGGTTCTGCTGGTGTTTGAGGGTGAACTTCAGAAAGATGGGAAGATGTCAGTTAGGCTGGGCTATGGGTTTGTAAATTCTTGTAACGCAACACATCCATGTAATCATTCTTACACTTTGAGACTTTTTAATATGATGCCATTAGAAGAAGGACTATGCTGCTAAACATAGTATTTCAAAATATTTGTTCTGGAGTATCCTTAAGAATATTTTTAATTTGAATATATCGTATAAATTCATTGACTAGAAAAGCCAACACAAAATTTGTGACACCAGGAGAACAGATGGGCTGGTTTACCCTCTTTGGGCCCCATTTCCTCAAACAACAAGATCAGGTGTTTAAATAAAGCAATTATCAATTTTAGCCATAATATTCTATGTGCCCATTGCTGGCATCCTGGAGCCAAAGAATCTGTAGCTGGCAGGACCAAAGGATCTGATGTTATAAAATTCTTTGGGCTGCTGACTTTATTATGTCTAACAGGTTTCATGTGCAAGAGTAGAGCCCAGGCAAGGCTGAGCTGGAACCCTGTTGTGTAGGCTATTCTTGTGTCACTAAAAAGAAATTCCTGAGATTGAATAATTTATTAAGAAAAGTTTACTTGGCTCATTATTCTGCAGGCTTTACAGAAAGCATGGTGCTGGCATCTGCTCAGCTTTTTGGGAGGCCTTAGGAAGCTTCCAATCATGGTGGAAGGCAAAGGGTGAGCAGGTGTCTCACATGGTGAGAGCAGGAGCAAGCTTTGAAGATGTGCCACACACTGCCAACCAACCAGATCTTGCAAGTACCCACTCACTATCTCAAGGACAGCCACAAGCCAAGAAGGACCCATCTCCATGATCCAAACATCTCCCACCGTGTCCTACCTCCAACACTGGAAACTACAATTCAGCACAAGATTTGGAGGAAACAACATCCAAACTATATTACTCTGCCCCTGGCTCCTCAAATCTCATGTCCTTCTCACACTGCAAAATACAATCATGCCTTCTCAATAGTCACCCAAAGTCTTAACTCATTTCAGCATTAACTAAAATGTCTGAAGTCCAAGTCCAAAGTCTCATCTGGAGATCAGTTCTTTCAACCTATGAGCCCATAAAATCAAAACAAGTTACTTACTTCCAAGATAAAATGAGGGTACAGAAATTGGGTAAACATTCTTATTCCAAAAGGGAGAATTTGGCCAAAAGAAAGGAGTTACAGGTCCCATGGAAGTCTGAAACCCAGCGGGGCAGTCATTAAATCTTAATGCTCCAAAATAACCCTTGACTCCATATCCCACATTCCAAGCACACGGATACAATGGTGGGCTCCCAAGACCTTGCTCAGCTATGCCCCTGTGGCTTTTCTATGCTGAGATTGTAAGCTGCTGGTGGCTCTACCATTCCAGAATCTGGAGAGTGGTGGCCCACTTCCCACATCTCTACTATGCAGTGCCCCAGTAAGGACTCTGTGAGGAATCCAACCCCATATTTATCCTCCACACTTTTCTATTAGAGGTTCTCTGTGAGGGATCTGCCCCTGTAGCAGGCTTATGGCTGGGCACCCGGGCTTTCCAAAATATTCTCTGAAATCTAGGTGGAGGTTAACAAGCTTCCTTCACTCCTGCACTCTGTGTGCTTGCAGGCTTAACACCTTGTGGAAGCTGCCAAGGATTGTAGCTTGCACCTTACAAAGTGGTGGCCCAAGCGGTACCTGCGCCCCTTTGGTCTGAAGCTGGAGCCAGAGCCACCTGGATGTGGGGAGCAGTGTCCTGATGCTGCACAGGGCAGCAAGCCCCTGGGCCTGGCCCCAGAAACCATTCTTTCCTCCTAGGCCTCAGGTCCTGTGATGGGAGGTGCTGCCTGGAATATCTCTGAAATGCCTTTGAGACCTTTTTCACATTTTCTTGGCTATTAGCACCTGGCTTTTTTTCAGTCATGCAGATATGTCTAAGAAGTGGTTGCTCCAAGTCCATTTCAACTTCTCTCCTGATAATGCTTTTTCTTTCTCTGCCACATGGCCAGGCAGCAAATTTTCCAAACTTTTACACTCTGCTTCCCTTTTAAGTATAAATTCCAATTTTAAGTCATTTCTTCACTCCTGAATCTGAGATGAGGCTGTTAGCAGCAGCCAGGCCACCTCTTGGATGCTTTGCTGCTTAGAAATTTCTCTTGTCAGATACTCTAAGTCATCATTCTTAAGTTCAAACTTCCACAGATTCTTAAGGCATGAACACAATGCAACCAAATTCTTTGCTAAGGCATAACAAGAGTGACCTTTGCTTTGGCTCCCAATAAGTTCCTTATTGCCAACTGAGACCTTGTCAGCCTTTACAGAGTCTATATCACTATCAGCATTTTGGCCACAACTATTTAACTAGTCTCTCAGAAATCCCAAACTTTCTCTCATTTTCATGTCTTCTTCTGAGTGCTCCAAACTTTCAACCTCTGCCTGTTACCCAGTTCTAATGCCACATCCACAGATATCTTCATAGCAATACCCTACTCCTGGTACCGACTTTCTGGGTTAGGCCATTCTTGCATTGCTGTAAGGAAATACCTGAGACTGGGCAATTTAAAAGAGAAGAGTTTAATTGGCTCACAGTTTTCCAGGCTTTACAGGAAGCATGGTGCTGGCATCTGCTGGGCTTCTGGGGAGGTCTCAAGAAGCTTACAATCATGGCAGAAGGCAAAGGAGGAGCAGGTGTCTCACATGGTGATAACAGGTGGGAGGAGGTGCCACACACTTCCAAACAACCAGACCTTGTGATTACCTAGTCACTATCTCGAGGACAGGACCAAGTCATGAGATCTGCTCCCATGACCCCAAACACCTACCACCAGGTCCCACCTCCAACACTGAGGACCATAATTCAATATGAGATTTACAGCAGACAATATCTAAATTATATCCCTCTTGTAGGGTAGTGAAGTGTTTACAGAGTGTGCATGGAGTAAGGCATGGCACCTAAGAGCAGGAAGGGAGGTGGCGTAAGGTAGTTAAAGCTCAGACCTGCATTCTAGTTCTTGTTCTATTCTAAGTAGCCTGGTAACCAACTGCCGGTTTTTCAATCTTCCTTCATCATAGAGTTCTTCATCTATAAATGACGTATTTGGACTAACTGAGGGTCTTTTGGATAGGAGAGAAAAACAATAAGAAATTCTCATCCAGTTTTTTTTTGGTTATGATTTTGAAGATACATCTGAAATGACTTGACACAGTGGAGTCAGGGTTGGCTACTCAGGCAATTGTCTAAGGAATCTAATTGTTTTGAGATTAAGGTTTATTTTAGGCCTTTTTTGAAATTATGAAAAACATCCTGATTTTTCAAGGTTTTAAACTCACCTTGGGAGCTTTGAAAATACTGGTGCTCAGGCCAGGTCACAGACCAATCAAATTAGAATCTTTGGGCATGCTTGGGCTTTGGGATTATTTTTAAATCTCCTCAGAAAATTCTATTATTTAATGAGGGTTGAGAATCTCTGTGCTGAAGTAGCTTACCACAATTTAGAAATGCTAAGTAACTACCATACTATTAATTTTGAACTTGAATAGGGGAGGAAGCTCATGGAAATTGCTGAGGTGAGGATAACACTTTCTCGCTACATTGTGGCTACATTACAAATGCAGATGGAGTGGAAGCCTTGTCTGCAAAAGACATGATTATAAAACTTCTGTGGGCCAAATTTACCTTTGGACTTGAGCATTTTTTTTTTTTTTAGACGGAGTCTCGCTCTGTCGCCCAGGCTGGAGTGCAGTGGCACCAATTTGGCTCACTGCAAGCTCTGCCTCCCGGGTTCACGCCATTCTCCTGCCTCAGCCTCCCGAGTAGCTGGGACTACAGGCACCTGCCACCACGGCCGGCTAATTTTTTTTGTATTTTTTTAGTAGATACGGGGTTTCACCATGTTAGCCAGGATGGTCTCGATCTCCTGACCTTGTGATCCACCCGCCTCGGCCTCCCAAAGTGCTGGGATTACAGGCGTGAGCCACCGTGCCCGGCCAAGACTTTTAAAAATAGAACTGAAGACAAGTTTGCATGCTTGAAAATGTAGAAGTTTATTTTTATTTTCAGACTTTGTTGATGCAGCCCTAACTGATTTATCTGAGTTTAATCACCATTGGTTCTTCTGAAATCCACTTCTGGAAACCACAAAGCGATAGGAAACCTTTAATTCTGCATATTTTCAGTTGATATATGTGTTGGAAAAAATAATGACATAAGCGCTCATTATAGTTCCACGTGGCTAGCTATGGGCAATTTGAACTGTAATAAAAGACAGATTCAATACCAAATGTTTATGAGCAGGGATTACCCCCGAAAGGAAATGAAATTCAGTCACCAATTTGCTGTGATCTGGAAATATCTGCATCAAATAAACTGGGTTAGAATCTTTGTAACTTGAAGCAACGAACAAAGTGGAGTCTTTGCAGCCTCCCAATTGCCCCATGTGACATATTTCTGGTTTCTTAAAAATATCTTTATTTCCTTAAATTGTCTAGCACAGGAGAAAAGCAGATTTTCTGATTTTCAAGAGAAACAGGTTTTTTTTGAAAAATGTTTAGAAATCCTTATTGTGTAATTGTTGAAGTGAGTTGTGTTTTTTGATGTCTCATTGTCTACAATTTTGACGCATCCCCTTAAAAAATAACACCTAGGATCAGTCCCAGATGCCATCTCTCACAAATGCTCATCTTCTGTGACCACTCGCCTGTAACGTGCTTACCAGTGGTAAGTGACATATGACAAAACAACATGGAGGTGGTATTTTTACTATCGTAACCATCTGGAAAAATGCCTTGAAGATTAGTTTTAAAGACAAAAATATTCCTGAATTCTTATATGTTTAGTGTTTATTGATATGTGCAAGTAGTGTGTTACATGATGGGAGAGTAAAATGGACTTAACCTTTTTTTATTTTCAGTGACTAGCTAGAAATATTCTACAAAAAATGGTAGATCTTACAAATACTGCAGGTAAAACTTTAAGGAAACTCACTCATGAGAAGGAAAGACACTTGTATAGCTGCTCCTAGTGAGAAAGAAAATAAAGTTCTTAGCATACAAATCATATCTTTGAAATGTCTGCTAACAGCAGTAGGTATTGCTTTTAGGGATAAACTGTTTCTTATAGACCTTGAAATCCTATTTCATTCTTTATCTCCTATATAGGGACTGTTTTTTTCCTCAATTCAATTTAGTAAACAAACTTGTATTGATTGCCTATTTATATGAGGTGCTACATTAGATGATAGATATGACAAAGATAAATACATTCCCTGTCCTCAAGGAACAATGGTATAGAAATGGGCTAAAGCATGAAAACAAATAACAGAACAACACACACACACGTGCCCACACACACACACACACACATACACACAGCTTACATCAGAATTAATCCAACAAAGAAGATTTGAAATATCTATTATGGTTGCTGATAATAATTTTTTATATTGATTAGGTCTGGGAAATAAAAATTAATAAATTAAAAAAATATTTTTGTATCACCATATCTTTCTAAAACAGCAGAGGGAAAAATATGCTTTATAAAAATATTAACATTACAATATATGTTCTGATTTTTTGAAAGTCCTGAATTTTATCATTTGATTCTGAAGCAAGACTAGCCGTGTGAAAAATGGTTGATTTTTAAAAAATATTTTTCCTTAATACCATAGAACATCATGTAATTGATTTTATCAAGTATTCTGAATATTAATATTTTCCAAGATTTATGGTTGAATCAACACTTCATTTTGCAACGGTCATTAGTTCTGAGAGAATATCTGAACTTATAATTGACCTAGTTTTCTGGAAAATATCACCTTAAAATTACTAAATATTTCTTCTTCACAAGAAAAGGTCAGTAAGCCAGTTACCTTGTATAATTTTACTTTAGCCAGAATTCCATGACTTACATTCTTTCTAAATGACAATATTAATCCAAATCATTTTGAATTACTAGTTCCAAAGAAACCAGCTGGTCAGAAAAGAAAAAGTAATTGAGATTGGTCATGCCAATACCTTTTCATTATAAATGATCCAGCTGACAAGTTCAGCATGAGTCCTGTTTTGAAAGCCATTTCTACAATTTCACTTTTCAGTTCTGATTTCAGCAGTCACGATTTATATTGAACTATGTCAATTTTAGAATAAAATGTCTTGATTTCCTCATTATGCCATATACTCCAAAATATTTACTTCTAGGAATGTTTTATTGAAATGATAGGCTTATTACTCACAATTGATACACTTACTCTTTTGGAAACAGTGGAAGACAAGTCCACGCCAGTAAATTTGCATTGTTGGTTGCACAGGCAATCCCAAACAGTTTTACAGTGAGCATGGATTCCCTTGGAAGTGACTTTATTTCAAGGGGAAAATTGATCCTGAGAATAAAAGAAAGAAGAAGCATTACCTACCCAATTGTACTGATATTTTAATGAAAATGTTCTTATAATGTACTGGTCTGGGACAAAGATATTTAACTATTTGAATTGAGGCTGCCTCTTGAAATTTTTTGTTTAATCTTGTAAAAATGAAAATTTAACAGAAATATGTAGAATAGTGAGATTTTGTTAATCGATGAAAATTATTCCTGATAATGTTGACATGTAGGTATATTTTTAAAAGTTACAATAAGTTGAACATTTACTCTTAAGCTGTTGCAAGCACAGATGAAAAACAGACTTAGAAAGACACTGTGTTAGGGAGTTGGAGGAGGCAGGAAATAACTCAAAATGATTCTCAAGGTTTAAGTTAGCTATAATGAGATGGAGATTTGGAAAAGAATATTCCAGAAAGAGGAAAAAGCACAGACAAGGGCATATATGGATGAACAACTAGGTGTGTCTGATAAATGGTGAATGGTTCATTGTGGCTAGAACAAAAGATGAAGTCAAGTTGATAGGGGAGATTGTGGAGGATGTAATTAGAAAGATAGGTGGTTGCCAGAATGCTTAAGAGCTCTACATGCCAGGCAAAAGAATTTCAACTTTTCCCTAAAGTCAAAAAGAAATATTTGAAAGATAACAGCCAAAGTGTAGAGAGTTTTTTGCCATTTTAAATGTGGACCATTCTGGGTCATGATGAGGTCCTAGGAATTTGGAGGATGGTCACTGAAATGTAACACATATACAATCTCTGGATATGATAAGGTCAAGACTCTCCGAGCTCAGATCCTGGATGGATTATAGATACTAGCAAATAAAATTGGCTAAGGATAGACACAGGATTTTTAATGATGAGAAAAACTCGAGTTTGGGTTGAAATCATCAATATATGTAAGGAAGTGTCCAGAAGGTCATAAATACTACTGTAAGACTGGATGGGGTATACGTAGGTGGCATGATTGTTTGAGAAGGGGCTTTTGACAGAAAGTTGAGATTGTGATCTGGCATCCCTAATAGGGGCAGGGAGACATCTACCTTTCATTCTTTTCTGGAGTCATCTCAATTGTATAGAATTATATGATCAGGTTCTCATATATGATCATTATATGATCATATGTCAATTATACGATCGTTATATGATCATATGTCAATTATACGATCGTTATATGATCATATGTCAATTATACGATCGTTATATGATCATATGTCAATTATACGATCGTTATATGATCATATGTCAATTATACGATCGTTATATGATCATATGTCAATTATACGATCGTTATATGATCATATGTCAATTATACGATCGTTATATGATCATATGTCAATTATACGATCGTTATATGATCATATGTCAATTATACGATCGTTATATGATCATATGTCAATTATACGATCGTTATATGATCATATGTCAATTATACGACCGTTATATGATCATATGTCAATTATACGACCGTTATATGATCATATGTCAATTATACGACCGTTATATGATCATATGTCAATTATACGACCGTTATATGATCATATGTCAATTATACGATCGTTATATGATCATATGTCAATTATACGATCGTTATATGATCATATGTCAATTATACGATCGTTATATGATCATATGTCAATTATACGATCGTTATATGATCGTATGTCAATTATACGATCGTTATATGATCATATGTCAATTATACGATCGTTATATGATCATATGTCAATTATACGATCGTTATATGATCATATGTCAATTATATGATCATTATATGATAATGCCTCAGAGAAGCCTGGTGTTTAGGAAAGAACTATTTATGAGACAAGGAGATGAAAGAAATTTTTTTTCTAGGAGTTGAGATGGGGAGATATGTTTACAGTAGGTGAGAATGCTAAAGAGGAATGAGAAAACTGGAACAAAGTTTGGCAGACAGGGCCAGAGTCATGGGAGATAAATCACAGATGAATGGGAAGGATAAAGAGCAAAGAGACTTGAAGAGTGACCGAGCATCTTTATGGGATGATACCTGATGGCCATGAGATGTGAGGGAAATACACAGAATCTACTGGCCTTGTCATTCCCAGTTGAACTTTGATGTTAAATTATTAGAGCAGTAGGTGATTATTAGAGTACTGAAGATGACAAAAGCCTATTGTCCAACTGAAAGGTGCGGACTGAGGTTCACCCAGCTGAGGCCTCAGGTAATATTAAGCATCTTCTCACACTAGGAGTTGGCTTTCTAATCTGGAGCCTAGGGAGCAGTTTTTACCCAGGGTTTCAAATCAAACATTGGTGACTTCTTTTTTTCAGTGCCTGTACAGCATCCAGCCTTGGGGATAAGGAGAAGTTAATTTAATTCAATGACCATAATTGAATTTGAGGAAGTACATCTGTCTCTCCTACTCATGGTGTCCACTGAGATAATCAAATCCAGACCCAGCGTGGTTATAGAGCAGCTAACAGGATGAAAGATAGAAGAGCTGTTTTAGAAGTAAAAGGCATAACTAATACCTGACTGATGGCATACCAGTGGAATAAGACAATAAAGAATTAAAGACGAATTCTAGTTTCTAGATTACGACAGATATTTTTAACTGATAGGGAATAAAGAAGATGGGATGGGAATAATTAGTATAGTTTAGGGTATGATGTTATTGAGTTAATGATAATTGTGAGATGCCAATATATAAACTGTCTGCGGATAGGATGGGTCCAAGTTTGGATTTGGATCTATTTGGATCTATTTATGCTCAAAAAATGACCCTATTGACTAAGATGCATTTAACCTTTCTAAGTAATGCATTTAACCTTTCTAAGTCTTACTTTTCCTTTTGCACAAAATGGAACTGCTATTCTATAACACAATATATGGCAAATTGTAGGTTGTATACCGCATTATATTCATTTATTCAATTATTATTACAATAATTTGTATCAGCCATTGTGCATTTAATACACAGGTTTGTAAAAAACACATTCCTTGTAGACAGATGAAATGTAAGTTGATATGATTTGGCTTGGTGTCCCCACCCAAATCTCATCTCGAATTTTAATCCCCAGGTGTTGAGAGAGGCACCTGGGAGGAGGTGACTGGATCACAGGAGCGGTTTCCCCCATGTTGTTCTCATGATAGTGAGTGAGTTCTTAGAGATCTGATGGTTTTCTAAGTGGCAGCTTCTCCTGCTCTCTCTCTTTTCCTGCCACCTGGTGAAGAAGGTACTTGCTTCTCCTATCCCTTCTGCCATGATTTTAAGTTTCCTGAGGCCTCCCCAGCCATGTGTAACTGTGAGTCAAGTAAACATCTTTCCTTTATAAATTATCCAGTCTCAGCCAGGGGTGGTGGCTCATGCCTGTAATCCCAGCACTCCCACCAAGATGGGCAGATCACCTGAGGTCAGGAGTTCGAGACCAGCCTGACCAACATGGAGAAACCCTGTCTGTACTAAAAATACATAATTAGCCAGGCGTGGTGGCACATGCATGCCTGTAATCCCAGCTACTTGGGAGGCTGAGGCAGGAGAACTGCTTGAACCCGGGAGGCGGAGGTTGCAGTGAGCCGAGATCACACCATTGCACTCTAGCCTGGGCAACAAGAGTGAAACTCCATCTCAAAAAAAATAAATAAATAAAAATAAAAATAAAAAATTACCCAGTCTCTTGTAGTATCTTTATGACACTGTGAGAACTGACAAATACGTAATTCTAGCTAGACTTAATGGAGAAAAATAAAGAAAATACTAGAGTGAGAAGAATCTTCTATTGTTAAAGACTGTCAAATTTTAGATTAAAATATTAAATTGGATACCTAGATATTTCGGTATCCAAAACTAAACGTCCTCTCTTTGTTTTCTTTCAAATTCTTTCACACTTGTCATATTCATTTAAGGTAGTATGGACATATTTCTCAGCTTAAAAGAAGCTCTGAAACTTGACATAAAATGCTGATGATCCTGTGGAATGCACAGCAATTTCTTTAATGTTCTTTCTTTTACTTATAATTGACTTTCTATTCAGCTTTCATATTTCTGTGCTAGGATGAAAACTGTAATTTCACTTTATTTCTCACATGATCTAGAATGTTCTTTTTTTCCCATTAAGTCTGGCTTCTTCATGTATAACTTCACTTGTTAGTGAGCTTTTTTTATAACAAGAATGAAAGAAATTATATAAGTTACAGTGGATAGTTACTGCCAATCTCCATTCTGTCATTTTTATTAAGAAAAATAAATTCCTTTAGGATAAGAATAAGTGCTTCCCAAGGAGTTATTTATCCATTCTTTAATACCTATGAATTTTTAAAGCCAGAATAATCTCAACTTCACTGAAAATTTTTTTAACTTTTGTATAGCTACTTAAAAGTCAAAGGAATGAACTTTCAGACAAAAAAGGAAAAAAAAATAAGAGACACATCAGTAAGCGGAAACAGATTGCTTTTTTTTTTTAAACCAAGGAACAGGTATAGTATAGATCTCAAGTTTTAACCACATGTTTGCCTCACTATACTATTTAAGAATGAATAATCACTACAATTTTTCTTAAAATTGTTTTATTGTATATGAAATAGTTTTGCTAAGACCAGAGTAAGCTTCTGAGAGTGAAAAATGAGAGATTTTGAAAGCTACACTTTTAATTATTTATTTATTTATTTTTTTGAGACAGAATCTCACTCTGTTGCCCAGGCTGGAGTGCAGTGGTGCAATCTCGGCTCATTGCAACCTCCTCCAGTGTTCAAGCAATTCTCCTGCCCTGACCTCCCGAGTAGCTGGGATTACAGGTACAGGCCACCACGCCTGGCTAATTTTTGTATTTTTAGTAGAGATGGGGTTTCGCCATGTTGGCCAGGCTGGTCTTGAACTCCTGACCTCAAATGATCCACCTCCCAAAGTGCTGGGATCACAGGAGTGAGCCACTGCACCTGGCTGAAAGTACGTTGTTTAGAACTCTCCTATTAATACTGAAACAAAATGAAGACACTAAACAATAGACCATTGCAAGTATTTTATCTTTTCACTGAGTGAAATGGGGAGCTAGTTCAGGATTTTTAGACAGAAGAATGACATGCCTTGACTGATATTTTAAAGAGACAACTTTAGCTGCTGTGCAAGAAGAACTACAAAGGTGTAAGAGAAGTAGGGAGACCATTATAAAGCTATTGTGGTATAGAGAGGAGAGATGATGGTTTTTTAGACCATTGAAGGTGATGAGAACATATTCTGGATATGTTTTGAGAAGAGAGCCATTAAGATTTTCTGAACATAGGGTCTGAAACGAGATTCAGGCTAAGGATTTTGATCTGAACAACCAGAATTAGAATTGATTATCCAGAATGGCCATCCATAGGTGGAGTGGTTTGAAATGTAAGATCAGAAATTTAGTTTAGGATATATTGATTCTCTAAGTGTGGAGTTTGTGACTGATGGCTGGGTTAGTGATATAAATTTGGGAGCTGTTGGCATTTAAATTGTATTTAAAGGTATATAACTGTAAGAGAAAAGTGAGGGAATAATGACATATACAACAGAGAAGAGGGTTAAGGGCTAAGATCATAATCAGTCTGGGAGAAGAGAAGGACATGGAGAACAAATGGCCAGTGAGGTAAGAGTCAGCCATGTGGAAAGCAAATTTCAAGATGGAGGGTGAGATCAACAGTGCCAAAAGCTTCTGATAGGTCATGTAAGATGAGGATTGAGAAACAAACATTGGATTCAGTCATGAAGGTTACTGGTGACAATTTCAGTGGAGCAGAGGTGATGAAAGCCTGATTGGAGTATGTTATAGAGCAGAGAAAAGATAACTGAATAAAGTGAATATAGATAGTTATTTGGAAGGTTTCACTACAAAGCAGAGAAAAGAAATGGGGTAGCTGCTGGCAGGAGGATGGAGCAGAATAGAGGTTGTTATTTTATTTCTTAAGTTAAAACTTGAATACTATTCATGGGATGTAAATACTCTTGTCAAGATTTTATATGTTGTATGGAAAAGTATGTAAGTCACAGTAAAACCATCAGCTTAGGAGTCACAGTGGGTCTAAATGCTAGCTTTGACACTTTCTGGTTGTGGGAA
Source organism: Homo sapiens (assembly GCF_000001405.40). Lineage (NCBI taxonomy): Eukaryota > Metazoa > Chordata > Mammalia > Primates > Hominidae > Homo > Homo sapiens. The sequence continues at coordinate 18,365,118 of NC_000012.12, read as the reverse complement.
CTGGGCCAAGTTAATCAGTAAGTATCAGAACTAGCATTCAGAATTTTTTCTTTGAAATTGAGTTTAGAATTAGATTTTTATCTTGAATTATCTATATGATGGCATAAGTGTGTGAGTTGAAAATAAATCTGATGTTTTAAAACAACCAGAAATTACTTTTAATTAAATCAGAAGAAAAATTTTAGGGATTGAACTGATTAATGGTTTTGTTTGTTTGTTTGTTTGTTTGTTTGTTTTTAGACTTGCTCCGTAGCCCAAGGTAGAGTGATGTTGGCTCACTGCAACCTCTGTCTCCTGGGTTTGAGCAAATCTCCTACCTTAGCCTCCCGTGTGGCTGGGATTACAAGTGTGAGCCACCATGCCCAGCTAATTTTTATATTTTTAGTAGAGACAAAGTTTCACCATGTTGGCCAGGCTGGTCTCAAACTTCTGACCTCAAGTGATCCATCTGCCTTAGCCTCCTGAAGTGTTGGGATTATAGATGTGGCCACCGCACCTGGGTTGGTTAATAACTTTTTAAAGGAGTCACTTGTTACACAAAATTTATTAATTTGCCCAATAACACTTACTGGACCCTTTGTCTGGTGCTGCTTTACCTGCTGTCGACTAAATAAAATTAAAAAAAAAATCTTTGTATTATTCGGTAGGAGCATACAGAAATCTAAACAAACAGTAGGTACTGTAAGAGAAATTTACAGGTTAGACCAAGCAAGGGAAGAAAAGATGAACAATTTTGCCCAATGATACAGGAAGGGTTTATACAGGAGGTAAAAGATGCATCGTGAAAGATAATTATGTGTTTCCCAGATGGGCAAGTGGAATACTGTGTTCCTGACACATGGAGGATCCCTGGCAGAGGCCTGACTTCTCAGTTCATAGTTAGGGTAAATAGATCAGATGCAAAGAATGACTGGTGGACAGTCAAGGGATAGTTAGGGTAAGTAGATAAGATGCAAATGACTGGTGGATAGCAAGAACGGGGAATGGGGTTAATTCTAGAGGTAAAGATGCAGAGATAGGTAGGGGCCACACTACAAAAGGCCTTGTGTGCTTTGCTAAATGATTTGTACTTTGCCTTATAAGAATTGGAGAGCTACTGAAAAATTTTACAAGCAGAGTTGATTCTATGAAAGAAAAAGGGATATTATTATTGAATGTCAGGTCTTTGGTCAAAGGAATAAAGAACCTTACCCAAAGAAGGGGAGATAGAGATTGTCATGGTCCTATAAGAAGGCAGATTTAGTTTGGAATGGGAGGGGCCATGAGGTATGCGAGAATTGAAGGTCACATGCCATGTTTCAGGACACAGTCTCCATTGATTGTGGTAAGAGTAGAATAGATGGTGCTATCTAACATCATCCTCTTCTACAAATTCTGACACGTATTTATTAATGGAAAAGCATCATACCGGGAGTCAAACTGTCTTCTAAGAAAGCCAGATCATCTGAAAGAGCTGAGGGGAAGTAGGCTGGGGAATTTTCTTCTGCTTGAGGTGGGAAGAATATTGATCTGAGTGAAGCAATACAGACTGCAGGGAAATGACTGAGAGCAAGCTGGCAGAGCAGTGAGGAAATGCAGCAGTAACCATGGAAGAGCTGTGAATGAGGCTGATGAGCCCCCTGGGGTTCTGAGTAAAGAGAGGGCTTAAGTTGGGTGCGGGGAGCAAAAAAGTGGAGAAAGACAGTGATAATGTTAGGAAGTTACTTTATCTTCTTGACTTAACAAATCTTTACAGAAGAAGGAAGTGGGAGCCAGTCACCCCAAATTAAGCTTACACATCTATAGATGTTTATTGTCAAAAAAACTTGATTGTTTAAATAAATTTGTACTTCAGCTTATGTGAGAAAATTGAGAAAATGGAGATTACCCACGTTATCAGGAGGGTTGTCTTTTCTTTGTTACACCTGGACTCCCTCCACTCCTGCCTCAAAGAGAGCATATTCCTGATATGCACAGTGTGTGAATGATTAATAAGTCTTCTTCTTTTTTCAATTTCCCTTTTTCTCAGTTCAATAATGTGAATTGGACACTTGTCTAGGTTTCTAAATGGACTTTTAATCTGTTGAATTGAACAATCAGTTATCTATTAGCCCTAGTGTACTTATCATACCACTGAATCAAATCAACTGGCAGCATATTTTTTTTAAATTACATCCCTTGCTTTTAAAAAAAGGGGGAAAAAGCTGACATTTATTACATAAATGATCCAGATACAGTAAAGATTAAACTTACGTTTCATTCCAGTTGACCAAGAAAAAAAATAATTTCTTGTCTGGAATATTTCTGTAGTTTCTCACTTGGCACAGCTTCTTTCCAGCATATGTAAGCCAACAGGTAAAAGAAAACGCTTTGTAGCTAAAATGAAACAACATCAATTCAATATGCTTAGCACTTTAAAGAAACTAGCTTTCTATATGGGTCAATTATTTTTGTAGTCAAAAGTCAAATGATAAAGTGATGACTGCTTGCATAAAGCATGCTTTAAAAATTGCTTTAAGAATTTAGGCTGAGTATGTCAAAAAGACAGTGGAATAGGAGGCCCTAAGACCTTCCTTTATTCATGGAGAGAAAAATATGCTGACCGATTCCTTTTGAAAGAAAACCAGAAACCAGTTAAGAGGCTCCTGTATCCCAGGTGAATTCAAAACCAGCCATGTCAAAGTTGGTAGAAAAATTTGTGGCACTCACTTACCAGAGCCTCTTCCCTGGCACAGTGTGGCATGATCAGAAAGAAACTCTCAACTTCTGGCTTCCCACCAAGGAGGGAAAGAGAACACGGGGACGTACATCTAACACTTAGACTTAGCACCTTTGAGGCTACACAAGGAACTAGCTTTTGTCTTTCCTGGATATAAATGATGACAGGAAATGTCACCAGTTTAGGGGCCACTGAAAACAAAGATGATGGTTTTTACTAGCACGTACTTGCTATTGCCTCTCTCCACAACTCAGCATAGAATGATTTTTTTAAAAAAACCCAATTTATGGCTTCTCCTTGGGTAGGAAAAGAGTTGATTCGTGTGTCCAACATTCCAGTTTTGGGGCTACTATCAGAAGGACTAGTTTCTGTCTTGTCTGTCTTGGAGCACTGACAGGACCCTGCATACCCTAGATGCCTGGAGACTGTTGAGAACAAAAAAAAAAAGTTGGGTGGCTTCTTATTGTTCCAGAGGTCCTATGGTACAGTGGACAAAGCCTATATACCTTGTCAGCCACTCCCTGGTCAGGGAAAGTGATGGGGAAGAAAGGAGCATATGTCCAACACTTCAGCTTTTAAAGAGATTGCCTGAGGGACTGGTTTCTGTCTTATCCAACTAGAAGCACTGATGGGAGGCAGCATACTTTAGGTCCACACTACTGAAAACAAAAAGATCTGATCACCTCACAGAAATTCCAGAGAACCTGCAGTACCACAGACAGACACCAGAAAAAGCAAGAAAACATGAGCTCCACAAGACAGAAACCAGCAAAATCCCTCTAATTGGGAATTTACAAGTACAAGCAGAGTGAAGATGTGCTCATATGAAAGGTTTGGAAGGCACCCAGAATCTCTAGCAAGGCTTATTTTTGAAGGTTTTTTTTTTTCAGTGGGAAGCCAGACAGACCATAAAGACTGAGAGAGTTAGCTGTTTTTGCAAATGCACATATCTCAACACAAGGTAATAAGGCACACAAAGAAAGAGGGGATCATGACCTAGCTAAAGAAACAAAGGAACAAAACAAATCAAGTCTAAGAAAATAAAGTTGTATAAATTACATGACAAATAGTTCAAAATACCCATCATAAAGATACTCAATGAAAAATTATGGATGAATAAAATGAGAATATCAAGAAAGATATAGAAAATATTATAAAAATAACCAAATAGAAATTATGGAGCTAAAGGATACAATAACTGAGTTGAGAAATTTACTACAGAGATTCTGAAGCAGAATTGATAAAGCAGAGGAGATAATCAGTGAACTTGAAGACAGGTTATTTGAAATTATCCAGCCAGAGAAGCCAAAAATGAAAACAACAACAACAACAACAATAACAAAAACCCCACAATGAACTGAAGAAAGCCAAAGAGAATAATGGGCACCGTCAAGCCGGCCAATATATCAATGTATCGTTATGGGATTTTCAGAAAGAGAAAAAAAGAAAAAGAAAAAAAGAGGAATGCTCATTTGAAAAAGTAATGGTGAAAAACTTCCTAAATTTGGGGAAGAAAATGAACATCCAGATTCAGGAAACCCACTGGATGCCAACTATGAAGAAGCCCAAGAAGACCCCACAGGGACATATTAGAATCAAATCATAAAAAGTCAAAAAGATGAAAAGACCATTTCACAAGCAGCTAGAGAAAATGACTAATCATGTACAAGAGAACATTCGTAAGATTATTAGTGTATTTTTCAGCAGAAACTTTGTAAGCCAGAAGGGAGAGAAATAATATATTCAATACGCTGAAAGAAAAACCTGTCACTAAAGAATACCATATTTGATAAAATCATCCTTCAAAAATGATGAAAGAGAAATACTTTATGAGGTGAATAAAAACTGAGGGAGTTCCTCACTACAAGACCTGCTTTGTAAGAAATGCTAAACACTGTCCTTCAAATTGAAATGCAACAATGCTATAGAGAAACACAAAAGCATGTAAAACTATAAAACTCACCGGTAAAGGTAAATATATAGACAAATACAGAATACCGTAATGGTGCTAAATAAATTACTTTTAACTCTGGTGTAGCATTTAAAAGATAAAAGTACAAAAATAGCTACAACAATAAATTGATATGTAATATAAAAAGATGTAATTTTTAACATCAATAACATAAAGTGTGGTGGGAGGAGAAATAGAAGTACAGAGTTTTCGTATGTGATTGAATTTTAGTTAAAAGGTTAAAGAAGGTTGTTATAAATATAAGATATTTTGTATAAGACTCATGGTAAACACAAAATGAAACTTATGGAAGATACACAAAAAACAAGAAAAAAAATCAAAACATATCATTACGAAAAAAATCAAAGCAAGTCACTACCTCCCCCACAAAAATAACAACAAACACTAAAAATACACAGCCAGAGAGGAAAAGACAAAGAAGATACAAGACAGAAAACAATGGACAAAATGGCAATAGTAAGTCCTTTACTATTAATTACTTTAAAAGTAAACAGATTAAATTCCCCAATCAAAAGACATTATCCATTTAACCAACAGCATGGCTAAATGGACAAAAAGTATATAAGATCCAACTAGATGCTACTTACAAAAGACTCAATGTAGATTTAAGGACACAAATAGGCCAAAAATGAAAGGATAAAATAGCTATTCTATGCAAACAGTAACCAAGGGGAGCAGGGGTGGCCATTCTTACACCATGAAAGTCAAGTTTAAGTAAAAAACTATAACAAGAAAAAGAGAAGGAGATTGTATAATGACAAAAAGGTAAATTGACCAGGAAGATATAAGAATTTTAAATATATCTGTACCCAACGTCAGAACACCCAATATATAAAGCAATATCAGAACACCCAACATATAATGCAAACATTGACAGAGCTGAAGGAATAAATAGACAGCAATACAATAATACTAGACATCAATAACCCACTTTTAATAAGTAGAACAACCAGACAGAAGGTAAGTAAACAGAGGATTAGAACAACGCTATAGACCAAATGGACCTAACAGATATATACAGAACATTCCACTCAGCAGGAGCAGAATACATATTCTTCTGAAGCAAACAGGAAACACCCTCCAGGCTAGATGACATGTTAGGTCACAAAACAAATCTCAACAAATTTAAGAAAACTCAAATAATATCAAGTAGCTTTTCTGACCACAGGAGAATGAAATTCAAAGTCAATAGCAGAAAGAAATCTGGAAAATTCACAAATAGGTGGAAATTAAACAACACACTCCGGCAAAACCAACAGTTCAAAGAAGAAATCAAAAGGGCAATTACAAAACATCTCAGAATTGGCAGTGCTTACAGCTTGAGGAGAGCATCTTGCCCAGGTGCAGTGGCTGCCATTGAGATCCACCTGAGGCCTTTTGCCTTCAGCCTTTTGCCTTCAGCCCTTCAGCACTCCCAGGCTGCAGCTCCTCACCTGTTCAGCTTGCTCACTCGCCCTCCCTTCCCTGTAGCCTGCTGCACCATGGAGTTGGCATTAGTGGCACCAGTGGCAGTTGAGCTGGTCTGCAGCAGCAAGTACCAACATTTATAGAATGAGGAAGAGCCTGAGGAACCTGAGAAGGCTTCAGGTGAGGTTCCTCCACCTTATGGCATCAACTCTGCAGAGAGTATGGTATATTTGACTACACAGATGAGTCTAATTTTCCAAAGCCCCCATTTTACAATGTGGTTGCAAACATTACCAATTTATAATAAAGTCATGAGAATCAAGGCTGAAGCTCTTTCTTTGGTTCCTGGAAGAGATGAGGATTTTGTGGGACAGGATGATTTTGATGATGCTGACCAGCTGAGGATAGGAATTTTTTTTGGTTAACTTTTGTCCTGGCATTCTTCTTAACTGGGTTAAGTTCTTTTCCTGTCTTTTTGCCTCACTGCTTCAGTGGCAGAAAGGTATGACACCATTTCAGAATTTGGTCTCTTTCTAATTAAGTGGGTCCTGAGAGTCAAATTTCTAACCTGTTTTCCTTGATACTTTGATGGTCAGCACTGCTGCTGTGAGATGAACCAAATGCTGAGTTAAGGTGCCCGATCCAATGTGATGATCATAAATTATTAGACATCTTGGGGTTGAAATGATCTCAAACTATCCTTACATTTTAAATGGGTAAGCATCCCAGCTTGCTGGCATAAAGCCAAGTGTGGGATGCAAGTGCCTAGTGGACTACTTCCGGTAAGCAGAACTGGCAAATGTTAGTTTGGTAAATAAACTCAGCCTAAAGTTAGCAGAAGAAAAGAAATAATAAATATGAGAGCAGAAAAAAGTGGAATACAGAATATTAAAAATAGAACTACCATATAATCCAGCAATCCTACTTCTGGGTATTTATCCAAAAGAACTGAATTAAGATCTTGAAGAGCTATCTGAACTCCCATGTTCATTTCAACATTGTTCACAGTAGCCATGATGTAGAAAGAATCTAAATGTTCACCAGTGGGTGAATAGATGAAGAAAACATGGTATATACATACAATGATATATTATTCAACCTTGACAAGGAAGAAAATCCTGTCATACTACAACATGGATAAATATTAAGGACATTATGCTAAATTAAATAAGCCAATCACAGAAACACAAATACTAAATATACCACTTCTTGAAAGCAAAAAGTAGAATGTTGGTTACCGGGCACTTGGAGATAGAAAAGGAAGAGGAAGAATTTTAGCCATGCCAGATGAAAAAGGTCTACAGATCTCCCATACAACAATGCACATGTAGTTAACATTACTGTACTTTACAATTAAACTTTTTTAGTAGGGTAGATTTCATTTTCTGTATTTTTACCACAATTTTTAAAAGATTGAAAAAGAAGAAACAATATGCTAATGTTCTGGTAAACATAAATTATTTAGCACTAGATTTTTGTATAAACTTCTAATGTGAAATTCAGCATTGGAGCCAAAGTTTCTAAGAATACTTATTCACTTTGCAATTTTAAATTGAATGAGAATTTGTGTGCATTAGATTTTTAAACATTTAATGAATTCATAGGATAACTAACAATAGTGCTAATATTTCGCAGCAGTTCTGGAAAGTACATACTGTGTTTGAATATTTTTAACTTAAATGTAAAACATGTTTGTACACAATATCTGATGAGCTTTCCAACATTAAACACACACACACACACCCACACCTCCTGACAAAACTATAAAATCTTGTAAAAAATCTTAATAAGTAAAAGCAATATTAATTTAAACTATTATATATGTATATAATAGAAATTCTCTGCAAGTAGCAAATTTTCCCACATATCTAAACAGCAAACAGGTCTTTTAAAATAAAATGTTCTTAACATTTTGAGATATCTTTTTTTAGTTTTTATAGCTGTCATCTCTTGATCTTTTATATGTACTGTTGCCTAACAATTTAATGTGATAATTAGAATGAAAGAGTTTGGTATTGATACAGACAGGAGGCAGGAAAATACTAGACAGAAAAGGGTGGGGTGCCTGGCAAAGCCTCACCCTCAAGCCTGGGCCTGAAGCCTAAAGTGAGGACGTGTCTTCCTGTTTTCCCGCTTGAATGTTACTTTTTGGCCCACCCCCCGCCCCATCCTATAACCATAAAAACCCCAGGCTCCAATGACAGATGGGCAGCAGAGAAAGAAAGAAGAGAAAAAGCAGCTTGAGGTCAGCAAGAAGCAGCTTGACTTCAGAGGGGCGGCTTGACAGCAGGATCTTTCAGAAGATTTCGGCCAGCGATGGCCGAACTCCAGGAAAAGACCACCTTCCCACTCCATCTCCTTTCCAGCTCTCCATCCCACTGAGAGCAACTTTCATTGGCAGTGAAATCCCCCACATTTACCATCTTCAATTTGTTCATGTGACCTAATTCTTCCTGGACATCAAACAAGAGCTCAGGATACAGAGGGCTGTCACACTGAGCTGTTAGACACTTAAGCTGTCCGTGGATGGCAAAGCTAAAAGTGTACTGTAACACATGTCCTCTGGGGTGCCAGAGATTGTAGGTACCCCCCAGATGCTGCCACGGGGCCACATGGAGTTCTACTCCTATCAGCACCCAGAAGCACTTGTCCTGGCCCGTACACCCAGTCACCGGCGTGTTCCCCCTCCTGTGAGGGGCTGAGAGCTATGGACTGAGTAAATGAGCCAACCCCTTCATGAATCCTGTGAAGGGGTCAAGGGAACCATCCCGTTTCATCGGGGGGCTTGCCTAGGATACTTCAGAAGGGTAAGCAAAATGTGGATTTATCTCTCCTTGTCCTCAGACTTTCCTCTGAGCTATGCCATTTGCAGGGGATAGGATGCAACCTGCCATCTCTCTCTTTCTTTTGGGTAAAAGGAATGTTGGCTCTGTTTCCCTTCCTGGAGGTCTAGTTGTCATGTGGGACTGGAATAAAGTCCTGGGGAAACTGAAGGCCTCTTGCCAAGGCCACTCCTCAGTATTGCCGGAAGGCCACAAGACTGGACCTGTTCCCCAAGTGTCTATCAAGGTGTCAGCCAAGACCCCCAGACTTTTCCTTTGATATCTTTCCTTCCTTCTTTCATGGTTTGAAATGGCTCCTGGCTCTTCTTTTATAATGTTAAGGGTTCTACTACAAACAGCAGCAATGATACTAGGCAGAATGTATGTTTAGTCCAGCCATCAGATATGCAACTCAGAACAATACAATTTCCATATGTTCTTAGAGGTATGACCCCAAACCCCAATGGCCACAGGTGTGTGAATGGGATGGGCAGGTGAATGGTGGTTCCCTTCTCATCCCCTCCCCTCCAGGCTTGGGTGCCTGGGCATGTCCGTAGCATGCATGTGCTGTGCCCAACAGCTAAGTGGGGTGGTGGGAGTTAGCGGTGCATGCTGCCCAGGCCCCAGGGTAGTCTTTGGGGCCAGGGACCCCGTGCAGCCGGCTGGCCAGTGCTCTCTGCATGCCTTCCCCTCCTGCCACAAGCCCATAGACTCTTTCTTTCCCTGGCAAGGAGTTCAGCCTGGTTGGAACTAGGGGAGAGATACAATGATTAAAGTAACCTATTCGTAGAAAGCAAGAGGTTCTTTCCCTGGACCACCCCCATTTGCCTTTTAAACTATTTTTGTTCTTTTTTCTTTTCTAAGTGAGAGGTTTCTTTTCCTACCTCAGCACTCTGCTTACGATAGGGAGGCAACAGAAGAGTGAGCCCTGCTGGCTGATAACTGCAAATTTGGCAGGGCCCATTTGGGATTTAATTTAAAAGGACCCTGAAATACCTTTTGTTCCCAACCTGATTCCAAGCTTCAGGTTAAGGCCTTAGGAAGGAAAACCAGATCTGAGGGATCCAAGCAAGGAAACAGGCACAATGTAAATGGGCAGGACAATTTCTGCTAATTAAGCCTCCACGTCATGGAAGGAGGCCATGCTCCATGGCACAGATAAGGCCTGGGAAACCCAAAGGTTGCTGACAGTAGGGGGAATGGAGGCATGGCATAAGTGAATGTGGACAATTCCTATTCTCTAAGACCTCCCTGCTTCATGGGTGCAGGCTGCAATGGCACCTGTGGGTGGCATCTGTGTAAGGTCACCAGGACTTGAGAATAAGAAGACAGAAGAGAAAGGGGCGATGCCTGCTTCCCCTCCCTCACATCTGAGTTTTTGCTGAAAGAAGGAAGGGAAATGAGGGATACCTATTTCCTTGTCTTTCAGAATGGGCAACCAACTGTCTCCACCATCACCAGTTTATACTCTTCTGGAGTGCATCCTGAATGACTGCGACTGCTTTGACCCTCCAAATCTGGAGGAAAAATGCCTATTAGCCCTTTGCACAAAGGTTTGGCCAAATTATGAGGACTGGCTTGGCCTCAGGAGGGAACCATTCATTTTGATATCATCTGGCAGTTGGAACTTTTCTGTAAATGCAAGGACAAATTGTCTGAGACCCCATATGTGCAGGCTTTCTTTACCTTGCAGGGCAATCCAGACCTTTGCCAACAGTGTAGGATTGATCCATCCCTCCTATTGGCCATCTCAGGAGAGGCTGCAAGGGGCAGTCTCAGGGAATTAAAGAAACAAACCCCAGAGACACCTCCCACAGGGGAGCCAGCTCCCTTCAGCCCTGCTCCTCCGGGTTCTCCCCGTCCTCTCTCCAGCTTGCCCCCTCCTAGAAATACCCTAGACAAGCCCCAGTATCACTCTTGCCCCTCCAACAGATGCCTGTTGAATTTGGCCCCAGTAAGGTCCAGGTCCCCTTCTACCTACAGGACTTGAGGCAAATTAAGGGAGATCTTGGCAAGTTTTCAGATGACCCTGACAGATATAGAGAGGCTTTCCAGAATTTAACCCAAGTATTTGAACTCTCCTAGAAAGACGTTATGTTACTTTGAAAGCAAACCCTGACTAACACTGAGAAGCAGACTGCTCTGCAAGTGACAGAGTGATTTGGTTATGAGCTTTGTATCACATATAGCATCAGGGAAGGTGCCAAACTTTATCCAAATGAAAGATGCAGTATCAATGGATGACCCTGGAATGGATCTCAATGATGAGATGGGAGAATGGAAGAAGAGACACTTACAGGTGTGCATAATGGAGGATTTATGTAGGACTTGGACCAAGCCTCTCAACTATACTGACCTATTCATGAAAGACCAGGGATTTGATGAGAATCCCACTGCCTTTCTGGAAAGGCTGAGAGGCCTTGGTAAAGCACACATCTCTATCTTCTGATTCTGGTGAGGCATAACTAAACATAAAGGATAAATTTATTACTCAGGCAGCCCCTGATATAAGGAGGAAGCTGCAGAAACAGGCCCTGGGAACAGATACTACTTTAGAGGACCTCCTGAAAGTGGCCAACTCGGTTTTTACAGTAGAGATGGGGGGACACAAGAAAGAGGCAGAAGCTTTAATGGCCACCATGCAAGCCTACAAATCCCAGAATTCTCAAGGTGCACCTGTTGACTGCTACAGATATGGCAAGAATACTTATCTCTCTTATAAAGTTTAACTGCTCCCACACAAGGTTTAATTTCTTTCACCAAAGTGAAACGGCTTGGGGTACAATGTTGTTAGCATATTTCATTTCTTCTTTCTGTAATCTTTGGCACTAGATTCTTTCCTTGTATAATACACATGTGTGACCCATGCATACTTAACCTTGTAAAACTTGGGCTTTTTTTTTCCTCATGTGCCTAGAGGCCATCAAACTCTGAACAGTCAGGCAACTGGAGCCTTGGACAATGGCTCCCTTTTGCTAGGGACCCTTAGGTAAACTTTAGGGAGGAATCTGACTGCCGTTTTCCCCAAAACAATGCCCCCTGTCAGCAGGAAGTAGCTAAGATTGGTCATCTTCCATATTTTAATGGCAGTAAGATGTGCCTCTTCAGAGCAGGGAAGTGATATGGACAGGAGGCAGGAAAATACCAGGCTGAAAACCCTCAAGCTTGGACCTGCGGCCCAAAGTGAGAACATGCATTCCTGTTTTCCTACTTGAATGTTGCTTTTTAGCCTGTCCCACCCACCATCCTATACCCAGAAAAACCCCAGGGTCCACTGGCAGAGGGGTGGCAGAGCAGCTGAGTGGTGGAGTGGCAGACTGGCAGAGCAGCAGAGTGGCAGAGAAGGAAAGAAGAGAAGCAGCAGTCTGACATCGGCAAGATGCAGCTTGACTTCAGAGGGGTGGCTTGACAGCGGGATCTCAAAGAAGAGTTTGGCCAGGAATGGCTGAACTCCAGAAGAAGACTACCTCCCCACTCCATCCCCTTTCTAGCTCTCCATCCTGCTGAGAGCCACCTTCATCAGCAATAAAATCTCCTGCATTTACCATCTTCAATTTGTTCATGTGACCTGATTCTTCCTGGATGCCGAACAACAGCTCGCGATGCAGAGGGCTGTCACACTGAGCTGTTAAACACTTAAGTCATCTGCGGATGGCAAAGAGAGCACTGTAACAGATGCCTTCTGGGGATCCAGGGATTTTGAGTACCCCTCCTAGACACTGCCATGGGGCTACACAGAGTTCTACTCCTGCCAGCACCCAGAAGCACTTGTCCTGGCCCCTGCACCCACTCACCTGTATGTCCTCCCCTCCCATGAGGGGTTGAGAGCTGTAGGCTGACTAAACAAGCCAACCCCTTCATGAGTCCTGCAGAAGGGTCACGGGAACTGTCCTGTTTCAGAATCAACTCTAGTAACCAGTTAAGGATGAAGTACACTGAAGTATACTCACTTCTGCTGTGGTAAACAGAAGGGACTTTAGAAAGACAACATCTGGAGTTGTCATAGATTAGTTCTAGAACTGTAATTTCTTAATCTGCAAAATGGGTATGATAGTGCTCTTGTGTCACTGGTGTGAGGATTAAATAAAACAGAGTTGGTCCTCTGTATCCCTAGGTTATGCATCCACAGATTCAACCAACCACAGATCAGAAATATTTTTGAAATGACAATAAAAATAAAACAAAGGGATATATTGTGAGAATTGCATCATTAGGTGATTTTATTGTTATGCGAACATCCCAGAGTGTACTTGCACAAACCTAGATGGCAAAGCCCACTACACATCTAGGGTATACGGGATAGCCTATTGCTCAAAGGCTACAAACCTGTACAGTATGTTACTGTCTTGAAGACTGTAGGTGGTTGTCAATAATGCCTCACAACACATTTCTCAGAACATAATTCCCCAAGTCATAAGCTATGCATGAGTGTATTTACATAGTTTACATTGCACTAAGTATTATAAGTAATCTATAGAAGATTTACAGTATACAGGATGACGTGCATATGCTATGTACAAATACTATGCCATTTTATGTAAGGAGCTTCAGCATCTGTGACATTTGTTATCTCCAGGGGTCCTGGCACCAATCCCTTGCAGATAACAAGGGACAACTGTAATGCAGGTTAAGTATTTTTCCCAGCGCAAAACTCACAGAATGTGCTCAGTTAATAGTAAGTACTATGATGAGGATAAATCAGCAAAACTCTTAGAATGTGCTCAGTTAATAGTACTATGATGAGGATAAATCAGAGGATATAGGACTTGTTTGTTGTTCTTCTACCAGAATGCTGGTAGAAGATTTTTCTTCCACTTTATTATCCTTGATTTTTATAAGCTGGACAAAACAAAGCAAAATGGCATAGAGGAAATGGTGACATGATTGCTATATTAATTTTTAGTCTTTTATGTCTTATTTATAATGTGAGGCTATATTTTTCACTTTAAGAATAGCTTTGACCATATTCCATATGTTTATTATATATTTTTATTACCTTTAAGTTATAATGTTTTCTAACTCCTTGATTAATAAAATTAAAAGTACATACTTAAATTTATGAATATATTTATTTTTTGTTACTGTTTTCTAAGTTGCATCTCAGAAAGTGGATGAGATCTTTATTATATAGGTTATTGGAAATTTGCCTACTATTTAATATTTGGTCACTTAAAATAAATATTCTATATGTGCTTGAGAAGAATTTGTATTTCCAAATTATCTTCTGTAAGTACAATATATATTTATTGGATCAAGCTCATTAATTATATGCTCACTCCTATATCCTTCCTAATTTCTCAGTAATGTATTAATTCCTGAGAGAGGAATACTGGTATCCCCCACTATCATATTGGCCCCATCAAACTCTTCGGATTTCTGTCAATGTTATTACTTTGTTGCATCTTTCTGGTGAATTGAATATTTCAATACCATGTCAGGACTTTATATTTAATGATGCTCTTGATTCAGAGTCCATTATGTTGGTCTTTATGCCAATATTTGGTTGGTATATGCATCAGTATTTATATTGAGAGATTGTGCCTGTTTCCCACACATTCCTTAATGTGCTAATACGATGAGCCAAGTTTATAAATTAGACTTTAGTGACATGAATGGAAGACATAAACTGCACACATGTACCTTTTAATGGCAAAGGTTATGGGACAAGAAACCTCTATATGCCATTCGAATCTTCCCCATAAAAAGGGCATCGTCTTGATGAGAAAGAATTTCAACTTGCCCCTGTGCACACAGTATCCCATAATTGAAAGTACTGTCAAATCATTTTTTGCACAGATATACTTTATTACATAATATGTATTACTGTACATATTATGCATTTTTGCATAATTATTTTTGCATTCTATTTATCAAACAATGATACCATACTTTATGAGTGACTTAAGGGATTTTTTAAAAATAATGTTTACTGACTTACTTATAATCTCCTCATATAACAATATGATTCTGCTGAACTCTTACTAATTATTACTAACAATCATTTTAAGAATTGTCTAGTCAACCACTCTTACACTGCCACTAATTGCTCTGGACTCACTTTCACTGATGCTGGCCCTCTTGACCTCAGGCACTTAGCTTTGTACCTCTATTGTAATATTTTCTTGGCTTCCTTGGAATATCTCCTGGTCTACCTTCCTGTATGGTCATTGCTTCTTTATAGTTTTCAGCTCAGCTTACATTTTTGCCCTCAGTAATAACCACGACATGGACTACGTATTCCTGCTGTCGAGACCCATGTAACAATTTCACAAACCAAGTATGACACATTTCTCTATTCAAGGGATTTTGTTCAAACATTTTTAACCAATCTTTATCGAGTGCCTGTTGCATGCCAGGACATGTTTTGGGTACTAGAGGTTTTTAAAAACTATAGTCCTACCTACAAATGTGCATGGTCACACGGACATTGTAAAAGGACTTGGGGGAGAACTAACAATATGCTATTATTAAGATAATGAGCATCATGAAATACATACACAAAACGATAAATTTATCTCATCTTTGAGTGAGATAAAGGCACTTTCAATCTATAGAGAGGATAAAGTTAAGTAATTAAATTTCTATTCTATATAATGAGAAATTTAGGATAAATATGAATGAGTTCTTAATCAGTGTAATGAATCAAGGAAAGAATTTGTTTAATCAAATTATTCTAAGTAAGATACATTCTCATTTGTCTTTGATAGCTTGAGTGGGGTGTTCCCTGAAGGCATCTGTGGAGTAGATGATAATTCAGTTTCAGATCCTCAGATTTGATAGTGAATGTTTCACTCTTTTTTATTGTAGAGTCCTGTACCTTAACAAATTAGTTTCACTTGCTGACATTAATTATGGTCCTTTTGACTAAAGCCATCTAGAAAGTTGTCACTTTGTTATTTTACCCCCTCAGTTTGTCAGTACCTATGCTTCTGGAGATACCTCTGGCCTGGTTTCTTCCCAGGTGTCTTGCCTCCAAGATAGCCCCCAATGATTCTGTCTCCTGGTATGCGAACCCTTGTATCATGCTTTCCCACAGGATACAATATGGCAGAAGTAGTGGTATACCACTTCCAAGATTAGATTACAAAGATTGTCTCTTCTGTCTGTGGTGTTCCCTTGCTCATGGACTCTCTCTCATTCCTTGGATCATCTGCTCTGGGAAAAGCCAACTCTATGGCCTGAGGACATTTGTTGAAAACTCTGTGGCAAGGAATTGAGGCTCCCACACCTATACACCATGGGGAACTGAGGTCTTTCAATAACCACATCAATATCACCTTAGAAGTGGATTCTTCAGCCCCAGTGAGCTTGAGATGACTGTGGTCTCAGTCAACAGTTTGACTGCAACTCATGGGAAACCTTAAGCCAGATCCACCCAGCAAAACTGCTTCCCAGATTCTTGAGCCTCAGAATGTGAACTCATCAAAGTTTGTTGTGCTAAACTGCTAAGCTTTGGGGTAATTGGTTATGTATTAATAGATAACTTATATACTAGGTCCCTAGGAAAATCTACAATAAAGATGTAATTTGTCATGAGGTAAGACATCTTGCTGGAGCCTCTTCCCAAAGAATTTTGACTGGTCCATGGATTCCTTAAGACAGGAATAGCTTCATGTTTTCCCATGTCCAGCCCTTTATAGTTTGTTCCAGTAATGAATGGCTGGGATGATTTTGTTTCCTTCATCAAAGCCCTAATTTATTTATTGATTATAGGAACATTTGCAGAAAAGCATTATTTTATATTTATAATTATATGTACATATGTACACATCTACCTGTATATAACAATATTAGAAAGTGCTCTATTTTTACTCTGCATGTAGGTACTATGTAGAGACAGAAAAAGGAGAGTTGGTTAGATCATTCATACGCACACACACACACACACACGCGTAAATGCACACTTTTTTATATTCATATGCATTTTACATTTGCACGCATATGTATATTTACACACATATGTATATATTTTACATTTTGCATTTACACACATATGTATATATTTATATATATATTTATCCTTGTCTCTCTACATATAGACACACATATATAAATGCATGCCCTATACATATAGCTTTATCTGTATTTATCCGGCTATAGGGATTTTCCATGGGAATTCAAACTAAGGAGTATTTATTGATGGTTAGAAAATTAAAAGAAAACATTAATTAGAGTAATAATTTATTTTACTATACATCGGCCCTTTAAAATTTTTCATAAAATTATAAAAGGAAAAAGAATAAAAATATTATTTTATGGATTCTAAACAAATATGTGTGTAGATAGTGTTTTTTATATACATAGGTAAAATTTCCTCTTTAATTTACTCTGAATATTTATACAGTTTATTTTTTAAAAAATACAGATCAAGATAAAGATTGATTTTTTTTTTCTTTTTTTTTGAGACAGAGTCTCACTCTGTCCCCCAGGCTGGAGTGCAGTGGCACGATCTCAGTTCACTGCACACTGCAACCTCTGCTTCCTGGTTTCAAGCGATTCTACTGCCTCAGCCTCCAGAGTAGCTGGGATTACAGGCACGTGCCATCATGCCCTGCTAATTTTTTGTATTTTTAGTAGAGACGGGGTTTCACCATTTTGTCCAGGCTGGTTTTGAACCTCTGACCTGAAGTGATTTGCCCGCCTAGGCCTCCCAAAGTGCTAGGATTACAGGCATGAGCCACTGTGCCCGGCCAAAAGTTGAATGTTTACTGAAATTATTTATTTCAGTTTTTCCTTGAGATGCTAAATGCAGTAAGTATAATAAATCCATTACCAAATTACTATCTTATCAACTTTAATTATCTCTATATTACTGTAATTATGTTATTGAAGAAAATACTACAGAGTCAACTTAAAATCTGATGATATTCCATGTGTAATTGTCGTTCATTTCTATTGAAACGCAAATAATTCTTGGCTAATTCTCATTTTATCAAGGTACAATTCTTGCAAAATACCACTGAAACCTGGTGGGGATCAGAGTGATTTTTTTTTTCTATTTTTAAAGACTCTCTATCTCTCTGCATGTGCATATGTTTTTGTCTTACTATGTTTTCTTAACTAGCATTAGCCATTTAAACCCAAACATGAAAAAGAAAATTTTAGAGGAGCCACTAAATGGAATTAGTATTTTCTATTTCCATAACGATATATTGGCAATGACAATTATTTAAATATGGGAAATGGAAGAAGAAAGAAAATTAAATATCCATTTTGAATCTAAACATTTAAAATGTGATTTTAAGAATATGGATAAAACTATGCTGATTAATTCCAAAATTTTATGAAATCTTTGCTCCTGCATATAAGAACATGACAAATTGCATTCTACTTAGAAGCTATGTAAAAATGAATGCTTTTGTGAAAAACTCACCACCACTCACCTGTGCACCCAGGTTTCTGGAATGTTGTGTGCTGCATACACTGTGAAGCTGAGGTGGGAAGGAAGCCCGGGATTTAGATAGGAAGTGCATCTAGGTACATTTACAGGCTGAAAATCTGCATAAAAGCTGTTACAGTAGACATTGATTAGCTGGTAGATGGATGTGGATAGTTCAGTTGTTACCTTCTCTATCAAGCCTAGAAAGGAAGAGATAGAGATCAAGTCACTAAGAAGGGCCATATTTATCATAGGCCATCAATTACAGCTTTGAAATGTCATATAATACAATTTCAATAATTTTAATTAAAGTGACCCTTTACCAATTGAAGAGAATTAACTATCTGTACCTCTGAATGCAACCTGGTTTAGTTGCTGCTAGATTAGACATCAATAAGCTTTCTGATCTTCAGCTGCAGAAATCTTGGAAGCATGGCCTTTTCATAACAATTTGGAATTTAAAAAATTATTAATTTGACATTCTGATCAACTGTAATTTGCAATAATTTTTGTTCTGATTTGTGATTGTTTAAAATTAATTTTCAGACAAGGAATATAGATGGCTTATAAGTACATCAAACAAATTCCATCTAAAGAATTAATCATAATAAATTTGATGATGCTATCATGTTTACTATTAACTGAACACTAATCATATACAATGTGTTGATATTAAAAAGAGAATGAAAATAGTACAAGGCTAGGATTTAAAACCAGCTTGAAATGAAAGATTTATGATGTTTACTGTATCTCTTCAAAATCAAAGACTTTCTTGAGTTTTGCCATTAGTTATTTAAAAGGAGTCTACTGGTTATTCCTAAAAGTGACTTGTCATGAAAGAAGAAAAATGAAAAATTACTAGTTATAGGAGCTAATAGTTTTCCTCTGGCAGCTAAGTAGAAATTGAGAACAAGTAAGCACATCATCAGAAATTGTGTTCTTAAGATCTGCTGTGATGATTCCATGTGCTAAGTTAGTCGATACAGTTGTTTATTCAAACACATGCAATTCTTTATAAGTTGCTTTTAAAACATGCAATTCCCTATATAGTAGTTCAGTCTTAACAGTACTTTCGCTTTCCACAGTTTGTTACCTTAAGTAAACTTAAGTAAAAAAAAATTAAAAGAAAATTCTAGAAATAAACACTTTATAAGTTAAAAAAGCATGAATTGCCTTTTGTTTCTAATTGTTTGGAAATGAAAATAGTGCAAAGAGCTAGATATTTCCTTTGATAATCTACAGTGTTCCAGCACACAGGCAGTTGGATGCTTCAGGAAAGGGGCCAGCTTGACATGGAGCTTCCTCCCACATCCTGTCTGTGCCTCAGTACGTCTGTCTATAATTAAACATTTTTGTTGTTGTTTAACACATGCTATTTTTCACTTAGTTATTCATAAATTTGTACAAAATATATAAGGTAGATTAATTTTCCTTATTTGTTATATTTCTTAAATTGTGCCCTCTGTTGAAACAGTCTGGGGGGGACAAGCAGAGGAAAAAGAAAACCTGTAATTAAAATTCTCTGAGAAGTCAGCAGTAGCAATTAATGAAGCGGAAGAGTAAAGCAGTGTAAAAATAGTCTTAAAAGAGGCCTCATCAAACTTGGAGGCCAACCAACAGAGATTCTGCTGAACAGCAGGAGGCAGAGCATTATAAATTTATGGAAACATCTTGTTTCTTTATCTCCAAATTGTACTTTTGGTATACTGAAGCAGGAAGCACAAACTCCTTTTCAAGAATTCCCAACATTGTGCAAGTGAACACACATCTAAAATAAATCATAAATTTGATTTATTAATTTAAGCTTTAGCGTATATTTTGGGGAAAACTTAGCCATTTGGTTAATTAAACTCTACTTTTTGCTTTTCATGCAGAAACATGGTTCTTGGATAAAATTTGCTACTTTGAGTTTGCATAGAGATGTATGCTTATGCATTATGTTTTACTTCCTGAACTCTGGATGCAGACTACATTTCAAATAACATCATCAAAACATATTAAGAACCCAAGACACAGGGCTTGGTGGTGAAATATGGTGGGAAAAGTGTTTATCGCACCTAATTTTACTCTGGAAAAGAGTTATAGTGCCATGAAATAAAGAGGCAAGGACAATCTATGTGCAATTTAGACTCAATTAAAATCTATCATGATTTATTATAGAATATAAGTCTCCAGGAACATTTCTGTACAGTTTTGTGGGATCTCATATTCCAGTCCCCTGAGGAATATGGGGGAGGAGACCTCATTACAACATTCCTGATAGAAAGGGAGAATCAGTTTCATACAGACACGCCTGCAGCTCGCTCACTCCACATACGACCACTTAGATTCTGTTAGCAATACTGTCAGGAAGTGTCCATTCCTTCCCTCCCTCTATGGTGTTCTGGAGTTTTATGAACACCTAGAATAGGGTTTTTGTACTTGCACAAGTTTCTTTATACCCTCCGCCACCCTATTTTCCTTTTTGATGTGAGACGGGGGAGTTCCTCAAACTTAATTGAGTGTCTTCTTTTGAGTGGTGGGAATTAGAGTTGAGAGGATATACTTTTGTACGTGACTCTTTACTGAAACAGTTAAGGGTGTGGAGGGCAGGTTAGGTTTTCATTTGCTTTCCAATGGATTGTTCTGAATCCAGGGGTTAGTTGAACATCTGAGGGGCAGGCAGTTTTCTTGCAGATACTCAGAGTATTCCTGTGCCAAGTACCATCTACAACCAAGAACGATCCTGACCAGATCCTGCACATTAAATCCTATTATATTGTTTATGCATATTACTATAACGGGATCAAAGAGTTTAATCTAGATTCACAGACTCTGAAAGCAGAGTCTTTGATTCAAAACCAGTTGAGATTTGAGTTGGGAGAGTTGAAATTCAAAACCAGTTCTGCCTGATTCCAAAAGTCAGACTGCTCCGTCCCATGCAATCTCACACCTACTGTTTTCTATAGAGGCAAAGTCCTCCCGTGGCTTGCAATTTTATAGACTCGAAGCCTCTGTAAACACTAATTATTCCAGAACCAAATCCTCCTACCTGTTATATTAGCTTGGTCTTTCAAATAGAGCTGGAATTCAAATTTGAAGTGGATGACCTTGCAGACAGACATCTACTACTTTTCTAATTTTTCTTACATCAAAATATAATTAAGTAAATGGTAAAATTTTCAATGTCTTGGAATGGTTATAAGATATTTTCAGTATTATAATTTTTATAGATCTTTTTATTTTTCTCATTATTTTTAAAATATCAGGCTAAAAGTTTAGAGAGTGCAGATTTTTATTCCCTTGCAGAATAATCACTTCCATTAATAAAAAGAACTTTAGAAAAGCATCTTTCTCCTCAAAAAGCTCGTGTGTGTGTGTGTGTGTGTGTGTGTTGTGTGTTACCACAGTATTTGCATAAAAAAATTGAAAAAAGTATTTTGGATTCTGTAACTTATTTTTTTCTTTATTTCAAAATACTTGAGTACATGTATGTTTTACCTTTTGCTGAAGTCTCTGAACTTTGATAAAAATTCTGAAAAAAAATGTAAAATTATACTTGTTATTCGCACAACAAATTCACAAAATAGTCAAATAGTAATGTCCAAAATCTAAACATTATAATTTCTTTGTCATGGTAAAACAACAAAATATTTCTTGGCATCATATATCAATTTGCTTATTAAACAGGATGAATTTAAATTGTATGATGAAATAAAAACTTTCTAAATATTGTAATAAGCAATGTAGGTTATGTATTTTTTTAAAAAGAAATTACCACAACAGATTGTCTAAGCTCAATCCTCCTTACATAACAGTGACTGATTTTTTGATAAAAGTGCATTTCTAATTCTCTCTGTATGCCGTGTCCAGCTCTTATTCCTAGCAGTTATTCAGCAAGCTTTGGACAGCACCAAAAACAAGACTGAATTGAAGTGGACAAAATCAGTACAGATTCACTAAATAGTTTTCTTTCTTTTTTTCTTCTTAGGGAATTTTTAAAAATCTGATAGTCTAACACTTGAAAAAATAAAATATCTTGAGTCATATCTTAAATAAAAAATACAATCTGAAATCCTATTTTTTTGGTTTTCATTTTCATTATTCTTTAAATTCATGTCCATTAGTGTGGTGGCCTTCCTTATTTATTTATTTTTATCCTTGTTAGAAGCCTAGAATTACTTTGGTGGCTTAGGATTTGCTGGTTGTAACTAAACTATCATGAAAACTGTATAAGGTGATTTATAGACATCCTAAAAAATGGTTTCAGCCCAAAAGGAAATACAATTTTTAATAAGATCCATTTTAATTAACATTAAAATTTTTTAAATTTATAAACTCAAAATTTAAAAAAGTAAAAATAAAAAAATAAAATTTCAAGTCTTGCATTTAAGGAAATACAATTAGTTAAAAGCCAGGTTTCTCAAACAAATAAATTAGAGAATAATTGTTTTTCCGTAACAAAAAAATTGTTACAGTATTCCTTTAGAGAGAGAACATTTTGATCATGTTTAAAATGTCATTACATTTATATGCAACTTTTTAATTAAAAGCATCATTTGCATGAACCTTTTCAGAAGCATTTCTATTAGGCAAAATATTTCATTAGAGTATAGTATCAGTTGCTACTCTTAACAACTACATATAAGATCCCCACTCTATCTATGTGGGTGAGACTATTAAAAATGTTAGACTGATTTAACTAAAATTCAATTTATTTAGAAATATAAACTTGTATTAGAAAATCACCGTGACATCCACCTACACCATGATGTGCAAGACCATATTTTCACTTCGTGGTTCGCCTATTATGTAAGCATTTAATGGAAATTAAATTATGTGAGTTCTGGAATATAATTTGAAGGATGCAAATTGTTTCCAGTGCTGGGTCAGAGAATAAAATAGAGTACAAGTATGTTTGTCATATAATTCTTCATCTTGCCAAAACTTACATTTAATAAACACCTAAGGACTTCCCTGTATGGCAGGAAATAGTCCTTTGCATGTTGACCAAAAATGCAGCCAAGAAAAAGAAAAGCTTCTTAAATTTCACAGTTTGTTGGCAGAAGACCTGTATTTGTCATTTCTTCAATCTTAAGTTCATGGTGGGTGGATAGACTGCTTTGGCATTGTTAACTGTAGCTGGTTACTGCACAAATTCTGTAAAATGTACTTACTATGTGTGCCAGTACTCTTACATAGGTGGGCTCACATTTAAAATGGGATGGAAAAAGAGATGAACAAAAGTATAAATGCAACTGATGTAGAATAAATGAGCTTTCAGCAGTCTGCTCAAAATAAGTGGGACCCAGTTTTTACAGAATATTGAACTATTTTGTCTATTGACATATATTAAATAAACTCCTTATTTTCAACTCCTTTTTTAATTTCTATGCATGAAAATCATTTTAGTCTTATCAAAATATAGGATAAATATTTAGACATTACGAGTTTAAAAGTTTCAAAGAAATATCACACAAAATTTTGTGTTTATACTAGTACATAAGGAAAGTGAAATGTGAAGATGAGTTTTTCTTGAGTATTATAATTGTTTATGGCTTTCCTATGAAATACCCAATTCCTTTGTGAAGAATTCTTTTAGCTTCAAATATTGTAAGTTTGATATTTCTGAAAATTGTCATTTTTATTCTCTTAAGGAGTTTCAGAAAATGAGTGTTTTGAAGATAAAACTTTTTATAACCAGCAATACTTTAACATCCTTTGAAATACTTCATCCTAAAATTATATTTTCCTCGTTGTTTGGTCAGTTGTTTGCCAATTCGTTAAGAACTGGACATAAAAGTCGAAGAATAACCAAATAGTCTTAACAGATGGGAAGACGTGTCGACATCCACACATCTGGTTTCCTCCTCTGGCAGTGGTTCATATTTGTCAGGAGGCTGGCTGTAATCGATGGCCATGAGGTGACAAGGGCCAACCTTCCTGGTGCTTGTGTGAATTAAAGCCTTCATATTGGCGTTGTGGGAAAGATTCTCCAGAACTAGCACCAGCACCATCCTTAATACCTCCATTAACAGCAATGATCTCATTTAAGCTACACTGTCATCAGGGCCCTTTATTAACATTGTTTCCCATACTCACAAGAACTCAGGAAATTATTTTATTTTTCTGTTTTAAACATGAGGAAAATTAAAACTCCAAAAAGTGAATTAGTTTTCCACAGGATGTTTAGATAGAAACTGGTAGATCTTAGTATCTGCATTATCTTATCTCATGTATTTTATCAGCTCTTGGAGCTTGTAATGTTTCTAAAATGTGACAATTTAAGAGTAATAACTGCTTGTTCAAAGTTAATTCTCACTACCTTGTTATACTGACTTAACATCACCAATTAGAAAGCCCTTTTTCAGCATCATATAATTGCCAAGTTTATAAGCTCATCAAAATAGTTGTTTTCAAAACATACTGGTGAAATGCTTTTTAAGACTCTGATACAAGCTTGTCCAACCTGCGGCCTGTGGGCCACATGTGGCCGAGGATGACATTGAATGTGGCCCAACACAAATATCACAAATATGTAAACTTCCTTAAAACATTATGAGATTTTTTTTTTTTAGCCTATCAGCTATTGTTAGCGTTAGTGTATTTTATGTGTGGCCCAAGACAATTCTTCCAACATGGCCCAGGGAAGCCAAAAGATTGAACACCCTGCTGTAGTATATTTTTTTCACTCTGAAGCAGAATAGAAAAATATGATTATATTATATATGATCAAATTAGATTGTTTTACCTTGTTGTTATTTGTAAAGGCACTAGGTCTTAATAGCTACATATAAAAACAGTTTTGGAGACTACATAGTTATTCCATTTCCTTCTATAATTGGAAAGTAAAAGAGAAGGTGTTTCCTTATTAAGAAAAATTTAGGGAAATAAACACAAATCTGTCTTTGATATTTAATTTCTGGATTTATTGTTTACATTATTTAAATTTTGATTTCTTTAGTGCTTTGCATTTTAGCTTTTCAGCAATGTTTATCCTTAAAATATTTTTGTGGTATACCTCCATGACTCATCAAAATCTTCATTGTCATTGTTCATGTAAAGAACGTATTTAAATTTCTATATTCATTTTTTTACTGTCTAATCACACAAAACTTTGGATTAAATAAGATCTAGAAAGCCCAACATTAAGAAACTACTGAATTTTCATACCCACTTATCTATTTGAAACAATAAGCAGTAAGCATGACTATTTCTGTTTGGTAATATGATTATCTACATTGTAAATCAGTCTTTTGAAAATTTCAAGATTGGCATATTCAAAAGTAGTAGAATTTCTCTTGTTCTTTACCATGCAGATAGAGAATGTATGTATTCACTCTATCTTAGAAAGTTTCACATACACTGTAATGTGTGTAGAGGCCTAGGTTCAAATCTGTATTTTGCCACTTATTAATTCTCTGTACACACACACACTGTAAGTGTTGAGTTTTCATAGTGAAATGAACATTAAAATACCAACTTTATGACATTGCTGTGAGCATCTATTGAGATAAAATAAAAATTAAATTCAGTGAGGTAATGCATATGTCAAACTATTTTATACATTACAATGGACTAGCAAATGCTAGTTATTATCATCATATCTTTCTGCTTTATCATTTGCTAAACTAATAATAAGATAAATGAATTTATTGTAACCAGATGTCGTAATATTTTTCTTGGAAAATAATCACTTACAGGTCTACATCAGATTTCTGAGAATTCAAAAGAAAATCACATAATGCCCATTTTTTAAGCCCACCAAATCATGATGTGGGATCCATAGAAAGTCACACAGAAATCATGGAGGCAGTGTGCACTGCAAAATTCGCAAAAGATACCACAAAAATTGATTTTTTCTTTTTTATAAATATGCTTATCCATACAAACATGACACTTAATGCCTGTATACACTCGTATACATGAGAACCATTAACAATCTATACAAACACTTACATGTGATTATTATATAATTACGTTCATTTAGGTAGGATTGTAGGATTGATTACAATATCACCTGAAGTTATAAGGTGGTTACAAACTTCAAAGGTGTAATCAGTGTTCTTATAGTTTAATCAGATCTATTTGGCATAATAGACTCAAGCTGCCAATACCCCCAAACAATTGAAATATACTGTTTGGCTGCATGCACACACACACACACACACACACACACACACACACACACACACACAGATACACACAAACATACACACGGAAATATAGTTGTTAGTAAAAAGTCTTTCACTCTCCTTAATTAAGTATTGAACTCAGGTTTAAAACTACTGTGTAATAAATGAATGTACTTACCTCTCCTTTTCTCTGAAGAATTAGACTTAGTTCATTTACTGCATCTGTAATTTGTTTGGTTTCCACACACCCTAGAACACTGCATATTTTTTTAACTTCTTCAATAATATTATACACGTTTTCCTGTAGATAACAAGATTCACATCTTACAATCTATTGAAATAAATGAGGGGACATTAATTTATCCTCAAACTTCTTCTTTTTCCATGAGGAGCAAGTGGAATAAAATATGCTTGTTTGCTTTCACACAAAAAGAAAGTTCTCAAGACTCTGGTTATCCTGTGACTGGGGCTTTAATTTTCATTGAGCAAATGTTCAAAATTAGAACTGACTTAACACTAACTTACTAACTTAGCTCTAATTTGACATTACTTGAAACAAAATGAGAGAGAGAGGTATAAGGAGAGGAAGTGGTAAGGAAGAGGGAGAGGAAAAGAGAGAAAGAGAGGGAGGAAGAAGTGTGGGGAAAGCAGGGAAACTCAGCCTTAGACAAAGTCTGTGGTTTCCACAAAACACTATGAAGAAAAAGTTATGATGGCCGACCCCAGGAGAGTTTCAAAATACACCTATTGTTTGGAATCAGTGTATAGTTGGGCAAACTTACTAGAAAATCGGAACAAACTCTGGACAGCCAGTTGTGGTGTTAAGGTGTTTGATAATCATCTGATTGCACTATCCTTGAAGTGACTGATTTTTCAAAAAAATCGCTGATGACAAATATAATCTACTGATATAGTTTGGATGTTTGTCCTCTCCAAATCTCATATTGAAATATAAGCCTCAATGTTGGAAGTGAAGCCTGGTGGGAGGCATTGGGTCACAGGGCGGATCCCTCTTGAATGGCTTGGTGCTGTCTTTGCAGTAGTCAGTGAGTTCTCACAAAATCTGGTTGTTTAAAATTGTGCAGCACATCCCGCCTCCCTCTGCTCCAGCTCTCGCCACGTGAGACACCTGATTTCCCTTCACCTTCTGCTATGATTGCAAGCTTCTTGAGGCCCTCACCAGAAGCAGATGCTGGCACCACACTTCTTGTATTGTCTGCAGAACCATGAGCCAATTCAACCTCTTTTCTTTATAAATTACTCAGACTCAGGTATTTCTTTATAGCAACACAAAAATGGCCCAATACACCTACAGCAATGACAAATTCTTAAAATCAACAACGCAGGCTGGCCTTAAGCTAGACAGCGATTTTATGGTCACCATTCTAAGAACTTTTCATTAGCCGTTCTGTATCTCAGATTTACAC
This sequence comes from Homo sapiens, assembly GCF_000001405.40. NCBI lineage: Eukaryota > Metazoa > Chordata > Mammalia > Primates > Hominidae > Homo > Homo sapiens. The sequence continues at coordinate 18,337,299 of NC_000012.12, read as the reverse complement.
ATGTTCTTAAATAAGCATTTATTTTAAAAAATCTTCTCTGTTTTGACCTTATTCTTTTCCATGTTTTTCCATTAACTATAGTGAGAAATCTCTCTTTTCATTGATTCTGTGTGAAGCATGTTTCACTCTACAATGTTTTTATATTCTTTGTCTTTATCGTTAACAATTGTGGTTTTTCAAAAAACATCAGTTTTGTCACCAGCACCACCGTCCTTCCAATGGAGAATTACAATAGTTTATTTCAAGAAGAGATGGAACAGAGTTTTTCCTTTTATTTTCACACAAAGATATGTGTTCACAGCATAAAAAATTTTTAATTCTCCTTATTCTAGGGTATTTTCTTAACAAAGTGTCAGTACAAAGACACAATGCAAGTTTTATATAATGGGATAATACTTTGCTTCTTTTGTGGAAAAATAGCCAGTATCTCTGATATGTAATTTTACAAATCCGAAACCAATGACAAAAACCTGAAGAATAACTAATTAATACTATAAAAGACAAAGTGAGGATTCCAAAAATTGTCCACAGATTTTATTAATGAGCTAAAAGTAAAAAGATGCAATTTAGTTGAGATCTATTTTGTCTTTCATGGATTAAAAAATACATCCGCTCAATAATAACATGGAGAAGAAAAATTTATGAGTCATCCAAATGGAAAAAAATCATTTATTTCACTTATGTGTGAACTCAATGTAAGTCAATATTGTGATGTGGCTACCAGATCCAGTTCACAATTAAATAGAATCAAAAGACACATGCTCTCCATAACTAGAAAGTTAGTTCCACCACATTTTCAATGTATATTATCCAAACTGGAGTTTAGTTTGGGTACTAGATTTGAGAAAGTACTAAACAAATTGGAAATTACCAAAAGACAACAATCTCACTATTAATATACTGTTAATACAGTATTCATTCAGAAGAACATCATAGACAATATTGTCAGCTCTGAAGTCAAGATCTGTTTGTTTACACCCTGGTTCTGCCCCTTTCTACCTGTGGCCATCATCAGAGTATTTAACTTTCATGTACCTAGACTCCCTCTTCTGTGAAGTGAGAACAATAAATAAGTTTCTGTAAAGATTAAATTAGATAAAATATGAAATATGGTGCCTGGCAGATAATGAGGGCTAAATTTTAATGTTTAACTAATTAATTTTATTCATTTACACCAATCTTTCAGTTTATAAGAGAAATGAAACACTGTATATGCAGAGATAACTAATAGAATAAAAATTAGAAAATCATAAAAAACTGAAAAGTCATATTAGGTTCTATGTTTTTTTTCATTCATCTGTTCTAAGTAAATATGTGTGATACATGGGTTTGTGAAAATTCATAAACATCACTAATTGAAATACTAATACTGGGTTGACTTGGGTCACTAGGTAGCTAGTAGCTGATTTATTCAATCTATTACTCCAGTCTTGCAGTACTTCTTATGTGATCTACTTATCTCATTTAATCTTCACATTCTGACATTCTGAAGATAATCATTATATTCATGCATAACTGAGATTGCTAGAATATGTGAAGTAAAAGATTGCAATTGTAAAATTGAGTTGGTGATTAACTGGATATGAGAACCAACAGAAAGTTTGGATTTAAGATGATTCCAAAGTTTCATTTCCAAATTTTGGAAACTAAGAATATGGGGTGCTATTCATTATGGCAGAAACACAGACAAATATTTCTGGTAGAATTGTGATGTGAGTATTTTTTGATACATAGCCTTTGAGCTTCCCAGAGGAAATGCAAGGGAGTTCTATCTCTAGCAACTGTTGGACTGAGAAAATATAGACACACTACACCACACATACATACACACACACACACACTCCCCACATGTTCATATAAACATTACACAAATTTTAAGAAAGGCAAGATAAATCTCAGGGTTGCAGACATTTAGAGGGAATTTCAAGCCTGAGCAGTAGCTCCAACAGTGATGCTGTAATGGCCTGGAGGAAATATCAGACTAGATGTAGATCCTCAGCTGTAGGATTGGTGTTTTTTTGCTAACAGTGGGACAAGTGCTGAAATCTTAGGACTAAATCACTTGGTGAAGGTAGGGGGAAGGGGCAGAACTGGAGCTAAGATCCTCGAATAGTCCTCAGACATTGGATAGCAGCCACCTGTAAAAAGTGGGAGAAGAAAAACTATGCCTACTGATCAGAAACACTTTTGATGAAGCCTCTCTCTACTCAGCCCTTGAGTAAGAAAAATGATTATGTGAGGAACTGAACCCTCGTCTGTGCTCTGTGTGTCTCTGGGGTATTAATTTATACTACTCATAGTAGGAATTTATGTTAAAAATTGCACTAGGCTATTGTGACTTTTTGGACCCAGGCAGAAGTAAATGCACAATTGTATAAACACTTTTCTATACTGACCTACAGAGTTTCTCCCCAAATACACATACATATACAAATGCATGCACACACACATGCACTCACACACCAGAGTACGAGGGGAATATCAGTTTAAAATTTACAAACCCTATGATGGCTGATTCGCAAGGTGAGATCCCCTGCAGACACAAAATGCAGCAGGGTGAGCACCCTATTTCAAGAAATAACAAAGGTAGACTTGGGCAACATTTTCATAGAGGTGATACATAGACTAAAATTTGAATGTGATTGTCCC